>NC_000012.12:94960128-95585128 GCF_000001405.40 Homo sapiens | reverse complement strand
GCTCTGTCCACTCAAGCTGGAGTGCAGTGGCACAATCACAGCTCACTGCAGCCTAGCTCTCACAGGCTCCAGTGATCCTCCCACTTCAGCCTCCAGAATAGCTGGGACCACAGGTGCACACTACCATGCCTGGCTATTTTTTGTATTTTTTGTAGAGGCAGGGTTTCACTGTGTTGCCCAGGCTGGTCTTGAACTCCTGACCTCAAGCAACTGCCTCAGCCTCCCAAAATGCAGGGATTACAGGAGTGAGCCACTGCTCCCAGCAGGAAAATGTATTTTTTAAAAGTAGGTATTGGCAGCTGGTTGCGGTGGCTCACACCTGTAATCCCAGCAGCTTGGGAGGCCGAGGTGGGTGGATCACCTGAGGCCAGGAGTTCAAGACCAGCCTGGCCACATGGCGAAACCCCATCTCTACTAAAAATACAAAAATTAGCCGGGCGTGGTGGTTCATGCCTGTAATCCCAGCTACGCGAGAGGCTGAAGCAAGAAAATTGCTTGAACCCAGTTGGCAGAGGTTGCAGTGAGCCAAGATCGTCCCACTGCACTCCAGCCTGGGAAATAAAAAAGCGAGACTCCGTCTCAAAAAAAAAAAAAAGTAGGTATTGGGATGAATATATCTTGAACTTTTAAAAAGTACTGGCATAACAAGGATACTAAAGACCAATGACTAGACATTAGTCTCTCATAAAATCTCCCAAGTTAAATTATGTAAATCCTCAGCCAAATTTTCATTTTGTATATGGAGTTAAATGCTCATGAAGATGACTAAAGAAGCTTCATCTGCTTTTGCCTAATGAGATGAGTTCAGAGAATGTATATAGAGAGAACTGCTCTCCATAAGCAAAGGTGTAACATTCCTCCCAATCCCTGTGCTGTATACCAGGGCTATTTGTCACTCAGATTGGAAGGAACCAGCACCTTCAAACATGCTGCTGTCAACCCAGGGAATTCTTTTGACCAAACATTGAGGACTCCCTATTCCTGCCTCCATATTGTGGCCATTTCTCCAAATGTCCTGTTGGTGGCCTTGACGAGTTTGTTGCCCTTCACAACATCATGTGCTTAGAATAGCTGATTGCTACTGATTGCCTCTCCCAAGTACTCGCAAACAGAATTGAGTTTCCTTTCCACCTCCTCACCCCACACAATTAGACAGGAATAAAACCTAAAAATTGGTCAGGCATGGTGGCTCATGCCTGTAATCCCAGCACTTTGGGAGGCCGAGGTGGGCAAATCACCTGAGGTCAGGAGTTCGAGATCAGCCTGACCAACATGGAGAAACCCCATCTCTACTCAAAATACACAATCAGCCGGACATGGTGATGCATGCCCGTAATCCCAGCTACTTGGGAGGCTGAGGCAGGAGAATGACTTGAATCCGGGAGGCAGAAATTGTGGAGAGCCAAGATCGCGCCATTGCACTCCAACATGGGCAGCAGGAGCAAAACTCCATCTCAAAAAAAAAAAAAAAAAAAAAAAAACACACACACAAACCTAAAAACTGATTCATAAATGTGACAGAAGTGAGAATGAAATTACTTTGTAATTCTTAATTCCTATGCTTTTCCCCAAGGATGGGTTAACACTGACTGAGCTTTGTAAGAAAGCAATTTCAACCATAATGAATCTCCACAGCATCGGCGGAAAGATATAGTTAACATAATGCTACCAAAAAAATAACTAAAGTAAAAGGACAAATGCAAATCCTTTATGGCTTTCTTCTCCTAAACCAGAAGAAATCCAGTGCAGCTTCAGTTCACTGTGACTCTAATCTCTCTCTCTCTTTTTTTCTTTTTATTTTTCTTTTCTGTTTTTGTTTTTTTGTTTTGAGATGGAGTTTCACTCTTGCTGCCCAGGCTGGAGTGCAGTGGCATGGTTTTGGCTCACCGCAACCTCTGCCTCCTGGGTTCAAGCGATTATCCTGCCTCTGCCTCCTGAGTAGCTGGGATTACAGGGATGTGCCACCATGCCTCGCTAATTTTTTGTGTTTTTAGTAGAGGATGGAGTTTCACCATGTTGACCAGGCTGGTCTCAAAATCCTGATCTCAGGTGATCCACCTGCCTCAGCCTCCCAAAGTGCTGGGATTACAGGCATGAGCCACCACGCCCGGCTCTAGCCTCATTGGATATTGAGTTCCCCTATTTATTTGAGAAAAGCATCCTAATTATTAATCTACAATTGCCTTATACTAAAGGCACAATATCAATCCCACCATAGCAGTGTTCCTAAAAGGTCAGCTCTAGCTAAGGAAGTCTGAGCCCTACAAGAGTTTTCAATGTTTGTCTTTTCCTTAGCAGTCAGACACTGGTTGTTTACATTTTAAATAGTTTTCACTAATTGTTTTTCATATTTTTAATGTAAATGGACACGTTTTGAAAATTAGTGAATACAGAAGGGATGCAGAATTAATAAATGCTTGCCTTTTTTCAGTTAACAGAGCAGAAGAGACCACTGCTGTGCTGAAAAGTATTATCCCAGAGCACCCCCTTATGGTAAAATGCACTAAGGAAGTAAATCCATGGGAAAAAAAAAATCACAAAGTGTTTCGATCTCAGGAGACAGATGCTGCTTTCCTACTCTTAAGAACGTTTCACCTTTTTTTTTTTTTTTAAAGAAACAGGGTCTCACTGTGTCACTCAGGCTGGAGTGCAGTGGTGTGATCATAACTCACTGCAGCCTCGAATTCCTGGACTCAAGGGATCCTCCTGCCTCAGCCTCCTAAGTAGCTGGAACTATAGGTGCATGCTACCGTACCTGGCTAACTTTTCTGGGGGGACGGGGGTAGAGATGGGGTGTTGTTGTCCAGGCTAGTCTTGAACTCCTGGTCTCAAGCAATCCTCCCACTTAGGCCTCCCAAATCACTGAGATTATAGGCATCAGCCACTGTACTTGGGCTGAACCCTATACTCTAGATCCATTCAGTCATGGCAAACCTAAACTAGCATAGTTGTTAAACTCCTGATGAGCTTAATTCCCAGATGGATTTCTTCTACCACCAGCTGGACTTGAAGTATTTTGTAAAGTGTAATTTTTCATTAAGCCATTCATACCCACTTAACTCCTCTTGGATGCCACTTCATAGCCAGCTCATGTTATGAACACTGTATGAACTGTTATTCACTAGTAACAGTAAGCTGTTATTCACTAAACAGGATCACTGATTTCTATTGTTAAGATCATCAGTGGCCATAGCTGTAAACATGGTTCTCTGGAGGATTTTTGCTGCAGCTGGAAAGACAAGAAATGAGATAATAATTCTGACCCAAGCAGGCAAACATCTATAATAATTTAGCACATCAGGAAATTCACACATAGCTTCTTTTTTCCTGTTACATTTTAACACATTGTTTAGACTTTTCAAGTGTTCTGTATGTCTTGAGAATAAATCTCCATGTTCTTGTCTTATTCAAAAAAGGCATCAAATTTAAGCATGCTTGGACAGTAACTAGTATGATAGAACTTGGTTTACTAGCATATTTAAATGCTAATAAAGATAATAATATTAGATATTGAGTTCCCCTATTTCTTTGAGAAAAGCATCCTAATTATTAATCTACAATCGCCTTATAGTGAAGGCACAGTATCAATCCCACCATAGCAGGGTTCCTAAAAGGTCGCCCTAGCTAAGGAAGTCTGAGCCTTACAGAGTTAAATGTGGTCTACATGTTAAATATGGGATCAACACCAGCAGTGGTGACTTGAAAAACTGTCTCACAGGTACAAGACTAAATATCAGGATACAGGGGGCCAGGGGAGGAGGGACTGCTATTAGACAAAAGACGCAAACCAAATATCCAAACCAGGCCAGGCGCAGTGGCTCATGTCTGTAATCCCAGCACTCTGGGAGGCCAAGGTGGGTGCACTCAAGGTCAGGAGTTCGATACCAGCCTGGCCAACGTGGCAAAAACCCCATCTCTACTAAAAATACAAAAATTAGCCGGGCATGGTGGCGCATGCCTGTAATCCCAGCTACTTGGGAGGCTGCGGTGGGAGAATTGTTTGAACCTGGGAGGCAGAGGTTGCAGTGCACCAAGATCATAACACTGCACTGCAGCCTGGGAAACAGAATGAGACTCCTTTCAAAAAAAAAAAAAAAAAAAGAGTTCCCCACTGTAAGAGTGAGCCAGTTGCTGCCAGGGTTTGGGTCCTCATGACCAGAGCTGGAGCACGGTATCTACCTCAAAGCATCTAGGAGTAAGAACATTCTGAAAGGTAAGTCCAAGTTCTTAAAGAGTTCTAAGAATTCATTTGGGGTAATCAAGATCAATGCAAGTCCAAATGGCAGGAAACATTATCTAGAGCAAGAAAAGGAACCAGGGTGGACACACCCTGGGCAATACATGTGAATGGATCTTGTCTTTTTTTCCTGGTTGTTGAGTTGGGTTGCATAAAAGGTACAGAGTTAGGGTGAGAGAGAAAAACAGAGACTAAAAGATTGAGAAACTTTCATTTCCTTATAATCTCCTTTCCCCACCTACATATACATAGACACAACTACTAAGCACAGTGCCTTGCACATAGAAGATACTCAATAAAGAGTTGTTAAATTTTATTTTATTTGTTTGAGACAGGGTCTCCCTCTGTCACCCAGGCTGGAGTGCAGTGGCGCCATCTTGGCTCACTGCAGCCTCTGCTCCTCAGGCTTAAGCCATCCTCCTAACTCAGCCTGCTGAGTAACTGGGGCCACAGGCAGGGGCCACCACACCCAGCTATTTTTTTGTATTTTTCGCAGAAGCAGGGTTTCGCCATGTTGCCCAGGCTGGTCTCCAGCTCCTGAGTTCAAGCAATCAGCCCACCTCGGCCTCCCAAAGTGCTAGGATTACAGGAGTGAGCCACTGTGTCCAGCCACATTTTTAAAAATAACTTAAAACAAAAATCAATGTCACTGGCCAGATGTGGTGGCTCACACCTATAATCCCAGCACTTTGTGGGGCCAAGGCAGGTGGATCACTTGAGCTCAGAAGTTCGAGACCAGCCTGGCCAACATGGTGAAACCGTGTCTCTATTAAAAATACAAAAATTAGCCGGGAGTGATGGTGCACACTTATAATCCTTGAGCCCAGGAGGTGGAGGTTGCAGTGAGCTGAGACAGCACCACTGCACTCTAGCCTAGGCGACAGAGTGAGACTCCATCTGAGAAAAAAAAAAAGGTCAGTATCCCCTAGAGTTCCATCATTGACTTTCTTATCTTGTCACTGGGTGATCTCTCACCTTCACTTGTATTTTTCAAGTACCTCTCTTACACTAACGACAAAATCTCTATCTTCAATTCTAACCTCTTGCCTATTAGGTTCACCTGGATAACCTAGAGGTAACCAGATTTACCACCTCCCAAACGGAATTCATTAACTTCAGTTGTGACTTCCTCCTCCAGACCCTCCTCAAGTATTTGTGAATCACTCATTTATCCAGTTAGAAATCTGGAAGTCAGGCCAGGAGCAGTAGCTCACGCCTACAATCCCAGCCCTTTGGGAGGCCGAGGTGAGGGGATCACCTGAGGTCAGGGGATCACCTGAGGTCAGGACATCACCTGAGGTCAGGAGCTCTAGACCAGTCTGGCCAATATGACAAAACCCTGTCTCTAAAAAATACAAAAATTAGCCGGGCGTGGTGGTACTCTCTAAAAAATACAAAAATTAGCTGGGCATGGTGGTGCTTGCCTGTAATCCCAGCTACTCTGGAGGCTGAGGCAAGAGAATCGCTTGAACCCGGGAGATGGAGGTTGCAGTGAGCTGAGATCACACAACTGCACAGCAAAACTGTCTCAAAAAAAAAAAAAGAAATCTGGAAGTCATCTTGAACTCTTCTCTTTTACTCACCCCAACAAATAGTTACCAGATGCCATCATTCTGAGTCCCTGTCTCTCGAAATCAACCCATCTTTATCCCCCCTGCCACTACCTTAATTCAGGTCCTGATTTCTTTCCTGGATTACTGTGATAACATTTCAATATTGCTGCTTCTAGCTTCCAGCCCTCATCCCCATCCCAGTCATAATCTGCATCACTTGGGGACTTTTCCAAAAGGCAAATGTTTATGTTGCTTTCCCACTTAAAATCCCTCACTAGCTCCCACCAGTTATAAGAAAAAAACCCCTAGATGCTGTAGCATGGCATAAAATCCCAGCCTGGTCTTTTTCTCCATTCATGCATCTATCCAACAAATATTTCTTTTTGTATAAACATTATATTACATAAATATTTATACAAGAGCACCTTTTGTACTCCAGACACTGTGCTGATCACTGGGGATAAAATGCTGAACCAAGGCCAGGTGCGGTGGCTCATGCCCGTAATCCCAGCACTTTGGGAGGCCATGGCAGGTGGATCACCTGAGATCAGGAGTTCGAGACTAGCCTGACCAATATGGTGAAACCCCGTCTCTACTAAAAATACAAAAATTGGCCAGGCATGGTGGTATTCATCTGTAATCCCAGCTACTCAGGAGGCTGAGGCAGGAGAATCACTTGAACCCAGGAGGTGGAGGTTGCAGTGAGCCGAGATTGTGCCACTGCACTCCAGCCTGGGCAATAGAGCAAGATTCTGGCTCAAAAAAAAAAAAAAATGCTGAACCAAACAGACCTGGGTTTTGCCCTCCTAGTTCTCATAGCCTAGTATGTCCTAGAAAGGAATAGAAACCCAGTCCTGGAAAGGAATGAAAAGCTGTCTTAGGGGGCTTTACACCTCGGTTCAGAGCTGAAGGATGAGTAGCGCGTTAGCCAAAGAAAGGAGGCAGAGGGAACAAGCATATGCAAAGGCTCAGAAAAGAGGTGATCTTGATATGAGAAGAGGAGAAAGAATTAAGACTGGAGAGGTAGACAAGGATAGAATCATACAGGCCTGGAACTCAGCTAAAGGTGTTTGGAGTTAGTCCTAAAGGTCATTCAGTAGGTTTAAGGAGAGAATAACTTAATCAGATTTGTATTTTAGAAAGTCACTCTAGCTGTTTGATGGAGAATGGCTTGTGGATGAGAGGCAAGACTGAAAGCCTGCAGAACAGATAGATATTTAAAGGTAGAATGAATAAGACCTCGTGATAGACTGGATGAAGGAGGGAGGAGTGAGGAAGAGAGAGAGGCAGCTTGAATGGCCTCCAGGTTTCTGGCTTCAACAACTCAGGATGTGGCACCACCATTCTTCAAGATGGGAACAGAGGAGGAGGCAGTTATTTTGGGCATGGTGGAGAGATGATGAATCCAATTTTGGACATACTAGTTTTAGGTTTGAGGCACCTATGAAGTCATCCAAATGAAGATGTCAAGTGTTTTATACAAAGGTCTAAAGTTAAAAAAAACCAATCTAGACTAGAGATAATAAATTTGAAAGTCATAGTCTCAACTACTGGAGAGGCTGAGGTGGAAGGATCATTTGAGCCCAGGAGTTGAGGCAACAGAGCAAAACTCTGTCACTTTAGGAAAAAAAAAAAAAAGAGAGAGAGAATCAGCTATTTTTTATTTATTTTTATTTTATTATTATTATTATTTTTTTTTTGAGACAGGATCTCACTCTGGAGTTGCCCAGGCTGGAGTACAGTGGCACGATCTCAGCTCACTGCAACCTTCACCTCCTGGGTTCCAGAGACTGTCATGCCTCAGCTCATAGCTGGGACCACAAGTATGTGCCAACACTCTGCTAATGTTTGTATTTTTAGTACAGACAGGGTTTCACCATGTTGGCCAGGCTGGTCTCAAACTCCTGTACTCAAGCAATCCGCCCAATTTGGCCTCCCAAAGTGCTAGGATTATAGGCGTGAGCCACTGTGCCCAGCCTAAGAGTCAGCTACTATTGATTTGAATAAGAATGCCAAAAAAAGTACAAGAATGAAATAAAGACAAAGATCAATACAAGGTTAAAGCTGGGCAGAGAAAAGAGAAATAAAAATTGTTTTAGACTGGAGATAGGGGTTTGGAAATCAATCAGCATAGAGATGGTAATGGAAGCAGTCAGGTAAGCATATGAGTGAGAGCTCTCAGGAAGAGTGCATAGAAAGCAGAGAGGGGAGCTAGCACACAGCCCTAAGCTACAGGAAGAACTCAGAAGTAGGTAGAAGAGAAGCCCTCAAAAGAAACTGAAGCAGGCCGGGCGTGGTGGCTCACGCCTGTAATCCCAGCACTTTGGGAGGCCAAGGTGGGCTGATCACAAGGTCAAGAGATCAAGACCATCCTGGCCAACGTGGTGAAACCCAGTCTCTACTAAAAATACAAAAATTAGCTGGGCATGGTGGTGCAAGCCTGTAGTCTCAGCTACTCGGGAGGCTGAGACAGGAGAATCGCTTGAACCCGGGAGGCAGAGGTTGCACTGAGCCAAGATGTCACCACTGCACTCTAGCCTGGCGACAGAGCGAGACTCTGCCTAAAATTAAAAAAAAAAAAAAAAGAAAAGAAAAAAGAAACTGAAGCCATTGCAGTGGCTCATGGTTGTGCTCCCAGCACTTCAGGAGGCCAAGGCGGGAGGATCCCTTGAGCCCAGGAGGTCAAGACCAGCCTGGGCAACATAGGGAGACCCTGTCTCAAAAAAAAAAAAAAAAAAAAAAAAAAAAAAATTTAAGTAGCAGGCATGGTGGTGTGTGCCTATAGTCCCAGCTACTTAGGAGGCTGGGGCAGGACGATCACTTGAGCTGGGAGGTTGAGGCTGCAGTGAGCCGTCATTACGCCACTGCACTCCAGCCTGAGTGACAGAGTGAGACCCTGTCTCAAAGAAAAAAAGAGAGAGAGACTGAGAAGTAAATGGAAATATAGAAAGAAACAAAGAGAACTTTATCTCTGAACATTTCTACATTGTACTGATTCCAGCCATACAGAGCTGCTTTTGGTTCCTTGTCTGTTTCATTCCTCCACTATGCTTTTGACAGGGTAGTCCCTCAATCTAATAAATTCAAACACCTAGTCTTTCCCCCAGCACATTTCTTTTTCTTTTTTTCTCTTTTTCTTTTTTAAGACTGAGTCTCACTCTGTTGCCCAGGCTGGAGTGCAGTGGCGTGATCTAGGCTCACTACAATTTCCAAACCCGGGGTTCAAGCAATTCTCCTGCCTCAGCCTCCCAAATAGCTGGGATTACAGGCGTGCGCCACCATGCCCAGCTAACTTTTATATTTTTAGTAGAGACAGGGTCTCAACATGTTGGCCAGGCTGGTCTCAAACTCCTGACCTCAAGTGATCCACTCACCTTGGCCTCCCAAAGTGCTAGGATTACAGGTGTGAGCCATTGCACCCAGCCTCCCTCCAGTACCTTCTTAAAGACATTTCTGCAATGACCTGTGTTGTCCATTAAAGTAGCCACTAGCTGCATGTGGCTACTGCGTACTTTAAATGTGGCTAGTACAACTGAGGAACTGAATTTTTAATTTATTTGAATGAATTGAAATTTAAATACCCACATATGGCTAGTGGTTACTCTACTGGACAACACAATAGCCTGCACAAATGTTCATTCCTTTCTGATGCTGCTCCTCCCCCTTCTCTCTCCCCAGGTAATCACAGCATTCCTGGGTCCCTATAGCACTTGATTGAAGAGCCTGTCAGAATTCATCAAATCGTATGCAATAATTTATTTGCTGGAGATGATACTAAAAATAAAACTACCTCTCAGACATTTTATGAAGATTAAAATAAATGTTTAGCCCTCAGCTGGAACTTTAATAATATTAGTTTCCTTCTCTTCCTCCCACCTAAAGTCCCACCACTCAGAACATAAAATGTGGAATATTCACTCCATTGCTTTTACCTAAAATGTACATCATGACTTCAAATTATTCTTACTGCTTACTATTTCAAAGAGATGGTTTTTTGTCCCCCAAAATCAATCCAATGGGTTGGTCTATTCATGACCTAATCCTTGATCTTTCTTTAGAGAAATGTTAGTTCCAGGGTACTCAAAGTCTCTTGAAGCCACTTTGAAACAATGATGAATCTTGCTTCATTCAAATGTAGCCCCTTCATCTGCCCCAGACTTGGCATTGAAGCTGACCTTTTGCAGCCAAATAAACTTCAGTGCCCAGCAGATCTGATTTCAATAATCTGTCCCTCTACCCACAATTGACAGCTCCTTATTCCAGAATTTTCTATAAACTACCAGGAAAGTCCACTAGAGGTCACTTTACTGCCACATGCAATGAATGGGAATGTTGGAGCTCCACTTCCTCTAAAAAGGCTATGAATTAACAGAGTGTTGGTGTTGATGTTCTAGGAAAATATGAGAGCCAGTTGGAGAGTAATTACATATTCCCATGCCATGGCACACAGTGCTCCCAGATTTTCTGATATGTGAGGCTGAAAATTATGGAAAACTGAGAGGAAATCAGATTATTCCATCTCAAAAGCCACATTCACTACTGAGGTCTTCATACTAGATCAGATCTCAGAACTCCAGAAGTACGCTAGCGCAGGCAGGAATCCTAATTTGGAGACAGTACATTCATGGATATCAGAAGGTCTGTGAGTCTCTAAAATTGTGTGCATTTTTCTGAGGACAGAAAGAACCTCAAAAAGGTCTAAAAGATGAGAAGGTCTGTGAACCTCTAAAATTGTGTGCATTTTGCTGAGGACAGAAAGATCCTCAATAAGGTTTTAAAGAAGAGGGAGAAATCTGATTCAGGGCCATCTGACTCACGGCCACCATTGGAAGAGCACTTTTTTGTCTTTAAATCTTTTCTGACACGGAAGAAAATTCAAGGAAAAATCTGGACTGAGAAATCCCCTCCAACTCTAAGACATCTTGTTAGTCAGAGACTGGGTAAGCCCCAGTTTTTTTTTTTTTTTTTTTTTAGAAAGAGGCTGAATGGCGGAACTGAAAGGCTAGCAAAGCCTCAGCACTCACCACCAAGCTAAAAGGAACAGAATAAATGATAATTGTCAGTAGTTAAGGCAGAAAACAAAAGGAAGATAAATGAGAATGGCTCACCAGGACCTGAAACCCCAAGCACTTGGGACAAATGGGGATCATTGACATAGAAAAAGGGGTGAGACCCCCCAGGGTGATGCAGATTTGTTTGAGGCTGGGTGACCAGCCCCAGAGATAGGAGTCCTCACTGGCCAGCCCTCCCCTCCCCGGCAGCCCAGCGCGAGCTCACAATTTCTCTTCCTTCCGATGGCAGTCGTCGGCTCCTAGGGAATTAAACTGATCAAAATGGAAAGCTTGGGGTGAGCAGAGCCTGCCACCACCCCGGAGCCTGATAGTTCAGAACAGTCTAAACTGAGTAGACAGGCAACGCTGAAGGGAAAGAGAATTCGGGGAACTGCGATGTATTTCTGTTCCTTTAGAAATGGAAGGTTTGGGCTTTAATGTGATCTCAAGCCATTTGGGGGAAGTTTGGAGTTTAGAATGATTTGAAGAATAAAGGCCTTGTTTTTGACTGACTGTTATTTCAGATCTTACCCATCTATCAATTAAATCTGACTTATTAACAGTATCTGGCAAAAATTCTGTCCGTTTGAGGATGGTGTGTGGTATTCTTGTACCTAACTATTCTCCTTAACCTTTTGGGAAAATGACCATATCCGTTTGTCTTAGCACTGGGCCCCCTCAGGACTTGCAAGGCTTTTTTTTTTTTTTTTTTTTTTTTTTTTTTTTTTTTTTTTTTTTTGAGCCAGAGTCTCGTCTCACTCTGTCACCCAGGCTTGAGTGCAATGAAGCAATCTTGGCTCACTGCAACTTCCGGGTTCAAGCGATTGTCCTGCTTCAGCCTCCTGAGTAGCTGGGATTACAGGCGCACACCACCATGCCAGGCTAATTTTTGTATTTTTAGTAGAGACGAGGTTTCACCATGTTGGCCAGGCTGGTCTTGAACTCCTGACCTCATGATCCCCCCGCCCTGGCCTCCCAAAGTGCTGGGATTACAGGTGTGAGCTTCTGCGCCCGGCCAAGGACTTGCAGGGCTTAAGGAGAGAATTGTGTTTTCTATTATGTCTTAAAAGCCAGCAAACTGTAAATCCTAGAGAGGAATCATTTTCAGGAAACTAGAGATGTAGTCCAGCCTTGGAGTAGCTTGCCATCCATACAGTCTTAAAGGTACTATCAATTTCTTTTTAAATCAAAGCATCAAACAGGCACCACTGTTTGTAAGGACTTGGGGAAAAATGAGCCCAATTGATACTTCTTTTCAAGCAAGTAACATCTAGCAAACTACACAAGCAAATAGGAACAAAATCAAGACAACATAAAACTGATTCCAGCTCCAAAACTAGTTCTGTGGCCTTCTGAAGTTTCTTACCTTTACCACAAATATTCCATGTGATCAGACACGCAGCATATTACAGTGAAAAGAGCAAGGACTTAAAGCCAAGGCATTCATCCCATGGGAATTTTTAGTTCTAATGCCACTGTAGCCACTTTCTAGCTGAGTGATTTTAAAGAGTTATCTAACCACAGATTCCTCATCTGTAAAATGGGGATAATAAAATCTAACTTGTAAGGATTAGGAACATTGTAGATGTCCAACAAATGGGGTGTGTGCATGTGTATATGCATAAATTACCTCAGCCTCCCTCTGAGATGAGAGAGTGAGATAAAACACAATGTACTAGCCCAGGCACAGTGGCTCATATATGTAATCACAGCACTTTGGGAGGTTGAGGCAGGAGGATCGCTTGAGCCCAGGAGCTGCAGACCAGCCTGAGCAACATGGAGAAACTCTGTTCCTACAAAAAATTCAAAAATTAGCTGGGCATGGTGATGGGCCACTGTGGTCCTAGCTACTCAGGAGGCTTTGTCTTTAGATTGCTTAATCTTCATTTGTTTTTATTATAACAAAAATAAGCTTTGTTTAGAAGTCCCTTGGACAGCCAGGTGCAGTGGCTCACACCTGTAATCCCAGCACTTTGGGAGGCTGGGGAGGGAGGATCGCTTGAGGCAGGAGTTCAAGATTAGCCAGGGCAACCTAACAAGACCCCATCTCTACAAAAATTTAAAAACAAAATAGCAGGGCATGGTGGGGCTCCCGTGTAATCCCAGACACTCAGGAGGCTGGGGTGGGAAGATCACTTGAGCCCAGGAGTGTGAGGCTACAGTGAGCTGTGATGGTACCACTGCACTGCAGCCTGGGTGACAGAGCAAAACCCTCTATCTGGAAAAACAAAAAGATTCTTGGTTGGTGATGTTTCCTCAGAAATCAAATCCACTTCTGACCCTAAGCTGCATAAGACATATGCAGGGGAGACAAGGAGAAAGTCGTTTGTTCAATGCAGACTTGGAGGGCAAACATAGGCCCAGAGGGTAAATATCACAATGAAGCAAATTTTGGTTTTCTCTAAAGGAGAAATTTCTAGTAACAGGAGGAGGTTACTAAGTCACCAAATCCTGGAGGAAACAGCTCTGCCTTGGTATCAGGAAGCTAAGTAACCCACTGTGGCTCAGTCATTTCACCCTCAACTTCAACTTTCCCAACTGCAAAATTCAGACTAAAGCTTTTATCTTTACTGTTTTGGGTGCCAGTGCTTACCAGGACACTTCCTGTATCACTGAGTCTACAGAAGAAATTGATATATGACCATCAATACATTTCACATCAAATAAAGATAGAGGAAATGATGATACAGTTCAGATCAGGAAGAGGAAGTAAAACCTTGTTTATAAACCAGTTGATCCCCACCTGCATCCTTATAATGAGTAGTGTAGAGAACACATACATCTCGGTCTCTTTTTTACATTTTTTTTTTAGAGATAGGGTCTCACTCTGCCACCCAGCTGGAGTGCAATGGTGCAATCTTAGCTCACTGCAGCCTTGATCTCCCAGGCTCAAGCGATCCTCCCATCTCAACCTCTCAAGTAGCTGGGACTACAGGCGTGCCACCATGTTCAGCTTTTTTTTTTTTTTTTTTTTTTTTTTTTTTTTTTTTTTTTTTTTTTTTTTTTTTTATGTTTAGTAGAGACGAGGTCTTGCTATGTTGCCCAGGCTGGTCTCAAACTTCTAAACTCAAGCAATCCTCTTGCCTGGGCCTCCAAAGTGCTGAGACTACAAGCATGAGCTACCATGCCCAGTGAGAGCATATACATTTCTCTTTCTCCCTGAGCCCTTTCTCATCTGTTATTCTGCTCATTCTCCAAGGTCATCAGTTAAGAAGTAAATTATGGTAGAAGAGATTCTATAAATTATGATAGAAGAACATCTCAATCAATTTGGACACCTTAACATGTAAGTCAGGCCGGGTGTGGTAGCTCATGCCTGTAATCCCAGCACTTTGGGAGGCCGAGGCGGGCGGATCATGAGGTCAGGGGTTCGAGACCAGCCTGACCAACATGGTGAAACCCCGTCTCTACTAAAAATACAAAAATTAGCTGGGCGTGGTGGTGGGCGCCTGTAATCCCAGCTACTCAGGAGGCTGAGGCAGGAGAATTGCTTGAACCCGGGAGGCAGAGATTGCAGTGAGCCGAGATCGCGCCACTGCACTCCAGCCTGGGCGACAGAGCGAGACTCGTCTCAAAAAACAAAACAAAACAAAACAAAACAAAACAAAAAACCCATTATTTTCACAAGTAGATACATTGGGGGGTGAGAAGTTGTAATAACTATTCCACAAAAAAGTCACTTTCATGCCATCTATAAGGTAAACTATAAAAGAACAATGGCTGGTCATGAGAAGACTTGCTTTCTAATTCCAGATCTGATGCTTGCTGTGTGGCTTCAGACAAGTCACTTAATACTATAATTTCCTCAGCTATATAATGCTAAGTATGAAGAAAGAGGATCTGTATGAAAATCCTTTGCGAGGTAGAAATTGCTCTGCAATGAAAAACATCATTACTAATGCATAATTCTTCTTTTCCTCATTCCATTTATATTGGAATAATGCCATTAATATATCTTTGGGATAACTCATATTTCTCTCTTCCCTCCATTGATTTATTCATGAAATGACTGAAGGCATTTTGGTAGATAAAGAAAAGACAAGTGACAATAACCTGTTACAGGATTAAAGCCAAATGGCTGTGTAAAAAAGGGTACATTAAATGATCAAATCAAAGACTATACATTTGCTATTTGTAAGACAAATACTGCATCTTTATGGGTTTTCAGATCCATCAGTTAAATAACAAAGTAGTGGTATAACATACTCAAGAGGTTTAATATAACATTAAATGAAGGCTGACAACCATGAAAACCATTTATCATTGTATTTAAACCACTAATTTCAGATTAAATTTAAAACACTTAATTCCTAATTGTTAGCACTGACATGCCAACAAAAATCTTAAGGAAATATTTTGTAGCTAGATCACACCATTGTTACACATTTGCTTGAGAAAACAAAGTATGTATGTAATTAAAGTATGTAACTAAATCCTACCTTATCATTATGGTGCCTTCAATAAGATCCACTCTGCCAAAAATTGAACAATTTATAATACATAGTTTAATTGGAAATTTTTATTGTCATCTGTCAAATTCTGAGACTATACTTTTTGATGTAGTGTATGTGGTTAGAGCATTCTCTGAATAAATCCAAGGTTGCATGGCCATTCTTACAGGAGCCACTTAACTTGAAAAGGGAGAAAAAAAAATCAGTGGCATATCACAACTTGCTATCTAGCCACCTTCTCTGATTTTGGTGAAAGTGATTCAAAGGTGACCAGGTAATTGTAAATGGACAGCCTGGGTAGAAAAATTACTTGAAATGACATCTTTCCAAATGTACAGTACTTCCCAAAACTACAGATAAATGGAATAAAACAAAGTCTAGTTAATCTAAATATAAACAACATAGTATGCTGTGATCCAGTTAGAAAAAACTTTTTCTTCTTTTCCGTTGCAAAATCTAACATTTCCCAGAGCAGATCCTGTTCTGGTGTGTGAATTTGAACCCGTTGATTAAATTTTGAGCATGTTTCCTCAACTGTAAAATGGGGATAATAATACCGATCTCCTCAGGGTTGCTGTGGAAATTACAGTAAGCAGTGAAGGAAAGATGACTACTAAGTAAAAGGAGTAACAATTACAGTAGGAGCAGCAGCAGCCACAGTTCTCATTCTGTCCGGATGCATCCAGGATGATGTATGGTCTGACAGTGAAAATGAAGAGAATGTTTCAAGAAAAGAAGCACGATCAGCGTTGGCAAATAGTGAAGTAAAATCAGTGGCTTTTGAATTTGACAAGAAAGGAATTGTTGGTAGCTTTGTTTCAAGAGAACATTTCCAAAGCAGTAAGAGGGGAAGCCTCAGTGTAGGCAGCTAAGGAAGAAGCAAACATAAAGAAAATGGAGGCAGTGGCCGGGCGCGGTGGCTCACGCCTGTAATCCCAGCACTTTGGGAGGCCGAGGCCGGCGCATCACGAGGTCAGGAGATCGAGACCATCCTGGCTAACATGGTGAAACCTGGTCTCTACTAAAAATACAAAAAATTAGCCAGGCAAGGTGGCGGGCGCCTGTAGTCCCAGCTACTCAGGAGGCTGAGGCAGGAGAATGGCGTGAACCCGGGAGGCGGAGCTTGCAGTGAGCCGAGAGCCGAGATTGCGCCACTGCACTCCAGCCTGGGTGACCGAGCGAGACTACGTCTCAAAAAAAAAAAAAAAAAAAAAAAAAAAAAGACAGAAAAGAAAGAAAAGAAAAAGAAAACAAAATGGAGGCAGCAGGTATAAACCGGAGGTTTTCAACATTTTGTATTCACCAATAACTATTATAGAGTCATGATTTTAAAATATCAGAGAAAGGCTGGGCGCGGTGGCTCATGCCTGTAATCCCAGCACTTTGGGAAGCCGAGGCGGGCAGATCACTTGAGGTCAGGAGTTGGAGACCAGCCTGGCCAACATGGTGAAACCCTGTCTCTACCAAAAATACAAAAAAAAAAAAAAAAAAGAGAGAGAGAGAGAGCCGGATGTGGTGGCGCACTCCTGCAGTCCCAGCTACTTGGAAAGCTGAGGCGGGAGAATCAGTCAAACCCAGGAGGTGGAGGCTGCAGTGAGCTGAGATTGCACCACTGCGCTCTAGCCTGGGTGACAGAGTGAGATTCTGTCTCATAAAAAAAAAAAGAAGAAGAAGAAGAGAGAGAGAGAGAGAGAAATGTATGTTTCTGAACTTTTTTTGTTTTTTGTTTTTTTTGAGACGGAGTCACGCTCTGTCGCCCAGGCTTGAGTGCAGTGGTGTGACCTCGGCTCACTGCAAGCTCTGCCTCCCAGGTTCACGCATTCTCCTGCCTCAGCCTCCCGAGTAGCTGGGACCACAGGCGCCCGCCACCACGCCCAGCTAATTTTTTTGGTATTTTTAGTAGAGACGGGGTTTCACCGTGTTAGCCAGGATAGTCTCCATCTCCTGACCTCGTGATCCGCCTGCCTCGGCCTCCCAAAGTGCTGGGATTACAGGCGTGTGCCACCACGCCGGGCCTGAACTTTTTATTAAAGCTCTCGTTTACAGAAAGTTACAGGATTGAGAAAAATACGACTGAGACCGTCTTATTGCCATGGCTGTAAGTCATAAACAAGAAAAATGTTCCATTAGTGGTTGACAATATATAAAACTATTGAGGATATATTTTGCTGTCATTATTACTTCAGAGCCCATTGATAATTAATACAAACTGGTAAGTGAAGTCGGCAGGGGGAGGCGAGCCATATCTCTAAGTAGATTGGAGATTGAAAGAGAATGCATTTAGGCCGGGCGCAGTGGCTTACGCCTGTAATCCCAGCACTTTGGGAAGCCAAGGTGGGCAGATCACGAGGTCAGGAGATCGAGACCATCCTGGCTAACATGGTGAAACCCCGTCTCTACTAAAAATACAAAAAATCAGCTGAGTGTGGTGGCGGGCGCCTGTAGTCCCAGATACTCGGGAGGCTGAGGCAGGGGAATGGCGTGAACCCGGGAGGCGGAGCTTGTAGTGAGCCGAGATTGCGCCACTGCCCTCCAGCCTGGGCGACAGAGCAAGACTCCGTCTCAAAAAAAAAAAAAAAAAAGAAAAGAAAAAGAAAGAAAGAAAGAATGCATTTGTAGTGAAACACAGTATGCCCACTAGATTACTGCTATACCACTGAAATCTGCTAATACAGTTTTCTCACTGATGACGTAAGGAAGAAGAGGAATAATGTGGTTGAGACAGGAAGCAATCGGCCAAGCAATTTCTTTCAAGATATGGATAAATATGCATGCTTGAAAGCCGAAGGTAAGGGGCCAGTGAACAGGAAGAGAACGCAGAGAAGAGGAAGGGTATCTGCTTGAAGGTGATGTCTGTGTGTGGGGCGGGGGAGAGGAGGAAGGGGGAAAGCTTAGCAACAAAGTATCTCATGTATTAAGACAGCATAAGTCTTAATTCAGTAACAGTAGCAACTCCATATATTGAGTACCATTACCATATTAAAGCAGTGTCAAATATCTGTCTTATGCATAGTAACAGGTAGTGCTTAAAAGGTAATTCACATTTTTTAAAAGTCTGTTTTATCGTCACAACATATGTAATTCACATTTGATTTTTACTGGTGTAAGTATAAATCGCAAATTAAGTAGTAACATCATTTATTCACCTTTTGGACCTCAAAATATACCTCAAATTCATGGGACATTCATAGTTTACAAAAGCTTTCACAGAATCCTCACAACTTTGTGAATCTGCAGAGTCAGTTGAGTCTCCCAGGCTGGAGTGCAGTGGCACATCTCAGCTCACTGCAACCTCCACCTCCGGGTTCAAGCAATTCTCCCACACCAGCCTCCCAAGTAACTGGGATTATAAGCATGTGCCACCAAGCCCAGCTAATTTTTGTATTTTTAGTAGAGACCAGGTTTCGCTATATTGGTCAGGCTGGTCTCAAAATCCTGATCTCAAATAATCCGCCTGCCTCAGCCTCCCAAAGTGCTGGGATTACAGGCGTGAGCCACCGTGACCGGCCTATAATTTTCATATTAAGATAAAGAAATTGAGAGTCATGAAGGTTAAATGACATGCGTGAGGTTACACAGCTAGTAAATAGGAGAGCCAATATGCAAATCCACTGCTTTGAAATATCCCCTCATTCTTCCTCTCTCCATTCCTCCAGCAATAAACTCTGATTTTCCCCACTTCAGCTAGCACCCCGATAGAAAAGACGAAAACAGTAAGATATCAGCAAGACATAAAAATCAGGTTATTCCCACTCGTCAGAAAATAGATTTTAGCCTGTAAAAAAACTTCATTGATTCAAGACTAAAATGTAAATCATCTCCGATTGCACTATATCCACAGGCTTAGCAAAGGGATCAACCAGAATCAAATAGAGTGAATCTGCATTCATGTATTAAGTCTCTACCCTGTGTAATATATCTATCAACATGTCAAGTTATCTTTGAAATTTTTAAATATATATTGTTATATTTTTAACACATATATTAAATTATATTTTTTTAATTTGCCAATACTTTATTTTTGAATTTTTGTATCATTATTGTCGAGTAAATTGGTAAATAATTTACTTTTCTGGTAGCTGTATTTGGCCTTTTAAATTAGCCAGGCGTGGTGGTTCATGCCTGTAATCCCAGCTACTTGGGAGGCTGAGGCAGGGAGAATTGCTTGAATGCAGGAGATGGAGGTTGTTAATTAATTAAATGCACACGAGTTTCTTCATGTGAATTAGGAAGCTCTTTTACCTCACTCTATTATTTGTATTTATTTGTGTAGCTTAGAAATGTCCATGCTTTGGCCTGCAGAAGATCTTTTTTGGCATTCTTCGATTCTTATTCTGTTGATGATTTGTATATTGGTGTCCTACATTCATGGCTCTGAACTTTTCACTTACGATTTCCATTAATAGGTTTTCTTTGTCTTTGCTATTCTTTTTTTTTTCTTTCCTTTTTTCTTTTTCAACTTTTATTTTAGATTCAGTGGGTACATGTACAGGTTTGTTACCAGCGTATATTGGGTGATACTGAGGTTTAGGGTACAAAGGATCCCATCACCCAGGTACTGAGCACAGTAACCAACAATTGAGTTTTCAGTCCTTGGCCCCCTCACACCCTCCCCCGTCTAGTAGTCCCCATGTCTACTGTTGCTTTTTTTTTTTTTTTTTTTTTTTGAGACAGGGTCGCCCTCTGTCACCCATGCTGGAGTGCAGTGGCGTGATCTTGGCTCACTGAAACCTTCGGCTCCCGGGTTCAAGCGATTCTCCCACCTCAGCCTCCTGAGTAGCTGGGATTACAGATGTGTGGTACCACAGCCCGGCTAATTTTTGTATTTTTAGTAGAGACAGGGTTTCACCATATTGGTCAGGCTGGTCTTGAACTCCCGACCTCAGGTGATCCACCTGCCTTGGCCCCCCAAAGTGCTGGGCTTACAGATGTGAGCCACTGCACGCGGCCTTACTGTTGCCATCTTTATGTGAATGAGTACCTGATGTTTAGCCCCCGCTTATAAGTGAGAATGTGCAATATTTGATTTTGTTCCTGAATTAATTCACTTAGGATAAAAATAATTTGAAGAAAAATATGCACATTCAAATTTAACCATGGCTCTGTAACATTTTTAATAAGCAAATTTTCAAATAAGTGATAATTTGTAGAGGATTGTAATCCTAAATGCATCTGTTGAACCTTAAAAAGCAGTTAGATTACATAATTAAGTAGGGGGGTAGTTTTACCCATAAAATGCTTGTCTATAAATTAAATCATGAATATGGCTTTGAGGAGTAAGTAGGCAATCTTACTCTGACTTATCAGTTGCTTATTTATTGATAGCAAGCTATGGAGAAGCATAAATGTATTCAAGGATGCACAAATCAGAGTTACAACTTGAGCACCAAAGTTCTCCCAAAAGACAGGTTGGTGAACAAATTCCTTCCCCTTTATTAACACTTATATCACTATTTGCTAGGTACCTTATACATACTGTCTCATTAAATTTTTCACCATACTCCTGGCTAAACAGATGTAGAACCAAAGCCATATTTGAGAAAACTGAGCCTCAGAGAAGTTAAATAACTTGGTCTATTAAAACTTGCTTTACCCAATAACAGAATTTGAGATTACCTCAAAACTTTCCACTGAACCATTCTGCCCCCACCCAACGAACCTTACAAGGATGATTGTTTGCTTCAGAGCCAAGAATGACCCTGTTGTAAGAAGATACAGTTTGTTTTTGGGATTCTATTATTTTAGTACATTTTTGGAGTAAATTTGAGCTTGAAAAAAGAAAATAGGACTGGGTGCAATGGCTTATGCCTTTTTTTTTTTTTTTTTTTTTTTTTTTTTTGAGACGGAGTCTCGCTCTGTCACCCAGGCTGGAGTGCGGTAGCGCAATCTCGGCTCACTGCAAGCTCCGCCTCCCAGGTTCACGCCATTCTCCTGCCTCAGCTTCCTGAGTAGCTTGGATTACAGGCGCCCGCCACCACGTCCGGCTAATTTTTTTTCTTTTTTCTTTTTTTTTTTTTTTGTATTTTTAGTAGAGACGGGGTTTCACTGTGTTAGCCAGGATGGTCTCGATCTCCTGACCTCGTGATGCTCCTGCCTCGGCCTCCCAAAGTGCTGGGATTACAGGCCTGAGCCACCGCACCCGGTCAGCTTATACCTTTAATCCCAGCACTTTGGCAAGCCAACGTGGGCAGATCACTTGAGCCCAAGTTCAAGACCAGCCTGGGCAACATAGTGAAACCTAGTCTACAAAAAATACAAAAAAAAGAAAAATTAGGCTGGCACGGTGACATACACCTGTAGTCCCAGCTACTTGGGAGGCTGAGGTGGGAGGATTACTTGAGCCTGGGAGATCGAGGCTACGGTGAGCCATGATCACACCACTGCACTCTGGCCTAGGCAACAGAGATCCTGTCTCAAAGAAAAAAAAAAAAAGAAAAAGAAAGAAAAGCGGAAGTAGATCTGCAGCTATCATGCTACCACTATTATAGGGCTTGCCAACTATGGATTTGGGGGAGATACCCCTAAAGCAAATCTGTATGTATAAATGAATTCAAGTATCTTTCACCAAGATATATTCAGGTATGTGGGAAAAGTAATTGGTATTGGAAGAAAAAAGTAAGAGAAATTAGTAATTGAGATTCAAATATGCATACATTACTTTTTTCCTATCTTTCAGGGTTCATGGGAAGACAAGAGAGCCTCTGTAGAAACGTTTAGAAAATATTTAATTCAGGCTTTTAAAAAAATTACATGCCTAAATAAATAGTCACTGATACGTTTACGGCAGATCTATTGAGAAACAGAGATTCTGAGTGTGCTGGACTGTAAGCAACCGAAAGAGAGAGCCTTAATCCTCTTTCTACAGTGTCTGGTAAATTACTAGGCAAGGTGGGGCACAGTGGCTCATTCCTGTAATCCTAGTCCTTTGGGAGGCTGAGGCTAAAGGACTGTCTGAGGCCAGGAGTTTGAGATCTACCTGGGTAACACAGTGAGACCAAGAACCTATCTCTACAAAAAATTTAAAAGTTAGCCAGTTCTACAACTGTGGTCTACAGGTGCACGCCTGTAGTCCCAGCTACTTGGGAGGCTGAGGAGGGAAGATTGCTTGAGCCCAGGAGGTTGAGGTTACAGTGAGATATGATCATACCACTGCAATCCAGCATGGGCAAAAGAGTGAGGCTCTATCTCTTAAAAAAAAAAAAAAAAAAAAAAAATTACTGGCTGGCCCAGTAATTTTTTACAGGATCACACCTGTAATCCCAGCACTTTGGGAAGCCAAGGTGGGCAGATCACCTGAGGTCAGGAGTTTGAGACTAGCTTGACCAATATGGAGAGACCCCATCTCTACTAAAAATACAAAATTAGCCGGGCTTGGTGGTACATGCCTGTAATCCTAGCTACTTGGGAGGCTGAGGCAGGAGAATTGCTTGAACCCAGGAGGCAGAAGTTGGGGTGAGTGGAGATCGTGCCATTGCACTCCAGCCTGGGCAACAAGAGCGAGACTCCGTCTCAAAAACAAAAAAAAAATAAAAATTACGAGGCAAATAGAATGTACTCAACAAATACTTGTGGCTGGGCACAGTGGCTCATGCCTGTGATCTCAGCACTTCAGGAGGCTGAAGTGGGAGGATCGTTTGAGGCTAGGAGTTTAGGACCAGCTTGAACAACTTTGGGAGATCCCAACTCTACAAAAAATTTAACATTTAGCTGAGTATGGTGGTGCACGCTTGTATTCCCAGCTACTTAGAAGGCTGAGGTAGAAGGATCATTTGAGCCCAGGAGCTCAAGGCTAGAGTGAGCTATGATCGTGCCACTGCACTCCAGCCTAGGTGACAGAGTAAGATCCTGTCTCTTAAACAAAACAAAAAAAAAAAAGGGAAAAAAATGAAATAGGAAATACAGCAGTGCCAAGTCATGTGAGCCCTTGTAGGCCACTGTAAAGGCTTTGAGACAAAAAGCCTTTGGAGGATTTCAAGGGGAGGAGTGACATGAAAATGCCTACTGTGTTGAAAACAGAATGTTGATAGATGGTGTCTAAGGCCAAGAGAGGGAGAACATCACAGTACCTCTGATGATCATGGAACATCACCATACCTCGTATCTGGATTACTGTGATAACTTCCTGCCAAAAAAAAAAAAAATTAGCCAGGCACAGTGGCATGCACCTATAGTCCCAGCTACTTGGGAGGGCTGAGGTACTGCTGCTGCTACTACTACTACTACTACTACTAATATTAAGGGAGGAGACCACCCCTCATATTGTCTTATGCCCAATTTCTGCCTCCAAAGAAGGAAGAAATAAAAACTAAAAGGCAGAAATGAAATCCACAGGCAGACAGCCCGGCGCCACGCCCTGGGCCTGGTAGTTAGAGATCGAAACCTGACCTAATCAGTTATGTTATCTATAGATTCCAGACATTGTATAGAAACGCACTGTGAAAATCCCTGTCCTGTTCTATTCCGATCTGATTACCAGTGCATGCAGCCCCCAGTCACGTACCCCCTGCTTGCTCAATGATCAAGACCCTCTCATGCGGACCCCCTTAGTGTTGTGAACCCTTAAAAGGAACAGGAATTGCTCCCTTGGGGAGCTCAGTTGTTGGAGATGTGAGTCTTGCCAAAGCTCCCAGCTGAATAAAGCCCTTCCTTCTTTAACTCGGTGTCTGAGGGGTTTTGCCTGTGGCTTGTCCTGCTACACTATAACTTCTTAAGTTATCACAGTAATCCACATAAGAGGTACGGTGCCTTGGACCAAGATGGAAGTGATGAGAAGTAATTGAGTTTTGGATGTATTCTGAAAGTAAAGCTAACAGGATTTGCTGACCAGTTGAATATAAAGTGTGTGAAAAGGAAAAGCTGGGATTTTGGCCTGAGGGTGGAGGTGCCATTTACTGAAATGGGGAAGACTCTAGGAGGAACAAATTTGGGTGGAAATACCAATATCTTTTTGTTACATATAGGTAATAGTTTCATAGAGCTACCATAACAAAGTCCCACAGACTGGTTTGCATAAACAATAGAAATTGGCCGGGCGCAGTGGCTCATGCCTGTAATTCCAGCACTTTAGGAGGCCGAGGCGGGTGGATCACAAGGTCAGGAGATTGAGACCATCCTGGCTAACAACAGTGAAACCCCGTCTCTACTAAAAATACAAAAACATTAGCCAGGCATGGTGGTGGGCGCCTGTAGTCCCAGCTACTCGGGAGGCTGAGGCAGGAGAATGGCATGAAACTGGGAGGCAGAGCTTGCAGTGAGCCGAGATCGTGCCACTGCACTCCATCCAGCTTGGGCGACAGAGTGAGACTCCGTCTCAAAAAAAAAAAAAAAAAAAAAAAAAACAGAAATTTATTTTCTCATAGTTCTGGAGGCTGGAAATCCAAGGAGGTATCAGCAAGTTTGGTTTCTTCTGGAGCCTCTCTCCTTGGCTTTCACACAGCCACCTTCTCACTGTGTCCTCACGTGGCCTTTCTTCCTCTGTGCTCAAAAGCCCCTGGTATCTCCTTTTTGTGTGTCCAAACTTCCTCCTCTTAGAAGGACACCAGTCAGACTGGATGAGGGTCCACCCTAAGGGCCTCATTTTAACTTAATCACCGTTTTAAAAGACCTTTTCTCCAAATATTTCTAAATCTCGCATCCTGAAGTACTGGGAGTTTGGCCTTTACGTATGAATTTTGAGGGGACAAAATTCAGCTCATAATATTAAGTGGGTTATGTGAAGTGTGAAGTACTTGTTAGATATCCAAGTGGAATTGTAGAGCAAGTTTTGAATAGATGAATCTGGAGTTCCTGGGAGATGTCCAGGCTGAAAATATAAGTGTTCGAGTGATCGATGTATAGATGATATTTAAGACCCTAAGACTGGAAGAAGTCATCAGTGATCTCATTGATCACTGTGAGCAGAGAGAGTGAAGAGAAAAAAAATTAATAACTAAACACTGTAAGAATGTCTAAATGTCAGAACATCTAATAAACAACAAACTTTGTTATGACATTTAGACATTCTTACATCCAGGAGCAATTTTGCAGTGGCTAGGATTTGAGGAACCTAGACAAGGAGACCCCAGAAGAAGAGGAAGGAGGAAATCAGAGGAGCGTGGTATGCTGGAAACCAAGGGAAGAAAGTATTTCCAAGAGGGGTTAATGATGTGTCAAAACATTTGTCACATTGTGGATTTATAATGTGGAGGTCATTACTGACCTCCACAAAGTAGTTTTGATGGCATTTTGATGATGAGAGAGGGTTCAAGAGAGAATGGGAGGAGAGGGAAGCAGAGAATGTAGAAATTAATTAAAAGGGGACCAGGCACGGTGGCTCACACCTGTAATCCCAGCACTTTGGGAGGCTGAGGCGGGCAGATCACGAGGTCAGGAGTTCGAGACCAGCCTGTCCAATATGGTAAAACCCCATCTCTACTAAAAAATACAAAAATTAGCTGGGCATGGTTGAACATACCTGTAGTCCCAGCTACTTGGGAGGCTGAGGCAGGAGAATTGCTTGAACATGGGAGACGGAGGTTGCAGTGAACTGAGATTGCGCCACTGCACTCCAGTGTGGGTGAAAGAGTGAGACTCCATCTCATAAAATAATAATAATAATTAATTAATTGGAAGAGATAGGTCAAGAGAGGGGTGTGTGTGTGTGTGTAACATTTGTTTGCTGTTGGTAATGAGTCAATAGAGAGGGAATATTTGATAATACAGAAGAAAAAAGGAAATTGCTGAAATAACATCTTTGAATAAGTTTAAAAATGTGTGATCTAGCAAAAATGGGAGAACTGGCCTTAAAAAGAAGCATAACTGGAAGTGGTGGCCTGTAATCCTAGCACTTTGAGAGGCCGAGGCAGGCAGATCATCTGAGGTCAGGAGTTTAGGACCAGTCTGGCCAACACAGTGAAACTCTGTCTCTACTAAAACTACAAAAATTAGCCAGGCATGCTGGTGGGCACTTGTAATCCCAGCTACTTGGGAGGCTGAGGCAGAAGAATTGCTGGAACCCGGGAGGCAGAGGTTCCGGTGAGCCAAGATTGCGCCACTGCACTCCGGCCTGGGCGACAGAGCAAGACTCTGTCTCAAAAAACAAACAAACAAACAAACAAAAATTAGCCAGGTTTGGTGACATGTACCTGTGGTCCCAGCTACTTGGGGTGCTGAGATGGGAGGATCACTTGAGCCCTGAAGATGGAGGTTGCAGTGAGCTGAGATTGCACCACTGTACTCCAGCCTGGATGTCTCAAACCAAAAAAAAAAAAAAAAAAAAAAAAAGTAGCATGGACAGTTAATGCATAGTAACAGCAGGATGGAAGGCTAAGTAGAAGGGCAGAGAAGCAAGTAGTGAGTATATATGGGGATAAACACCCTCTTGCTTCAATTTTCAAAATGAAGAAAGGCTATCACCTGAGCGTGAGGCTGAGAGAAAAACTGTTAAAATGTTGGTGAACGACTTGAAAGTATGAAATAGTCATCTAAGAAAATGGAAGAATACATAAACTAGAGGTATACAGGAAGATTTCCAGGCAGCATGATGGGTTCACGTAAAGTGGGGTCAGTCATCACATCATGGTTGTTTTTTTCTAGCCTCATCAGCCTGCTTGGATGGAGCTGTAGAGCAGGTGGGAGAGTTGAATTTAAAGAGTATAGATGTTTGTCAAGAGAAAGGCACAAGGGAGTTGATGTATGTGTGAGAGTCATTGTAATGATGGATCATAGAATTTAAACACACATATCACTCTCATAACATTTTCCGCACTGTGCTAAAATTACTGTGTCTTTCCCACTGTTCCCAAGGCAGAAGCTGTGGCTCTTTGGTCCTTTAATCCACAGTTCACAAGCCAGGGATGAATGCACAAAATCCATCCCACAGATGTGTTTTGTTTGACCCATAGAGTGATGGAAAAAAAAAATTTGAGCAAATATTTGACAAGTAGTAAGTTTGATATCAATGAATTCATTTACATGAGCTTTTTCAGGGCATTACTACTTAACAATGTATACACAGTCACACCCAGACTGATTCACTCATTTAAATCACCTGCCTGTAGCCGAGTGTGGTGTCACATACCTGTAGTCCCAGCTACTCAGGAGGCTGAGAGGGGAGGATCACTTGAGCCTGGGAATTCAAGGCTGCAGTGAGCTATGATCATGCCACAGCACTCTAGCCTGGGTGACAGAGTAAGACCCTGTCTCTAAAAAACTAAAATCAATTATCTGCTTGGCACAGAACGAAAATTCAAATGGTTGGTTTTGCCGAAGAGAAGGGTTAAAAAAAAAAGAGTCTGGAGAACAAGGTGACCGACAGGTTCGTATAACTTTTCCTAGGGTTGGCTCTATGAAGGAACATATATTTTGACATGTATAAATGCATAAAACACCTCAGATAACTTTCAAAGGAGGCTGATCTTTTCCCTAAGCACAGAATTGATCACAGAGTCATTCTTCCCAGAGAACTGTTAGGTTGTTAGGTTTTCAGTAGATATTTAAAATGTTTAACTTCAAGGCGGGTGGATCACTTGAGGCCAGGAGTTCGAGAGCAGCCTGGCCAACGTGGCAAAACCTCATCTCTACTAAAAATACAAAAATTACTGTAATCTCAGCACTTTGGGAGGCCAAGGTGGGTGGATCACCTGAGGTCAGGAGTTCCAGACCAGCCTGGCCAACATGGTGAAACCCTATCTCTACTAAAAATACAGAAATTAGCTGGGTGTGGTGGCAGGCACCTGTAATCCCAGCTACTCAGGAGGCTGACGCACGAGAATCGCTTGAACCTGGGAGGTAGAGGTTGCAGTGAGCCGAGATCGCACCACTGTACTCCAGCATGGGTGACAGAACAAGACTCCGTCTCAAAACAAACAAACAAACAAATACAAAAATTAGCTGGGCATGTTGGGGTGCACCTGTAGTCCCAGCTACTCGGGAAGCTGAGGCAGAAGAATCGCTTGAACCCAGGAGGTGGAGGTTGCAGTGAGCCGAGATCACACCATTGCACTCCAGCCTAGGCGACAGAGTGAGACTGTCTCAAAAAATAAAAATAAAATAAAATGTTTAACTTCTTGATTATAGGTAGTCCTAGATTAAAAGTTTTGCATCTCACTGAGATCCCTCTTTGTATTTCCCCAAAGACGCAGTGAGTGCCCCAATCTTGATCTGGCCTCCCACAGGCAGCCTACTACCCATACACCTTTCTCACCCTTCCCTCTCCCTCCCAATCACAATGTAACAACATGCTTCCAACTTTCTTCAGGACATGACAAACTTACCTAACTCATTAATTTGTACTAAGGTATTAGCACTAATAAGGATTTACCAAATTATCTCCTCCCAGATTTTCATTTTACCCTAGGACCTTAAGTAGTTTAGTAATATGGGCATTTTTGACCCCAAAAACTGGGCCAGGGACATTTGGTCTCTCCTAGCATCCCATCACACCAACACAACAAAGGCCTACTGCGTAGGTTCTCTTGTAGGAATAAGTCTAGTCTTAATTACCTGTAGACTGATATTTAACAAAACAATAAGGGGAAAATTATTCACTATGAGGCTAGTCAGAATTATAATTGTCTTACACAGTTTAATTTTGTGACTAATGATAAGACCACATTTTTGTCTTAAAAAAATTTTTTTTTTTTTTGAGACAGAGTTTTGCTCTTGTCGCCCAGGCTGGAGTACAGTAGCATGATCTCGGCTCACTGCAACCTCTGCCTCCCAGGTTCAAGTGATTTTCCTGTCTCAGCCTTCCGAGTAGCTGGGATTACAAGCACCCACCACCACACCCAGCTAATTTTTGTATTTTTAGTAGAGACGGTGTTTCGCCAGGTTGGCCAGGCTTGTCTGGAACTCCTGACCTCAGGTGATCCACCTTCCTCAGCCTCCCAAAGTGCTGGGATTACAGGCGTGAGCCACTGCACCCGGCTCTTTTATCTTAAATTTAATACAATGTTATGGGCATAAGCAAATAAATGTTTAAGTCATCCTTTATTACTACCATTGATTTTTAAGAAGAGATTATTTCATAGGCATTTAATGGTAAATTTATATAAATTTCCTTCTGTGATCATTCCTGTGGCATTTTGGAGTTTTCATCCAAACAGACAAAATAAAACTTTATACTT
This sequence comes from Homo sapiens, assembly GCF_000001405.40. Lineage (NCBI taxonomy): Eukaryota > Metazoa > Chordata > Mammalia > Primates > Hominidae > Homo > Homo sapiens. Next base: position 95,555,731 of record NC_000012.12, on the reverse strand, counting down.
GTGAAAAACATCCCATTACATGTCATATTTCAAGCTTTTTTTCCCCCCCCTACAATGCTTGGCTCATCCTTCATTATTTTTCTAAAGATTAGGAGCCGCATATTTAGGACATTTAAAAAAATCCAAGGACCAGACACAGTGGCTCACACCTATAATTCCAGCACTTTGGGAGGCCGAGGCGGGTGAATCACCTGAGGTCAGGAGTTTGCGACCAGTCTGGCCAACATGGTGAAACCCCGTCTCTACTAAAAATAAAAAAATTAGCCGGGTGTGGTGGCAGGTGCCTGTAATCTCAGCTACTCAGGAGGCTGAGGCAGGAGAATCACGTGAACCCAGGAGGCGAAGGTTGCAGTGAGCCGAGATTGTGTCATTGCACTCCAGCCTGGGTGACAAGAGTGAGACTCCATCTCAAAAAACATCCAAGAAATTAATATCAAGTATTCATTATGCTTAATTCTTTAAACACTAATTTCAAAACCAAAAATAAAATGAAATAGATAGGGACTATCTAACTTACACACAACCTCCCTTCCCCCAAAGAGTTTCCCTCAGAAATGTGGTTTTCAAGGCTGGGTGCAGTGGCTCACACCTGTAATCCCAGCACTTTGGGAAGTCCAGGTGGGTGGATCATTTGAGCTCAAGAGTCCAAGACCAGCCTGGACAACATAGTGAAACCCCATCTCTACAAAAAATACAAAAATTAGCTGGGTGTAGTGGCATGTGCCTGTAGTCCCAGCTACTTGGGAGGCACAGGTGTGAGGATTGCTTGAGCCTGGTAGGTCAAGGCTGCAGTGAGCTGAGATCACGCCACTGCACTCCTGGGTGGCAGGAAAAAAAATGTGGTTTTTCTAGGAGTTAATCACTGGTTAGCTAAGGAAAAGAGGCTTACAAACACTATTTACAGATGACTAAATCAATGATTGCTACCACGAGGTACCTTGGCCTAAAAAGAAGCAACCTTAAGATGGCAGAGAAAAGCAGGTTGATCATCCTAGCTCTTACACATGAAGAATTGTTAGCTCTTTTTATTGTATGCATACATCCTGAATAGACAGTTTGTGGTTTCTTTTAAATGATGCAATATCACGTTGTATTAAGGGGGCCTTCTATTTACTTTTCTTATCTTTTACAACCCAGGAGCGACACTGCAGGATTTCAATTTCCAAATGGTTTGGCAAGATGTAAATAATTATACAAATAGCTACAGTTATCCATCTACACTTTCCTCATTCTATTATTTTTTTTTAAAAAAAAGAAATGGGTTTAAAAACATGTATAGAGTATAAAAACAAAACTTGGGTACCCCAATAATCTCTTCCTCATGAAAAGTTACTAGTATCTTTTTGGCATGGTTTACTAAAACTTTAAGAGTTGAAATTTCCACCTGTAGTGCCTTTTCTTTTCTCCCCCTCTCTCCCTCTGCCTTTCCAGATCCTTTCCCTCCCTACTATGAGAGAGGAAGACTAAAATAGTATTGCCATGTTTCTCAGAGTAATAGAATTAATTTTAACCTTTATAGCACTTGTCCTTGAATTGACTATTACTTTAGTACAGAAGTAAAACTTGATTTAAGGGAATACTGCTTATCTATCCTGAGTGAGGTTCTGTATTAATTGCTATAGGGGTTGTAAATATGAACAAAAGTCTGTTTCTGACTTCAAAGAACTTTACAGGGTAATAGTAAACCTAAGAGAGAAATAATGATAAACACACTGACTTTTCTCCTTACAGTTTAGGCAGGTTCCATGGACAAAACCTCATTTGGTCCTTAAAACATTATTGTGAAGAAGATAGGACAGATACTATTTTCCAAACTCTACAAATGAGATAGAAATTTTAAAAATCCTGAAAGGATTGCAAATAACTAGATGGACAAATTGTTATTATAGCTAAATGAGTTCTAATTATATATGTGCATATGAGTATATATATGTGTGTCTGCGTGTATTGTGTGTGTGTGTGTGTGTGTGTATTCTGCTGTCATCACCTCCCATAGCTTATCCTTGGAAAGGAAGTACCTTGGCTTAGCAAAATATCTATCCCACTGATCTGTCACAATGTTTAAAATGTCATTTTAGAAATTCCAAACTCTGGGTGTCTACAGGAGGTAGAACAGTCTGAGAGAGAAATGGAAAAAAAAATACTAAACACTAATAATACAAAGTAGATAACTTTACTTCATAACTGAGCTCCTTAGATAATGACAGGTTGGGGCCAGGCATGGTGGCTCATGCTCGTAACCCCAGCACTTTGGGAGGCCGGGGCACAAGGATTGCTTGAGGCCAGGAGTTTGAGACCAGCCTGGGTAGCATAGGGAGAACCCCCCTCCACCCCCACATCTCTACAAAAAATCAATTAGCAGAAGTTGTGTCGCATGCCTGTGGTCCCAGTTACACAGGAAGCTGAGGTGGGAAGATTGCTTGAGCCTGAGAGGTCAAGGCTGCAGTGAGCCATGATCACGCTACTGCACTCCAGCCTGGTGACAAAACCCTGTCTCCATTTTAAAAATAAATAAAAAGAGAGAATGAAAGGTTGGTGTACCTGTCCTGAACAAAATGGGAAGAGTTTTGATGGGAAGGAAGAGAGACAGACTGCAGTAAAGCCCTGGACACAGCATCCTGAGGATCCCTGTAAAAGTGAGTATAGAGTGGGCCAGGCGTGGTGGCTCACGCCTGTAATCCCAGCACCTGGGGAGGCCGAGGCGGGCAGATCACGAGGTCAGGAGTTGGAGACCAGCCTGACCAACATGGTGAAACCCCGTCTCTACTAAAAATACAAAAATTAACCAGGCGTGGTGGTGCATACCTGTAATCCCAGGTACTCAGGAGGCTGAGGCAGGGGAACTGCTTGAACCCGGGAGGCGGAGGTTGCAGTGAGCCGAGATCACGCCACGGCACTCCAACCTGGGTGACAGAGCGAGACTCTGTCTCAAAAAAAAAAAAAAAAAGAAAAGAAAAGAAAAGAAAAACTGAGTATAGGGTGGAGGTGGAGTGGATGTTTATGTTTAAAAAGGGGGAGAAATGGACTCACTTCACAATTTTGCTTCCATTTATACCTAAACCCTGGGGCTCAGGGTTTCAGTTTCCAGTAGGCCTATGTTGGAAATTCACCTGCAAGGTACAAGTTTCCCTGACAGACCACCAAATAAACAATGGTCTTTTAAAAACAAATCAACTTTGGTACCATCTACTCAGCTGGCATTTACCTTCCTTACCTGCTACCAACCTCATTCTTAGAATTAAAGAAAAAAGGCGAATTCTAAAGCCCCTTCTACTCACTTTCCTCCACTAAGGCCATAGCTTACATCTGCTGCTCTTTTTTCCATACTCCTTTTTTCTCAACTCCTTTCTTTCATATTTGCCAGAAATTTAAGGTCGTTTGGGTTCCTCTCATTTAAAAAGTTCAACTGAAGTGTGTTGCTACACCTTAATCAAAAGTTTATGGCTGAGTTATTTAGCGTTTCTTTACCCACTTCCTCTGCTCAATCCTTCATCTCCTCATAACCATTGAAATGAATGCTATGAATATCTCAATGCTTAGCATGGTGCCAGGCATTTAGGTGTTGAAAAAAATGTTAAGCGAATATTAGTTATTAGGTAAGAGCATTGTCTGTAAAACTCTGAAAAGTCTTAAAAGTGATTCCTAAAATTTCACAAGCTCATAAATTCTTTAGTCTGCAATTATGATTCCTGAAATATTCTTCGATTCATGAAAGACTGGACTAGGAAATTCTAAAAATCGACATAAAGCATAAAAAGCCACTCTGAGGTTTATGAAATTTACAATGTTTTGTCTTCTTTTAATTCATTCGTACTTTTCTCTCAGGATACAAAGGGCAAAACTGTTTGTGTAGTAACTCAGAATTGAGTAGTTACACATCCATTAGGTTTCAGAATCGTTAAAATTTTATCTGGTTTAGGAAACTGCTTACCTTGGAAGGGCAAATTGCCATTTCTCTCCATCTGGGGATCAGGGAAGCAAGGGAAGCCCCCCTAAACATCACTTCCACGCTCCTATATTATGCTAAGGAACTTCTGGTTGATTCATTAGGCATTTCAGCAGTGTTTTTGGCCGGTACTAGGAACTGTGGAGAGGTATAGAAAGGGAGCAAGTGCACAGTCCCGGCCCCCAAAGAGGTTACGATGCAAATAGAAGCAGGCTCAGAACTCGGAACAAAAGCAGTGACTGCATAATAATGCACTGCTGGGGGTGGGGGATGGGGATCTGCACGCCCGGTTTGTGACTTCAGGAAAGCAGTTTCCAGGAGGTGAGAGTTTAAGCCAAACCTGAAAGAGGTTGATTTGTAATGATTTGCAGGGGGGCACTGGAGGCAGCCGCCAGGACTTTTCACTTAGGAGATCAGCATTTGCCCTGATGGAAACTGGGCGATCCTGCAGGGACTGACCTCTGAGTTATCCAAAGGCCGACCTGGGGAAAGACTGATTTTGAGGTTTTAATAGGTAAGTTTGGGGACATCATTGATGAAGGTGGGCAGGGAAGGAGGCTTTTTTCTTTTCTTTTTTTTAATGTTACAGTAAAAAGCTTAGATTCGATGAGACGGGTTAAAAAACAAATAGGAAAATTTAAGGAGAAGAATGACTATGATTGCTATGTAAAAATAAAATTGCAATAGAGAGGTTCTGGAGCTCAGGAAATGAGCTAGAGCATGCTATAATTTAGGCCTAGATAGTGAAGATCATGAATAAAATGGTAGCTGAGGAAATTTCAAAGTTGAATAAGTAGTAATAAGTATGAAGAAAAAGCTAAACTACAAACATCTGCTCTTTAATTACTAACACTAGTAATGAGAATTTGTCTCCAGCCTCTTCCCTTCCCACTCCGCACCTCTTCCTAGCTTACATCATTGTATTAAGGCATTTTATTGAAGACACTATTCAGCACTCTCCACCTATGCCTTACACAGCTTGCCTTTGCTTTTCTTCCCATTTCACTTTTTCTCTTCATTTATTCACATCATTTTAGTCCTTAAAAGACCCCGCCCAATTACTAGATCAGAGGGAGGCAACTAAGACTCTTCCTATCTCCCAAACGACCTTCCAGAATGGTTTTATGGCATTATAATAGGAAAGCAAGAGTTTTGATTTTTCTATTATTAATATTTTGCTTTCAAGGAATTACAGGAAAAACCATATTGCATGCCAGAAATACTTAAATTTTAAATATTTCATCTTAAGAGATGCCCTCATGTAATGCTTTTAATGCATTTGAGAAATTCAGGTGGTGGGCAAAAGTACAACATAGAGGTTAGATGTTTTGAGTGGGAGAAGTGCACTGGGGTCATTATTGAATCAGAATTATTATGCACTTAAATATATAGAAAAAAGAACAAAATGAGTATTAAACTATGCAAATTCATCCCTTTAATCTTTATTTGCATGACTACATTTTATGCAGTTGTAACCTTAATGTACATATTTGGTATTTTTTTCAAACATGAATTGATTAGACATTGTTGCTATTTTGTATCTATTTTGTTAACATAAGAACTTCCTGTGTTATATCAGATTTTTTTTTTTTTTTTTTTTTTCTGAGACGGAGTTTCGCTCTTGTTGCTGCCCAGGCTTGAGTGCAATTGTGGATCTAGGCTCACCACAACCTCCGCCTCCTGGGTTCAAGCGATTGTCCTGTCTCAGCCTACCGAGTAGCTGGGATTACAGGTGCCCGCCACCAGGCCCGGATAATTTTTGTATTTTTAGTAGAGACAGGGTTTCACTATGTTGGCCAGGCTGCTCTCGAACTCCTGACCTCAGGTGATCCACCCGCCTTGGCCTCCCAAAGTGCTGTGATTACAGGCGTGAGCCACTGCGCCCGGCCTCTATGTCAGACCTTAATTAGCCATTTCCTGTTAGTTAGAATCCTGTGCCGCTCCTTCTTGCCTTTTACGGTGTTTGGATAATATGCTGTGAATACCTTTGTGCACTCATTTCTTTATTCAGGTCATACCACTGAAACATACTCCCCAGAATAAAACTGATGATGAAAAGATAGGAACAATTTTATACCTTGTCTTACATATTGCAAGATTTTGCACTGCATTGATGTATTGTTAACTTTGCATGTTTGTCTTCTTTTTAAGCTCTCCTTGGAGAGTTTTTAAATTTTCAGTACACTCCACAGGGTGGCCAAAGTAGAACTGCTTTGTCATTGAGTATAGGTTCAGTTAAAAACAACAATCTGGCTCAGAGTTGAACACAAAGAATCCAATAAATATTAATGGGTTAATTTTCAGGTACCTTAGCCTTGACTTTCCTGTTTTCCAGATTTCCCCTCCTTTTCCTTTTCGGTATGTACTTCATTATTTAAATGGGCAATTTCGGGTTAGGCAGTTCTAGATAGCGGTTCCCTTCCTGTGCCCGTTCTGGAACCTCTCTCGCCCTTCTGCGGTGCGAAAAAACCCAATTCACAGCCGTCATCGCCACTGAAGTTACACCCAGGGGTCGCTTCAAGAAGGAAACGTTTTCTTTAAGAATTTCTATGCCAGTGAATTGGGGAAGGTTTTAAAGATAACGGAGTTTGCCACGCGTTTCTGCCAAACAATTCGACGTTGTGTAAATCGCAGAAATTCCAGGAAGGACTAACGACGTCCGTGGATGATTCTGCGGCTCACAGGCACACAGGACACGCTGGGTTTACCCTCCCGTGTCCCGACGGCACTACAGGTGCGAAGCCCGCCCGGGGAGGCAGTGCTTGTTGTTCGCGCAGACCCACTTGCGGCGCCGGGGACCGTCCGTGGCCCCGACCCCCCCACGAGGCGCGGAAGGCGGCCACCGGCAGGTTCTCGGTGCCCGCGAAGAGCCGGCGCAGGGGTGGGGCTGTGGGAGGGGGCGGGGCCTGCTGCGCGTCACGGCTGTCGTAGCCGCCGCACCGGGTCGTCGCGGCCGCCGAACCGGGGGGCGGGGGGCCGGGGTGAGCGCTAAGATGGCCGCCCCGGCTCGGGCTGGTGAGTGTGCGCGAGGGCGCGCGGCCGCGGCGATTGGCGGAGTGAGGACCCCTGCGGGAGCGGACGTGCGACGGCAGCCCCCGGGGCCGGGAGGCACCTGGGGGCCTATTCTCGCCGCGCAGGGCGCTGGGGGGTCCTGAGAGAGGGAGAGCCTGGGGCTGCGGGCGCGCGGAAGGGAATGAGCCGAGGGGCGCGCGGCGGCGACGCGTCCGGCGAATTTTGAATTGCCCCCCTGGGAAGTTTCGGTGGGTTCTGCGGCGCTCCGACCCTGTCCCGGCGGCAGCCTCAGAGTGCCCGGAGATGCTGCGGCAAGGCGCAGCGGGCTGGAGGGGGCGAGCTGGGGGAGAACGGGCGCGGGCGAGGGCTTCGGGGACTGGAAGGGGCTTCGCGCTGATCCCGGCACGAGCGTCGTGGAGAGGTGGGCGCGGGGCTGGCACGGGCTGGGCGCTGTGTGGAGCACGCAACGCCCGGGTCCAGCCGCATCCCTCCACCCTCCCGGATTACCGCGAGGTGATGCTCGAAGCCCCGGGGCACTTCGGGAGGGCGGTTGTGGCACTCGGTTGAGGAGGAATGCGCTTCCCGGCGTCTTGCCCGCCTTCTCTCCATCGATCGGTCCCCGCGCTGCCGGCACCTGCTGCCGCTTAAAGCTTGAAAATCAGCTTCCTAAAGCCATTCCCGATGGCCTTCGATGGGAAAGAATGCCATATGGCTGAATTCATTATGGGGGATAAGAAATATGTCAGTGTGCGCGGAGGGGAACCTGTTAATACGTTCAAATTTAAGAGTAGGTAAGACACCATACCCCGCCCCCATGAAAAAAGAAAGTGAACTATATAGTAACTGTTCCAAATGCAAGGTTGAGCTGTTGTTAAATTCTACTGGTAGCTCGCAGTTTTTATACTGGAAGCAAAACCATTTAGGAACCCTTGGGAGATTCACTTTCTCCTCAGACCAGTCCTCAAGTCCCCCACTCCCGCCACCTTTTAAGCTTTAATTGTTGTATCTGGGCAAGTAACGGGGATTGTGAAATTTGCATGGAAATAAGACCTTCAGGTCCTGCACTTGAATTCCTTATCTGTTAAGTAGCTGCCTGTGGGGGTGAAAGTAGGGGTGGTGACTTTTGGGCCTGGAATTCCATTTTGAGTTGTGTTCAAAACGAGCATTTGGTGTAAACAAGGAAAAAGAATGGGCTGTTCACTGTGGTGAAATGCGGAAAGCCAAATAGAAGTTAAGCACATGCTTAGAGAATATTTCATAATCTCAATGAGATTCAATATTCAGTTGAATCTTGAAAGAGATGAAAATTTGTATTCTTGGAACTCTAATCGTTTTGTCCTTAATTTAGCATCTCAGGATATTTTAAAGAGCGTTTAAATGTTTTGGCACATTCAAGTTTTCTCTCCCCATTCTATCTTTTTTCATAGTAGCCATTAGTTTTGCATATGTTCGATGTCAGATTTTTCAGTCCAGTATTTATCACTGTGGGCTATCCAAATTCAAATGTAGAGATATTCTAATATTGAACAGTTAGTCCAGTGCATACAGTTTAGAAAGCTGAAATATTTTGACTACTTTGTGTATCAGTCCTGTTTTTCTTCCCAAATGTTAATTGTTTGAGATTTTTTAGCTTAAAAATTTTTAAGTGATAAATGAACCTGCATTTAGTATAATATACAATGGTACACTTTTTGGAATATTTAAAATGGAAAATCTGTTGAAGATTTGGGTTAGATATTTGAAATAAATTTTCTACCCAGTTGTCTTTCTCCCTTTTCTACAGATTTATCTTTTCTGTACTACAAAGAAAGAAAGCGTCATATCCACTCTACCAAACTTCTCCTCTACACACTTGAATCTATTACAGCGTTTTGGTGCCTAAGAGAATTTTCTGCTCATTGGGTTGTTTGAGGGCAGAGTCTGTGTTTTATATGTGTATCTCTAGTACCCGACTAACTGCTTAACGTGGAGGAAAAACCCCCGTGTAAATTTGTTGAATTGGGGTTTTGAATGGTAGAGGATACAGAAATTTGGCTTCTTGGTAGCCAAAAACAAAACAAAAAAACAAACACGTGCTTTGAAGTCTCTGTCCTTCCTGCAGTGTTAGGCAGAACAAACGTGGGTGCCAGATTCTAATGGAGTTGTCTGGTCCAGGGAGATTAGCGAGAGGCTGGGGCACGGGCTCAGGAGTCTAATCAAGATAGGAAATAAATCGTGTGCCCGAATAATTCTCTGAATTCAGTAACGGGGGACAGTTTTGCTATTAGGCCCAGCCTAAATAGGTGACAAATAACTGAAATACAGGAGGATTCTACAAATAATGGCTTTCTGGCTAAAAGGTGATTGTAAAAGGTGTAACATTCACAGCAATTTTAGACGCCATAAAAAACTTTATTAGGAAGAATTCATTTTTAATGGAGTTTTACACGTCATAGGAAAAAGGTAATTTGTAGTCTAACGATATACTTGCTAGATCAGATCATAGATGTGCTGGAATGACAGAGTCTAGGCATTTTACACACAGAGTATTTGAATTCAATTTTTCAGACCCTTGGTAGGATGCTCAGTATTATTCTGAATGTTTCTCCCATTGTTACGAAGTTAGCTGCGGTAGATTGATGTGTAAATTTGTTGATGTGACACTGATGATAAATGTTTTGGAACAAAATTACTTGTTAAGTAGGGATGGGGGTGAGAAATTCAAATAACCCGGAGGCAGAAACTGCTTTCAGGAGCTTTATCTTACAACGTGTTCAACTAGATTCAATCTCTGCTTCAGGAGAGGCATGTTAGAGACATGAGGAAGGCCCAAGGGAAAAGGGTGTCCTTTATTGTTTAATGAGGAGTTCCAAGCAAGATCAGGGTAATTATAGATTCTAGATCTCTAAAGGAAGAAAGAATAACCAGGGCCTTTCTAGGGATAAAGGAAAGGAAATACATCATGATTGACATGGAGAGGTGCCAAAGCACATAATGGACATAATAGCATACCTAAGAGGGAGTAGGGGAGGGTTTGAGAGCCCATTGTGTTCATTCGCTCAGTAATTTGTTCATTCAAAAATATTGAACCCCTTTCTGTGAACCAAGCACTGTGCTTGACCCTTGGCGTTTCACAAACATTTCTTAAGAGGACAGAATACTATGGTGGTTCCGTGAAGTAAATGGAAAATGGAAAATTGCTTATACGAGTGGGTAAGATTTACCCTAATTACTGCAAACTATGGATAAAGTTGTTTTCATTCTTATCCAAATGCATTGTGGTGGTTAGTAATTCCTAAGGCCTACTTCCTACCGAAATTACCATTTCCTCCTATCTTTTATTATGGAAAATAACAAATCATACAACTTTTAATAGCCTGTAGAGGATCTGTTTGGTTTGTTACTGTTTAAAGAAAAATGTTTTGTTACAAAAATTATCTTCATTAAAATAGTCAACATATTCTCCCTCTGGGAGATTTCAAGTTTTTTTTTTTTCGTTTTTGTTTTTAATGAGATGGTTACTGTGACACTTTTATTTTTAAATGTGTTCTATTTTATGCCCAGTGGTACTTATATTTCTTCTTTCTTTAATAGAGTTAGAATGTATATGTGTTCCTGTAAAATATGAATGCCCATTTCTTATGAAAATCGTTTATATCCCAATTATGAAGAGTTTTAAAAATTAAACATTCACAATAAGATTTGTTAAAAACATCTTAACAAAAGATGTTTGGGAAGTAGTTAGTCATACATGAGAGTAGAAAAGTGTATATTGTTCCAAAGTTCAAAGGCTTTTATGTGCCATGTTAAGAAGTTTAGATTTAGCTTGTGGTCTTTCAAGACTTTAAACAATCTTAATATTTATAAAATCGTGGCTATTTTAGAAATACCTTAATATTGATAAAATTGTGGTTATAAGACACTAAGACATATAAAATGTAAATATTGTATGATGATTATTTGACTAAATATGAGCTATGGCGGGGGGAAGCTTCTTAATGAAAATGTTATCTCAGTGTCTATTCAGATTTTAACATATAGATTAATTCTTTTTTTCTTTATTTTTCCACACTATACAGATGTATAGACTAATTCTTTTTAGGAATGTATTTTTGCCATTTCCCTCATTCTGTCACTTTATTAAATAGTAATTTAATTTGACTTTTTTGTGTGTTTATTCATCATGGTAACTTCCTGACTTTCATTAAAATATTTTTTTAAAGAAGGGATCTGAAAATTGAGCTACTGATTACGCCAATTAGATCTATATTACATTATTCATACCATTGACCTTTGGTACCTGATATCCTCTTGTAAGAACCTCCAGGGCTTACAGCTGTATCGTCCCTTTCCATGCTTTCTTTCCAAGTGTCTTCATAAACTGAGGTTGAAAGAGAGTGGCTGGCTGAAAAGTTTATTATGTCAAAGATAACTAAAATTGGCTGGGCGCGGTGGCTCACACCTGTATTCCCAGCACTTTGGGAGGTCGAGGCGGGTGGATCACAAGGTCAGGAGATCGAGACCATCCTGGCTAACACAGTGAAACCCTGTCTCTACTAAAAAATACAAAAAATTAGCCGGGCATGGTGGCGGGCGCCTGTAGTCCCAGCTACTTGGGAGGCTGAGGCAGGAGAATGGCGTGAACTCGGGAGGTGGAGCTTGCAGTGAGCCGAGATCGTGCCACTGCACTCCAACCTGGGCGACAGAGCGAGACTCCATCTCAGAAAAAAAAAAAAAAAAAAAAAAGATAACTAAAATTTACAGTGGAATGTCCGTTTGTTTTTGTTTTGTTTTGGGTTTTTTTCTTTTTTTTTTTTTTTTTTTTTTTGAGATGCAGTCTCCCTCTGTCTCCCTGGCTGGAGTGCAGTGGCGCGATCTCGGCTCGCTGCAAGCTCCACCTCCTGGTTTCACGCCATTCTTCTGCCTCAGCCTCCGGAGTAGCTGGGACTACAGGCGCCCGCCACTACGCCTGGCTAATTTTTTTGTATGTTTTGTAGAGACAGGGTTTCACTGTGTTAGCCAGGATGGTCTCAATCCCCTGACCTCGTGATCTGCCCGCCTCAGCCTCCCAAAGTGCTGGGATTACAGGCGTGAGCCACCGCGCCCGGCCTGGTATGTTAGTTTTTGAAGTAAAAAAAATTTAGCTACCCTTCTGATTTTTCAGTAATTCTTGTAGCTTTCAAGTAGCTGGGGACTATAGTCATGCACTGCCACGCGTGGATTTTTTAAATTATTTGACTAGAGATGAGATCTCACAATATTGCTGGAAAAACATCCTTCTTGTCTCTTTTTTTCTTCTTTTTTTCTAGAGACAGGGTCTTGCTATGTTGCCCAGTTTGGGACTTACTATTTTCTTTTTCTTTTTCTTTTTTTTTTTTTTTTTTTTTTGAGAAAGAGTCTTACTCTGTCTCCCAGACTGGACTGCTGCAGTGGCATGATCTCGGCCCACTGCAACCACCACCGCCTCCCAGGTTCAAGTGATTCTCCTGACTCAGCCTCCCGAGTAGCTGGGACTACAGATGCGTGCCACCACGCCCGGCTAATTTTTGTATTTTTAGTAGAGACGGGATTTCACCGTGTTGGCCAGGCTGGTCTTGAACTCCTGACCTCAAGTGATCCACCTGCCTCAGCCTCCCAAAGTGCTGGGATTACAGTCATGAGCCACAGTGCCCGGCAGGACTTACTATTTTCTTTCTTTTTTTTTTTTGAGACAGAGTCTCCTTCTGTCACCCAGGCTGGAGTGCAGTGGTGCGATCTAGGCTTACTGCAAGCTCCGCCTCCCGGGTTCACGCCATTCTCCTGCCTCAGCCTCCTGAGTAGCTGGGACTACAGGCGCCCACCACCATACCTGGCTAATTTTTTGTATTTTTTAGTAGAGACGGGTTTCACCATGTTAGACAGGATGGTCTCAATCTCCTGACCTCATGATCCACCTGCCTCAGCCTCCCAAAGTGCTGGGATTACAGGGTGAGCCACCATGCCCAGCCAAGGACTTACTATTTTCAACCTCTGGTTGTTTTTTTTTGTGTTTTGGTTTTTTTTTTGAGATGGAGTCTTGCTCTGTCACCCAGGCTGGAGTGCAGTGGCTCACTGCAACCTCCGCCTCCAGGGTTCAAGTGATTCTCCTGCCTCAGCCTCCCGAGTAGCTGGGATTATGGGTGCCCACCACCACAACCGGCTAATTTTTGTATTTTTAGTAGAGACAGGGTTTTCACCATGTTGGCCAGGATGGTCTTGAACTCCTCAGGTGATCTGCCCACCTTGGCCTCCCAAAGTGCTGGGATTACAAGCGTAAGCCACTGTGCCTGGCCTACTTTCAACCTCTGATTCAAATATCATAAAGAGGATGACCTGCAGTTAATGCTAGTTGGTTGCTCCAAGAATTTGGTAGCCTGAAAAAATATAGCTGTACATCTATACAATCTTCATAAAGCCCTGAGAGAATTTTTAGGTTAAAAGATGATGTTTGGGATATAGTCTTTTCCTGACCATAAGGAGCCTACCCAACAGTTAGGTGGCAAAGTAAGGATGTATGCACACATAACACAAGGATTCACATTTGGCAAGTTGGCATAATGTTAGCACAATCCAAAGTCCTTTAAGAAATTAAAGAAGGCTGGGCATAGTGTCTCATGCCTATAATCCCAGCATTTTGGAAGGCCAAGGTGGGAGGATCACTTGAGGCCAGGAGTTTGAGACCAGCCTGGGCAAAATGATGAAACCCCATCTCTACAAAAAATATGAAAGTTAGCCAGGCATGGTGTCACACGCCTGTAATCCCAGCTACTTGGGAGGCTGAAGTGGGAGGATCACTTGGGCCTGCAACAACGGAAGTTGCAGTGAGCCAAGATCACACCACTGCTGTCCAGCCCGGGCAACAGAGCAAGACCCTGTCTCAAAAAAAAAAAAAAAAAAAAAAATGGAGATGATATTATTTTTGACTAAAAAGATTTTATGAAGGAGTTGGACCTTGGAGGATGAAGATGAGTTCTGGAAGTTAGCTGGGGCTGACTTTTGGCTGGCGTGCACATGACAGGTAGAAGGGTCATGAGGCAAAGATAGGTTAGAATCTGATTGTGGAGGATTTTGAAAGCAAGACTGACAAATGTATACGTTTTTATTGAAATATTTGTCAAACTATTATGAAATTTGTCACAATCAGCATTTTTTAAATGAAACGGAATATCAGCATACTTTTTTTTGTTTTGTTTTTTTGAGACAGGGTCTTGCTCTTTTGCTGAGGCTGCAGTACAGTGGCACCATCATGGCTCGCTGCAGCCTCGACCTCCCCATGCTTAGGTGATCCTCCCACCTCAGCCCCCCGAGTAGCTGGGCTTATAGGCACACGCAACTGTGCCAGGTAAATTTTGCATATTTTGTTTCACTATGTTGCGCAGGCTGCTCTTGAACTCCTGAGCTCAAGCAGTCTGCCCACTTTGGCCTCCCAAATTGCTAGGACTTTGTATTCTGAGCATGAGCCACTGTGCCCAGCCAGAATTAATTATTATTATTATTTTTTGAAACAGAGTTTCACTCTGTCGCCCAGGCTGGAGTGTAGTGGCGCCATCTCGGCTCACTGCAACCTCCGTCTCCCAGGTGCAAGCAATTCTGCCTCAGCCTCCCAAGCAGCTGGGATTACAGGCACCTGCCACCATGCCCGGCTAATTTTTTGTATTTTTAGTAGAGACGGGGTTTCACCATGTTGACCAGGCTGGTCTTGAACTCCTGACCTCGTGATCCGCCCGCCTTGGCCTCCCAAAGTGTTGGGATTACAGGCGTAAGCCACTGCGCCTGGCCAAAACAAATGTTTTAAATTGCTACTTCCGTATGGTGAGATCAGGGGGAATTTTTTTTCCTCTCCCAATTTTTGTGTAATGAATATGTTTTGCTTTCATAATGAGGAAATTAAAATTATAATTTTTTCATCAAAAAAAGAGTTAAAGGCTCAGAGCAAACTCAAAGGTTAATTTGGTGGGATAGTATGCAGGAGACAATCCAGATGATGGGAGACCAGTTTGGAGGCTACCAAAATATTGTACTCTAGGAACAATATAATAAAATCCATTAGAGTGATAGCTGTGGAAATGAAAAGTAATAGAGACTTAGTGAACAATAACCCTAAGTATACAGTAGTAAAAAAGATGGGAGGGAGAGCAGGGTGTGGTGGCTCACGCCTCTAATCCCAGCACTTTGGGAGGCTGAGGGTGGTCAGATCACCTGAGGTCAGGAGTTTGAGACCAGCCTGGCCAACACGGTGAAACCCCATCTGTACTAAAAATACAAAATTCGCCTTGCGTGGTGGCATGTGCCTGTAATCCCAGCTACTCGGGAGGCTGAGGCAGGAGAATCACTTGAACCCAGGAGGCAGAGGTTGCAGTGAGCCAAGATCACACCATTGCACTCCAGCCTGAGCAAAAACACTGAAACTTCACTCAAAAAAAAAAAAAAAAAAGATGGATGGAAGGGAGGAGTAAAGAAAATCCTTAAGATTTCTAGCCTAGGTCCTAGAATGATAATATAGTATCTGTTAGAGAAAAATACCCGATAAAAAGCTAATTTGGGAAGGTAAGTTGCGTAGGTAAGCTGACTTTGGGTTGTGCCTGAGACTGGTTCAGAAAGGTTAGGGCTAAGGGTAAAGTCTGGGTAGTTAGCTGTCTAGAACTGATGATCAAACCTCTGCTGGAACCTCTGTAGGATGAGTTCATTATCAGAAGAGGTTTGAAGAGCTACAAAAATACAACAGGAAGGTATTACACTACATGCGAAACTGTGGGTTGTAGGTTACAAAGGGCTGTAATTTGAGTTAATAGAAATTAATTTCAGAGAGTCCTCACTGTGGTGAGTATAAGCTGTTTTATGCTGTCGAACTGTAACAAGTTAAATATATTACCTGTGATATTTGATTTTGGAGTTTGATATAAACGGTTGATTAAAAATCCCTTATAAGATCATCTATTTCTCTCCTAATCATTTTAGCTTTTTGTTTAATAAGTGCTTCAATGATATACTAATTCTACATAAAATTAGCTTTCAATAAGTCAAATATAGTTATTTAACTTTAGAGATTTGCTAAAGGGAATTTTTAAAATGCATGCTCAGTCATAGGTGTGAAAAGTATGAAGAGCTTGAATGGCTTTGTTTGAACAAATTAAATGTTTTATTGTCTTTTTGCACTGAAGAATGACAAAAAAGCTTTTAGAATATTTGTAAATACATCTGTCTTTAAAAATGAAAATAGTATACTTGGTGTTTAAAAAGCCATTTCATTGGGCCGGGCGCGGTGACTCATGCCTATAATCCCAGCACTTTGGGAGGCCGAGGCGGGCAGATCACAAGGTCAGGAGATCGAGACCATCCTGGCTAACATGGTGAAACCCTGTCTCTATTACAAATACAGAAAAATTAGCTGGGTGTGGTGGCAGGCGCCTGTAGTCCCAGCTACTCAGGAGGCTGAGGCAGGAGAATGGTGTGAACCCAGGAGGCGGAGCTTGCAGTGAGCCTAGATCGCGCCACTGCACTCCAGCCTGGTTGACAGAGCAAGACTCCGTCTCAAAAAAAAAAACAAAAAAAAAAGCCATTTCATTGACAAGTCACACTGGTAAAAAAAGAAAAAAAAGCCATTTGATAGCTACTGATTTGAATTTGGAGTGTGAAACATTTTTTAAATGCATGAGAATTATAGCACAGATAGTTTTAATCCTTATAGATTTCATTTCAAGCATCCTATTTGTAAGGTGCTATTATATTGGTACAGGTAATATTTTGTCAGAATCTGCATGAGGGATATAAAAATGTTTTGTCAGGTAATACCTCTTTAAAATGAATATACTGCCAAAAATCATACATCCAATCTGCTGACGCCAGAGCGAATGCATAGCTTCACAGCGGTGGATTAGCAAATGAAAAGAGGTGCTCTGAACCCAGTAGAGGAATATAGGAAGTGTCAAGAAAATACTCCCATCCTCCTTTCTTTCCTCCAAGCTCTTAGATCTTTGTGTGATGAGACCCCTTTGGGGATACCCTAGTTACTGTCTGAGTTACTGGAGATCTCTAGGGACAGCAGCCTGGCTCTGCAGCTCCTGCTTTCCACGGTGCCCTTGCCTCTGTCGTCTACCCCTTACTGATTTCTTTCATAAGTAGACAGGGTAAGTGGGCCCCCTGAGCTAAAATATTAATCTCGTGATCCGTCATTCCACTATTCTGGTTTCACGTCTATTTTTAAAAAGATTTTATCTTTGAGAGACCCCCCCCTTTTAAAATGCAAATTCCCCTGGGAGAGGTCAGACCTTAGTTCTTAGCTAACATCTTGATTATCTGTTAGCACCTTAGTTGGGCTTAGTACACATTTGGCTGAGAAGAAGGAATCCCTGGCTAAAAGTGATCAACTAGAAGGAAACTAGCATTTATAATAATAATTTATTATTATTTTATTACTATTGGCAGCTAAGATGTACTCAGGGCCATATTATTAAGTGTCAGGAGTTGTTCTAAGTTAATTCCCTCAACAACCCTATTGGTATTATTACCACTGTTACTTTACAGATAAGAAAACTGAGGTATGTAGCACGTAATTTATGGTCACATAGTAAATCCTGTCAAGTGTTAAACTCGGGGATTTAGATTCCAGTGTGTGCTCGCTCACCGTTTTACTGTAATCCCTCTCTTCTACCATGATGTCTCAGATAGATGACATCTAATCAAGATTTCACCCTTTTCACAATTTTGTATCAAATAGAATGATGTGTTTAATTATAGATGCCACTTCCCTTTGAAGGTCAAGTACTTTGTTATTATCTAAATAGATTTTTTAGCAATAGCTTCAATGAAACAGGTACTTTTTTTGTATTCAAGGGAATTTATTTGCAGAGTAGAGAAAGGAGTAAAGAGGTTAGTGTACAATTTAGCACATACTTAACACTATCTGAGCTGTTTTTATTTAAAACATGTTATTTTTACAATTTTGAAAGTATAGATTAATAAAGAAAGTACAGTAATTTTCAGTCCCATTACCCAGAGGTAACCTCAGAATAAATGTATTCTCACCAGGCTTTTTCCTACTGATCCTTTTCTGAAAGTGTTAACTCATTCTACGTCTTTAAAATTTTGGAATGAAATGATCTTTTTTGCTGGCATTTCCTTCTTCACCTCTGCAAGGATGTTGAACTAATAATTATTTTCGGCCTGGCGTGGTGGCTCATGACTGTAATCCCAGCACTTTGGGAGGCCAAGGCAGGCAGGTCACGAGGTCGGGAGCTCAAGACTAGCCTGGCCAACATGGTGAAACCCCGTCTCTACTAAAAATACAAAAATTAGCTGGACATGGTGACGTGTGCCTGTAATCCCAGCTACTCGGGAGGCTAAGGCAGGAGAATCGCTTGAACCCAGGAGGTGGAGGTTGCAGTGAGCTAAGATAGCACCCCTGCACTCCAGCCTGGGCGACAGAGTGAGACTCTGTCTCAAAAAATAAAATAATATAAAAATTATTTTCTATGGTTTGCCAGAAACATGTTTAACTAAATTTTCTCTGTATTCATTTTATCATTTTGAATAAAAGGTAATACAGAGCCCTAGATCCTTCCCTTAACCTCCAAATTGAGTAAATTCTCTCAACTAATGTTTGTTAAGCACTAATTCTACCTCTGCCCCCTTCTTCAAAACTGCTATACTCCTGCAGCTTTAATTTCCTTATAATTTCTGGACTGCTAGTCTCTCTTAATCACTCGTCCCTTCTCCAGAGCTCTTTGTAATTCAGATCCCTCTGTAACCCACAGATCTGATCATATCATTCTCCTCTACAGATTTCTTCAGTGGCTCTGTGTTGCTCATAGGCCCTAGAAGCAAGCTTGGGGATGATTAGGGCAAGTAATTCTCTGAGTCCCAGGTACCAGCGAGTGGCCTTAGAAGGGGAGTTGCTGGTGTGTGCAGACTTCAGGTGGCCACATGCCCTTGGCCTTGCTGACTACACATTAATAGAGGAGGGTCACAGCAAGGATCCCCTAAAGTGGTTGTTTAGGTCTAGATGCAGACCATGCTACTGTGTGTTGAGAGTAGACTGTTGGTGGCAGTAAGGACAGAAGTGGAGAGACCATCTGGGAGCCTTACTGCAGTAATCCCGGTAAGACTTGATTGTAGCTTGGATCAGGCTGGTGGCAGTAGAGGCACTAAGTAAGTCAGATTCTCAGTATATTTTGGAGGTAGAGTCAATCATTTTTCCTGAAGGATTGATTTAGAGAGAGAGAGTCAAGGATGACTCTAAGGTTTCTTGCCTCAGTACAGAAAGATATGGGATAGTGGAATATATAAATCACTGATGTCTCAATTCTGCCATTAGCAACTATTGTCAAATCCTAGGTGTTCTAATAAAGTACCATATTTGACCAGATTTTAAACCTCTGGAAATTTTTAGAGAGAGGAGTAAATTTAAAATGTGCACTTAAAACGTGTGAAATGGGGGCTGGGCACGGTGGCTCACGCTTGTAATCCTAGCACTTTGGGAGGGTTAGGCGGGTAGATCACTTGAGGCCAGGAGTTCAAGACCAGCCTGGGCAACATGGTGAAACTATGTCTGTACCAAAAATACAAAAATTAGCCAGGCGTAATGGCACATGCCTGTGGTCTCAGCTACTGGGGATGCTGAGGTGCGAGAATCGCTGGAACCTGGGAGGTGGAGGTTGCAGTGAGCTGAGACTGCACCACTGCAGTCCAGCTTAGGTGACAGAACAAGACCCTATCTCAAAAAAAAAAAAAAAAAAAAAGGAAAAAAAAGGAAAGAAAGAAACATGTGAACATGTGAGATTTGGGACTGGTCAGTACCTGATACCTAAAAATTAAGGAACGAATATGAGATTTTACAAAAAGAGGTGGGAAGGAACCAAAAATCAACTGCTTTTGCAGTTTTCTTAAGGCCTGGAGGTGGCACTTGCAGGTACCGTTGAAATTCACAGTTTCAACTGCCCTAAAAATTTAATGCCTTGGTCATGATACATAGGGTGTTTTTAGTGTTCCGTAACTAGGTCTCCACCCAAACCCTGAAATTTGTCTTTGATTTGTATTAAATCAATGAAAAAAGTGTTTGTGATCACGGCTTTTTAAATAAGATTTCTGTTCATTACATGTAAATAACTTACAGCAGAAGTGTTCCTGACTTTAACTGATAAAGGAACAAGTTCTGTGTCAAAAATCACATAAGCTTTTTTAAAAAAATAAGCTTATAATTTCAGATAGGTTTAGGCCTGCTAGAATGTAATAAAAGCTTATTGCCACCCACTTCATATTCTTCCTTTTTTTCTCTTTATTTCCTTGTATGTTTCTGAGAATATTCAAATACAAAAGCACATTCTCCTCTTCTGTCTTTCTCTTTCCCTAAAGCCAACTGTCAAGTCTGTTCGGCCTCAGAGTATGTTATAGAGCCATGAATTAAAGGTAATTATTGATTTACCAAATGGAAAAAAATAAGTTTAATGGTAATATGATTTATTTAAATAGGGTAATAAGATTCGTTCACTATAGATACAATTAAAACTACCATTTACCATGTGTCAGATAAATATTATCTCTCAGTTCTTCAACAACTCAATTGAAGTTGGTATGATTTTCCCTCTTTTACAGATGGTTTAGAGAAGTTAAAACATTTGCTCAAAATCATACATTTAACAGTGTGTGGCAAAGGTACAATTCAAACCTATGTTTTTCTGCCTTAAAACTCACCTTTTCATCTTTGATTATGTTTTATTAACTCCACATAAGGCTCATAATGTTTATAAATATTAGTGAGATATATTTGGGTCTTGCCAACCCCTGTCATTAAGAAAAGGGGCCAGGCACAGTGGTTCACGCCTGTAATCCCAGCACTTTGGGAGGCCAAGGCGGGTAGATGACCCGAGCTCAGGAGTTCAAGACCAGCCTGGGCAACATGACGAAACCTTGTCTCTAGTAAAAATACGAAAAACAGATTAGCTGAATGTGGTGGTGCACTCCTATAATCCCAGCTACCCGGGAGGCTGAGGCACAGCAATCACGTGAGCCCAGGAGGCAGGGGTTGCAGTGAGCTGAGATCGCACCACTGCACTCCAGCCTGGGCCACAGAGCAAGACTCTGTCTCAAAAAAAAAAAAAAAAGGGAATGCAGTTTTGGAAACTGCCCTCAGACTACTGGGTAAAAAAGGATAGATCTTAAGCTATTTCAGTGGAAAGTGATTACTACCCATTTTTCACCACTAGATGGTGGCAGAAAGTTAAAAACAAAAGCTAAAGGCGCCTCATTAGAGAAAGTGAAGTGTCTGTGCTTTCAGAGCAAGGTGGATGTGAGGTTAGGGAAGTTTAGAGAAAGGGAAATGGGAGAACTGCCAATGGTATTATGATAAGCAGCCTAGAAATTGGGAGCAGAGGACACAAATCTTTATTATTCTTGGGAAAAAATATGAAAAATATTAGCATCTTGTTATTAACACTTGACATTGTTCTGTTTAGTTTTCAGATGCTTCAAGTGTTGTGAACAGAGACTTGTTTGGATTATGCATTTCTCAGCTAGACTAAATAAATGCTAGCAATGGATACGTGCAAACATGTTGGGCAGCTGCAGCTTGCTCAAGACCATTCCAGCCTCAACCCTCAGAAATGGCACTGTGTGGACTGCAACACGACCGAGTCCATTTGGGCTTGCCTTAGCTGCTCCCATGTTGCCTGTGGAAGATATATTGAAGAGCATGCACTCAAGCACTTTCAAGAAAGCAGTCATCCTGTTGCATTGGAGGTGAATGAGATGTACGTTTTTTGTTACCTTTGTGATGATTATGTTCTGAATGATAACACAACTGGAGACCTGAAGTTACTACGACGTACATTAAGTGCCATCAAAAGTCAAAATTATCACTGCACAACTCGTAGTGGGAGGTTTTTACGGTCCATGGGTACAGGTGATGATTCTTATTTCTTACATGACGGTGCCCAATCTCTGCTTCAAAGTGAAGATCAACTGTATACTGCTCTTTGGCACAGGAGAAGGATACTAATGGGTAAAATCTTTCGAACATGGTTTGAACAATCACCCATTGGAAGAAAAAAGCAAGAAGAACCATTTCAGGAAAAAATAGTAGTAAAAAGAGAAGTAAAGAAAAGACGGCAGGAATTGGAGTATCAAGTTAAAGCAGAATTGGAAAGTATGCCTCCAAGAAAGAGTTTACGTTTACAAGGGCTCGCTCAGTCGACCATAATAGAAATAGTTTCTGTTCAGGTGCCAGCACAAACGCCAGCATCACCAGCAAAAGATAAAGTACTCTCTACCTCAGAAAATGAAATATCTCAAAAAGTCAGTGACTCCTCAGTTAAACGAAGGCCAATAGTAACTCCTGGTGTAACAGGATTGAGAAATTTGGGAAATACTTGCTATATGAATTCTGTTCTTCAGGTGTTGAGTCATTTACTTATTTTTCGACAATGTTTTTTAAAGCTTGATCTGAACCAATGGCTGGCTATGACTGCTAGCGAGAAGACAAGATCTTGTAAGCATCCACCAGTCACAGATACAGTAGTATATCAAATGAATGAATGTCAGGAAAAAGATACAGGTTTTGTTTGCTCCAGACAATCAAGTCTGTCATCAGGACTAAGTGGTGGAGCATCAAAAGGTAGAAAGATGGAACTTATTCAGCCAAAGGAGCCAACTTCACAGTACATTTCTCTTTGTCATGAATTGCATACTTTGTTCCAAGTCATGTGGTCTGGAAAGTGGGCGTTGGTCTCACCATTTGCTATGCTACACTCAGTGTGGAGACTCATTCCTGCCTTTCGTGGTTACGCCCAACAAGACGCTCAGGAATTTCTTTGTGAACTTTTAGATAAAATACAACGTGAATTAGAGACAACTGGTACCAGTTTACCAGCTCTTATCCCCACTTCTCAAAGGAAACTCATCAAACAAGTTCTGAATGTTGTAAATAACATTTTTCATGGACAACTTCTTAGTCAGGTATGGATTTTTAAGAATCTTATTTTCATCATTGGGAGTTCATAAAGTGTAGCCTATAAAAAGGCATATTCTATGTACATCTAGTGTGTTGAGCTAGTACCATTTTCAGGTCAAAATAGATTGTTTTTATAAATATGTATAGAGAAATCAGCTCACTCAATTCCTTCTTTCATGAATCATTGGAAGTAGTTTTACATCTATGGTAGCAAAAGCTTTTGGAGGGAGGGAGAAATCAGGAGACGGAGCTCTCTAGGTTACCAATATTACATTCATTATCTGAGGGATTGAGAAGAGGAGGGTTTAATCCCAGAGGGAACGGATTTAAAGATGCTGCTATTCTCGGGATGAAAATGGTGCACATGGCCGGGCGTGGGGGCTCACACCTATAATCCCAGCACTTTGGGAAGCCAAGGCGGGTAGATCAGCTGAAGTCAGGAGTTCAAGACCAGCCTGACCAACATGGTGTAACCCCATCTCTACTAAAAATACAAAAGCTAGCTGAGTGTGGTGGCAGACGCCTGTAATCTCAGCTACTTGGGAGGCTGAGTCAGGAGAATCGCTTGAACCCAGGAGGTGGAGGTTGCAATGAGCTGAAATCACACCACTGCACTCCAGCCTGGGTGACAGAGCGAGACTCCGTCTCAAAAAAAAAAAAAAAAAACCCAAAGAAAGAAAGAAAATGGTGCACACTTGAGCAATTTCAGGGACCAAGGAGTAGCCCTGGAGGACTTCCTATAAAATCAAAGGGTCATGGTCTGAGAGCTTTAACAAGTAGGTAGGGAAATTTTAAGGTAAACAAATGTGATTTCATCTAGAATAATCTTATATGATTTTC
Source organism: Homo sapiens (assembly GCF_000001405.40). Classification (NCBI taxonomy): domain Eukaryota; kingdom Metazoa; phylum Chordata; class Mammalia; order Primates; family Hominidae; genus Homo; species Homo sapiens. Next base: position 95,531,993 of record NC_000012.12, on the reverse strand, counting down.
CTTTATTTTAATTACTACTCAAAAGTTTCCTTTGTCATGATAAGGTGGACTATAAAACCAGAATCTTCGAAGTAAAGGTTCTCTATACTGAGTGGACTTATTGGTGAACTGTTAATAGACATAAGGTTCTCTACTTTCCCATAACACACAAATTTAAACAAAATTTTTTTTATAACTGAGGCTATTAGGCTTTTAGGTCATTTCCTTCCCCCTGCACACCTGCCTCTGTTCTTCAGTTCAACTTGCATTGTAATAAGGCCATCTTTTGTTTTTATAGCATACTTTCCTAAAATGTTGTTTAAGTATTTCAGATGTAATTCTTCTTAAGGAATATCTATGAAGTTTATTTTTCAGTGTTTCAGAAATGCAAAGATTTTGTGTCAATTAGCAAATAAGAATTGTACTGCAATTTTACTTCTCCATCTTTCTCTGTCATTTCCTTTTTATGCAAAAGTTTTAAAATACACTGTTACAGAGTGCAACATATAGTTGCAGGAAACCTATATAATATAGGAAATCTATATAGAAGGAAAGAAAAATCATTCTCTAATCCTATAACCCCACAATCCATTGGTAAAACTATTTATATTTTGGTATATTTTCTAGTCTTTTTTTCTCCTGCACATGTATAAATATTTTTTCCCATAATTGGTCATTTTGCATTTATCTGCTTTTCCCATTTAATATTGTAATTATTTTCCAATAATTAAAAATATTTCATCATTCTTTTCAAAACATTTCAATGTTCATAATTTTTTTGTGTGTTTTTTTTGGTATATGTCTGCTATTTAACATCATATGTTTTTTTTTGTTTTTGTTTTTGTTTTTTTGAGACAGAGTCTCACTCTGTTGCCCAGGCTGGAGTGCAGTGGCGCGATCTCGGCTCACTGCAAGCTCCACCTGCTGGGTTCACGCCATTCTCCTGCCTCAGCCTCCCAAGTAGCTGGGACTACAGGCGCCTGCCACCACACCCAGCCAATTTTTTGTGTTTTTAGTAGAGACGGGGTTTCACCATGTTAGCCAGGATGGTCTCGATCTCCTGACCTTGTGATCCACGCGCCTCGGCCTCCCAAAGTGCTGGGATTACAGGCATGAGCCACTGCTCCTGGCCACATCGTATGTTTATACCGTAACTTAACCATTCCCCTATTGTTGACTGTTTTTAATTTTTTTCATTATTATAATGTCATCAATTAATTTTTCTGACTTCCTTATGACAGAGTCTTAGAAGTTGACTTTGTCAGAGTAAGACTTCTGATACTTGGTGACAAAGTTCTTTCCAGAAAGTGTTTTTCTTTTATATCTATCTATCTATCTATCTATCTATCTATCTATCTATCTATCTATATTTCCAGTAGTATGAAAGTTGCTATGTGCTTATTTTTTCCTTTATAAATGTATTTTCAAATTAATAAAAATTATTGTACCAGCTTTTTGCTTCTCTTTCTTTAATACACTCTTAGGGAACTGGTTCTCAGGAGATTTAAGACAGTTGGTTGCTGTAATGGCTTTTCCTTTCTATTTTTTATTTTTTTTATAGAGACAAGGTCTCACTGTGTTGCCCAGGCTGGTCTCAAACTCCTGGGCTCAAGCAGCCCTCCCGCTTTGGCCTCTCAAAGTGCTGGGATTACAGGCATGAGCCACTACACCCAGACTGGGATGGCTTTTTGTGTGTTTTTGCTTTTGTTTTTGTTTTTTTTGTTTAATTCAAGAAAATTCTCAAAATGTCTGGCCCTGGCACTACTGAGTCCTTAGACTATAAACGCCAGGAGAGTTCTTTGTGTCAATTTGTGAAATCTAAAATCTGTATTACAACTGGCTTCTTTATTTTGTTGCCTGTGCCAGGACTATAGCTTGTATGAAAGAGGTTCTTTATAATATTTCATATCATATGTGAATTGTTAGTTCATGGAGTCTGTCTTCAATTATGTGCAGTGTTTGTTGGCATTAAATCCTGCTGAATGTTTCACTGAAGTTACTATTCATTTCCTTTCCGGTTGCTACATTGCCTATGTAAGTTGTTAAAACAGCTCCATGTTTTTCGTGTTTTCTGTGTTTGGATGGGGATTTTAATGTTATGTTTGCTTTAAGTAGGAGTATGACATCATTATTTATGTCATATATCTTGTCTTTTGAAATTATCAGTTGTCAGGGCCTTAAAATCTGCATAATGAAAAGATAGTATTTTACTTGTAATATGGTTAAGATTGGATTGGGTTAAGAGGTTATAGGATTTGGGGTTAGGAAGAAAAATCAGCAAAAGATGAAGGAGAGGCCGGGCATGGTGGCTCACGCCTGTAATCCCAGCACTTTGGCAGGCCGAGGTGGGCGGATCGCCTAAAGTCAGGAGTTCAAGACCATCCTGGCCAACATGGCGAAAGCCCGTTTACTAAAAATAGAAAAATTAGCTAGGCGTGGTAGCTGGCACCTGTAGTCCAGCTACTCAGGAGGCTGAGGCAGGAGAATCGCTGGAACCTAAGAGCCAGAGGTTGCAGTGAGCCGAGATTGCGCCATTGCACCCTAGCACTGGGGACAGAGCGAGACTCCATCTCAAAAAAAAAAAAGATGAAAGAAACAGTGAGGAACCTCAAGCCTAATGACATAAATACATTAAACTTAATGCATGTGAATGTACATCATATGTATATATCTATGTATACATAGATATATGTATATATGTATATATGTATACATAGTGTGTTTCTATTCAGTGTGTCCACAGTTTGGATTTTTACCTAAATTTAATGCCCTTAGAGCTTTTTGAATGCCCAGTAGTTAAAGCAACCAATTCATGATGGCTCTGATAACAATCTTTTGGAAGGAAAAATCATAATGAAAGATTTCCTGACAAGAATATAAAGCAGATTATTCAGAATCCTAATGGTGCATTTTCATGAGAAAAGTTTATTTAGTGGCAGTGACCTCTAGTGAAAAGAGTTAATGTTTTGATGGAAAGATTATAATCTTAGGAACTCATATTCTCATTTGCAGGTTACATGTCTTGCATGTGACAACAAATCAAATACCATAGAACCTTTCTGGGACTTGTCATTGGAGTTTCCAGAAAGGTATCAATGCAGTGGAAAAGATATTGCTTCCCAGCCATGTCTGGTTACTGAAATGTTGGCCAAATTTACAGAAACTGAAGCTTTAGAAGGAAAAATCTACGTATGTGACCAGTGTAACTGTGAGTAAAGACGTTGTGTTCTTGGTGCTTTCCTAGGAATGATAAAGAGAAACGCAGATGAGAGGAAGCTGAAAGAAATCTTTAGCAGTTATGAAAATGAACTTTTTTTCAGTTCATCAAAAGAAACAGACGTTTTCACTTTATAATTGGCATTTATGAACTATGCATTTGTTTGGCCATATTGATGGAATTTAAATTGTTTCTGATCTTGTAGACAATTTTGGAGAGAGAAGATTCATAACAAGTTTAAATATGATATGTGGAGCAAAATAAAGTAGCAAAGAGGAATAATGAAAGGAAAGCATGTCATGTAGCATGAATGAAACACTTGCTTTATGAGCTTTTTTGGCTACATATCAAAGTGATATGTAGATAAATGCGTGTGTGTATGTCTATATACATAAAATAGGAAATAATATATGCAGGACTGCTGCTGTGGAGATTGGCTTCATCAAAACAAAGATTTATTCAAAACCATGCACTGTCTCTTCTGTGTTAGTTATTCCCAGTGTCTATAGATAGAGGTGAGATACTGTCAAGGTGCTTACATTCCTAATGGAGGAAGCAGATAGACAGGATCCACTATGATAAGTGCTCTAATGGAGGAGAGCACAGGAACCTGACACTGGGGGTGAAACAGCCACTTCAGTTAAAAGAGAAGCGTCTTCGGCCAGGTGCAGTGGCTCACGCCTGTAATCCTACCACGTTGGGAGGCCGAGGTGGGCAGATCACCTGAGGTCAGGAGTTCAAGCCCAGCCTGGCCAATGTGGTGAAACCTCGTCTCTCCTAAAAATACAAAAATTAGCTGGGCATGGTGGCACGCACTTGTAATCCCAGCTACTCGGGAGGCTGAGGCAGGAGAATTGCTTGAACCCAGGAGGCAGAGGTTGCAGTGAGCTGAGATTGTGCCACTGCACTCCAGCCTGAGCAAGAGTGAAACTCTGTCTCAAAAAAAAAAAAAAAAAAAAAAGCATCTTCCTCCAAGGAAACAGTGTATAAAACCACATCAGATCTGCTGTGTTGGCCAGGTGCGGTGGCTTACGCCTGTAATCCTAACACTTTGGGAGGCCGAGGCAGGTGGATCGCTTGAGGTCAGGAGTTCAAGACCAGCCTGGCCAACATGGCGAAACCCCATCTCTACTAAAAATATAGAAATTAGCCGGGTGTGGTGGAGTGCATCTGTAATCCCAGCTACTTGGGAGGCTGAGGCAGGAGAATCTCTTGAACCCAGGAGGCGGAGGTTGCAGTGAGCCAAGATCGTGCCACTGCACTCCTTCCTGGATGACAGAACAAGCCTCTGTCTCAAAAAAACACACAAAAACATCTACTGTGTCTTTATTTCCTCTGTTGATGTGTATATGTAGTGGGAGTTAAGCTATGAGGATGCAAAGGCATAATAATGATCGAGTGTGGGCTGGGCACAGTGGCTCACACCTGTAATCCCAGCACTTTGGGAGGCTGAGGTGGGCAGATCACCTGAGGTCAGGAGTTCGAGACCAGCCTGGCCAACATGGTGAAACCCCATCTCTACTAAAAATACAAAAATTAGCTGGGCATGGTGGCGTGCGCCTGTAATCCCAGCTATTCAAGAGGCCGAGGCAGGAGAATCACCTGAACCTGGGAGGGGGAGGTTGCAGTGAGCCGAGATCGCGCCATTCCACTCCAGCCTAGGCAACAGTGCGAGACTCTGTCTCAAAAAAAAAAAAAAAGAATGATCCAGTGGACTTTACAGATTCAGGGGAGAGGGTGGGAGGGGTGAGGGATAAAATGCTACACATTGGGTACAGTGTACCCTGCTCAGGTGTTGGGTGCACCAAAATCTCAGAAATCACCACTACAGAACTTATTTATGTAACCAAACACCACCTGTTCCCCAAAAACCTATTGAAATTAAAAAAAAGAATAAGATATACTTACATAGCATCTTAGTATTTATACTATATAAACATATAGTGTAGTATAGTGTAGTGTATAGTAAACTATGCTATAGTTTATACTATGCTATATATATTTTTTCAGGTATTCTCCCTAATTTCCCTATCTCGCAAATAGATTCTAAGGCTTTAAATAACTAAACTTTTAAGGTAAACAAAAAATAGGATATTCCCACATTGAAGAAATGTTATATCAATTGATGGTTTCCTGGAATGACTTTAACACTTTTGTATAAGTGCTGTCTAATGTGAACGCATAAAGTAGCCTTAAATTTATAAGGTTTTTTTTTGTTGTTTTTTTGAGACAGAATCTCGCTCTGTCACCCATGCTGGAGTGCAGTGGCACAGTCTCGGCTCACTGCAAGCTCCGCCTCCTGGGTTCAGGCCATTCTCCTGCCTCAGCCTCCCGAGTAGCTGGGACTACAGGCGCCCGCCACCACGCCTGGCTAATTTTTTGTATTTTTAGTAGAGACAGGGTTTCACCGTGTTAGCCAGGATGGTCTCGATCTCCTGACCTCGTGATCCACCCGCCTCTGCCTTCCAAAGCGCTGGGATTACAGGCGCGAGCCACCGCGCCCGGCCTATAAGGTTTTTTTAAAAAATAAATCTTTGTCAAAGTTGTTATGATGAAGTATTATTTTTTCTTGGACATAAATGTGGTGAGTGCCAAATGCTTTCATCACCAAATTTGGGGGTGATGTTATGAATGCAGAATATGGTTTTATAGCAAATTTCTATGTGTTTACTAAAGCTACCAAATACAGGCCTAAAAGAGCTGCTTTAACACAGCAGTGCAAATGTTTACAATTATATGCCGAGGAGTTGATATCCCCTATCTGGCTACCCTTGGACCGATGTGCTAGGAGACAATCCAGAGGTAGGTCCAGGACATTCAGCAGCAGCCAGATACCTGGATCGCAGGGTTAGACACCTGGAAGAAAGGCCAGCGAAGGTGGCTTAGAGCTCAGCTTCATGGTGGACTGAGCCTGCTTCCCACATGAGAAGCAGCTGCTGCCATGGCTGGAGTCGGAGCTGGTGTACAAGTTGAAGGATAGCTCCTGGACATCAGGAGCAAACTGTAGCTGATGGCCCAGCTCCAGGACAGTCCATAGGTGGACCTCTAGGGAAGCAGAAGGGACAACAAGAAGAATCCTGAGTTCCAGCTGTCTAAGATCTAGTGCTAAAAGAGCAAAAGCAAAACGCTTGAGTGAGGGAGGCCTCAGAACTGGTAAAGTCCTGCTTTCCTAGGCCGTTGGCCAGGGCTGAGGTGGTCCCCAGGAAAAGTGGAGGGATGTTCTGGGCAATCAGGACCTTCCTCTGGGTTTCTGACTAGCCTTGGTAAATGAACTGACCACTCACTTTTTTTTTCTTTTTTCTTTTTTAAATCTTTTGACCACAAACTTTTAAATTAAGAGTTTGGGAAATGTATATTAAAATGTTTAGGGAATGTTGTAACTTTTCCTATTAATTGGTATAGCCAGTTCCATTTAAAAATATTATTATGGCTGGGTGCAGTGGCTCATGCCTGTAATCCCAGCACTTTAGGAGGACGAGGCAGGTGGATCACAATGTCAGGAGTTCGAGACCAGCCTGGCCAACATAGTGAAACCCCGTCTCTACTAAAAATACAAAAATTAGCCGGGCATGGTGGCACGCACCTATAGTCCCAGTTACATGGGAGGCTGAGGCAGGAGAATTGCTTGAACCCAGGAGGCGGAGGTTGTGGTGAGCCGAGATTGTGCCACTGCACTCCAGCCTGGGCAACAGAGTGAGATTCTGTCTCTAAATAAATAAATAAAAATATTATAGCAGTATACTTTGTTCTATCACATTATATGCAAGATTATTATTAAATCATGTACTTGATTACAGATCTGTCTAACTTGACTAGCTCCTAAGTTTTTTGGTTAATTGTGGATCATGAGTTTCTTGAGGGCAAAGCCCATGTCTATCTCTAGCACAGTACAATGCCTGGAACACAGTACATACTTTTCATTTCTGACTTAATTAAAAAGAAGGTTCACTCAGCTTTTCCCTGAATCTTTAAATGAAATTTGATTTTTATTCTTTCTTTGATGTTACAGCAAAGCGTAGAAGGTTTTCCTCCAAACCAGTTGTACTCACAGAAGCCCAGAAACAACTTATGATATGCCACCTACCTCAGGTTCTCAGACTGCACCTCAAACGATTCAGGTCTGTAGTAGGACCAGTTGCAAAGTTATCATTCCTTGTGCTTATAATGCTTCAAAACTTAAAGAATGCATGTTATAATTTTTTCCCCTTACTTTAATCACCTTTCTGACAAATGAATTAACTTTTAATATCATATACTTGGCTAGTAAATGACTTACATTTGCTTATTTGTTTATTTATTTAGAGATCGAGTCTCACTCTGTCACCTAGGCTGGCGATAGGGTTTTACCATGTTGCCCAGGCTGGTCTCAAACTCCTGGGCTCAAGCGATCCACCCACATGGGCCTCCCAAAGTGCTGGCCGGGCAAGGTGGCTCACACCTGTAATCCCAGCACTTTGGGAGGCCGAGGCAGGTGGATCACCTGAGGTTAGGAGTTCGAGACTAGCCTGGCCAACATGGTGAAACCCCATCTCTACTAAAAATACAAAACTGTAGCCGGGCATGGTGGCGCATGCCTGTAATCCTAGCTGCTCAGGAGGCTGAGTCGGGAGAATCGCTTGAACCTGGGAAGTAGAGGTTGCAGTGAGCCGATATCGCACTGTTGCACTCCAGCCTGGGCGACAGAGTGAGACTCCATCTCAAACATACATATGTACGTACATACATACATAAACATAAAAATAAAAATACAAAAATTAGCCAGGCGTGGTGACACACGCCTGTAATTCCAGCTACTTGGGAGGCTGAGACAGGAGAATCACTTGAACCCTGGAGGCAGAGGTTGCAGTGAGCCAACATCATACCATTGCACTCTAGCCTGAGTGACAGAGCGAGACTCTGTCTCAAGAAAAAAAAAAGAAAAATGTTGAGATGACAGGTGTGAGCCACCGTGCCCAGCAGAATATTTCTAATACCTTTGATGTCCCCTGTGTGTGCCTGTCAATCTTGTTCCTTTCCCCTCTTCAGAAGCAAACCATTATGAATTTTGAGTATAGTGTTACCTTATTGTTCTTTATCAGTTTATTGTATCTCTTTTTTTTTTTTTTTTTGGTAGAGACAGGGTTTTGCCATGTTGCCCAGGCTAATCTGGAAACTCCTGAGCTCAGGCAATCTGCTCACCTCAGCTTTCCAATGTGCTAGGATTACAGGCGTGAGCCACCGCACCTGGCTGAGAGATATTGGAAAAACCGAACTCAGTTTCTCCTACCATACTCTTACAACAGAGAATACGAATGTGACCTCTGCTTACCAAAATGTGTAGGAGATTTCTCCCCACCAAGCAAGTCATCAGTTCTGCAGTGGATGCGAGCTGGGTGTCCTCTAATTCAATTTAGTTCTGACACTGTCTACCTGGAGGTAGCATCAGATCCCACAGATGGAGAGCTCAGTCCCACAAGACTGACCCCCACTTCAGACCCCAGTCATAACTCCAGGTTTGTGGAAATTGTGACCAACCTGTTGGCTGTAAATGTAATGGGATTCCCACAAGCTGCTCCCCTGGTTTGATTAATTTTCCAGAGGGCCCCCACAGAACTCAGGGAAACCTTTGTGTTTACCCATTTATTACAAAGGAGAGTTTCAAGGATCCATATGAACAGCCAGATGGAAGTCATGTGTAGGGCATGGCTTGTGGGAAGGGGCATATAGGTTCCACACCCTCCCTGGGGGTGCTGCCCTCTGGGGACTTCAGCATGGTTAGCTATCCGGAAGCTCCAGAAGCCCATCCTTTTGGGTTTTTATGGAGGCTTCAGTACATAGGCATGACTGATTACATCATTCAGCCCCATTCCCTTTGGGGGTTGGGGGCAGTGTTTGGAAGGAAGCTGAAAGTCCCAATCCTCTAGTCATTCCCGGGTCTTTCCTGTGACTTGCCCACATCCTGAAGCTATCTAGGGGTTGCCAGCCACTAGTTGTCTCATTAGCATACAAAAGACACACTTTTTTTTTTTTTTTTTTTTTTGAGCCAGAATTTCGCTCTTGTCGCCTAGGCTGGAGTGCAATGGCGCAATCTCAGCTCACTGCAACCTCTGCGTCCCGGGTTCAAGCGATTCTCCTGCCTCAGCCTCCCCAGTAACTGGTATTACAGGTATGCACCATCAAGCCTGGCTAATTTTTGTATTTTTAGTAGAGACGGGGTTTCACCATGTTAGCCAGGCTGGTCTTGAACTCCTGACCTCAGGTGATCCACCCACCTCGGCCTCCCAAGGTGCTGGGATTACAGGCGTGAGCCACCACGGCCAACCAAGACACTCTCATCACTCCAGAGATTCCAAAAATTTTAGGAGATGTATCTGAGGAAACTGGAAGGAAAACCAAATATATATTTCACAACCCCACAGAGAGATTGGAATATGACTTATGGTCCAGCAGATAACATAATTTGAATGGTTCATCTTTAGTTCCGTGCCATTTTACACTGGACTAAGCATTTTCACTTTTTTTTTTCCATCATAAAACTATGTTCTTGTCTCTCCCTTCTCTACCTGCTATTGGTCTGAACCTCATGTTTTAGTACTTTACTACTATATTTTTATCTATGTCTGCCTTGTCTCTCTACCATACTACCCCAAACTGGATTATAATCTCTTGAACTACCATGTTACATTATTTTCCCCTCGTAGCACCAACTCATTATGCATATTGATAAACACATTGCTTGCCATGCTGAGATCCAGTAATGGGAAGTATGACCAGCAGACTGAGAAAATAACAGGGTAAGGGCATTCTTTCAGTTCTGTCACCAATGGGCGGTTGTGCTGACTTACACACAGCGAGGGGACACAGTTCCTGTTGTTTTAGTCTGAAAATCTCTGAAGTGTTCTGAGGAAATAGAGATGCCCTGTTTTGTTTTCCTCCATACCTGGCCAAGAAAGATCCAGATTGTAGCTCCCATCTGGGATAACCCTCTTCATATCCTGGCAAGACAGTAAGGAATTAAAAACCCTTCGGTGGGGCTGGGCACAGTGGCTCACACCTGTAATCCCAGCGCTTTGGAAGGCCAAGGCAGGAGGATCACTTGCAGTCAGGAGTTCAAGACCAGCCTGGCCAACATGATAAAGTCCTGTCTCTACTACTAAAAATACAAAAATTAGCCAGGCATGATGGCACACAGCTGCAGTCCCAGCAGGAAAATGGCTTGAACCTGAGAGGCAGAGGCTGCAGTAAGCCAAGATCGCACCACTGCACTCCAGCCTAGGTAACAGAGCAAGACTCCGTCTCAAAAACAACAAAAAACAAAAAAATCCCCAACCCTTTCGTGGCCTTGACTTTTACCTGTTAGGGGGTAAATGCCCCCATAAGGCAATACTTTCCCAAAAGTTAAATTTTTTTTTCCTACATTATCATCTAACTACAAGAAGGCAAAATAAGCCAAAATGTCTCCATTTATAGCCAGCTTCAGCATTGACATCATTTTATATTACATATGATACTTTGTATTCCATGCTGCCTGGGGTCATCTGTTACAAGTGTCTAGACCTAGTACGTGGTTATTTTCCCTTAATTGTGTGGATAATTTTACACTGGTTTGTTCACAGGTGGTCAGGACGTAATAACCGAGAGAAGATTGGTGTTCATGTTGGCTTTGAGGAAATCTTAAACATGGAGCCCTATTGCTGCAGGGAGACCCTGAAATCCCTCAGACCAGAATGCTTTATCTATGACTTGTCCGCGGTGGTGATGCACCATGGGAAAGGATTTGGCTCAGGGCACTACACTGCCTACTGCTATAATTCTGAAGGAGGTATAGATAAGAAAAAGTATTTTATCTTGGGTTGGACTTGGAGGCTGGAGTTCAGGCTTTAACCGATTTCTAAATTGACTACTAAATCATAAACAAAGCTACTCGACCACTTATTTTCTTAGGGAGAATGCCTCTGCAGGTACTAAAAAATGAGAGTTAATGCATGAAATATTTTCTGTAGGTTTTGCAGTACTTTTGACTAAGGGCTGGAGGGATATAATAATGAGGATAGTCTTGTTGCTAACTAAAAGTCAGAGTGTTAACTTTTCTTAAAGACACACTTCAAAAAGCAGATCGTATGTTTACTGGTTTACTTCAGTTAATTTCGTTAAAGAAATAGGGTACCTAATGAACTGGGGGATCATAGATATTTGGAACAAACACTGCGTTCAAGTTTAACACACAAAACTCACTTATTTTCTGCCTTCTAGGATAGTCTAGTTCTAGCAAAAGTGATTGGATTGAGATTTTATTTTTTACTCCCCCCAACACCTTTTTTTTTTGTGAGATGGAGTCTCGCTCTGTCGCCCAGGCTGGAGTGCAGTGGGACGATCTCAGCTCACTGCAACCTCTGCCTCCCGGGTTCAAGCAATTCTCCTGCCTCAGCCTCCCAAGTAGTTGGGACTACAGGCACATGCCACCATGCCTGGATAATTTTTTGTATTTTCAGTAGAGACGGGGTTTCACCATGTTAGCCAGGATGGTCTCAATCTCCTGACCTTGTGATGCGCCTGCCTCGGCCTCCCAAAGTGGTGGGATTACAGGCATGAGCCACCACACCCAGCCTTACTTCCCCTTTTGATACTTACTGTTGAACAAAGAATGAAACTCCAACTCCCCACCCCCACCCAACACAGCCCAAACAGAAAAAGAGAGGTGAGGACAAGAAGCCCAATAATCCACCAGGGTAACTCAACACTGAGCTACCAAAAACTACCAAGTTAATTGTACACTATTGGCTTTTTTTTTTTTTTTTTTTTTTTTTTTTTGAGACAGAGTCTCACTCTTTCCCCTGGGCTAGAGTACAGCAGCATGATCTCGGCTCACTGCAACCTCCGCCTCCCAAGTAGCTGGGATTGCAGGTGTGCACCACCACGCCTGGCTAATTTTTGTATTTTTAGTAGAGACGGGGTTTCACCATGTTGGCCAGGCTGGTCTTGAACTCCTGGCCTTAAGTGATCTGTCAGCCTTGGTCTCCCAAAGTGCCGGGTTTACAGGCGTGAGCCACCATGCCCGACCCAATTTGCCTTTTAATACAGATTGAGGGCCGGGCGCGGTGGCTCACGCTTGTAATCCCAGCACTTTGGGAGGCCGAGGCGGGTGGATCACGAGGTCAGGAGATCGAGACCACGGTGAAACCCCGTCTCTACTAAAAATAAAAAAAAAAAATTAGCCGGGCGTGGTGGCGGGTGCCTGTAGTCCCAGCTACTCGGAGAGGCTGAGGCAGGAGAATGGCGTGAACCCGGGAGGCGGAGCTTGCAGTGAGCCGAGACTGCGCCACTGTACTCCAGCCTGGGTGACAGAGCGAGACTCCATCTCAAAAAAAAAAAAAAAAAAAAAAAAATACAGATTGAGTATACCTTGTCTGAAATGCTCGGGACCATAAGTGTTTTGAATTTTGGATTTTTTTGCATAGACATTATGAGGTATTGTAAGGATGGGACCCAGGTTTAGACATGAAATTCATTTGCTTCATATACACCTTGTACACATAGCCTAAATATTTTATACAACACTTTAAATAATGAAACAGTTTCATTAACAGAGTGCATATAACAAAGTTTGTACATTGAGCAATCAGCAAACAAAGGTGTCACTATCTCAGCCACTCATATGGACAGTCTGGTGGTTTGGCATCACCATAATTCCTGGCTGATTTTTATATGCTAATATAAGCAGTCATTAGCATACTTATGTGCATGTAATGTACATAAGTGCATTATGCTTATGTGCCCATAAGTTTCACAGTAAAAAATATTAATACAGTGGAAAAAAATGTGTTCAGGGTTACTTATGACATCATGTTGGCACAAAAAGTTTTGGTTTGGAATTTTTTTTTTTAAGACAGTCCCTCTATCACCCAGGCTTGAGGGCAAGCTGCGCCATCCTTGCTCACTGCAACCTCTGCCTCCCAGGTTCAAGCCATTCTCTTGCTTCAGCCTCCTGAGTAGCTGGGAATTCAGGTGTGCACCACCACGCCTGGCGAATTTTTGTATTTTTAGTAGAGACAGGTTTCACCATGTTGGCCAGGCTGGTCTCTAACTCCTGGCCTCAGGTGATCTGCCTGCCTCGGCCTTCCAAAGTGCTAGGATTACAGGCATGAGCCACCATGCCTGGCCAGATTTTGGAATTAGGGATGATCATCCTGTATGATTAGTGGCAAAAGCATTAACTGGTAGATTTACACAAAGAATAAATAGTGTCAGGTACTCTAATCAGTCACATGCTGTGAAAAACTTAAGCTACTTTTAGAATAAAGGTAGATAATTCCAGGGTAACACTGCCCAATCTATATTTCTCATTAAAGAAAAATGAATTGGCTAGAAAATTATTTTCCCTTCAGAAAAAGCTTCTCACTCAATGCCTTTCATACTAGAATTTTCTAAAGTCCCTTCATAAATGTATTTCTGTGCTTCACTCTAGGGTTCTGGGTACACTGCAATGATTCCAAACTAAGCATGTGCACTATGGATGAAGTATGCAAGGCTCAAGCTTATATCTTGTTTTATACCCAACGAGTTACTGAGAATGGACATTCTAAACTTTTGCCTCCAGAGCTCCTGTTGGGGAGCCAACATCCCAATGAAGACGCTGATACCTCGTCTAATGAAATCCTTAGCTGATCCAAAGACAATGGGGTTTTCTTCCTGTGATTTATATATATACTTTTTAAAAGACTGATGTACCATTTTAAACTTCATTTTTTCTTGTGAATCAGTGTATACTACATTTATACATTTTATATCTAACAATTTTTTTTTTTACAAAGTATAAATGTATATATCAACTGAAGGTAACTACTTTTTTCATATTTGGAGTTTTAAACTTTTGGTGTTTACCTCAGACTGATGTTACCTCTTTTATATTTTTATGTCTTAATTGGCTCGGATGATGAACTTGTGCAATCTTCTACCAACAAAGTTCAAGTGGCATCATTTTATATACATGTATCTTTTTCAGGTATTTTCTATACAAATTCTTAATAGATGGAAAATTAGACTCTACTTTGGTCACTAATAGTCTTTCATTTGTATATTGAAGTTACCTTGCCCCTTGGAGTTATTGAAGTGACATGTCAAGGTATCACCTAAATATTCTTCAGTCACACTCACTGGTATTTCTGAGGCTTTGTGTGTTAACAGGCCTTGTAATTGACATTATTTTGGTTAATGTAACCCCAAAATTGCTTTAGTAATTGCTCTTTGGCATAGTCAAACTATAAATGAAAATGGCAGCTTTACAAATAGTATATTTAAGTGAACTCTGGAACTATGGACATGAAAAAAATGATGGCTGGGATTTATGATTTTTGTCTGGCAGCAAACAGGTTTGTCCAGAAGTCTAATAATTAAGCAGTCATAAAAAGTCTGAATTTAGTAAACCAGTGTATGATGTTATTCAAATAGTTTACCTTGGGTATGAGTTCATTTTATAATGTCTGATGACATTAGATCTCTTAAAACTTTATGTATTTTTTTTAGTTCAAAGGAATAGAGTCTTGAAGAGAAAAAATTATAGGGCAGAAAAGATAAGTGTTCAAAATTGGCAACTGGACTATTATTATGTCTAGCATCTCATTCTAAATAACTAAAGCTTGATTTACTCTTGCTAGGATTATGTGACTACTAGGTAGGAGCCTCTTAAAACACTGGCCCTGAGCATTAAAAAAAAAAAAAAAAACTAAAAGCTATCTATCTAAACTTGCACAAAAAAAAATACAGTGTGAGTCACTCTTTTTCTTCTTCTGATAATCTCACTGGGTTTCTTTAAAGTCCTGTTGCTGCTAACTTTATCTTATTTGGAGAGGGTAGAATCAACTAATCTCTGTAGACCAGCTATGTATCTAAGCTCTGTTAACCACAGGAAGATCATGTATCCCTTTTTTATAAGTGGGTTTATTTGCAGGTTGAAGTCTTAGTGAAAGATAGTATCCTGTAGAATGCTGTTCACCACTAGTGATCATCTGTTAAGTACAAACTTGAAAGAGGTCTCTACCAATAAATTTTTCTTAAATTTCACAAAACAAGTCATCTGGGTTAGCTGATAGTGAGGTGCAGTGAGACTTTTATCACTGAATAGACAAATCATTTGTGCCGAAAATACATCTGGAATATTAAATGGCTATGTTTAAAATTGTTCATAATACCTATGCAAGTTGTTACCTCAACTGTTACACACTTCTTAATACCTCATTAAAAATTTACATGGTCAAGATAACCAGAGTCTACTCTTTTCTAATTTCAAGGACTATTTTTAACGTTATACATTTTAGCACGTCATTTTAATGGAACTGTAAAAACTCCTGAGCTATTTGTAATGGTATCGTTGCTTGTACTTATTTCAATATAAAAACATACAAGAGGCCGGACGCCATGGCTCATGCCTGTAATCCCAGCACTTTGGAAGGCCGAGGCGGGCAGATCACAAGGTCAGGAGATCAAGACCATCCTGGCTAACACAGTGAAACCCCATCTCTACTAAAAATACAAAAAAAAAAAAAATTAGCCAGGCGTGGTAGCATGCATCTATAGTCCAGCTACTCAGGAGGCTGAGGCAGGAGAATAGCTTGAACCCGGCTGCAGTGAGCTGAGATCGCGCCACTGCACTCCAGCCTGGGTGACAGAGCGAGACTCCCGCTAAAAAAAAAAAAAAAAAAAAAAAAAAAAAAAACAAAGTGACTTAGCCCTTTACTTTTTAATCCCTTAAAACTAACAAACACCTATGGGGGGAGGCTTGGAAAAGGGGGATATTATTGGGGGGGGGTCTGGGAAATCTGTAGTACTTTCCACTAAATTTTAGTGTGAAAAATGTCTCAAAATACCAACAATAAAATTAAAACCTAAACAATAAACAGAAACTTAGATTTCTTACTATTTATCTTAAATCTCAACATGGACGTCTACATTCTGCTAAGTTGATCTAACAAAAAACAACATGTTTTAGTTGTAAAATAATTTACTAAAGGCACTATTGTTAAACATCAAACTAATAACTTGTTGCCAATAAGGTACATCGTTGTAAACATAACAAAATTTTAAGAGATACATGGCTAATAAGCAAACAATACAATTTTTAGTTACAGCTTTCCTACTTACAAGATCATGTCCCTTCCAGCCATTACAAGGGCATACAGTGATGCCATTGCTCCCAACAGTTACCTGGGAAGGGAGCTTGGAGCTCCTAATTGGTTTGAGATCATGACTGCCAAGGTCTTTAAAAGCTCCAAAAGTCTTCACTCATAAAGGTCAATTCTAAAATTGCTGGGTTTAGAAATCAAGATACTTGCTTTATACTTCCACATCAAAAAGATACGGACTCAACCCCAAAGGAGCTAGCTGGAGGGCCCAGCCCTGACAGTATGTCCAGGCATGAACTGGCGAGCTCTGCTGCTAGCCACAGCATCACAGAGAATGGAGACATTAGTCAAATGTGGCTACTGAACATTAGCACCATAATAAACATAGCTCATACAGCTAAAACCTAGATTGTTTCCCGACAAGGTAACATTCATTTATAGCTCTAATGCTGAAAGAGCAGCTTTTTAATGTAACAGATGATCTAGGTACACAAGTCATAGGTTTCTCTTCCTAGGATAAAAACGTTCAACAAAATACAAACTAAACAGCATCCCAGAGGCAATAAAATCTCATTGTACTGAAACATATACAAATTAAGGCTACCTTGATATATAAATGATTTAGAAATTATGATGGAACATTCCCATAAAATTATTTAAATATAAGAATTCAATTTGTCAAAGAATCAGTAGTGGGCCTCAGTTCAAACAAATTAATATTACCATCGTTACATTCAACTTAATACACTTAGCCGCTATAAGGAAAGTAACTGTAACGTCACTTCCTGAAATACCACTAGTAATGTTAAGAATCCAAACCTGTCAAAGGGGAAGGTATTACAGCATTTGCCTCATGAATGAAAAAGTCCAAGAATTTCAACTTAATTTTTCTAACTAGAACAAGATCCAAACATGGGAAGTTTTTTTTTTTCTTCTTTGCTTTTGTGGCTTTAATACCCTTTTGGTTTTCTGAGCAAGCTGAATACATTCCCTGATAAACACCACCACTGGACAAAGGATCTAAACATTGAGATTTTTACTAAATCAAGGTTTTGAGTTGGCACAATGTTCCTACTAAGTCAAGTTTCAATTAGCACATCTTTCCAATGTCAGGAGAAAAAAAGACAAGGACTACTATGTCCTACAAAGAATGGTGAAATATTCCTAAAGCTGTATATTTATGAAGAAAAGGTGATTGTCCCTTTTTATGCATGTGTAGATCTTGTTTTAGCCACTATGCCAGAAAAGTCTCAGTGTAGAGGTCTACATTTCAGATAAATGTCTCTGCATTTGCCTACATTAAGTTTAGCTATTTATCCTGTCCAGAATTATAACCACAGACATTGAGATGTAGCTCTCAGATCTGAAAATGTCTTTATTTTTTAGAAAATGGATTCCAGGAAGGTTAAAAAGCAACACCAGAGGGTATAGGTGCAGAACTGGATGTAGTCATTCAAAGCATTCAAGTAAGAATATGGCAATATAAATATCCAAAAAGTATCTCTTAGGTATTCAAAACAAAACGTATAAGTCATTCCTAACTAATTTGAGCTTTATAGCATTTTCCTAGACAGGAAGGGGAAAAACAGTTAGCATTTAAAAGTCCGGAAAGCTTTTTCGTTGGTTAATTACATTAGACGGTTTGCCTTTGTCCAAATTCCTTCTTTTTTAAACATGGATAAAAGTATTACATGGGTCCACTGTTAAAACAGACAACATGTGGCAAATTAATTCTGGTATCATGTTTTCCAACAAAGCTCAGAAAATAAAGGTGTTGAGGTGGCTTTGGACTAAGTTTAATAGTCATCTCCTCTGCTGACAACTTCTTTACATGTTGGACGCAACAGGATGGTATGTTCAAATTGCGCTGTATATGATCCTTTAATGTCACATAATGGTGGATATGGATCTACAATGCCCAAGTCACACAGATTCTTCAGAGCCATCAAGTATTTACTTTCTCCCAAGCGATCCAGCCATCTGCGGCAGAAGGCAAGGGTTCCAAAGTTTTCATTGATGACATTTAACAAGTGTTTTGTTCTTGGAAGCCTAAGAGGAGAAAATCCAAAATTAACTGTTGGCAAAAGAGTTACGAACTGATTTCCCTCATTAAGAAAAGCCCAGACCTTAGCTGTGTCCTAGTAGTTGAAGTCCAAAAACTTTTATTGTTGCTCTTTCAACAATCAAAAGCCAGAATGTATAATAGCCCATACCTAATTATAGATGGCAGCTGAATAGGACACCAGCTGGAGGCCATCTTATCATGTTTACGTGTCTACGTGCGCGCGCGTGTGCGTGTGTGTGTGTTATATTCCCCACTAGAGACCTACTACAGGGTATTATGATGTGAATTTCCTTTTGTGTGCAGCAAGCTCAAAGACCTGCATATAAAAGATGTAAATGCAGATTTCAATCATCTTCAAATGTTAAAAAATTTCAATGTAAATTGAAAGACGCTGTAAATGGAAGTTTACCAATGGAAAAATATTAAAGCAAAAACCTAGGAATGCTAGCAAAATAATCTCTGACATTTATGATTATCAGAAACCGGACTTGAAGAGAGCACTTGTGTGTGTGTGTGTGTGTGTGTGTGTGTGTGTGTGTGTGTGTAATTTTTATCTCAGTTAAAATGTTTAACAGGCTATTTTTTTTTCTTATTGTTGGGCTACAGAACTCTACATTCATGAATATACTATTTTGTATGTATGCCACATTTTTTAGAAATGCTGTTAACTCAGAAGAGATGCTAATTAGCCACATAAAATCAATCGTCTCGTCTCTCACCTTATTGGCACATGTCCAACATCAAAATTTTTCATGTAATGTGAACATTCCATATCATCATGAACAACACCTTTTCCTGTACTACCAAAGGTTTCAATTGCATATACTTCTCCTTCCTGAAAAATAAATAAGGGTCAAGGGGAGAGAAAGAAGAAAAATTCAGAACGAATCACAATTACCATCTCTCTTTCTCTCTCTCTCTTTTTGAGACAGAGTCTCTCTCTGCTGCCAGGCTGGAGTGCAGTGGTGAGATCTTGGCTCACTGCAACCTCCACTTTCCAGGTTCAAGCGATTCTCCTGCCTCAGCCTCCCGAGTAGGTGGGACTACAGGCACGTGCCACCATGCCTGGCTAATTTTTGTATTTTTAGTAGATACAAGGTTCCACCATGTTGGCCAGGATGGTCTCAAACTCCTGACCTCACTCAGGTGATCTGCCTGCCTTGGTGTCTCAAAGTGCTGGGATTAACAGGCCTGAGCTACCGAGCCTGGCCTACAATTACCATCTCTTGAAGTCTCTACCTGATTAAGCAGCAACATGAAATAGCCCCTGGCGGTCCTTATCTAGCCTTGCCCTGCTTTATCTCCTTAGCACTTTTTGGTCTTTCTGCTTCCCCCTATGAATTATGTTCACAGCTCTACCCCTAGAGCCTACTATAAAGAGACTGGCACCTGAGAATGCTCAATAAATATTCATTAAATGTTGAATAAACAACCCTTTCACAGCCCCAATTTCCACAACTGATTTAGTGCTGACTATACACAATTTGCAAATTCAAATGGCCCAATTCCTGGCAGGGTGAATATGGATGATAAGCAGCTAATTCTGGTCAGTATAACCATATATTTAACTACCATGACCTTCTGCTTGGAAGAAAAAAATGTCTTCCATGGAAGTAAAATGTTAGTGACACACATACCTCCATTCTTGTTGCCTCCCCTCCTTTCACAATCGGCACTGTTTTTCCAGCATGTATTCTATATTGCCCAATTGAATGTCCATTTAGATTACGGATTGGTTTCACTGTTATAAAAAATAGGGAAATAAAAGTCATTCAGGATCTCAAGAAGCAAAAACAGATCTCTTACATTTTGGTACAGAGTTCAAGCATTTATTCAAAAACCAGGTATGGCTTTACTAAATAACCTTACATTAAGGTAGTTTAATATAAACTGGAATCTAGTGGAATATAAAAAGTAGTTGCAGTGTTATTAATACTAGAAGTAGGCCAGGTGCAGTGGCTCATGCCTGTAATCCCAGCACTCTGGGAGGCCGAGGCAAGCGGATCACCTGAGGTCAGGAGTTCGAGACCAGCCTGACCAACATGGCGAAACCCTGTCTCTACTACAAATACAAAAATTCGCTGGGTGTGGTGGTGGGGGCCTGTAATTCCAGCTACTCAGGAGGCTGAGGCAGGAGAATCACTTGAACCCGGGAAGCGGAGGTTGCCGTGAGCCAAGATCACATCACTGCACTTCAGCCTGGGCGAAAGCAACTCCGTCTCAAAAAAAAAAAAAAAAAAAAAAAACGGTGCTAGAAGGGAGGATGGAAGAAAGAAATACAGGATTAAGGGCACAAGGGAGGTCATCTAAGGAGGTATAAGGAGGTACTGTTAACAACAAATAAAATGCCATGTACACAAATTATTAGAAACATAAAAAATACATATTTGTATTGTTACAGACCAAAAGATAATGTGAAAGATACTGTTAATATGACAGTATTATAAAACTTTATATCAACATTTCAAATGTTCAAAAAGAAAACCTATGTGGCTGAGACACAGTAATTAAGAAATAGAAGTAAGAAAGAAGAAAGAAAATCTAAACATCCCACTGTCATGACAGCAAGGACAGAATAGACAAATTGTGGCATATTCACGAGGGAATAACATTCAACAATCAAAACAAAAAGCTAGGAATACATTTAACAACTGGAATAAAACGTCTAGCTTTTTTATTCCAGTTGTTTTAAAACTGACAAAATGAGCAGAAAAAGGCACAATTACATATATACTGTACAATTCCACATATATATAATAGTTCAAAATTAGGCAATAAAACTAGTTTAGGGATGCATAATTAGGTAGTAAAGACATAAAGAAAAGCAAATGAAAATCCTTTCATACTTGCAGTGCTGATAAGCTAAATATATTTTAAAATTCAGACATCATTACTATTTCTCTAAGACCTGGCAAACTGACCCCACAAGCCAAGATGGTGGCTCACTAGAGGCAGGCTGCTGTAATTGGAAAGCAGTGTATTGCTGCTATGGTTTGAATGTATCCCCCAAAGGTCATGTATTGGGAATTTCATCCCCAGTGTGATGGTGTTGGGAGGTGGGACCTAACAGGAGGAGTTTGGGCCATGGAGGCACCACTCTCATCAATGAATTCAAGCCATTATCTCAGGAGTGGGTTCCCTGTAAAGGACAAGTTTGACCATTTCTTGCTCTCTCTCTCAAACTTCTCATTGCCCTTCTGCCTAATGCCATAGGATGATGCAGCAAGAAGACCTTCACCAGATGCCAGTCCCTCAATCTTCCCAGCCTCCAACACTGTGAGAAATCAATTTCTGTTCTTTATAAATTACCTAGTCTCAGGTATTCTGCTGTAGCAGCACAAAACGGACTAAGAAAATGAGACTGAGCGTCTTCTGGAATACTGGCAATATTCAATTTCTTGAGGAGTGAGGTTACGTAGCTTCTGCAATTGAGAAGCTGAGTTTTTATGCTTTGTGCATTTTGTGTTAATATTTCAAATTTTAAAAAAGGGCTAAAAACGGCCAGGTGCAGTGGCTCACGCCTGTAATCCCAACACTCTGGGAGGCCAAGGCAGGTGGATGACTTGAGGTCAGGAGTTCAAGACCAGTCTGGCCAACACAGTGAAACCCCATCTCTACTAAAAATATAAAAATTAGCTGGGCGTGGTGACACACCTGTAGTCCCAGCTATTTGGGAGGCTGAGGCAGGAGAGTCACTTGAACCCGGGAGGCAGAGACTGCAGTGAAATGAAACTGCACCACTGTACTCCAGTCTGGGCGACAGAGTCTCAAAAAAAAAAAAAAAAAAAGGTTGGGGGGGAGGTCTTAAAAAAATTTAACTCTATAACTCTAGAATCCTCAGTATGAGCTACCTTTCTTCTAGAGCAGAGTTAAGTAGTCTGAAGCAATGAACAAGTATGTTACAAACTTAGTGGGACAGCAAGAAAAACAAATCAATTCACTCTTCACAACAACCTTCTTATATAAATGTGTCAAAGTTGTCAGACTCAAACAGAGCTAGGGAAAGCCATGAAGAGAGGGTTCTCATGCTTATACACCTGATAATGAAAATGACTATGAAAACCATAACCTTGCACAAAGCCCACTGCAACCTTACACAAAAAAATACTTCTGCAAGGACATCTGCCCAACAACTGCCTGCCCAACCTCCGACTGGCGTCACTTTTGTTATTAATCTTTGGAGCCAAGGATAATTATTTCAAAACAATTATGTCATCCTCATTTTCGTCTTCAAAAACCTCTGTCTTCCTTACCTCCCTGAATATGCACAAGTTTACTATGGCATTCCCACTGCAATGCTCTATTCCCAAACATCATTTTCTTTTAGAGAGCCTCTGTTTGTTATTTAGGTTGACAAGTAACAAGCTTATTTTAAAATTCAAACTTTGCAGACTGACCCTTACAAGCCAATCAATTTTTTTAAAGAAAGTTTCTTAGCCATACCAACCTAATATGTTAGTTACACAGAAAAATGAGGGTACAGGGGAATTCATTTTTTACTTATGCAGGTTGTAACAGCACAGGCTAATTCTGGGACCAGTAATTTGTTAACAATCACTTTTTAATTCTATTGCTTCCTGATCAAAGGAGATTAAGATACTCCTTTGATGGCCCGTTTGTGCTATGTGTTTTGATTTGTTCTGGAAAGTTCAACCCGGAATCCATTTCTTCATCTCCCTATTATCATGATTTTTCCACATCCTCTCTGCTTAAACTATAAAAATGGATTGTTGCCTTAAACTAAGAACACTGATCAATAAAATAACAGGGATCAAAAGAGGGGTACTGAAATAATGAAACCAAAAATGCTGCACTAGCTTAATGGAAGAGGTAAAAGGGTAGATATTAAAAATCCCGATGTTGCAGGCTGGAATTATTATGCAGTGACTAAAACATTAAGTCAAACTGTCACCTACCATACCTTGAAAGGCAGACCACATACCAAACAAGTTGTAGAATTAGGAGAAAATGAAAGGAAAAAGAGAAGACATTGGTATATGTTGGCTAGTGTTGGAATTTACAAAAATTTCAGCAAATTCTCAAAAAAGAGAAATAACTAACTCTAGAGGTAGTCCCCCAAGCAGACTGCTACAGTGTGTACTCCAAGTTGACATAAGACTCACGAATTTGGAAATAGATTCTGTTCATTTGTAGCAGTGAACCTAGAAATCAGAAGGCCCATGTTCTAGTCCCATAAATTCCTCAAATTAACTTGGCATTTATGCTCTTAATCTCAGCTTTCTTTGGGTTAAGAATCTTGCTTCTGGGGAGCTCATAAAGTGTTAATAGAAGCAGCAACTCCTAAAACTGGTTCTAAGCTATTTAAAGAACTGGACAAAACATTTTCCAAAGAAAAGCACACTGGAAATGAGATCTTCTAAATTCTAGCCTTTAAAAATCTTTTGCTTTCCTTATGGCTTTGGCTAGGATACAAAGAAAAGTATGTTTACCCTTACTAAGGAACATAGTAAATTTAAATCATGTCTTAATGTAAAAATAAATTGTAAAAATTTCACATAACAGTAAGTAAAAGCCAAAAGTAGAATATGTGAATCGGCTGGGTGCGGTGCCTCACGCCTGTAATCCCAGACTTTGGGAGGCCGAGGCAGGCAGATCACCTAAGGTTGGGAGTTCAAGACCGCCTGACCAACATGGAGAAACACCACATCTACTAAAAAAAAAAAAAAAAAAAAAATTGCTGGGCGTGGTGGCGCATGTAATCCCAGCTACTCGGGAGGCTGAGGCAGGAGAACTGCTTGAACCTGGGAGGCGGAGGTTGTGATGAGCCGAGATCGCGCACCATTGTACTCCAGCCTGGGCAACAAGAGCAAAAGTCTCTCTCAAAAAAAAAAAAAAAATCATGAGAATCATGGAAGGTTATCTAATGCTATGATTTTTATTCTCCTCCACATGTGCTTTCACACTGAGAGGAGCCACTAGGGGAAAGGCTGAGTATGTAGAGAAAAGGCGTAATAAGGTGGTATCTCAAAGGAGGTGGAGGATTAACACTGAAAAGAAGATCCTTAACGCAGTGTTTGAGCTAACAATTTAAAAAAATTTTAAAGAAAATACTGTATAGAAGACAGAATATTTCTTCCTTGAAGAACAGAGATAAAAACATAAGAATAGGGAGAAGATGGGCAAATCCCGGCATTTGCCAATCCTGGTATTTTGCCATGTTCTTTATGCAACGTGGAAAAAATGTTAAAGAGTGTTAGGCTTGTTTGGCTATTTTTCTCATCAGGTAAGTAATTTCCTGGATGCGAAGAGCGATTTGGAAGAGCCTGAATAAGCACTGTATTTGTGGCACTAATCCCAGAATTGGGGTGAGAAGGGGACAGAATGACAAATATTTGTTGAATACTTAATAAATTCCAGGCACTATCACACAATTTACATTTCTCAAAATAAACTAGATACCATTAACCCTACTACAGTCAAGAAACTTGGGTATTCAGGTTACAGATTTATCTAAGACTCCAAGTAAAAACTGCCTGAACCCCAAAGTGTGTTTTCTTCATTATCCCACACCTCCTACCTAAGTGTGAGTAACATCAAGAGTATTCTGGGCCGGGTACAGTGGCTCACGCCTGTAATCCCAGCACTTTAGGAGGCCAAGGTGGGCAGATCGCCTGATCTGGCCAACATGATGAAGCCCCATCTCCACTAAAAAAAAAAGTCCAAAAATTAGCCAGCATGATGACACACACCCGTAATCCCAACTACTCGGGAGGCTGAGCTTATAGTGATCCAAGACTGCACCACTGCTCTCCAGCCTGGGTGACAGAACGAGTAAGACTCTGTCTCAATAAATAAATAAATAAATAAATAAATAAATAAGTATTCTGCTTTGCACTTGTGTTCACAGGATTAGAGATCTTAAAGAGAATATCTGAAAATCAAATAACAAAGAAGTTAAAGATATAGATGAGAGAAGAATTAAAGCTGCCAACACAGGGTCTAGGCAGGAGGAAGGGAAATGAAACCTTGAAGAACAATGAAATGGAAGAATATCTTGATATCAAAAAACATATATAGGCTGGGCACGGTGACTCATGCCTGTAATCCCAGCACTGTGGGAAGCCGAGGCGGGCGGATCATGAGGTCAAGAGATTGAGACCATCCTGGCAAATATAGTGAAACCCCGTCTCTACTAAAAATACAAAAATAAATTAGCTGGGTGTAGTGGCGCATGCCTGTAATCCCAGCTACTTGAGAGGCTGAGGCAGAAGAATCGCTTGAACCCGGGAAGCGGAGGTTGCCGTGAACCAAGATTGCGCCACTGCACTCTAGCCTGGGCGACAGAGTGAGATTGCGTCTCAAAAAAAAAAAAAAAAAAGCATATATATTAGAAATAAAAATAAATATTTTTTAAAAAATACAAAAATTAGCCAGGTATGATACTGTACATCTGTAGTCCCAGCTACTCGGGAAGCTGAGCGCACTCCACCGAGTGCTTGAGCAAGGGGGTTGGGCTGCAACCGTGCCACTGCACTCCAGCCTGGACAACAGAGGAAGACTCTTTTTTATTTTTTTCCCCAGACGAAGTCTCACTCTGTCGCCCAGGCTGGAGTGCAATGGTGCAATCTTGACTCACTGCAACCTCTGCCTCCTGGCTTCAAGTGATTCTCCTGCCTCAGCCTCCCGAGTAGCTGAGATTACAGGTGTGTGCCATCACGCCTGGCTATTTTTTTTTTGTATTTAGTAGAGACGGGGTTTTACCATGTTGGCCAGGCTGGTCTCAAACTCCTGACCTCAGGTGACCCACCCACTTTGGCCTCCCAAAGTTTTGGGATTACAGGCGTGAGCCACCACGTCTGGCAGACTCTGTCTAAAAAAAGAGTTGGGCACGGTGGCTCATGCCTGTAATCCCAGCACTTCGGGAGGCCGAGGTGGGCGGATCACCTGAGGTCTGGAGTTCGAGACCAGCCTGGCCAACATGACAAAACCCCGCCTCTACTAAAAATACAAAAAGCAGCCAACTATGGTGGCACACGTCTGTAATCTCAGCTACTCAGGAGGCTGAGGTAGGAGAATGGCTTGAATGGCTCGAACCTGGGAGGCAAAGGTTGCAGTGAGCCGAGATCGTGCCACTGCACTCCAGCCTGGGTGACAGAGCAAGACTCCATCTCAAAAAAAAAAATTTGGCCGGGCGTGGTGGTGGGCACCTGTAATCCCAGCTAATGAGGAGGCTGAGGCAGAATCGCTTGAACCCAGGAGGCAAAGGTTGCAGTGAGCCGAGATTGCATCATTGCATCCCAGCCTGAGCAACAGAGCGAGAGACTGTCTCAAAAAAAAGTTTAAGTCTGGTAATAAATTTCAGTATTTAGACATGAAAGAGGACTGTTACGTTGGTGGTAACTGTCTATATAGAAGGCACGGTCAGGTTCCAGAGGAAGAATCACTTCTGCTCTTGGTAGAAACACATAATGGGCAACAGGAAATGCAAAGAATGCTGAATGGTGTGAATTTACTAAGAGGCAAGAAAACAACATGAGAGTCTCCACTCACAGTCTACAAAGAGAGACAGAATTCTGTTAAAGGAAATATAGAAAATAGTCTATAAGGAAGTTATTACAGCAGGATCACAGAGAATAATGAGCACAGATGAGGGAGGAGGATGGTGGCTGGGGGATGGTCAGACAGACCTGGGAGCCAGAGGAGGACTGGACTGACAGAGGTTAACGTACAGCACCAGAAAGCACAGGGGACTCTGGGAGTATATACTTGAGGTAGTCACTGGTAAAGACTAGAAGGCAAAGGAACTTGGGAATTAAAGTGATACAGAAGGAACTGGCCTCCAAATTCTGAATGTGATTCCAAAAAACCACAGGCTAGGAGCAGTGGCTCACACCTGTTATCCCTGCACTTTGGGAGGCTGAGGTGGGAGGATCGCTTGAGCTCAGTAGTTCAAAATCAGACTGAGCAACACAGTGAGACTTCGTCTCTACAAAAAAATTAAAAATCAGCCGGGCATGGTGGCCCACACCTGTAGTCCCAACTACCCGGGAGGGCTAAGGTGGGAGGATCGCTTAAGCCTAAGCCTGGGAGGTTGAAACTACAGTGAGCTCTGGTTGCACCACTGCGCTCCAGCCTGGATGACGGAACGAGACCCTGTCTTTAAAAAACAAACAAAACAAAAAACAACAACAAAAAAAATCACAATGAGAAGTCATCAATGGCAAGAGACCTGGCTTCTCTCAGCCTTGATTTGACTAGTCACAGAAAACTGGCTGCACATTTTGGCTGCCCTAGGATATTTCCTCAGGTGTTTTCTTATCAGCTAACAGAGTGGCTTGGCAATAGTTTCCAGTTAGTTACAACACTACTCCTACCATGCTCTAAGCAGGTCATTTCCCGTCTTCTTTCCTTGAATTACCAAGATAGAAACATGAAGCAGCTGACCCAAAGAAAACACTCGACAATAGTTTGTAAAATCAATTTCAAAATAAGATATATTTTAAAAGAACATACCTTGATATGTCTTCCCATCTATTTCAACTTCATAGGACTCCATAACTTCTTGGATGGCCTCACCAACATCACACAGACGAACATCAATTCCAGCACACTAAAAAAAGAGTAACATATGCTTTATTATTCAAAGTGCAAAATTTTCATAGCAACTTAATTTTGTAACATTTAAAAACAAGGGACAATCAGAAAAACTGCTTTGTACATTGTAACTTCCTGTTTAAAATACTTTGCAGAGGATTATGGGAGGATAGTGAAGTATTAAGCACCAGGAATCTGCCTCCCTAAATAGACAACAAGTGCACTGACAAAATCTGTCTAATGTAAGTACTTGGGAACTCTGGAGTCTACTGAAGCCTTGCAACTTCCAGGGGAATAATGGGATGGTCAAGTGTGGTTATTTCCATCCATTTTAGCTCTCAGCACAGTAGCAGCACTGCTACATACCGTTCCATAAACTCATGGTTGGCTCGTGTTCCTGGAGCAACACGCACACAGCTTGGGGGTATGGGAGTGGGCAGAACAGTCTATGTCCTAAACATCAGGGATCTGTGCTTTGATCCCTGGTTGCTGCTTCTGGTCAC
Organism: Homo sapiens; assembly: GCF_000001405.40. Classification (NCBI taxonomy): domain Eukaryota; kingdom Metazoa; phylum Chordata; class Mammalia; order Primates; family Hominidae; genus Homo; species Homo sapiens. The sequence continues at coordinate 95,503,577 of NC_000012.12, read as the reverse complement.
ATAGGCGCAGATACAGAAGTGGCCACTGTTGTTGCATCTCCCCTCATAGTTGCACACCTCAGCGCTTACACACCCCTGTGGCTGAAGTGACTTTCAGAGGATTTAAATGGTGAGCACCCCTTTCCCCTCCACTCCCTCACACTCAGCATGGCCTCCCGTCCATACTCATTTTTCTTGTTCTCCCCCTCTGGGGCCCAGATATTAAAGACTAGGTCATTCAAAAACAACTGCATATATGAGAAAATTCTAAAAGTGAGCACACATGCCCAGGGAAAGACCTGAGAAAACCTGAAGTTCACACCTCAGGTGGATCCTTGGCAGAGATTGGTTACAAGAATGAAAAACAAAAAAACCAACACAAAAAATCTGAAAGAAATGCTGGGGAAGGGGGAATATCTGATTTTCAGAATTACCATATCACATTGAAATAGGCAGTGTTCAACATAAAGTCACAAGGCATACAAGGAAATAAGAACACCCATCAAAGGAAAATAATAAATCGACAGAAACTATCCCTGAAAAAACACCTGATGGCAGATCTACCACTACACAAAGCCTTCAAAACAACTCTTCTAAAGATACTTAAAAAATTAAAGGAAGACATTGAGAGAGCCAAAAAAAAAAAAAATGTATGAACAAAATGAAAATATCAAAAAAGAAATAGAAAACCTAAAAGAAAAAGAAATTTCTGGAGCTGAAAAGTACAGTAACTGAAATGAAAAATTCACAAGGAGAATTCAAAAGTATTTGAGCAGGCAAAAAAAAGAACCAGCAAACCTGAAGATAAGGACAAGGGAAATCACCAAGTCTAAGAATAAAAAAGATTAAAGTGAACAGAACCTCAGGGACCTGTATATCAAGTATACCAATATATGCATTATGGAAATTTTCAGAAGAAGTAGAAAGGTAAACAATAATTGAAAAAGTAATGACTGGAAACTCCCCAAATTTGATGAAATACAAGAATATAGCATCCAAGAAGTTCAAAGAACTCAAAAAAAGATGAACTCAAAGAAACCCCCCCACACACACACACAAAATGATAATCAAACTTTCTAAAGGACAAAGAAGGAAACCTGAAAGCAACAAGAAAGAAGTGATTCACTATATAAAAGGGATGCTCAATTAGACTTCAAGCACATTTCAAACTAGAAACTTTGAAGGCTAGAAGGCAGCAGTGCAACATATTCAAAGTGCTAACTAAAAGAAAAAAAGCTGTCACCCATGAATCCTATCTGGGAAAACTGTCCTTCAAAAGTGAGAAAGAAATCAGGCTAGGCGTGGTGGCTCATGTCTGTAATCCCAGCATGCTGGAAGGCCAAGGTGGGAGGATCACTTGAACCCAGGAGCTCAAGACCAGCCTGGCCAACAAAGTGAGACCCCCATCTCTACAAAAAAGTTTTAAAAATTAGCAAGGTATTGTGGCACACGCCTATAGTCCCAGCTACTTGGAGAACTGAGGTGGGAGGATTTCCTGAGCCCAGGAGGTCGAGGATGCAGTGAGCCATGATCATACCACTGCGCTCCAGCCTGGGCAACAGAGCAAAACCCTGTTTCAATTTGGAAAAAAAAAAAAAAAAAATTATATTAAAAAAAAAGTGAGGGGGAAATTAAGATTCCCAGACGAAAGCTGATGGAGTTCATTACTACTAGACCGGGCCTGCAAGAAGTGCTCAAGAAATGCCCTGCAAAGGATACTATGTAGTAACTTGAAGCCATATGAATTTTTTTAAAATCTCAATAAAGTAAAAAAAAAAAGGCCAATTGTAACAACTAGTATTATTCTAACAATAGTCTGCAAACACTATTTGTTTTCCACATGACTTAAGGAACTAATATATTTACTTTTTTTTTTTTTCTTTTTGAAACGGAGTTTTGCTCTGTCGCCAGGCTGGAGTGCAGTGGCGCAATCTCAGCTGACTGCAACCTCCATCTCCTGGGTACAAGCCATTCTCCTGCCTCAGCCTCCTGAGTAGCTGGGACTACAGGCGCATGCCACTAAGCCTAGCTAATTTTTGTACTTTTAGTAGAGACGGGGTTTCACCACGTTGGCCAGAACAGTCTCAATCTCTTGACCTCGTGATCCGCCCGCCTCAGCCTCCCAAGTGCTGGGATTACAGGCATGAGCCACCGCGCGCGGCCAAAATTATTTTTATTCTAAAAGCTAGTATTATTATTAACTTTGGTTTATAATTCCATATTCTATTTTTTACATAATTCAAGAGACTAATGCATTTAAAAGAATTATTAGGTCGGACACAGTGGCTCATGCCTGTAATCTCAACACTTTGGGAAGCCAAGGTGGGAGGATGGCTTGTGACCAGGAGTTCCAGACCAGCCTGGGCAAGACAGCAAGACCCTGTATCTACAAAAAATTTAAAATATTATTTTATTGTTTAAATTAGCTGGGTGTAGTGGTACACGCCTGTGGTCCCGGCTACTTGGGAGCTGAGGCAGGAGTCTGCTTGAGCCCAGTAGGTCAAGGCTGCAGTGAACTGTGTTCATACCACTGTACTCCAGCCTGGGTAACAAGGGAGACCTGTCTCAAAAAAAAAAAAAAAAAAAAAAAATCCCAACAAAGGAAAACTTTGAACCTGATGGCTTCCACTGGTTAATTCTACCAAACATTTAAAGAACTAATACCTCCTCAAACTTTTCTAAAAACCTCAAGAGAATACTTTCTAAGTCATTACATGAAACCAGCATTACTCTGATACCAAAGCGAGGCAAAGACACTATAAGAAAACTATAGGCCAATATTCTAATGAACACTGATGCAAAATCCTTAACAAAATATTAACAAACCAAGTTCGACTGCATATTAAAAGGAATACACACCATGACTTAGTGGGATTTATTCCAAAGATGGTTCAACATAAGAAAAACAGATCAATCTAATAATACACATTAACAGAATGAAGAAAAATAACCATATGACTGTCTGAATTGATGCAGAAAAAGCATGACAAAATTCAACACCCTTTCATGATGAAAGGCTCAACAAATTAAGAACAGAAGTCAACCACCTCAACGTAATAAAAGCCATCTATGAAAAACCTACAGCTAACATCATACTCAATGGTCAAAGATGGAAAACTTTCCTCTAAGATCACAAACAAGTCAAGGAAGGATATCCACTTTTGCCGTTTTTACTCAACACAGGTCAGAACAATCAGGCAAGAAAAATAAAAAGGCATCTAAATTGGGATGGAAGTAAAACTATCTCTGTTCACAGATTATATGATCTTACCTAGGGAAAACCCTAAAGATTCCACACAAAAGAAGTGTCAGAATAAATTAATTCAACCAAGTACAAGATACAAAGTCAAAACATAAAAATCAGTTGCATTTCTACATACTAACAATGAACAATCTGAAAAGGAAATTACAAAAACAATTCCATTAACAATAACTAAAAAAAAAAAACTTAGGAATTAACCCCAAGAAGGTGAAACACATTAAAACACATGTACAATGAATACTATAAAACATTGCTGAAATAAATTAAAGACATAAATGGAAACACATCTGATACGGTTTGACTCTGTGTCCCCACCCAAATCTCCTCTCGAATTGTAATCCCCATGTGCTGAGAGAGGGAGGTGATAGGATCATGGGGGTGGTTCCCCCATGTTGTTCTCATGATAGGAAGTTCTCATGAGACCTGATAGTTTTATAAACATCTGGCACTTCCCCTGCTTGCAGTTCTCTCTCCTGCTGCCATGTGAAGAAGGTCTTTGCTTTCCCTTTGCCTTTTGCCTTGATTCTAAGTTTCCTGAGGCCTCCCTACTGATGTGGAACTGTGGATAATTAAACTTCTTTCCATTATGAATTACCCAGTCTCAGGTATTTCTTTATAGCAGTGTGAAAATGAACTAACACAACATCTCATGTCTATGAATTAGAAGACTTAGTATTATTAAAATGTCAATACCATCTGAAGCCATCTACACATTCAACACAATCCCTATCAAAATCCATTTGGTGTTTTTTGCAGAAAAAAAAAATCCTAAATTCGTATGGAATCCCAAGACATCCTAGATAGACAAACAATTTTGAAAAAGAACAAAGATGGAGAATTTACACTTCTCAATTTCAAAACTTACAACAAAGCTACAGTAATCAAAACAGTGTGGACATCAGACACAATAGTTCATGCCTGTAATCCCAGCACTCTGGGAGGCTGAGGCAGGAGGACTGCTTGAGGCCAGAAGTTCAAGACCAACCTGAGCAACACAGTGAGACTTGTCTCTATAAAAAACAAACAAAATTGATGGGTACGGTGGCATGAGCCTGTAGTTCCAACTACTTATGAGGATGAAGTAGAAGAACTGCTTAAACCCAGGAAGTACAGGTTGCAGCGAGCCAAGATCACACCACTGCGCTCCAGCTTGGGTGACAGAGCAAGACCCTGTCTCAAAACTAAAACCAAAACCAAAACAAACCAAAAAAACCCAATGTGGTATTGACATAAAGACAGACATATAAACCAATACAATAAAATGAACAGCCCAGAAATAAACCCTCACTTACAAAAACAAATGATTTCTTTTTTTTTTTTTGGGACAGGGTCTTGCTTTTTTACCCAGGCTGGAACGCAGTGGCGTAATCTTGTCTCACTGAGGCCTCAACCTCCCTGGGCTCACGTGATCCTCCCACCAGAGCCTCCTGAGTAGCTGGGACCACAAGGGTGCACCATCACACCTGGCTAATTTGTTTAATTTTTGGTAGAGTTGGGGTCTTGCTATCTTACCCAGGCTAGACTTTAACTACTGAGCTCAAACGATCCTCCCACCTCGGACTCCAAAAGGGCTGAGATTATAGGCATGAGGCACTGTGCCTGACCCAGATGAGCTTTGACAAGGGTGTCAAAACCATTGAAAAGCAAAAGAACAGTCTTAACAAATGGTGCTGGGAAAACTGGACATTCACATGCAAAAGAATGAATGTGGACCCTTACTTAACACCATATAAAAAATTAACTCAAAATGGATCAAAGACCTAAGTTGAAGACCTGAAACTATAAATACCTTAAAAGGAAACGGAGTAAAAGCTTCATGACATTAAATTTAGCAATGATTTACTGGATATGACACCAAAGGCACAGGCAACAAAAGAAAAAATAGACAAACTGGACTTCATGACAACATTTTATGCTTCAAAACACAATATCCGGAGTAAAAAGGTAACCCACAATATGAGAAAAAGGATTTTCAAATAATATATCTGATACAGGATTAACATCCAGAATCTATACAGAATTCCTAAAACTCAACAACAAACGACTCAATTAAAAAGCAGGCAAAGAGCTGGGCAGGGTGGCTCATGCCTGTAATCCCAGCACTTTGGGAGGACAAGGTGAGGGTGCAGCTTGAGCTCAGGAATTCAAGATCAGCCTGGGCAACAAAGCAACACCCCCAATCTCTACTGTTTTTTTTTTTTTTTGAGATGGAGTCTCGCTCAGTCGCCCAGGCTGGAGTGCAGTGGGGCGATCTCGGCTCACTGCAAGCTCCGCCTCCCAGGTTCACGCCATTCTCCTGCCTCAGCCTCCTCAGTAGCTGGGACCACAGGCGCCCGCCACCACACCCAGCTATTTTTTTTTTTTGGTATTTTTAGTAGAGACGGGGTTTCACCATGTTAGCCAGGATGGTCTCCATCTCCTGACTTCGTGATCCACCCGCCTTGGCCTCTCAAAGTGCTGGGATTACAGGCATGAGCCACCACATCTGGCCTACATTTTTTAATTAAAAAATAAATAAATAAAAATGGGCAAAAAACTTGAATAGACATTTCTCCAAAGATTAAAAACAAAAAACAAACAAAAACTACCCAGAAAATAGTGTTGGCAAGGAAATGGAAAAATTGGAGCCTTTCCTTGCATACTGTTGGTGGGAATGAAAATGGTACAGCCACTGTGGAAAGTAGTAGAGAAGATACTCAAAAAGTTTAAAAAGATATAATTACCAGATGATTCCCAAATCCACTTCTGGGTATATACCCAAGAATTGAAAACAGACCTTGAAGAGGTATCTATACACCCGTATTCATAGCAGCAATATTCACAATAGCTAAAACATCGGAGCAATCCAAGTGTCTATCAGTGGATGAATGGATAAGCAAAAATGTGGTATATACACACAATAGATTATTTAGCCTTAAGGAAGTAAATTCTGACACATGCTACAACATAGGTGAACCTTGAGTACATTGTGCTAAGTGAAATAAACCAGTCACAAAACAACAAACACTATATGAGGTACTTACAGCAGTAAAAATCATATATAGTAGAATGGTGGTTGCCAGGGTAGGGGGAGAAGAGGAAAATGGGAGTTACTGTTTAATGAGTATAGAGTTTCAGTTTTATAACATGAAGAGTAAACAGAGAAGAATGGTGATAATGGCTGCACAATATTATGAATGTACTTAATACCAATGAACAACATACTTAAAAATGGCCAGGCGCGGTGAATCACGCCTGTAATCCCAGCACTTTGGGAGGCCAAGGCGGGAGGATCACTTGAGATCAGGAGTTTGAGACCAGCCTGGCCAGCATGGTGAAACCCCATCTCTACTAGAAACATAAAAATCAGCCGGGAGTGGTTGTGCGTGCCTGTAATCCCAGCAACTCGGGAGGCTGAGGCAGGAGTATCACTTGAGACCAGGAGGCAGAAGATGCAGTGAGTCGAGATCGTGCCACTGCACTCCAGCCTGGGCAACAGAGTAAGACTCCATCTCAAAAAAAAAAAAAAAAAAAAAGAAAGAAAAAGTTAATATGGTAAATTTTATGTAATGTCTATTTTAACTGCACCTCCCTCCAAAAAAAAAAAAAATTTGAGTGGGTGGGGAAAAGCTGGGCTGTACCAGAGTTTGGTGGACAGAGAGGGATGAATCAGTTGAGCACAGAAGATTTTGGTGGCTATGAAAATACTCTGTATGATACTATAATGGTAGATGCGTGTCATTATATATTTGTCAAACCCCTTATGTATATTACTAAGAATGAACCCTAATGTTAACTATGAACTTTGAATAATTGTGATGTGGTCAATGCTAGTTCAAATGATTTTAACAAATATACCTATGTGGTGGGGATGCTGACAATGGAGGAAATTGGGGAGGGGTGGGTATAAGGGAAATCTCTGTACTTTCTGCTCAATTTTATTATGAACCTAAAATTGTTCTAAAAAAGAACCACAAAAAAACCACTGCCAACTGACAGGCAAAAATAGATCCAAACTCTGTTTTAATAAATTTTAGCAAAGTTCAAGGGAAACAAACAAACAAACAAAAAAACAACCTTTGGTACACAATCATACACTTACCCGCTTAAAACCATAAGGGAAATGGATCAATTTTATTCCTCTTAATTACCCAAAGCCCTTAAACAGGCCTTAAAAGTGCTTAAATGCTGTTAAGTGTTTAAAAGACCTTAAAGTGCTCAAAATATTGGGAATGAAATGGTGCTTACAGTTCACATACCTTTATTCCAGTGTTAGTAGCATCTTTTACAGCTTTTAATAACGTATCATATTTGGGATTAAAAGTGACAGTAAAAGCACAGTCAATAATCCTACCTGAAAGAGAAAATTCCTCTTTTAATTTTACTTATCAGCTAGTCAATTTATCTACTTTACAGCATTTAATCTATTAATCTTGCTAGTTTAACAGAAAAATAGAATGAAGGCTCAAATGAAGGCTGCACTCCAAATACCCAAAGATCATTCATAATCAAAGAGACAAAATGTAGAAGTATATAAAGGATTCAGAATAGAAAGAATTACAAGGTTAGTATATATTACCCCAAGACAGCACCAGTTCAGTGCTCACCCTGGCAGTTATACAAACATATAAACAGAAACAAAATGAATACAAGAAAAGACTAGGGAAATGAGAAATAGTAACGCAGGGCAGAGAAAGTATACAGGGCTCTGAATATACTTTTACTTTTCCAAGGTAGTGAAACCTTAGGCAAGTATTTATTCTAAGCTTGCTTTCTCACTTGTAAGTAAGATAACAAGGTGCTTACCTAACCAGGTTTTGGAGAGAATTCAGAAAAGCAAACATGTATATTAAGGCTGATAAACTTAAGTATTTTAAATAAATGTTATTATTTGAATAAAAGAGATATGAAACAATGACCTAAAGAAAGGTAGGATAATGTCTTTCATGCCTTGATACAAAGGGTAATAAACCTCAACTACCCAACAGTTTTCATTTTATTCTACTTAGTAGTATGCTTTCAAGTAAATGTCACAACTGCCTCTCTCTCCTATAAGTGCACTAAAATTTTTTTAAAAATCTGCCTCAACACACCTTTCCTAATGAAATGAGGAAGCAAGAACAAAATTTGGGAGTTCAGTATTTATCACTCCATTTAACAGAGACAAAAACTAGTTTTTCAGGAGGAGGCTGGGGTAGGAATTTTCTGCAAGAATTTACCACTTATATGTGTTCCAAAGTCTATTTTACAGATGTCATCATACTGTAATACTGTTGTGTCACCGGCATTGGGAGTATAATGGGCAGCACAATTATTGAGAGAACATCCAGTAGGAAATGCCAGGCCTGCATTTAATCCATTCTCTTTTATTAACTTGCGTGAACAGTCTTCCAACTTTTCACTAAAACAAAAAAGCAAAGGGAACTTGTTTACTTTTACATTCTTACTTTTATATATTAATACCATATAGTTCATCAAGTCCAGAAAGTTTACTAAAAACCTTAAATACCTTCTGGGAATGATCTGAGCACTTTCTGAATATAAATAAATAACAGTTCTCTGATGCTATGAAAATAGCATATCTTTAGAAGACAAGGAATTTGATTCTGCTAGAAAGTCAGAGAAACACAATCCACTTTTAACTAAATTTACTAGAAAATAAGAGTCTAACTTAGACCAATTTAAATGCTGATCTTATTTGTTCATGTTGTATATTTTTTAAATTGTAGGAATCAGAGAATTACATGTTATACTAACCATTTATCAAAAGGAAAAACTAGAGAATAATTACTTGAATTGGTTTTGTTACTGTATTATCATCATGTTCTGTATTTGGGCAATTGCTCCAATACTTTCTTATTTCTTAGTATGACTTGTTAGATAGCAAAATAACAGATTTCCAGATAGAAAATAACAATCAGTAATGACTACATGTGCACACAAAAGGGTGGCTGAGGTGCCAATGTGTACTCCTCTTCATGGTTTTCTCATAGTGACACTAAAATAATCTAGAAGGCATTTCTACAACCTTTACTTAAAGATTTAGCAAAGTGGTAATGAAAGCCAAACATTATAATTGGAGAGTTAGTACTTAATAAAACATTTTTTATCATGTTCTTACGAAGAAGTATTCCTTTTACCAGATTTCTATCATTGTCATCCCAGGCTTGATCCAGCTCATTACGTATTTTCTAACTTGTCGATGTGCTTCTGCAGCTTCTCGAAAATCATTCCAAATCTCTTCACTTGCCTGATCTAATGCTTTCTTTTCTTCACTTGTAGTTCTCCAAGCAGCTGTTCGCCTTTAGAGTGGGCATAGAATACTATTAGTGATAAAACAGCAGAACAAGCATAAAAGCTGACAACTATACTAAGTAACAAGACAGTTCAAATAAAAATACAGTACATATTCAGTTTATGTCAATAAAGTTTCTGAAATACAAAAAGCCAAACACTTGCAACCAACTCAAATGAAATTAAAAACTTTTTAAGACTCTAAGGGAGGGAAAAAAACCCTCATGTGAGATTTCATTCATAGTCAGAGGAACTAATACCCTGACAACACAAAAAGATAATAAAACAATCAGAAAAGTCTGAAGAGTCCTAGAATCAGAGTAAGTAGGAAAAAGTCATCCTTCCACTTGAGGTCATATATACTTTAGACACTTCAAAGGAGCACAACAACAATTTGCATTTAATTTTGCCAACAGAGTAACTACTAACCCAAGAAACTGACTTGGAAATCTGCATATACTTCCTCAAAACACATATTACATGCGTGTGCTGGGTTTTCCTAATTGTATACATAAATATAAGAGGTATTCTTCCTTGAAAGACATGGCTCACATTTTAAAACTGCCAGTGCTAACGAATTTCTTTTTTAAGAGACAGGGTCTTACTCTGTTACCCAGGCAGATGCAGTGATGTGATCATAGCTCACTACATCCTCAAACTCCTAGGTTCTTCCTGCCTCAGCTTCCCAAGCAGCTGGGAGTATACAGGTGCATACCAGCACACCCAGCTAATTTTTAAAAACTTTTTCTTTAAAGAAATGGGGTCTTGCTATGTTGTCCAGGCTGATCTTGAACTCCTGCCCCGAAGTGATCCCCCTGTCTCAGCCTCCTGAGTGGCTGGGATTACAGGCGTGAGCCACCCCAACTGACAGAATTTTTTATTCAGTATCTGGGAATAAGATCCATGACTCCTGTAGTAGGAAAAACATTAACTGCCTTAAAATGATATTTAAAAAAAAAAATCTAAACAATTTTCACACATTCTTAAATACTGAATATACAGTTTGCAACTTAGTGACCACTGAGTATAAATTACACAAGTGTAAAAGTGATACCTTCAAGGAATTGCTATTTGCCTCCCCTGTTTTATAAATAAAATTTTATTGCAACATGTGCCCACTCATTTATGTACTGTCTATAGCTATTTTCATGCTACAATGGCAAAGCTAAGTAACACTCAAGGCCTAAAATATTCACTATATGCCCTTTGAAGAAAAAGTTCACTCAACTCTGCCCTAAACTACAGACCCTGGCCAAGGTGGGAGGATCACTTGAGGCTAGTAGTTCAAGACCAACCTGACTCTGTCTCTGACTCTGTCTCTACCAAAAAAAATTAGCTGGGCGTTGGGCTTATCCCTGTAATCCCAGCTACTCAGGAGTCTGAGGCAAGAGGATCACTTGAGCCCAGAAGTTCAAGGACACAGTGAGCTATGATTGCACCACTATACCCCAGCCTGGGCAACAGACCAAGACCCTGTCTCTAAAAACATAAAATAAAAAATAAAAAATAAAAATAAATAATAAAGAAAAAAGAAACAGAATTAAAGAAATTCTTTTGCTCAAAGTCTCGAGTTCAGATAGAAAGTTATTAACAATAAGAAAAACCCAGCGTCAGGGTCTATAATTCCAGACTCCCCCAAAACTCCTTATAAGTGGACTAAAAATTTTTTTAAAATCTGCCTCAACACACCTTTACTAAGAGTATTATTTTCCTATATTTTATCTTATTTAGTTCAGTCAATTAAACAAAAGTATAGCAATTAAAGCCAGGTACAGTGGCTTACTCCTATAATCCCAACAGTTTGGGAGGCCAAAGTGGGAGGACTGCTTGAGGACAACAGTTCAAGACAATCCAGGGTGACACAGTGGGACCCTGTCTCCACCAAAATATATACACACACATATACATACACACACACACACACACACACAAACACACATATACATACACACGATAGGCCAGGTGCAGTGGCTCATGCCTATAATCCCAGCCATTTGGTAGGCTGAGGCAGGAGGACTGTTTGAGCCCAGAAGTTCAAGGTCAGCCTGGGCAACATAACAAGACTCCATCTCTACAAAAAGAAAAAACAACTTTAGCCAGGCAAGGTGGTACATGCCTGTAGTCCCAGCTACTTGGGAGAAGGGGTAGGAGGATCACTTGAGCCCCAGAGGTCAAGGCTGAACTTAGCTAGATCTCACCACTGCACTCCAGCCTGGGTGACAGAATGAGACCCTATCTCAAAAAATAGTAATGACCAGGCATGGTCGCTCACACCTGTAATCCTAGCACTTTGGGAGGGCAAGGGGGACAGACTGCATGAGTTCAGGAGTTCGAGACCAGCCTGGGCAACATAGAAAGACCCTGTTTCTACTAAAAATACAAAAAGTTACCCAGGCAAGACAGTGCACACCTGTAGTCCCAGCTACTCGGGAGGCTCAGGCACGAGAACTGCTTGAGCCTGGGAGGCAGAGGTTGCAGTGAGCCAAGACTGCACCACTGCACTCCAGCCTGGGCGACAGAATGAGGCCCTGTCTCAAAAACATAATAATAACAATTAAAATGTATGCATGTATCACATAAAATCCTTCCTCTAAAAACTGGTACTTAAAGGGTAAGAAATAAAGCATATTTTAACTCTGCCTATAAGAAGGAACTATAGTTGATTCCCAGTTGACAGAGAAAATTCTTCTTACAGAATAGTATCACCTAATAAATGTAGAAGGAATGAAAGAATCAAAAATCCACCATTTTGCAGTTCCCAATGAAATAACCCATAAAAGCAAGGATCATCAATGGATATTAAAAGAATTAAGTGAAAAGTTGTTAAGAAAAGGATATTCCTTTCTTCTCAAGTTTGTATAAACTAAATAGGAAGAAAAGGAAGGAAGATAGATATTCCAAATGATACCAAAGTAGCCCCACAGATTACTTGGAAACTGCAAAAAGCAAAAAGTACCTTTAAAAGAAAAAAAAAAAAAAAAGAGTTGGCTGTCACATTAATCAAGAGGTCAAACACAATAAAACTAACAGTAGGATAGCCTGAGATTACATCTAATGTAGCAGAATATGGTACAATGTGAAGGTCATAATCACTTATTTTATACCTCTGTCAAAAATGTTTAACCTAAATCTAATCTAAGCCCATTAACACCTAATTCCAGTTTACGGAAAACACAGAAATAGAGAAAAAAGTTTAACCCCCAACAAGGAAACAATCGGAGAAATCCCAGAACATGAGACCTCTACAACTGCCTGGTTTCTTCAAAGAGATGGGGCACTGAAGAGAAAGAGAAAAAGGTGAGGCCTCTAACCATATGCAATGAGAACCTCAAGTGGATCCTGGTTTTAGAAAGTAAACAAACATTACTATAACTACTAAAAATTAGTTTCAAAGCTACTTGGGAGGATAAGATGGGAGGATAATTTGAGCCCAGAAATTGTAAACCAGCCTGGACAATACAGCAACACCCCATCTCAAAAAAAAAAAAAAAAAAAAATACAGGCTTCAAGCTATGTGTGAGAAGAGTGTTCACAACAGTCATCTGGATACACTCAAAACAACTACCCACAACTTAATAATTACAAGAGGAAAAAACTAGTAACAATACACTTGAGAAACTGGCTAATACTTTAAACGAACGATAAAAATTAAATATCACCAATAAGGAGCAAATTGACAATGTATGCCTCTAGATATAACACCCTGAAAAGGATACTGTATATACATTATCTAGTATTCCAGCCGAAAATGCAGTCTGATCTCAAATGGCTCAGAAAAAAAAAAAAAAAAACTACTATGCCGGGTGTGGTGGCACACGCCTGTAATCCCAACACTTTGGGAGGCCAATGCAGGAGGATTGCTTAAGCCCAGAAGTTCCAGGCTACAGTGGGCTATGATCACACCGCTGTATTCCAGCCTGGCTGACAGAGTGAGACCTTGTCTCAAAACAAAAAAAAAAAGAAAAAAAACTATATATATACAGACTCACCAATTTAACATTTTTCACATTTGCCTTATATCTGTCTTCCAAGGAGAAAATGGAATGTTATTTGTATATGACAATATGCATACTTGTTGTATTTCATTGAGATAAAGAATAAAACAAATGTGGCAAAACAAAGGAAATCTAGGTGAAAGGTATGTGGGAATTCTTTGTACTATGCTTGTAGCTTTTCTGGAAGTACAAAATCATTTCAAAATAAGAAGTTTTTTGGGTTTTTTTCTGAGACAGAGTTTCACTCTTGTTGCCCAGGCTGGAGTGCAATGGTGTCATCTCAGCTCACCGCAACCTCCGCCTCCCAGGTTCAAGAGATTCTCCTGCTTCAGCCTCCCAAGTAGCTGGGATTACAGGCATGCGCCACCATGCCCGACTAATTTTGTACAAAATAAGAAGTTTTTAAAAATACACTTAACCTAGAGTAGTTTCAAAGGTGAGTTGTGATAATTCATTCAATTTCTAATAAAAGTTTATTAATAAAACAATGAAGGAAAGATACAAACTATACCAAATCTGTAAGAATACTGAATCTGATCTATTTGCAAATAGTCAAAACTGGTTATATGAATGTAAAAAGTATTGAGATTTATTAAAAAGCAAACACACCACACTATCTTATACTTATTCTGTATTTCTCCAGGATAACATACAATAATGCAATATTTAAGAAAATTACTTTGAGAAGTATTATAACATGTAATTAATATCTTCCTCTATTATTTCAAAAACAGAAGTTATTCTACTTATTTAATTTCAATAGAAGCTTAGAGTAAGGAAAAGGAAGTTTTTGAAGTTTACAAAATCTCATTTTTTTCATGTATTAAATACCACTTCAAGTGTTCCATAACATTCACATTGTTAAAAGTATTAACAATCTGTTAACAAGTATAAGAAATCAATGGCTTTCCTCCACTCTAGCAGCAAGTATAAAGAAACAGAAACGGGATTGAAATATTTAATTCACATCACTAACAAAAACCATAAAACACTAACAAATTTAATTAAAAAGGGCTAGAACCTACCTGGAAAAAATAAAATTGAATAAGTGAAAAAATATCAAAAACATCCCATGACATTGGATAAGACAAGGTGATAAACTGTCAATTTTCAGAAACTAATACATAAATATAAATGCAATTCTGATGAGAATTCTAACAAGGACATTTGTGTGTGTGTGTGTGTGTAAGGCTATATGACTGAGAGTAGCTAAGAAAAGTATTAAAAAGAACTGTTTGGGATATCAAATCAAAATAGTATTAGCCTAAGAAGAAACAGATCAGTGGAGCAGAGTAAATAATCCAGAAACTGATTCCATTATATACATGGGAATACAGCATGTGACAAAGGTGGTCATTCAATTCAGTAGGAGGGATTATTTAATAGACAATAAACTGACTCTGCACTGGAAAGAAAAATAAAATAATTAGTGCTCCCAACCTTACACAAAAAATTCCAGATTAAAGATGTAATAACACACAAAATACGTGTTCAAGAAAATCTGAGAGACTACTGGGAACTCAGAAGTATTTTTTTTTTTTTTTTTTTTTTTTTTTTGGTGAGACAAAGTCTCGCTCTGTCACCCAGGGTGTAGTGCAGTGGTGCAATCTCAGCTCACTGCAACCTCCATCTCCTGTGTTCAAGCGATTCTCCTGCCTCAGCCCCCCGAGTAGCTGGGATTACAGGCACGCACCACTGCACCCGGCTAATTTTTTTTATTTTTTTATTTTTAGTAGAGACGGGGTTTTACCATGTTGGCCAGGCTGGTCTTGAACTCCTGACCTTAGGTAATCCACCTGCCTCAGCCTCCCAAAGTGCTAGGATTACAGGCATGAGCCACCATGCCTGGCCGGAACTCAGAAGTATTAAACATGGACACATAATGCATTTAAAAATTTAAAACTTCTGGGAAGAGCAAAAGATATCATAAAGCCTACGATCAAAAGATGCTCGAAATCACTAATAGTATAAGAACTGGAAATTATTAATATATTCTTTGGTTAATCAATCTCACTCCTAAAAACGTATTTCAGAATATAACTACCAGTACATGAGAAAGAGAGAAAAATACCTACATATCCAGCTACCTATTTACCTAAGGAGGTTTATTGCAGAATGGTTTATAGTGGCAAAAATTATTGCAGACAAAGCAAATGGCCATCAGCTAAAGAATGGTGGAATAAAGTGTGGTACACTCACACCACGGAATATTATGAAGCCATTCAAGATAATAATAGAACTATTCTAATTGACTTGGAGGAACTTCCAAGAGTTAGCACTGAATGAGAAAAGGTGGAGGAAAGTGTGCCTATGATTCCATTTTTGTAAAACAAACAATGATCAAACATTCCCTTACATAAACAGACAGATGTATACATATATGAGCATAGAAAAAATATGGAAGGCTACCTGCTAGGTGGTTAACATGGGTCTGGAAGGAAGGAAAAGAAGAGGGAACAAGCAAAAAAAAAAAAAAATTAAGAGATTATATTTAAAAATAAATGTGATCACATCATATGTACTATAAGAATTTATTAATGTAAAATTATCTGTATCTGTGGCATTTTAAAAATAAGTGCTTTTAAGATAGGGACAATTGACGATTTCAAATTCAAAGAAAAGAAGCCCATGTCATACAATTCCAGAACTTTACACTTATTCCCTAAGAACATTCGTAACTGGAAATGAGGGAGCAGGTGGTAATGTAACAACAGTATGTTCTTTCTTTTTTTCTATGTTTTAAAAAAAAAAATGGTGTCTTTACAGGCCAAGAAAACAAGAGCTACAGTAGAAGCTTTCTTAACCAACGACTGCAACCACTGGATTAAGCAATACTCTTAAGTCCCTTTGTAAAACACACTGATCAATGTCCATGGTATTATAAATATTGTGGGTGACAGGTTATTACTTTGAATAACAGGAACTAGCTTGCTTTATGTTCACTATGCATCTACTCTTCTAAGTGCTATGCATATATCATTCCTCACAATGACCCTGCAGAGTGCCCATTTTATGGATGAGGAAATAAAAGCACAGATGTGATAATTACTTGCCCAAGTCACAAAGCTAATAAATGTCAGAACTGGGATTCAAATGCAGATAGTTTGGCCCCAGCTTCCATGCTCTCAATATGTCTTCATAATGCCACTTCTGCTAACCATTTTAAATGTATCCTTACAGAACACCTTGAAGAATCAGGTGAATTTGTTTCCAAGACTATTTAAGTCATCTGTACTTGTTATGGTAATTATGTGATTTAATAATGGTATATTGGCTGGGCGCAGTGG
Source organism: Homo sapiens (assembly GCF_000001405.40). Taxonomy (NCBI): domain Eukaryota; kingdom Metazoa; phylum Chordata; class Mammalia; order Primates; family Hominidae; genus Homo; species Homo sapiens. The sequence goes on along the minus strand of NC_000012.12, from coordinate 95,486,781 downwards.
CTCATGCCTGTAATCCCAGCACTTTGGGAGGCCAAGGTGGGCGGATCACCTGAGGTTGGGAGTTCAAGACCAGCCTGATCCACATGGAGGAACCCCGTCTCTATTAAAAATACAAAATTAGCCAGGCATGGTGGTGCATGCGTGTAATCTCAGCTACTCGGGAGGCTGGAGCAGGAGAATCACTTGAACCCGGGAGGCAGAGGTTGCAGTGAGCCGAGATCCCAGCATTGCACTCCAGCCTAGGCAACAAGAGTGAAACTCTGTCTCAAAAAAAAAAAAAGTAACATTAAAAAAACTGTTTCCATGAAAACTAACTACCCTGATAAATCTCACTAAGGATAAGTGATCAAAAAATACTTCTGTCAAATTAAGTGTAGGTAAGAACTATCAAAAGGTTTCAGGAAAAAAAAAGTAAAGATATAGTAGACATCAACCCTTATATCACTCAGAAATCCCAAATGGAATTGTAGATAACGCATTATGAATACATATGAGGGGGGAAAAGTACTAAACCATACCCAAATTTCAAGAGAGGTGAAAAACAAATTTGTTTAAGTTAACCTTTATCTACAAGAATTTTTATTTTGTGATCCTCAGTTTAATATACTTTTTAAATGACCAATAACCTGCTATTGGTCCCAATCATTTTGGATAAGAGGGCTTCTACTGTATCTTCTTTATGACAAATTTATAAGCATTTATTAAAGTAGTGGAGCAAAGTTCTGAGAAATGTCAAATCTGCTTTATTGCTAAGCTATAACTGTCAGAAATTAAACTGGAAGTGATTTGATGATCCTTACCCATCTTGTGTGGGTGGGTATTCGCATTCTTGTCCTTTGGGAAATACACCATTAGGATACAGGTCACATATTGGAACTGAGGGAGGGTCTGTTTGAACTTTTGCTGTGAGATACAAATAAAGCATTAACTTCTGTAGTTAAAAATAAAATTAAGCAGTTATTAGAGTTTTCTCAGTTCCTAATGGTTGTTATATGTTCTGATTTTAAGGAAACTCCTTGCTGCCACAGTTAAAAGCAGAAGACACTTCATCATGCTGGCCACCTCCTCAATGATTTATTGCTGCTTGGGAAAAAGAAATTTTTAACTCCTCAGAACTCCATTATGTATTTAAACAGTATATGCCTTGGCAAAAGGCACACTTCTAATGTCTTCATCTTCACTCACTATACTAGAGATGGAACAGCATAGAGAGGTTGGCTTTCACAAATACAAACCAAAGTAGTAAGAAGTCCTATAGCAATAAAATAAAAATATAAACCTAATATATATTAATAAAATAAGAAAAACTATTATTTCAAGAGTATATAAGGTATAAAAGTTAAAAGCATACATAATCAATCATGGTTTTCTGAAATCGTAACTTTTGTCAAAGTATTTATCACTCCAACTTTATCTCATCTACAAATCTGATAAAGATGCCTTTTATATTGTGCATAAATTACATGACAAGGGACTTAAAAAGATCATTAGAGAAAAAATACACAATTTGTAATCAGAATATCAAAGTTGAAGTCTAGCCTTTACCACTTATTAGCTATGACTTGAACAAATGGCTAAATAGTACCAATCCTCAGTTTCCTCATCTACAAAATGAACGATCAGATGAAATCCTGGATAACCTTCGAAAATTATAATGTATTACATCCAAGTCATTATATAAAACTATGAATTATCTGTAATAATCTGTACTATGGTTATCATTAACTAACATTTATAATTTTCCCACTGTATAGATGAGGAAAATGAGGGCAGTGAACTGCCCATGATTATATTATTTGGCTTGTTACAGAAATGATTCAAGAAGTCTACCAGGATATAAAAAATAAACAAATAAAGAGACATTCAAAGTAAATTAGTAAAAACCAAAACAAGAACATAGAATAGTACCTGAAATGAGGCCAACACAAAAACCACACATTTGGCTCTAAGCCCTTTAGTAGCCAACATTAAAAAAAAATTATTTGCACAGGTCACAATGGTTCTGAGATGAAACAGACTGATACTCAGAAAAAAACACAATTATCCTTGATACTAAGCAGAAAAAAAAAAGAGTACCTCATAAAGAAATATAATGAACAGTACATTCAACAACATCCTCAGAGGAAGCAGAACAAATGTTAATGGCATCATACTTAAAACATCTGTCAGAAGAATTCTGTCAAGGGCAAATATAAAACAGTCCTCTAACAACACTCCTCCCTGCTGGTCTGCCTTCAGAAGGGAGCAATTTAGAGTATTTGAAGAAATAGTTATCTTTTTTTTTTTTTTAATTTAAGAAATAGGTATCTCTTAATTCATTCTCAGGTAACACTATTTCTTATAGCCAAACTTTTAATAATTTTTTTTTAATGGAAAGAATAGGACAATATAGCCCCTGGAAGATTCCTGGAATGCAAGTATCCTGTGCTCATCAAATACAGACTCATGGGCCCTCACAGGCTACGAGAATAGCTGACATCCTCTTCTTAGAGTGGAAGGATCTAGTAATGATGGACGCCTAAATGCAAAGAAGGCTATTCCACCTCCACCTGGAGACCAGGGGAATCACTACCAAGCCCCCAAAATTCTGATTCATAAAATTTTAGCCTGAAAAATTTTAAAGGAAGGCATAACCAGACATTCAGTGGTCTACAACAGCCCAAATGGCATCCAAGATTAAAACTTACATGTTGTGATTCTCAACCCAACCTTTCTTCCTCAACACTACGAAATCTCCCTTCAGCCTCCTTAATATATTTTCGGGCACCTGATGATGTTTGGTTGTGGCACTTACAGAAACTCAAAACAAGCAGGATATTTTATACAAATCTGATCGTACAATATAAAAGTTATTATTAATAATAAAGTCTCACCATATGCACACATCTTAAATAACGGGATTCCTCATTAAATACTCATCAAGAATCTCATAATTTAAAAGCTGGAAGGTAAATTACAAACAACGCTTACCCTACCACCACCATGGCACCACTTCGGCCATTCTTGACAGAATTATTCTTTAAATTATGCAAGTTTTAAATCATAAAATTTTTAGAAACTCATCCCTAACTTGCAGTAAAATGCAACCAATTCATATCGACATCCCTTAGCTAACAGCTAAAGAAAATAAAGGATTGTTAAACCAAAGTTATTAAACTAATAAATAATTATTAGTTTCACTAAATTCTGCTTCTATTAAGCCTAAGTTTATTTCCCTAACATATATCAGGACCTTAAGCAACTTCAAACCTACTCTTCAAACCTGTCAGTGAATAACCACTTCTTTTTTTTTTTTTTTTTTTTTTTGAGACAGAGTCTCACTCTGTTGCCCAGGCTGCAGTGCAGTGGCACAATCTCAGCTTACTGCAATCTCCGTCTCTTGGGTTCCAGCAATTCTCCTGCCTCAGCCTCCGGAGTAGCTGGGATCACAGGTGTGAGCCACCACACCCGACAGAATAAACACTTCTAATATATCAATTAACATTAACTTAAGACACTAACGTCCTCTCTTCTTCTTCTTCTTTTTCTTCTTCTTTCCAGTTGCTCCATCTCCATCGCCATCTCCATCTAAGAAAAGACATTTCAAGTACATGTTCATTTAAACCTCATAAGCAGAGGGACAAAGCAAGTACAAGGAGACAAGTATTTGCTCTATTCAATAAATGAACAAACGTTAGTTTATTTTATCTTGTTTACATTTATTCTTTCACTGAAATAAGAAATAGGAAGCAGCTACCAGGTGTGGTGGCACATGCCTATAGTCCCAGCTACTAGGGAAGCTGAGGTGGGAGGATCACTTGAGCCAAGGAGTTGGAATCCAGCTTGGGCAACATAGTGAGACTCCAACACTAAAAAATTTAGAAACAGGAAGCAGCAGTTTAGCAAAGTGGGAGGTAACGTGATCTAGGACTTACGTGGGTTGAACCATATGAAAATGCCAATACTTGACCATTTTTGGTCAAAATTGCCACTTCTTTTCTTTCTTTTTTTGAAACAGGGTCTAGCTCTGTTGCCCAGGCTGGAGTGCAATGGCGCAATCTCAGCTCACTGCAACCTCCGCCTCCCAGGTTTGAGTGATTCTCATGTCTCAGCCTCCACCTCCCAAGTATCTGGGATTACAGGTGCATGCCACCATGCCCATCTAATTTTTTTTTTTTTTTTTTTTAGTAGAGATGGAGTTTCGCCATGTTGACCAGGCTGGTCTCGAACTCCTGACATCAAGTGATTTGCCAGCCTTGGCCTCCCAAGTCCTGGGATTATAGGCGTGAGCCACTGTACCCAGCCTCAAAATCACCATTTCTTATGTTCAATCTTATGAAATTATCAAAAACCTAGCAGGCAGAAGAGAACAGTAGAAGTACAAATATTAGGCTAGGTAAAGTGGTTCACACCTGTAATCCTAGCACTTTGGGAGGCTGAGGCAGGTGGATCACTTGAGCCCAGGAGTTTGAGACCAGTCTGGAGGACATGGTGAAACCCTGTCTCTACTAAAAGTACAAAAAATTATCCAGGTGTGGTGGTATGCGCCCATAGTCCCAGTTACTTGGAAAGCTGAGATGTGGGAGGATCACCTGAGCCAGGGAAGTCAAGGCTGCAGTGAGCTGAGATCGAGCCACAGCACGTCAGCCTGGGTGACGGGAGGGAGATCTTGTATCCTAACAACAACAAACCCAAAACACAAATATTGCTGACTTATTCATTATGGATTTTTAGATTCAAAAGCCTAACAAAAGGCACACGAAAAATTATAATCTAATTCACATATCGTGCACTGTAACGTTAACAGTAACCTTCTTCACCCCATTAAATGTTTGTTGGGCTCTTAAGTGCCAGGCAATAGGGACAGAAAAATAAGATAGTTTCTGTTCTGGAGAAACAATAGTTTTTTCCAGACTAAAACTGGTTATGAATCTTGAAGTATTTGTTTTAGGTTGTGACTAGTGTATGTAGCACTATACCTAGTGTATGTAGCACAACCTAAAACAAATACTTGAAGATACATCACCAATTTTAAACATATACTAAAAATCTTTCCATCTGGGTGACCTTGGGCAAGTTATTTAGCCTCCCTCTACCCTGGTTTCTTCATCTTTAAAATGGAACAAAAAGGTCCTTCTTTGATACTTTCATCCTTTTGAGGCTAATTACCTTATTCAATGTCCAATGTCTGTATTCAGTACAGAAAAACAGCCACCATTTATAGAACTTTGTGCCAGGATGGCAGCAGAGCCAGGATCTGAGTATTAATCTATATATGTTTATAGTTCCAACCATTATACCATGTTGAAATTTGTGCTTTTACATGTCTTTTCTTCACAGTATCCCAGCATATTCTTCATAGGCAGAGATGGTTGGTTTTTTTGGTTTTTCTGTGACAGGGTCTCACTCTGTTGCCCAAGCTGGAGTGCAGTGGCAGGATCACAGCTCACTGCAGCCTCAATCTCCCAGACTCAGGAAATCCTCCCACCTCAGCTTCCTGAATAGCTGAGACTACAGGCACGCACCACTATACCTGGCTAATGTTTTTTAATCTTTTGCAGAGACAAGGTCTAAGTTGCCCAGACTGGTCTCGAATCGCATCTCAGCCTCCCAAAGTGCTGGGATTATAGGCATGAGCCACCAGGCCTGGCCAGCAGAGGCTGCTTATGTTTATTTGTGTTACTACTATGCCCAAATCAGTTGATATCTGTTGAATGACAACTGGAAATCATATTTTAAAAAAAAGAGTCTCAAGCTTTTAAGCTCTGCCTTGCACTATCTAGAAACATTAATTCTAAATGAACCATAGACCTAAACATAACAGCTAAAAATATATAAAACTTCTTGAAGAGAACACAGAACATCTTTGTGACCTTAGAGACAGCAATGACTTAACTTTTTAGACAGGACACAAAAAGCACTACCCATAAATTTAAAAAACAGATAGATTGGACTTTATCAAAATTAAAACTGTCCTATAAGCAATACCATTAACCAGGTGAATAGCCATCCCATAGAAATATCTGTAAAACATATTATCTGATAAAGAACTTGCAACCAGAATATACAATGAACTATTACAATTCAATAGGATGACAAATAACCCAATAAAACATGGACAAAAAATGTGAACAAACACTTTACCAAAGATAAAGGAAAAAGCAAATAAAAACATGAAAAGATGCTCAATATCATTAGGGAAGTGCATATTAAAACCACAATGACAAAGCACTACATACCCATTATCAAAGACTAAAATTTTAAAACAAATACCAAGTCCTTACAAGGATACGAACAACCTGAAACTCTCAACCATTGCTAAGAGGAATGCAAAACAGCATAGCCACTTTGGAAACCAGACAGCTTCTTAGGAGTTTAAACACATACTTACCATATGACAGGCAACCCAGTCCTATTTACTCAAGAGAAATGAAAACATATCTACACATAGACCCATATGCAAATGTTCATAGTAACTTCGTTCACAACAGACCAAAACTGTAAACACCCCAAATATTGTTCAATGTAAAAGGGTAAAACATATTAGGAATACTACTTGCAATAAAAAGGAATGTGCTATTGATAAATGCACAACTCGATGACTGTCAAAAGTATTATGCTAAGTAAAACAAGCCAAACACAAAAAACTACATACCGAATAATTCCATTTATAGGATACTCCAGGAAAGGCCAAAACTAGGGTCAGAAAACGTATCAGTGATTGCTAAGGGTTAGGTATAGTGCAAGAGAACCAACTACAAGAGACACAACTTTTTTCTGGAGATGGAAATGTTAAATGGAAATAGTCTGTATCTTCCGTCGTGGTAGTAGTTACACAATTGCATACTTTGTCAAAACTCACCAAACTATACACTTAAAAAGGATGACTATTGGGGCCAGGTATGGTGGCTCACGCCTGTAATCCCAGCACTTTGGGAGGCTGAGGCGGGCGGATCACTTGAGGCCAGGAGTTCGAGACCAGCCTGGCCAACATGGTGAAACCCTGTCTCTACTAAAAATACAAAAATTAGCTGGGAGTGGTGGCGGGCACCTGTAATCCCAGCCACTCAGGAGGCTGAGGCAGGAGAATCGCTGGAACCCGGAAGGCAGAGGTTGCAGTGAGCTGAGATCGTGCCACTGCACTGCAGCCTGGACAAGAGTGAGACTCCGTCTCAAAAAAAAAAAAAAAGAGTGGTGACTATTATTTTAGGGAAATTATATGTTAATGAGCCTGACTCAAAATGTATTGAATGAATTACCTCCAGCACACTGTCAGATGACCACAGGATCAACTTTTTATACCAATACCACAGTTTCCAATTCAGCACATCTAAAATTAAACTTAGTACCCTCTTCTTTGCCTGCAAACCTCTCCCCCAATGTCTAACTGGCTCTTTCCCAACTTCACTATTTCAGTCAACAGCACCAACATTCTGTCACCCAAGTGCAAACTCCCAGAGTCCACTAATGCCTTACTCCTGCTCCCAGAATGCAAGTCTCCAAGTCTTTTGAATTCTGCTTCCACACTACTGTTCACTGGATCCTTCCTCTCCATGCCTATTTATGACTATCAGTTTACATCTTCATTACCATATGCCTGGGCTATTTCTAAGAGGCCTCCAAAATGATCTCCTCCTTGCCTTTCCTACACACTTCCTCTCCTCTAAACAACCCTGTATACAGGTAAAGCCTAAATTATTATTTCATAACATTCCTTTTTTGTTAAGAGACAGGGTCTTACTATGTTACCCAGGTTGGAGTGCAGTGGCCAGTCACAGGTGTTTTCGTAGCATACTGAAGCCCCCTGGACTCAAAGATCCTCCCATCCCAGCCTCCCAAGTAGCTGGGATTACAGGCACCAGCCACTGTGCTTGGCTCATAACATTTCTTAAAAATCCTCTAAGGCTCCCTCAATCTATCACCTCATATGGCAAGCTTGTATTACCACAATGCTTCAAATGTTTTCTCAGCATTACCCCAACCCAAAATAGTTCCTTTGTTTGGTTTTACTCAAGTTCTATTCCTTCCAATGAGCCTTCCTTCGGCATTCAGCCCACACTTATACCACCAAATTTCAATAAATTTTATTACAGGTACCCAAATACCTTTTCACTTCTAGGTTTTGTCTGTCTACCACATCCTTAGTTTTCTTTATTTTTTCTTATTTTTTGAGACAGAGTTTCACTTTTGTTGCCCAGGCTAAAGTGCAATGGCGCAACCTCCACTGACAGCAACCTCCACCTCCTGGGTTCAAGCAATTTTCCTGCCTCAGCCTCCCGAGTAGCTGGGATTACAGGCACCCACCACCACACCTGGCTAATTTTTTGTATTTTTAGTAGAGATGGGGTTTCACCATGTTGGTAAGGCTGGTTTTGAACTCCTGACCTCAGGTGATCCACCCACCTCAGCCTCCCAAAATGCTGGGATTACAGGCGAGAGCTAACACACCTGGTCTAGTTTTCCATTAGGAGAAAGATCTTGAAACACTAGCTTTCCATTCCCTCAAAGACCTAACAACAGGTAAGTAGTATTGACTGACTCTGATTACTGAAATAACTACAAATATTCCTAAAATCTTCTTTAATACATTGAAGATTTCCAACCTGATGGGCAACTTTGTAGAGATGTAACAGAACAAGATAACACTTCAAGATTAGCACTGTGATTTTTTTTGGGGGGTGGGGGGAGGTGGACGGGTATAGACATAGGGTCTCACTATGTTGCCCAGGCTTGTCTGGATTACAGGCATAAGCCACCACACCCAGCCAATATTTTTTAACTAGCCTGACAGGCCCAGGAAGCATTATGATACCATATACACAGTGGGTCTATAGCAATCTATTATATTGCCTTGAATTTACAAAACATTTTCTTGTGAAGAGCTCAAAATAAGTTCATAATCTAAAGCATAAGCCAATGTAGAACAGAGGTTTAAGGAAGAGGAAAAGCTAGTAATTCCCTTGAATCTTGGCACTTTTTTCCACCAAATGTTCACTATAAGCTTCTTGAAGGCAGAGAACATACCACTCTAAAGGAAAACAACTACTCTACATTACCCTAACACAATAATTACAGCCCCAACTAATGGTTAAAGACCTAACCCCAGGCTGGTGGTGCTTGAGGGGGAGCAGATGTTCTCAGTAGTAGGCAGCTACAAATAAAAAGAATGGGAAAGCCCCATTTTTCCTCCGCCAAAAGAGGCTGGAAAAAAGTTAAGTTTTCTTACCTGTCTCTTCCTTCACTGTTTTACTGATAACATCAATTAGCAGTTGCTGTCTTTAAAAAAATCTTATTGTACCCAAACACCCAGAAGGAGCTAGGGTCAAGGAATTTATAATAAAACTTAGTGCACTCCTATACGATTCTTTCAGAATGAAAAGAGTTAATTTTGGTATAGAGAGTAAAAGGAACAGGCCGGACACAGTAGCTCAAACCTGTAATCCCAGCACCTTGGGAGGCTGAGGTGGGCAGATTACTTGAGGTCAGGAGTTCAAGACCAACCTGGCAAAACCCCATTTCTACTAAAGATACAAAAAAATTAGTTGGGCATGGTGGCAGGCGCCTGTAATCCCAGCTACTCGGGAGGCTGAGGCAGGAGAATTGCTTGAGCTCGGGAGGTCGCAGTGATCCGAGATCACGCCACTGCACTCCAGCCTGTGCGACAGAGCGAGACTCGGTCTCAAAAAGAAAAAAAAAAATAGAGAGTAAAAGGAACAAACGTGCAGTCAGGCACTAGGTTTGAAATTCTGGCTCTATTCTACACATATTAGCTATGTCACTTTGGGTAAATCATGTAACTACCACTTCCCTATCTGTAAAATGAGATGGCTGGGTAAAGCCATGAAGGGCTGGGTAAAGTCAAAATAAATAGGAAAAGACAGTCCATTACCAAAAAACAAAATGGATATCTAAGCACAAGTAGGTTACTTTGCTTGGTTTTGTGAGGTTAAAATGTGAATGTATGTGAAAATAACCTAGGAAAGTATCTAGTACATAGTAGTTCTTCAGTAAGTATTAGTTAAATAAACAACCCCTCAATCTTATTAATACTCACTACTTTGCCTTCTACCAAGTATATTTTTAAACTCTGAGATCTGTCCTATCTGAACAGCTAATTAACACATTGAACTTTTTCAAGACTTGCTAATAAATACCTTTTCCTTTTTAATCTGTGACATTAATTGAGGTAACAAGTGAAATGTCAGAGAAAACACTATACGAGTAAATAAATTTTGATTAAGGAATATCACATTTTCTAGCTTTTCTTTCTTTCTTTCTTTCTTTCTTTTTTTTGAGACAGTCTTACTCTGCTGGCCAGGCTGGAGTGCAGTGGTGCAATCTCAGCTCACTGCAACCTCCATCTCTCGGGCTCAAGCAATTCTCCTGCCTCAGCTTCCCAAGTTGTTGGGATTACAGGTGTGTGCTACCACACCCGGCTAAATTTTTTTTTGTCTTTTTAGAAGAGATGGGGTTTCAACATGTTGGCCAGGCTGGTCTCGAACTACTGACCTTATGTAATCCACCCGCCTCGACCTCCCAAAGTGCTGGGATTACAGGTGTGTGCCACCACACCCGGCTACATTTTCTAGCTTTTCTAACCACAAAGATCAAATTAACCATTTACCTTCATCATCTTCATCTCTTTCTTTATCTTCCAATGCTGATCTTTCCAACTGTCTTGCTACTTCATCCACTGAGGCTCCTGATTCTTTATCAGGTTCCTGTTCCCCTGCTGATCAAAATAAAATAGCAGAAATCAAATCTAATACAGACACTTTCCCACTAGAATATGCTCTAATGATCTTGGAAAACTTACAAATCCTTTCCTCAGGAAACAAAAACAGAAACATTATTGTGAACATAACAGAATTCGTTTAATGACAGAAAAATCTTCCATACCTACACAGTATTGTCCATTCATTAATTTACTCAACAAAATATCCATTACACACACTAGCAGCTAAAAGATAAACAGCGTGAACTGGTCTCTATCCTCAAGTAGTTTAACTTGTAATAGTGGTCAGCAATTAGACTTAACAAATACTTAAACACCAGATAGGTAATAAATGCTGAAGGCCTTAGGAAAAAGATTCATGTGCAACACCCCGGGGCAGCCTGGTTTCATGAATAAGGATATCACGATGGGCTGGGTAAAGTCAAAATAAATAGGCAAAGACAGTCCATTACTAAAAAACTAAAACGCTCAAATATCTAAGCACAAGACCAGGCCCCTGCTCTGGAAGTGATTATAACCTACCTATAAGAGCAATATGTTACATGCATTAATAGTATCAGGTAGCACGAAATGAAGTGACATTCTGGCTACTGGAGAGAATTCATATTAAGAAATACAACTGTTAAAAATACATTAGGATCAGTCAGCTTAACACCTTACAAGACAAACAGCAGTGTTTGAATTTCACTCGAAATCCAGGAACAGCCACCAGAGTAACAAATTTTGCTCTGGAAGAGTTCCAGCAACGCTACAACTCTCCTTCCATTCCTATCTAATCAAAATTTCAGAAAGATGAAGATTAGCTCTCTTCGACCTCTCTCAATTCCATCTTAATCGCTTCTGACTTCTCCATTTTCTGTTTCTCTGGCGATTTTAATTAGAAACAAGTAAAAATAATTTTTATTAAGGTGAAGGAGCTTGTGCAGCAAAAACACAGACTTCTCAAAATATGTAAGTTCCTAGTTCATAATATCCAACTGTAAACTCTCAGCAGTTCTCCTTGCCTTACCAGTGGATTTAGAGGTTAAGACCTCAGAAGTTCCATTCTGAGCCACAGAATATCCTATCTGCACTGCCTGCAATTGGTATCATAATTCAGGTCTAAAGGCCCTAAAGCTTGGCGATGCTATGGGATTAGGCAGGTGAAAATTCGTTATCACCACCACAAATTCTGCAATTAATGACATGAGCGCGCGGGCAAACACACATGTACACACACCCCAAAAGTGCAGGCTGCAACAACCCCAACGTGAAACGGGATAGTGGGAGGAGGTGTGCTCTCCATTACATTTGCCCACCCCCAAAGAAAATAAGTCCTAGCTTGCTCCAGCAAACCAGCAAAGACGCGGCAATACGGATCAGAATCGGATTTTTGAGGCGGCGGCCAAATCGCGCGAAAGATGGTAGGGCTGTGCTCTGCGCACAATCTCAAGACCGTGCCACGATGTGCGTGGGAGCTGAGTTCTGGTAATACAGGGGCTCGGGCCCAGCGACCCCAGAGGTACCACACGCCAACCTCAGGCACTCTTTTCTCCCCCACCAGCCCTCTAGTCCCACAGGAGGAGATGACGCCTCTTCTCAGACTAGGAATCTATAGCCCGGCTTTGCCACCCTGTCAGGCCCAAGAATCAGTCTAGTCGGGGCTCTGGGGCCCCGGTCCCGGCCCCCTCAACGGGCCTGAGCCAAACAGTTCAGCCGTTCCCGGAGGGGACTGGGAAAACATAAAACTCTCTTTACCTGCAGAAGGCCCTTTGCTCTTCTTCTTCTTTCGTCTTTTTTTCTTGGCTGCTTCCTCAGCCGTAGAGGCAGCTCCTTCTTCCCTGTCGTCTGGATCCAGGTCGCCATTCAGGTGGCTCCCGGAGGCCGCTACCTCCTCCACACCCGCCATGTTGCCCGAGAGAGCGCGAGGGAATGAGACAGAGCGGCGAGGGCCCCGATCCTTCTCCACCCGCCTACACCAGCCACGCCGGAAGCTGCTCTCGATGGTAGGGACGCAGGGAATGCTGGGACGGCGGAGGACTCAGCTGAGGGTGTCGGGCTAGCTTCGGGCCGGGCGTGCAGGAGTCTCGGCTTGGAGCCCCGCCTGGCTGGAGTCGACTGGGGCCAGACCCGACTGCTTCGTCCGGTGCCTCGGGCATTCCCGAAGCAAATCGGCAAGCGCAGGGTGAAGTTTAAAGGGGAAGTTGAGCTCTAGAGTCAGCCGGAGATACCTGTGGAGACGGGCAACCCGCCGTAGCAAGCGGCGTCTCTGCTGGAACGGAAATATTTTATATTTGCGTTTTTATAAATCACACAGGCAGTGGGGAAACGGGCTAAGAAATGTGTTCACTTGTACACATTTCTATTGTCATGACTCCACATATCTCTTAAATCTAAGAGATTTAATCAAATCTGCGTTGACATTCACAATCACAGCTCTCCGCGAGGCTCTGTAGGCACTGGAGAGAATTTTGGAAGCTGGAGTTCCGTGTTAGTTTATTGTACTACTCAACCCCGGACGGTTCAAGATGGGAACCCGTCACACTCCGCTCACTTTCCAATTCAGGACAAGAATGACAGGTTTTAACACACGGGGACACGGTCTCTCTCATTAATGCAAAAGATCACACTCCGTTTTCTCTATTTCTGGTCACCTTTCTTTTGGATTTAGGACGTTTCACCAGAAACTAATTGAATTTTGCCCATTTCTTTACTTCTTATGTTTTGAGCCTCATGTTCAAACCGCAGTTTGAGATTTAGTTTGTGGCGTAAGTGGATTGTGATTGGCTGCCTGCACCAACTCCTTCTCAATTTCTCCTGAATATGGCTTTGTCCACCTGGAGAGTTTAGGTGTTTTCATTAGTTTTAAACTAGGCACCAAGCTTCATGGGCATCAAAATGTCGTTAAGAGCCTTATTGCCAGTGAGTTTACAGTAAACCTCACACAGGCTCTGACTGCAGCTGCATAAATGTACATTCTCTGTCTTAAAGCTTCAGGCAGCACCTATCCAATAGTAATAAAAACTGTTCCTCTTATTCTTGTACAGATCTTTATCTCTTTAAATCTATCCCTATTTAGATTTTAAATTGTTTTCCCTAGTTGATTGCTGGCAATATAAAAGTTGGTAAACCGGCCGGGCGCTGTGGCTCACGCCTGTAATCCCAGCACTTTGGGAGGGCGAGGTGGGCAGATCACAAGGTCAGGAGTTCGAGACCAGCCTGGCCAATATGGTGAAACCCCGTCTCCACTAAAAATACAAAAATTAGCCGGGCGTGGTGGCAGGCGCCTGTAGTCCCAGCTACTAGGGAGGCTGAGGCAGGACAATCGCTTGAACCCCGGGGGAGGTTGCAGTGAGCTGAGATTGCGCCACTGCACTCCAGCCTGGGCGACAGAGCGAGACTCCATCCCCCCCAAAAAAGTAAATAAAATAAAAAATAAAAAGTTGGTAAACCAAACATAATACCACAAAAATAAAAATAGAAGTAGCTTCCATGTGTCCAAAATCCTTTAAAATGCCCGGCAAGACCCAGCCATATCTACTTCTCCAATGTCTCCACTCTCTTACTATTATAGCTCCAGCTCTCAAAGCTCTTTCTGACCTTGGAGCATTTCAAACTCACTGTTACTTTTATCTGGGCTGCTCTTTGCTTGGCTGACATATTCACTTATTCACTCATCCATCCATTCGTTCAATGCCTACTATAAACCTAGATCTGGCAATATTTAGAGAGCAAAAACAGAGATGATCCTTGTCATCATAGAGCCAGTTAACAAAAATAGACATCAAGCAATGATGCTAATAAAAGCAAATTTACAACTGCTGCTATGAGAGCATATTACAAAGGGACTTGCCTAGGTAGGATGGCCTGGTAGAGTTTCCTGAGGAAGTAGCAATTAGGCTGAGATCTGAAGGATAAATAGGCAAAGGGGAGGGGAAAGGTTTAGAGAGAGTATTTTTTTTTTTTTGAGACGGAGTCTCGTTCTATCACCCAGGTTGGAGTGCAGTGGCCTGATCTTAGCTCACTGCAACCTCCGCCTCCCAGGTTCAAGCGATTCTCCTACCTCAGCCTCCCAAGTAGCTGGGATTACAGGCGCCCACCACCACACCCAGCTAATTTTTGTAGAGACGGGGTTTTACCATGTTGGCCAGGCTGGTCTCAAACTCCTGACCTCAGGTGATCCACCTGCCTCAACCTCCCAAAGTGTTGGGATTACAGGCATGAGCCATTGCGCCTGGCAGAGTATTCTTGGCAAAGGGAAGGTAAAGAAAAATTTAAGAGGTATTTAAGAGGAGACATGGATTCTAATACTAGAATGGTCATTTGGCTATAATTTTGTGACTCTGGACAGCCCATATATTTTTGAGCCTTGATTTTCTCATCTGTAAAACAGTAGGGAGTATAACACATTTAAAGAACTAAAAAACATCCAGAATGGCTGGAATGCAAAGAGGTGGAGAAGGGAGTGAGTGTGATGAGATGAGACTAGAAAGGTAAGAGCCTTGCAGGAAGGAAAGGGTAGGAGAGCTGACAGAGCCTTTTAGATCATACTAAGGGCTTTATACTTTGTCCTAAGAACAATATAAAACTCTTAAGTATTTTATTTTACTTTTTTTATTTATTTTTCAGACAGGGTCTCATTCTGTTGCTCAGGCTGGAATGCAGTGGCGTGATGTCAGCTCACTGCAACCTCTACCTCCTGGGTTCAAGCAATTATCCCACCTCAGTCTCCCAAGTAGCTGGGACTACAGGCACATGCCACCACACCCAGCTAATTTTTGTATATTTTGGTAGAGACAGGGTTTCACCATGTTGGTCAGGCTGGTCTCAAACTCCTGACTTCAGGTGATCCACCTACCTCCCTTAAGTATTTTATTTTTATTTTTTATTTTTTTCTGAGATGGAGTCTTGCTCTGTCGCCCAGGCTGGAGTGCAGTGGTATGATCTCGGCTCACTGCAACCTCCGCCTCCCGGATTCAAGCAATTCTTCCACCTCAGCCTCCCGAGTAGCTGGGACTACAGGTACGCGCCACCACACCCAGTTAATTTTTGTATTTTTAGTAGAGACGGGGTTTCACCATGTTGGCCAGGCTGGTCTCAAACTCCTGGCCTCAGGTGATCCGCCCTCCTCAGCCTCCCAAAGTGCTGGGATTATAGGCATGAGCCACTGTGTCCAGCCCCCTTAAGTATTTTAATGGTGAGGAGACAGTTAACCTGATGAGAGTTGCAATTAACATGATTAGATTTTTGAAAAGATCACCATGGCTGCAGTGTACAGAGTAGAGTTGAGGGTGGCCAGAATGAAAGCAGGGAGATCAGTTTAGAGGCTATTACAGTCAATAGGTTATAGTGGCTTGAAAGGGAATGATGATGGGTATGACCAAAAAAATGAATAGATTTAAGAGATATGTGGGAGATAAAATGGGCAAGACTTGGTGATGAATTGTATAAGGGATTTGAGAGAGAAGAAGATATCAAGGAATCCCCTTCGGTGTGTGCTGGTGAAACTGGATTGACTGGTAATGTAATGTAAATAACAGAGATAGAAAAACATTTCAGATTTGAAAGGGAAGATTATGAGTTAGATGTGAGACATGCTGAGTCTGAGGTGTCTTGGGGCATTAAAGTGGAGCTGTGAAGAAGGTGGATAACTATAAGGAACTGGAGATCAAAAGAATAGTTGGAGCAGATATAAAAATTTGAGTCATCAACTAATAGATGGGAATTGGAACTTTGACACAGATAAGATCATCCAGCAAGTGGATCTAGACATGAGAGTCTACCTGTACTGCACAGCATGGTGGCCACCTACCACGTTGCCACTGAGCACTTAAAATGCTGCTAGTTCAGGCCGGGCGCGGTGGCTCACGCCTGTAATCCCAGCACTTTGGGAGGCCGAGGCAGGCGGATCATGAGGTCAGGAGATCGAGACCATCCCGGCTAACAAGGTGAAACCCTGTCTCTACTAAAAATACAAAAAATTAGCCAGGCGTGGTGGTGTGCACCTGTAGTCCCAGCTACTCGGGAGGCTGAGGCAGGAGAATGGCGTGAACCCAGGAGATGGAGCTTGCAGTGAGCGGAAATGGTGCCACTGCACTCCAGCCTGGGCGACAGAGCAACACTCCATCTCAAAAAAAAAAAAAAAAATGCTGCTAGTCCAAATTGAGTTATGCCATAATTTAGAATACACACTGAATTACAAAAACTTAATACAAAAATACTAAAGTTTCTCAATAATGTTATATTTATTGTTGAAATGATAATTTTTATATAGAGTTAAATAAAAACATCATTAAGATTGATTGTTACCTGTTTCTTTTTACTTTTTAAAATGTGGCTACTAGAAAATTTAAAATTACGTGAGTGACTATTGGAAATGTAAATTGTCAACCTTAAAAAAAAGACACTAGAGGCTAGGCATGGTTTCTCACACCTGTAATCCCAGCACTCCAGGAAGATCACTTGAAGCCAGGAGTCAGAGACCAGCCTGGGTTACCAAGCAAGACCCCCTCTCTACAAGGAATTAAAAAATTATCTGGGCGTGGTGGCATGTGCCTGTAGTCCCAGCTACTCGGAGGCTAAGGTGGGAGGATTGCTTGACCCAGGGGAAGTCAAGGCTGCCATGAATTATGATCACACTGTCACAGAAGGGCTGGGCTCCCAGCTAAACCCCACCCTTAAGCCTGGAACCATGGCCCTAAGTGAAAACAGCTGACCCCATTTTTCTGCCCAAATGTTGCTTTTTTGGCCTGCCCCACCCCATCCTGTGCCCATGAAAGACTTAAGCTGGCAAAGCAACATAAGCGGCTGAGCGTCGGGAACACGAGCGGCTGAGTGGCAAGCAAAGAAACAACTAAGTGTTAGAGAGTAGATGCAGCTAATTTTGGACGTGCAGCTTCCGAGAGGGGCCTAGCCAGAGATGGGTGGGCTTCAGGTAAAGATCACCTTCCCACCCCCTTTCCAGCCTCTCTTTCCGCTGAGAGCCACCCACTGCTCAATAAAGTTGTCTGCATTCATTACCTTTCAACCCGTTCATGTGACCTGATTCTTCCTGGATGCCAGACAAGAACCAGGAAGCCCCTGAGAGTATAGGGGCTGCCACCCTGACCCTCCACTGAGCTGGTTGGCACTTGGCCATCCCTGGAAGGCAGAGCGGACAGAGCATTGGCTGTAATATGCTTGGATGCTGCTGCAGGGCCCACATAGAGCCTGCTCCCACCAGAAAGGAGCAACTGGCTGGTTCCAGAATTCGTTCACTCCAGTTCCCACACTCGCTCTCTCGCACACTCCCTCCCGTGAGGAGTGGCCAGCAGTGGGCTTAGTGAAACCAGTCACTCCACTTCCCACCCACCAAGGGGGTCAAGGGAACTATCCCATCTCATCACCACTGCACTCCAGTCTCGATGACAGAGTGAGACCTTGTCTCAAAAAAAAGAAAAAACGGCCAGGTGTGGTGGCTCACACCTGTAATCCTAGCAATTTAGGAGGCCGAGGCAGGTGGACCATTTGAGATCAGGAGTTCGAGATCAGCCTGGCCAACATGGTGAAACCCTGTCTCTACTAAAAATACAAAAATTAGCCGGGTGTGGTGGCATGTGCTTGTAGCTCCAGCTACTCGGGAGGCTGAGGCAGGAGAATCACTTGAACCCGCAAGGCAGATTGCAGAGGGCCGAGATTGCACCACTGCACTCCAGCCTGGGTGGCAGAGTGAGACTGTGTCTCAAAAAAAAAGCAAGAGAAAATTATCTCTAACATGTTGGGTTTACTTGGGAATAGAAATAAGGATTATAATCCAGAATGCAGGAAATGGCAAGCCTCCAGTGCACTCAGTGAGGGAAGGGGAGCTTTTATTAACAAAAAAGAGATTTATATAAACTGCTTAGAAACAGATCATTGTTTCTAGAGGCTCAAAGCCAGAGTTGTCATTTCATTGGTGGAGACACCTTACTGGGTAAGTGTTCTGAGAACATTTTACCTGAATTACAGCAGTCCTAAAAAATGTCTAGTGATAAACCTTATCAAATCAGGAGATGCTTGAAGGATGCGGAAGAGCTTTTTGAACATCCTTGGAAACAATTCTTAGACATATAAGCATAGGCCTCCTCTCCTTTCAACCTTCCTGGCCCTTTTTTGTCTGTGTCTGACAAAACCGATTTCATTTTGGCATCTTCAACCTTCACAAAGTCTAGAGTAAGAAGTATGGAAGTTGTCAGCTTAAGGTGCAGACATGGCCAAGTCCAAGAACCACACCACACACAACCAGTCCTGAAAATGGCACAGAAATGGTATCAAGAAACCCCGATCACAAAGATACGAATCTCTTAAGGGGGTGGACCCCAAGTTCCTGAGGAACATGCGCTTTGCCAAGAAGCACAACAAGAAGGGCCTAAAGAAGATGCAGGCCAACAATGCCAAGGCCATGAGTGCACGTGCCGAGGCTATCAAGGCCCTCGTAAAGCCCAAGGAGGTTAAGCCCAAGATCCCAAAGGGTGTCAGCCACAAGCTCGATTGACTTGCCTACATTGCCCACCCCAAGCTTGGGAAGCGTGCTTGTGCCCATATTGCCAAAGGGCTCAGGCTGTGCCGGCCAAAGGCCAAGGCCAAGGATCAAACCAAGGCCCAGGCTGCAGCTCCAGCTTCAGTTCCAGCTCAGGCTCCCAAAGGTGCCCAGGCCCCTACAAAGGCTTCAGAGTAGATATCTCTGCCAATGTGAGGACAGAAGGACTGGTGCGACCCCCCACCCCCGCCCCTGGGCTACCATCTGCATGGGGCTGGGGTCCTCCTGTGCTATTTGTACAAATAAACCTGAGGCAGGAAAAAAAAAAAAGAAGTATGGAAGTTGTCAAAATCAAAATGGAGTCACTAGTGTTAAAAAACTCACACAAAAAGAGCTGAGGAAGGCTATAAAAAGAGGGTTCTCACACTTGGATGCCTAATAACAAAAACTATCACAAAAGACTCTGCAAAAACCACAACTTTGCATAAAGGCCATCCCAACTGTACACAAAAAAATACTTCTACAAGGACATCTACCCAGCAACTGCCTGTATGACTCTGGACTGGCATCACTTTTTTTATTGATCTTTGTAGCCAAGGATAATTATCTCAAAACAATTATCCTTCTCATTTTTCCTTTAAATACCTTTATCTTTTTTTAAACCTCCCTGGATATGCACATAATTTACCACATATCTTTTTCTTTTACAGAGACTCTCTCTGTTATTTAGGCTGACAGAAAAAAAGCGAACCTGAGACTAAGCCTTGGGGAACATTTAATGAATGAGTGGGGTAGATGAACCTTCAAAGAGGACTGACGAGGTAACCAGAGAGGGAGGAAATGATCAGGAGGCATTTCTTATTAGAGAAGCCAAGGGAAGACCTTCTCAAGAAGGAGGGCATGATTAACTGTGTTAAGTGTAGCTAGGAGGTCACGCAAGAGGACTGATGTACATAGTAATTTGGATGCCATTGGTGACCTTAGCAAGAGCTATTTAGGTAGAGAGATGGAAACCAGACTAAAGAGTGTTGAGGAGGCTGGGCGCGGTGGCTCACGCCTGTAATCCCAGCATTTTGGGAGGCCAAGGTGGGTGGATCATGAGGTCAGGAGTTCAAGACCAGTCTGGCCAACATGGTGAAACCCCGCCTCTACTAAAAATACAAAAATTAGCCAGGCATGGTGGTAGGTGCCTGTAATCCCAGCTACTCGGGAGGCTGAGGCATAAAATTGCTTGAACCCGGGAGGCGGAGGTTGCAGTGAGCCAGGATTGTGCCAAGGCACTATAGCCTGGGCAACAGAGCGAGACTCCATCACACACACAAAAAAAAAGTGTTGAGGAATGAGTTGGGGGGGTGGGGAAATAGAGAACCTCCCCATCCTTTAAGTTTCAGCTTCAGTGCCACTTTTTCAGGGAATCCTTCCATAATTTTCTAAATCAGGTCCTCCTCTCACAACCTTTCATTGAATTCTTAACTTTTTTTCATGGTACTTATCACAATGTGTAATGAATTTATTTATGTGGTTATTTGTTTTATGGCTGTCTCCCCAGGAGCCCTGCATATTACATTTCCCTTTCCTTTTCTTTCTTTCTTTTTTTTTTTTTTTTTTTTTTGAGACAGGTAGTCTCACTCTGCCATCCAGGCTGCAGTGTAGTGGTACAATCACAGCTCACTACAGCCTCAACCTCCTAGGCTCAAGTGATTCCCACTTCAGCGTCCTGAGTACTGGGACTATAGGTACATGCCACCACACTTGGCTAATTTTTTTTTTTTTTTTATTTGAGATGATGTTTCAACACATTGCTCAGGCTGGTATTGAACCCCTGAACTCAAGCAATCTGCCCACCTCGGCCTCCAAGTACTGGGATTACAGGTGTGAGCCACTGCACCCGGCCCCTGCATATTTTCTGCACTATCACCAGCACCTGCCTCAAACCTAAGGCATAGTAGGAGCTCAGTAAATACTCACTATATAAATAGCACTTAAGCACCCAGCATATTACATTCATTATCTCATTTAATCCATTTCTGAGTTGAGGAAATTACAGAGAGAGTTTAGGCAACTTGCCCCAGGTCATACAGCAAGTGAATAGTGGAGTCAGAATCCAAAGCCAGGTTATCAGATACCAAAAGTTTAATGATTTTGAATTCTACCTTCCCAGTTGAAATTTCAAATCAATTCAGTAAATATTTATTGAGGTTGCAGTGAGCCGACATCACACCACTGCATTCCAGCCTGGGTAACAGAAACTCCATCTCAAAAAAAAAAAAAAAATGCCAGGCACGGTGGCTCACACCTGTAATCCCAGAAGTTTGGGAGGCCGAGGAGGGCGGATCACGAGGTCAGGAGATCGAGACGATCCTGGCTAACACAGCAAAACCCCGTCTCTACTAACAATACAAAAAATTAGCCGGGCATGGTGGCAGGCGCCTGTAGTCCCAGCTACTTGGGAGGCTGAGGCAGGAGAATGGCGTGAACCCGGGAGGCGGAGCTTGCGGTGAGCTGAGATCATGCCACTGCACTCCAGCCTGGGCGACAGAGCAAGACTCTGTCTCAAAAAAAAAAAAAAAATGTTTCTTGCCTGTAGTCCCAGCTACTCAGGAGGCTGAAGCAGGAGAATTGCAGACTGGGAGTAATTTTGCTTGGTGAAAAACACAAAACTGAATAAGACAGAAATCTGTACGCTCAAGAAAGTTTAGAATTCAATGAGACAGATGTGTAAACAAATGAAATAAGATGCTAACACTTTACTTATTTATTAATTCTTTTTTATTCTAAGATAGTCTATCACAAAGCTGAGGGATTTTTCCTTTCTTTTTTTTTTTTGAGATGGAGTCTCGCATTGTCACCCAGGCTGGAGTGCAGTGGGTGCGATCTCAGCTTACTGCAACCTCTGCCTCCCAGGTTCAAGCCATTCTCATGCCTCAGCCTCCCAAGTAGCTGGGATTACAGACGTGAGCCATCGTGCCCGGTCAGCTGAGGAATTTCTCAAGGGATCTAAAAGATCTTTAGACTCAGGGCAAAGATGTGCCTGGTCAGCCTCAGGACAAATCTCAAAACTTTGGGAGGCTGAGGCAGGAGGATCACTTGAGCTCAAGAGTTCCAAACCAGGCTGGGCAACATAGTAGAGACCACATCTCTACTAAAAAAAAAAAAAAAGAAGAAAAGATGAAATTAACTAGGCATAGTGGTGGGTGCCTGTAGTCCCAGCTACTTGGGAGGCTGAGCCGGGAGAATGGCTTGAGCCTAGGAGATAGAGGCTGCAGTGAGCTATGATCGTGCCACTGCACTCCAGCCTAGGCGATCCTGTCTCAAAACTAAAAGAAATAAAATAAAAAGCCAAATATATTTAAAGAACTGTCTTCTGAGAGTATGGTTTTTTTTTATTTTTTGAAGTTAGTCATTTTACATTATTATTATAAAATGACAGTGATAATAGATACTGTTTTTCAGTGCCTTGACAACATTTTTTAAAAGGCAAAACTATGTTAGTTCTCAAAACCACTTTTTAAACATTTCTTAATAGTGACATCCCTAAGTCCGATGGTCTCTATTCTAAAGAAATAATTGGAGATGGGAGAGCCTAGTGTTATGGGAGAACTGCCAAATTATTGCTGATAACAATATTGATGGGAACTTATGCAAAGGCTGTGGTTGGGGTCTAAGAGGAGAGGCTGCATCACAGAAACTTTTTTTTTTTTTTTTTGAGACAGTCTTGCTCTGTCGCCCAGGCTGGAGTACAGTGGCGTGATCTCAGCTCACTGCAACCTCTGCCTCCCGGGTTCAAGCAATTCTCCTGCCTCAGCCTCCTGAGTAGCTGGGACTACAGGCGAGAAACATTTTTTTTTTTTTTGAGATGGAGTCTCACTCTCTTGCCCAGGCCAGAGTGCAGTGCAGTGCAGTGCTGCGATCTCGGCTCACTGCAACCTCTGCCTCCCGGGTTCAAGTGATTCTCCTGCCTCAGCCTCCCAAGTAGCTGGGATTACAGGCGCCCACGACCACGCATGGCTAATTTTTGTATTTTTAGTAGAGACAGGGTTTCACCATGTTGGCCAGGCTGGTCTGGAATTCCTGACTTCAAGTGATCCACTTGCCTTAGCCTCCCAAAGTGCTGGGATTATAGGCGTGAGCCACTGCACCCGGCCTCCACAGAAACATTTCTAAAGAGATATTAAGAGAACTTAATAGTGCACTGAGCACAGAGAGAGAGGAGTTGAGCATGAGACCCAGGTTTCTGGCTTGGGTTGCTGGGTGGAGACGGGTACCGCTCCCTAAGATAGAGAATGAAGGAGGAGAGGTAGGTTTTGGAAGAAGTGGAATGGAAGATAAGCTTTGGGTATTCTAAATTTGAGATGCCTGCAGGGCACCCAGGCAAAGATATCTGGTAGTCAGTTAGAAATATGCATCTAGAGATACAGACACGGGAGTAATTAGGCCCTCCGTGTGGCAGAGGCTATGAACAAGACCATTCAGGAAGACAGGAAGGGGACCAAAAAACAAAACACAACCCACAAGGACACTAATGTTTTGGAGATTTTGTTTGTTTGTGGGGAGAGTGGGACACTACAAGGGAATGGTAAGACAAGAAGGAGAAAATGCTGTAGAGAAAAATCACATGAAGGTAAGGAGAGAAAATGTTTCATGAAATAGTTTGATCACCTATGTCAGCTGTTGTAGAAAGATCAAGTAGTACAAAGTCTCACAATAGACTGTTGACTTCAGATAGAGCAATTTTGTTAGGGGGCATCAAAACAGGCTACGTAGGAGAGATTGTGATGTACTTTCCTGGACACCAACTCAAGGGACAAAGTGTGAAAGTTGTCAGAATCATAATGGAGTCACTTGTGTTAAAAACCCTTACAAGGCCGGGGATAGTGGTGCACATCTGTAATCCCAGCACTTTGGGAGGCCAAGGCTGGCATAACATTTGAGTCCAGGAGAGTCCAGGAGTTC
This sequence comes from Homo sapiens, assembly GCF_000001405.40. Taxonomy (NCBI): domain Eukaryota; kingdom Metazoa; phylum Chordata; class Mammalia; order Primates; family Hominidae; genus Homo; species Homo sapiens. Next base: position 95,462,638 of record NC_000012.12, on the reverse strand, counting down.
AAGACCAGCCTAGGTAGCATGGTGAAACCCTATCTGTACAAAACATACAAAAATTAGCTGGCATGGTGGCCCATGCCTGTAGTCTCAGCTACTTGGGAGGCTGAGGAGGATGGTTTGAGCCTAGGAAGTGAAAGCTACAATGAGCTATGATCGTGCCACTGCACTTCAGCCTTGGGGACAAAGTAAGACTCTGTCTCAAAAAAAAAAAAAGCCAAACAACAAAACCCTGAAAAATAGAGCCTCAGAAAGCCATGAAGGGAGGATTCTCATGCCCAAAGTCTGATAACAAGAATTACGGTAAAAGACTGCAAAAATGACAGCCTTGCACAAAGGCCATAGCAATCTTGCAAAACTAAACAAAACAAAACATTTCTGTGAGGACACCTGCCCAGCAACTGCTTGTCCATACTCTGACTGGCTCCACCCTCGTTATTGATCCTTTTAGCCAGTGATCCTCCTCATTTTTCCTTTAAAAAACTTGTCTTCCTAGGCCGGGCACAGTGGCTTACACCTTAATCCCAGCACTTTGAGAGGCCGAGGCAGATGGATCACCTGAGGTCAGGAGTTCAAGACCAGCCTGGCCAACATGGTGAAACCCCCGTCTCTACTAAAAATACAAAAAATAGGTGGGTGTGGTGGTGGGCACCTGTAATCCCAGCTTCTCGGGAGGCTGAGACAGGAGATTTGCTTGAACCCCAGAGGTGAAGTTTGCAGTGAGCTGAGATCGTGCCATTGCACTCCAGCCTGGGCAACAGAGCAAGACTCCGTGTCAAATAATAATAATAATAAAATAAAAAGCTTGTCTTCTTTTACTTCCTTGAAATACACATTCTTTCTCAATCATAGTTGTATCCAATAACATCCTAAATTACTTACTTTTTTTTCTTTTCCATTCAAGGTGACAGAAGTGGAACTAAATTACTTATTAATCTTATAATTTATCTCCTTTTGTAGTTGGAATAAAGTTAGATACCTAATAGTAGAAATTTACCTTCTGTGGTGTCCACGTATTGAGGCTTACGCTTTGGGGAAAACATATATGGTTCAAAGCAGTATTCTTTTTTTTTTTTTTTTTTTTTTAGTAGAGGCGGGGTTTCACCATGTTGGCCAGGCTTGTCTCAAACTCCTGACCTCAGGTGATCCACCCACCTTGGCCTCCCAAAGTGCTGGAATTACAGGCGTGAGTCACCGCGCCCAGCCCAAAGCAATATTCTTATGCCCAAGATGTCAGGAGTATCGTTACCCACATGAAAGTTTTCTTTTTTTTCTTTTTCTTTTTTTTTTTTTCTGAGACAAGCTCTTGCTCTGTTACCCAGGCTGAAGTGCAGTGGCACGATCTTGGCTCACTGCAGCCTCCACCTCTAGGTTTAAAGTGATCCCATGCCTCAGCCTCCCAAGTAGCTAGTAGCACAGGCATGTGCCACCACACCCAGTTAATTTTAGTATTTTTAGTAGAGACAGGGTTTCACCATGTTAGCCAGGCTAGTCTCTAACTGCTGACTTCAAGTGATCCTCCAGCCTCTGCCTCACAAGTTGCTGGGATTACAGGCATGAGCCACCACACCCAGCCCTCATGCAAATTTTCAAGTGCTTATTGGCCAGGGCTGTGTAGGATTTAATATCAAGTGTTCATGAAAGAAAGCTTAGAGCTAGATGAAATACTTTGCCTAGACTCATGGAGTCTTTCCCCGAGCAGATTTCTGGAGTTCCTTCTCTCTATTTTTTTTTTTTTTTTTTTTTTGAGACAGAATCTCACTCTATCACTCACTCTGTCACTGTAGTGCAGTGGCACAATCTTGACTCACTGCAGCCTCAGCCTCCTGGGCTCAAGCAATCTTCCCACCTCAGCCTCCTGAGTAGCTGGGATTACAGGCGCATGCCACTGCAATCGGCTACTTTTTTTTTTTTTTTTTTTGAGACGGAGTCTCACTCTGTCACCCAGGCTGGAGTACAGTGGTGTGATCTCAGCTCACTGCAACCTCCACCTCCCAGGTTCAAGCAATTCTCCGCCTTAGCCTCCTGAGTAGCTGGGATTACAGGTGCATGCTACCACACCTGGCTTATTTTCCTATTTTTAGTAGAGATGGGATTTCACTATGTTGGTCAGGTTGGTCTTGAACTCCTGACCTCAAGCAATGTGCCTACCTTGACCTGCCAAAGTTCTGGGATTACAGGTGTGAGCCACTTCACCTGGCCTGGAGTTTCTTTTCTGTGCAGCTTCTTTCTCTCTGATATGTCTCCTCAGCTCAGAGATACCACCACACAAGACAGTGTTTCCACACAAAGAGCCAGGGTGATTGTGAATCTTGCATCATTTCCCTGTCATCTGGTATCACAGTTCTGTGTTTCCTATTGGTGGATGTCTAAAAGGACTTATTTCTTTTTCCAACTTTGACAGCTGCGTATAATGGGAAGTCTTGTCCAGTATCAGTCCTTTTCCTACATCAAGGCTGAAAGTGGAAGCACTTCCACATTGCAGGCTTTCTGTCAACATCTGGTGGGCTTTGCTTGCCAGTTTTTATTTATATTTATTTATTTATTTATTTAGTGAGATGAAGCCTCACTCTGTCACCCAGGCTGCAGTGCAGTGGCACGATCTCAGCTCACTTCAACCTCTGCCTCCCGGGTTCAAGTGTTTCTCCCACCTCAGCCTCCCGAGTAGCTGGGACTACAGGTGCCCACCACCATTCCTGGCTAATTTTTCTATGTTTAGTAAAGACGGGGTTTCATCATCTTGGCCAGGCTGGTCTCAAACTCCTGACCTCAAGTGATCCACCCCTGCTTCAGCCTCCCAAAGTGCTGGGATTACAAGCATGAGTCACTACACCCAGCCCAGTTTTTTGTTTTTAAATGATGCAGTAGAAAAACTGACTGGGAACTCAGTATTTTTAGGTAGAGCTTTGTCAATTAGGAGGTTTGCTTTAGTGTGAATGGATGAAAAGCAGACCATGTACTTTGGAAAACAGACATTGTTGGATGCTTACCCAGAATTCATTTTTAGTTTTTCCCTTGCTAACATAATCCTTCTTTGGGTTCAGGTGTCCACGCTTTTCTGCCTAGCTAGGTGAACCTGTCCTTAACTCAAGGGTAAATCCTGATTTGGCTAAACTAATACATGAGAATTCCAATTCCTCTTGCCAGTGGTTTGTTTAGGCATCGGCTTGTGTTGCAATTTTGGTCAATGAAACATGGAGGGCCAGGCATGGTGGCTCACACCTGTAAACCCAGTGCTTTGGGAGGCTGAGGTGGGAGGATCTCTTGAGCTCAGGCATTCAAGACCAGCCTGGGCAATATAGCGAGACCCAGGCTCTGCAAAAAATACTTTAAAAATTAGCTGGGTAGTGGCACAAACCTGTAATCCCAGCTACTCAGGAGGCTGAGATGGGATGATCACTTGCACTCAGGAGGTAGAGGTTACAGTGAGCCAAGATTGCACCACTGCACTCCAGCCTGGGTGACAAAGCGAGACACCCTGTCTCAAAAAACAAAAACAAAAACAAAAACATGGAGGTAAAACCGTTGGGAACTTCTGGAAAAAGTGCTTCAAATTAAAAAAAGAGACCAAAATATCGTTTCTTTTCTTCTTTAGATGTTTTCAAGTCTATGAATAATCCCTGGGGATATGAAGAGCACAGGACAGAGAGGTGGAATGATGCTGGGCCCTTGATGGTGTCATTCAGCCATTGAATTGGGAAATCCTAGTCACTCTACATTCAAACATGTAAGATATCACATCTCCACATTTTTAGAATTAGAGATTTCTGATACCTATAAATAAAGTCATCCTAAGTGATGCAAACTCCAGAATACACAGGACTTGGTGCTTAAATGTGAACTTCCTTTCTAATTTCCATAATGCTTCCAGATTATTTGTTAAATTTCTTAGAAGAGAACACTCTATTTTTTTTAGCTTTGTTGCTGTTGTTGTATTTTTTCCTAGAAGATGGAGAAACACCTAAACTGCAGACATTATGCTTGTAAGAGTAGACTTGCTGACTTAATTCTTGATATAAACTTTAAGTTAATTCTTCCTTTTTAAGCCCCAGGTCCCACTCTCTGGCCTGCTTAGTGTTTCCAAGTCCTGAATTTCTCAGAGGTTTTGCAGGGCTAATTGGGTCCCTTTTCAAAGCATCTTATTCTACTGACTTCTTGGCTGTGCTTCCTCCACACTATTTCATGACTTTTCTCTCCTTCATCAAATTTCAGTCAGAACTTTTATAACTCTCATCCCCAGAAGCCCTGCTCCTGTCTTATGTGTTGTGGATTGATTTAAAAAAAAATTCCTTTAGTATCATTTTAATAAGGTCCTGGTGAGAGGTGAGGCCAGCTGGACTTCCTGGGTCGAGTGGGGACTTGGGGAACTTTCCTGTATTACAAGAGGTTTGTAAAATGCACCAATCAGCACTCTGTAAAATGCACCAATCAACGTTCTGTAAAACGCACCAATCAGTGCTCTGTAAAATGCACCAATCAGCGCTCTGTAAAATGCACCAATCAACAGGAGTCTAAAAGTAGCCAATCACGAGGAGGATTGAAAAAAGGGCACTCTGATAGGACAGAAATGGAACATGGGAGGTGACAAATAAAGGAATAAAAGCTGGCCACCCCAGCCAGCAGCAGCAACCCGCTCAGTTCCCCTTTCATGCTGTGGAAGCTTTGTCCTTTTGCTCTTCACAATAAATCTTGCTACCACTCACTGTTTGGGTCCGTGCCATCTTTAAGAGCTGTAACACTCACCGCAAAGGTCCATGGCTTCATTATTGAGGTCAGCAAGACCACGAACCCACCGGCAGGAACCAACTCCTGACATATCTTGTGGGCTCGTCCAGGATATTGCCACGTGGTGAGTACCATCAGACCCCTTTCACTTGCTATTCTGTCCTATTTTTCCTTAGAATTCAGGGACTAAACACTGGGCATCTGTTGGCCAGTTAAAAGCAACTAGTGTGGCTGCTGTACTAAAGACACGGGTGTCAGGCTTTCTGGGAAAGGGCTCTCTAATAACCTCTGACTCTTTGGAAGCGGAAGTGTTGGTTTGCCTGCAACCAGCTTCTGCTTTTCCTGCACTTCTGGGCTGAGCCAAGGGTCAACAGAGAGGAAAGCCATTCAGCTCCAGGGTCCTGACAAAAAGTGGTTGACCCTGCAGCCATGAGTGGAACTCTCAAAGTTATGTCACCCAAGCGAGACTTGCCCACCTATCCTATCTATCCTGACCCTTGCCTCCTGGGTCCTAATGCCTGTCAGACAAACTTCCTCCCACCTCTCTTTTCTGAGGCTAGTCCTGAGTCTAAAAACCACTCCCTGTCCCTGGTGCTCTTCTAGTTTCTCCTATAAGGATGATTTATAATATAAATTTCGGGATTCTGCTCCCTTTTTTAGGCACCTGGGCTCACCAATCAGAAAGACATAATTTTTGCCTGAAGCCCCATCAGTGGGGGCACTATCTGGAATTTTAGGATCCCTCGTCAGACTAGCAGGCCTAACAAAGCCTATTCCCGAAGCTAGGATATGGGGAGCCACAGAAATTACAGACTCCAAATTTGGGGGGATATCCTTCCTATTCATATGATGAGAAGTGAGGACAAAAGGAGTCACTCTTCCAACCCTGGAGATCCCTTCTCTCCCTCAGGGTATGGCCCTCCACTTCATTTTGAGGCATATCATCTTTATAGGACAAGGGTAAGGTCCCAATACCAACAGGAGAAATCGCTTAGGACTTTAACAGGTTTTTGAGAATACATTGGTAAGGGCCACTAAATCCAACCTTTCTCAGTCCTCTTTGTGGTCTAAGAGGAAAGGCAAGGGTGCAGGTTTTCAAGAATGCATCAGTAAGGGCCACTAAATCCGAACTTCCTCAGTCCTCTTTGTGGTCTAGGAGGAAAACTAGTGTTTCCACTGCTGCTTCGGTGAGCACAACTACTCTGAATAGCAGGGTCTAGGGACTGTTGTGGGTTCTTGGGCGGGGAAAAAAAAAGCAGACCAAAACAGGGGCAGTTTTTTCTTTCAGATGGGAAACACTCGGGCATCAACAAGCTTACCCTTGAGATGCATCCTAAGCCATTGGGACCAATTTGACCTGCAAACCTTGAAAAAGAAGGGCTTTTCTTTTTCTGCACTATGGTCTGGCCCCAACATTCTCTCTCTGATGGGGAAAAATGGCCACCTGAGGGAAGTATAAATTACAATACTTTCCAACGAGAAACAAGCCACCCCCTCGCTCATGTCCACTATGCCAAGGCAATCACTGGAAGGCACACTGCCCCAGAGGACAAAGGTTCTCTGGGCCAGAAGCCCCCAACCAGATGATCCAACAACAGGAATGAGGGTGCCTGGGGCAAGTGCCAGCTCATGCCGTCACCCTCACTGAGCCCCGGGTAAGATTAACCACTGAGGGCCAGGAAATTGACTTCCTCCTGGACACTGGCGTGACCTTCTCCGTTTTAATCTCCTGCCCTGGACGGCTGTCCCCAAGGTCCGTTACCATCTGAGGAATCCTGGGACAGCCTGTAACCAGGTATGTCTCCTACCTCCTCAGCTTGACCTTTTCTGTAAGAGGGAAGGCAAATGGAGTGAAATACGTTATGTCCAAGCTTTCTTTTCATAGAAGGATAATCCAAAACTATGCAAAGCTTGCAATTTACATTCCACAGGAGGGCCTCTCAGCTTACCTCCATATCCTAGCCTCCCTACAGCTCCCCTTCCTATTAATTGTAAGCCTCCTCTAACTTCCCCCACCCAGAAGGAAACAACCAAAGAAATCTCTAAGGGGCTACAAAACCCCTCAGGCTATCGGTTATGTCCCTTTCAAGCTGTAGGGGGAGGGGAATTTGGCCCAACCAGGGTACACATCTCCTTCTCTCTCTCTGATTTAAAGCAGATCAAGGTAGACCTGGGGAAGTTTTCAGGTGATCCTGATAGGTATATAGATGTCCTACAGGGTCTAGGGCAAACCTTCAACCTCACTTGGAGAGATGTCATGCTATTGTTAGATCAAACCCTGGCCTTTAATGAAAAAAATGTGGCTTTAGCTGCAGCCTGAGAGTTTGGAGATATCTGGTATCTTAGTCAAGTAAATGATAGAATGACAGCTGAAGAAAGGGACAAATTCCCTACTGGTCAGCAAGCCATCCATAGTATGGATCCCCACTGGGACCTAGACTCAGATCATGGGGACTGGAGTTGCAAACATCTGTTGACCTGTGTTCTAGAAGGACTAAGGAGAATTAGGAAAAAGCCCATGAATTATTCAATGATGTCCTCAGGAAAAGGAAGAAAATCCTTCCGCCTTCCTTGAGTGACTACAGGAGGACTTAAGAAAATATACTCCCCTGTCACCCAACTCCCTCGAGGGTCAATTGATCCTAAAAGAGAAGTTTATTACCCAATCAGCCACAGATATCAGGAGAAAGCTCCAAAAGTTAGCCCTGGGCCCTGAACAAAATTGGGAGGCATTATTAAATCTGGCAACCTCAGTGTTCTATAATAGGCACCAAGAGGAACAGGCCGAAAAGGAAAAGCGAGATAAGAGAAAGGCCACAGCCTTAGTCATGGCCCTCAGGCAAACAAACCTTGGTGGTTCAGAGAGGCCAGAAAACGGAGCAGGCCAATCACCTGGTAGGGCTTGTTATCAGTGTGGTTTGCAAGGACACTTTAAAAAAGATTGTCCAACGAGAAACAAGCTGCCCCCCCACCCCCGTCCACTATGCCAAGGCAATCACTGGAAGGTGCACTGCCCCAGAGGACCAAGGTTCTCTGGGCCAGAAGCCCCCAACCAGATGATCCAACAACAGGACTGAGGGTGCCTGGGGCAAGCGCCAGCTCATGCCATCACCCTCACTGAGCCCCAGGTAAGTTTAACCACTGAGGGCCAGGAAATTGACTTCCTCCTGGACACTGGCGTGACCTACTCAGTTTTAATCTCCTGCCCCGGATGGCTGTCCCCAAGGTCCGTTACCACCTGAGGAATCCTGGGACAGCCTGTAACCAGGTATTTCTCCCACCTCCTCAGTTGTAATTGGGAGACTTTGCTCTTTTCACTTGCCTTTCTTGTTATGCCTGAAAGTCTTACACTCTTATTAGGGAGGGACATATTGGCCAAAGCTGGAGCTATTATCTATATGAATATCGGGAACAAGTTACCCATTTGTTGTCCCCTACTTGAGGAGGGAATTAACCCTGAAGTCTGGGCATTGGAAGGACAATTCAGAAGGGCAAAAAAATGCCCACTCAGTCCAAATCAGGCTAAAAGACCCTACCACTTTTCCTTATCAAAAGCAATATCCCTTAAGGCCTGAAGCTCATAAAGGATTAAAGGACATTGTTAGACATTTAAAAGTTCAAGGCTTAGTAAGGAAATGCAGCAGTCCCTGCCACACCTCAATTTAGGAGTACAAAAACTGAACAGTCAGTGGAGACTAGTGCAAGATCTTAGACTCATCAATGAGGCAGTAATTCCTCTATATCCAGTTGTACCCAACCCTTACACCCTGCTCTCTCAAATACCAGAGCAAGCAGAATGATTCACTGTTCTGGACCTCAAGGATGCCACCTTCTGCATTTCCCTGCACTCTGACTCCCAGTTTCTGTTTCCCTTTGAGGATCCCACAGACCACACATCCCAATTTACATGGACAGTCTTGCCTCAAGGGTTTAGGGATAGCCCTCATCTGTTTGGTCAGGCACTGGCCCAAGATTTAGGCCACTTCTCAAGTCCAGGCACTCTGGTCCTTCAGTATGTGGATGATTTACTTTTGGCGACCAGTTCGGAAGCCTTATGCCAGCAGGCTACTCTAGATCTCTTGAACTTTCTAGCTAAGCAAGGGTACAAGGCATCTAAATCGAAGGCCCAGATCTGCCTATAATAAGTCAAAAATCTAGGCCTAATCTTAGCCAGAGGAAGCCTGGGCCCTCAGCAAAGAACAAATACAGCCTATACTGGCTTGTCCTTGCCCTAAGACATTAAAACTGTTGCAGGGGTTCCTTGGGATCACCAGCTTTTGCTGACTATGGATCCCTGGATACAGTGAGATGGCCAGGCCACTCTATACTCTAATCAAGGAGACTCAGAGGGCAAATATTCATCTAATAGAATGGGAACCAGAGGCAGAAACAGCCTTCAAAACCTTAAAGTAGGCCCTAATACAAGCTCCAGCCTTAAGCTTTCCCACAGGACAAAACTTCTCTTTATACGTTACAGAGAGAGCAGGAAGGGCTCTTAGAGTCCTTACTCAGACTCGTGGGACAACCCCACAACCAGTGGCCTACCTAAGTAAGGAAATTGATGTAGTAGCAAAAGGCTGCCCTCACTTTTTACAGGTAGTTGTGGCAGTGGCCAGCTTAGTATCAGAGGCTGTCAAAATAATATAAGGAAAGGATCTCACCGTCTGGACTACTCATAATGTAAATGGCATACTAGGTGCCAAAGGAAATTTATGGCTATCAGACAACTGCCTGCTTAGATACCAGGAGCTACTCCTTGAGGGACTGGTGCTTCAAATATGCATGTGTGCGGCCCTCAACCCTTTTCTCCCAGAGGATGGGGAACCAATCGGGCATGACTGCCAACAAATTGTAGCCCAGACTTATGCCACCCGAGAGGATCTCTTAGAAGTCCCCTTAGCTAATCCTGACCTTAACCTACATACCAATGAAAGTTCATTTGGGGAGAATGGGATACAAAGGGCAGGTTATGCCACAGTTAGTGACAGTACTTGAAAGTAAGCCTCTTCCCCCAGGGACCAGCACCCAGTTAGCAGAACTAGTGGCACTTACCCGAGCCTTAGAACTGGGAAAGGAAAAAAGAATAAATGTGTATACAGATATCAAGTATGCTTATCTAATCCTACATGCCCATGCTGCAATATGGAAAGAAAGGGAGTTCCTAACCTATGGGGGAACCCCCATTAAATACCACAAAGAAATCATGGAGTTATTGCATGCAATGCAAAAACCCAAGGATGTCACAATCTTACACTGCTGAAGCCATCAAAAAGATGAAGGAGAGAAGGCAGAAGGAAACTGTCAGGCAGACGCTGAGGCCAAAATTGCTGCCAGGCAGAACCTCCCATTAGAAATACCTATGGAAGGACCCTTGCTATGGAACAACCCTCTCCAAGAGATTAAGCCCTAGTATTCCCCAACCAAAACAGAATGGGGACTTTCACAGGGGGCACTTTCATCGTTTTCTCCCCTTGGGGTGGTTAACGACAGAAGAGGGAAAGGTACTCATACCCGAAGCCAGCCAGTGGAAAATACTTAAGACCCTCCACTAAACTTTTCATATGGGTATTGCGAACACTCATCAAATGGCCAAATCCCTATTTACAGGGCCAAATCTCCTCTGGACCATCCGACAAGTAGTCAAAGCCTGTGAGGTGTGCCAAAGGAATAATCCTTGGTCCATTGTAAGGCCCCTCTTGGGGAACAAAGAATAGGGCACTATCCCAGAGAGGATTAGCAGTTAGACTTGACCCATATGCCTAAGTCAAGGGGATTTCAATACTTGTTGGTCTGTGTTGATACCTTTACAAATTGGACAGAAGCCTTCCCCTGCAAGACAGAGAAGGCTCAGGAAGTGGTTACAGTCCTAATTCATGAAATATAGATTTGGGCTTCCCTAAAGCTTACAAAGCAACAATGGTCTGACTTTTAAAGCCACGGTAACTCAGGGAATTTCCAGGGTGCTAGGGATACAATATCACCTTCACTGCTCCTGGAGGCCACAACCCTCAGGGAAGGTCAAGAAGGCAAATGAAACACTCAAGAGGCACTTAAGGAAACTAATACAAGAAACTCATCTCCCATGGCCTACTCTTTTTCCCATGGCCTTGTTAAGAATCCGAAATTCTTCTCACAAAATATGGCTCAGTCCATATGAAATGCTGTATGGACGACCTTTTCTCACAGATGACCTCCTACTTGATCAGGAAACAGCCAACTAGGTCAAGGATATAACTTCCTTGGCAAAATATCAACAAAACCCTAAAAACCTACCCGAAGGATGTCACAGAGACAAGGGAACAGAATTGTTCCAACCGGGAGATCTAGTGTTGGTCAAGTCCCTCTCCTCTACCTCCCCATCCATGAATTCCTTGTGGGAAGGACCAAACTCAGTAATCCTCTGTACCCCCACTGCAGTTAAGGTGGCAGGAGTGGAATCTTGGATTCACTACACCCAAGTTAAACTTTGGACACCCCCTGAAGAACCTGCGGGATCATCAGCTCAGGCGTCCCAAGTTCAGCCAGACCAGCCTCGATACACCTGTGAACCATTGAAGGATTTGCGTCTCCTATTTTGGAAGGAAACGTCCCAGATTAAAAAGGCTCCCACAGCTGATCCTGAGGAAAAACCCCTTCCTACTTAAAAAGATAAGTGAAAACCTACATAATCTTTAACACCTCTCCTTTCCCCTTTAATGGAATCCTTTTACTGTTTCATCACGTTATTAAGCAGTATATTAACCATACTCTTTGCAGCAGAACTATATACTGTAGCTCCTGCTGGGACAAAAATCCTAATCACATCAACCTTTTTTCTATCGTCCTTCCCTCTAACAGCAATTTACTCCTACCTTTAACTCAGACTGAATAAAATGACCTCATCTTCCAGGGGACCCTCTTTATCTTCCTACTTACTCTTTGCCTATGTATCCCTCCTGCTTCCTTGGATACCCCACATAGTCGCCCCTCCCCTTCCACTAGCTCCTAATTACCTCTACAAGACTCTCAACTTAACCCACTCTCTGTTAAACCAGTCCAATCCTTCCCTGGCAAATTACTGTCAGCTTTGTATCTCTCTATCAGCCACTGCTTACGTTGCCACTCCCATTCCCGCAAAAAAAAAAGGGGGGGTTTTTACTAACATAACCTACCACCCCCATTATGAAAGAAGACATCCTTTCCAACTTCTAAATATATAATCATTAGCCGACTTCCTCATCTTTGATAGGACCAAAAATACCGTAACAGGATGTGTAATCCAGCTTTTATGTTCTTACGTTGCCAACCTCACCTATTACACGAGCAATGAAAAGCCCATACACGGCCCTGTAACCACGAATATGTCTTAACTTTCCAAGCCCCTTTATGCATCCAAAGCAACCTGTTATCAGGCCTGCCCCTGGAGCATCTACTATCCCATCAGTGTAATTACACCCTACAACTTCAAGCCCCAACTGATCATAGTAACTTCCGAGTCACCCAAACAGCTCCATTCAGATGGCTTGTCTGGTTCTCAGGGCCTCCAAAAATCATCACCTCCTCCCTGCTTAACAAACAGTCCAGGTTTTATAATGGCAAACATACTCCCTGCACGACCATTCACCCCTGGACCCCCTGCAGCAACGCCCCCACCACTAGTGAATGTCTTCTCATCCCCTCTTTCAGCTACTCTCTTGAATGGTTCCTAGTAGATAACAAAATGGTTTTTTCTCCAATGGGAAAATAGAACACAGGGAGCCACTCAGTTTGCTCCCAACACCTCTTTCCAGCCGCTCACCAGAGCTACCTTGGCAAGTACTCTATGAGTATGGGAAAATGAAAACAACAAACTCACACACCTTTTTAACATACACAGTCATTTCTGTCTACCCAGCCAAGGCATATTCTTCTTATGTGGAACTTCAACCTATATCTGCCTCCCCACCAACTGGACAGACACCTGCACCTTAGTCTTCCTAAGTTCCAACATTGACATTGTCCCAGGAAATCAGACCCTATCAGTGCCCCTCAAAGCTCTAGTCTGTCAGCACAGGGTCATACAACTAATACCCTTACTTACAGGGTTAGAAATGGCCACAGCTACAGGAACTGGAATAGCCAGTTTATCTACTTCATTATCCTACTACCATACACTCTCAAAGGATTTCTCAGACAGTTGGCAAGAAATAACAAAATCTATCCTTACTCTACAATCCCAAATAGACTCTTTGGCAGCAGTGACTCTCCAAAACCGCTGAGGTCTAGACCTCCTCACTACTGAGAAATGAGGACTTTGCATCTTCTTAGGGGAAGAGTGTTGTTTTTACACTAATCAGTCAGGGATAGTATGAGACGCTGCCCAGTGTTTATAGGAAAAGGCTTCTGAAATCAGACAACGCCTTTCAAACTCTTATACCAACCTCTGGAGTTGGGCGACATGGCTTCTCCCCTTTTTAGGTCTCGTGACAGCCATCTTGCTTGGGTCCCGTATTTTTAACCTCCTTGTCAAAATTTGTCTCCTCCAGGATTGAGGCCATCAAACTATAGATGGTCTGACAAATGGAACCCCAAATAAGCTCAACTCACAGCTTCTACCAAGGACCCCTGTACTGACCCACTGGCTCTTTGACTGGCCTAGAGAGTTCCCCTCTGGAGGACACTACAACTGCAGGGCCCCTTCTTTGCCCCTATCCAGCAGAAAGTAGCTAGAGCGGTCATTGCCCATTTCCCAACAGCAGTTGGGGTGTCCTGTTTAGAGGGGGCATTGAGAGGTGAGGCCAGCTGGACTTCCTGGGTCGAGTGGGGACTTCGGGAACTTTCCTGTCATTTTTTTTCTTTTTTTTTTTTTGAGACAGAGTCTCACTGTCCCCCAGGCTGGAGTGCAGTGGCGCAAACTCGGCTCACTGCAACCTCCACCTCCTGGGTTCAAGCCATTCTCCTGCCTCAGGCTCCCAAGTAGCTGGGATTACAGGCACCCTTCACCACGCCCAGCTAATTTTTGTATTTTTAGTTAGAGATGGGGTTTCACCATGTTGGCCAGGCTGTTCTCGAATTCCTGACCTCAGGTAATCCGCCCGCCTCAGCCTCCCAAAGTGTTGGGATTACAGGTGTGAGCCACCATGCCCGGCCATGAACTTTCCTGTCTTACAAGAGGTTTGTAAAATGCACCAATCAGGAACTTTCCTGTCTTACAAGAGGTTTGTAAAATGCACCAATCAGTGCTCTGTGAAAAGCACCAATCAGCGCTCTGTAAAATGCACCAATCAGCAGGATTCTAAAAGTAGCCAATCGTGGGGAGGACTGAAAAAAGCACCCTCTGATAGGACAGAAACAGAACATGGGAGGGGACAAATAACAGAATAAATGCTGGCCACCCCAGCCAGTAGCAGCAACCCGCTCCGGTCCCCTTCCATACTGTGGAAGCTTTGTCCTTTTGCTCTTCACAATAAATCTTGCTACCAATCACTTTTTGGGGCCACGCCATCTTTAAGAGCTGTAACACTCACTGCAAAGGTCCGAAGCTTCATTCTTGAAGTCAGCAAGACCACGAACCCACTGGCAGGAACCAACTCTGGACACACTGGGAGCAACAAGAAAGTTACGTGTGCTCAGTTCAAGTTTCTCTCTCTTTTTGTAGAGATTGGGGTCTCGCTATATTGTCCAGGATGGTCTTGAACTCCTCCCCTCAAGCAATCCTCCCACCTTGGCCTCCCAAAGAGTTGGAATTACAAGCATGAGCCACGGCACCCGGCCTTCAAGTTTCTTTTTTTTTCCTGAGATGGAGTCCTGTTGGGATTCGATCAGGCTAGTTGGAAAAATATTAGTTATGATAGCCACAAAATCCTTTTGGAAGGCCTGAGGGTTTTCGTATGACTTTGGTAATAGACCAGGCTGAAGGCGGCCTGGTCCCATTACCTTTAGTTAAATAAATTAGAGTAGTCAACAACGGGATGTGGGGAAGTTATCTAGTTAACTTGTTCACTCACGTGGTCTTAAGCCTTAAGCCTTTGATGTATGCTTCTCACTCAGGAAGTCCACAATGTCAATTACCCTCTAATGGTGTTGACTCAAGTTTTTGTTAACTATTTTTAATGAATTAATGCAAGCCTGCCCAGCTGAGGCCGGCCGCAGTGACAAACCTCTCTTGGTGTGCAGGTGGGTCGGACACTCAGCAGGACTGGCAACACAGAATATCTGTGTGTCAATGTACATGTTATTCATCCATCGTTTGGGTCAGGGTCTGTGGGCAGACCCCCGCAGCTAACGCCCTCTTGTGAGGAGCAATACCTCAATTGGTGCCCCGTGTGAGGAAAGTCAGCGGTCTGCGGAAACAGACCCCCCACAGTTGGAGCCCCTTGTGAGGCAAGCTGTGAAGGAAGTGTGAAGAACGCGATGGACCCCCGAAAAAGAAGGTGAAGAAGGACCACGCGGTCAAGTCAGTGAGTAATCAGTAAGTCGTTGGTGCCCACTCGAGGTTACCAAGTTCTTGGGGAAGTTGGTTCAAGCTGAGTTTTCATTATGAGACAACAGTTATCAGCTCAACAGAAACAGTATATAGAAGTGTTAAAACACTGTTGCTTAAGGCTAGTGGAGCATCAGTTTCGCAGGCTCAATTAAGGGACATAATAATACAAACTGCTGTAATCCCAAGACCATGGTTCCCAGAAGAAGAAACGAAAGATGTAGAACTCTGGAACAAGTGGGGAGAAATCTTAAGCAACATCATGCGCAAAGGCAACAGGTCCCAGTAAAATCTCTATAACGTTATGGGCTTTAATTAGAGCACCCCTGGCTCAGTTACCCACAGAAGAGCCTAAAAACGGGAAGGAGGAGGAAATGTCACCTGCCTTATCACCTCCTCTTCTTTCGGCCCTAGTATCACCCGGCCGGCCGAAATAACAAAGAGGAAACGGAGTAAAGTCTCCCTTTACCTGAGCCTCCTCCTCCAATAGATAAGAAAAAAAAAAACCAGGGATACGCTACAGCTATCAGTCCCTATCTTAAGCAGGCGGAATTAAAAGGAGAGCTTTTAGCCTGCCCGGTAATGCAACATTAACGAGGTAATCAGGTACATAAAGAAATAAGAAAAAGCATTAGAGGCTGGAGCTGCGCGGCCAAGCGAGCAGTAGAGGGAAGGAAAGGCTCAGCATCAAGGAAGCTCCCAAACACTGAGCTGGCGGATCCTCCTGGGAACTAGGCCTGCGCTGAGGCAGTAGCAGCGGGGAGCCAGGCCCAGTGCGCCAGTGTTAGCCTGCTGGGGTGGGGCAGGAGGCGCGCGCGCGAGTCCACCCAGCCGGGGACAGCCGCGCCTTGGCAGTGGGAGGGGGCGGCACAAGCGAAAGAAGTAGCACAAGCTGAAAGTGGCCGCTGCCCCAGGGCCCGCCCTCTCAGCTCTCTAGCTTCGCAGGCGGCCCAGGACAAAATTCTGTGTGTCCCTTGTATACAAAGGACGTCCCAGATTATAACTCTCTGCTAAGATTTAAGTAAAACGTAAGAATTTGGAAAACCTCTTTCTGATCATGGCAACTGTTATCTCTCTCCTACCCTTAACGTGATTTTCTCAAAAACCAATTTAAGTAAAACAGTAACCTCTAAAGGGAGAGACATTACAAAAGGCCCATGAGTTAGTTTAGGAGCAATTAAAAGCAAACTTTGCTCCCCAGTAGAAAAAAAAGTTTCGTAATTTCAAGGTTATTCATTTTGCAGGTAATATTCTACTACCAGCCCTTGGAATTTACCTATTTTCATAATTCCCAAAAAGTCTGGTAAATGTTTTACCTACACAAATAGTTCAGTCCCCCATACCTAATGCTTTAACACTGTTGACTGATAGGGCTGGTAAACATGGAAAAGCGGCAATCTGGTGGAGACCACACAATTCAATCACTCTATTTGGATGTACTAGCACTCAGAGAGCTACGATTGGGGCTCTGATTTTGGCCTTAGAAACGTTTTCCACTCAGCCCATAAATATAGTTAGCGATTCTGCATACTCCATTTAATTTATTACAAAACATTGAAACAGCTTTAATTAAGTCCACTTTGGAGCCAGCCCTGTTTACTCTTTTTCTCCGACTTCAGTAATTGCTAGATCAATGTACACATCCTATTTTTATTACACACATTCGAGCCCACAGCTCTGCCTGGCCCATTGGCTTATGGCAATGATCAAGCATACCTTCAGGTTATGACATCACTGCTAGACCAAGCCACCCAATCTCATCAATTTTTCCACCAAAATTAGAGAAACTTACCTAAACAATTTTAACTTACTCAGAGGCTGGCTAAACAAATTATCCTACAATGTGCCCAGATTGCCAGCTCACAGGGATGTCCCCTCCTTCAACAGGTGTTAACCCTAGAGGATCAGAAGCTAATCATTTGTGGCAAACAGATGTTACACACATCTCTGAATTTAGGAAACTAAGATAGGTGCATGTATCCATTGATACTGAGAGGTGAAGCCAGCTGGACTTCCTGGGTCGAGTGGGGACTTAGAGAACTTTTCTGTCTTACAAGAGGATTGTAAAATGCACCAATCAGCACTCTGTAGCTAGGATTGTAAAACGCACCAATCAGTGCTCTGTAGCTAGCAAGAGGATTGTAAAATATACCAATCAGTGCTCTGTAAAATGCACCAATCAGCACTTTTTAAAACGTACCAATCAGCACTCTGTAAAATGCACCAATCAGCAGGAGTCTAAAAGTAGCTAATCACGGGGAGGATTGAAGAAAGGGCACTCTGATGGGACAGAAACAGAACATGGGAGGGGACAAATAAGGGAATAAAGCTGGCTACCCCAGCCAGCAGTGGTAATCCACTTGGATTCCCTTCCATGGTGTGGAAGCTTTGTTCTTTTGTTCTACGCGATAAACCTTGCTGCTGCTTACTCTTTGGGTCTGTGCCACCTTTAAGAGCTGTAACACTCACCGTGAAGGTCCGCAGCTTCATTCTTGAAGTCAGTGAGACCACCAACCCACCAGCAGGAATCAACTCCTGACACAATACCAACACTCATTTAATTAGTGCACATGCTTTGCCTGGAGAGTCTACTCGATATGTCACTAAACATCTTCTTTTAACTTTTGCATTTATGGGGCAACCCACAAAAATTAAGACTGATAATGGTCCAGCTTACCAGCTCACAATTTCAACAATTTTGTCACATGTGGAATATCCAGCATTCCACAGGCATCCCATATAACCCCCAAGGACAGGCAATAGTAGAATGAGCACATTTCACCCTTAAAAATATGCTCAAAAAAATGGAAAAAAGGAAATATAGGTAAGTACACTGCGACACTACTGGCATAAGCTTTATTTAACCTTAATTTTTAAAATTTATATGACAAATTTCAATCAGCTGCAGAAAAGCACTTTGCTAAAACCTCTCAAGGCATAAAACCTACAATTTTATGGAAAGATGTGAACAGTAATAAATGGCGTGGTCCAAGTGAATTATTAACATGAGGAAGAAAGTATGCTTGTGTCCACAGCTAGAGAGAGAAATAAAAGGAAAGAATGAGTAAGAAAGAGACTAGAAAAGACAGAGATCAGAGAAGAACACAAAAAGAAGTACTAAGGAGAGAAATAAAGCAGGAAGAAGGGAAAGGAAATATTAGAAAAGTTATAAGAATGCACCTTTAGTAAGGAAGGTTATAAAACATAGAAAGGTAAGGCACGTTGAAGATTGTCTGTGAAAGTCATGAAAAAGTTATAAAAAGGAATTTATGCAGGAAATGTACGATTTTTGTTTTGAAGGTCTAAACAAGTTTTAAAATGTTAATTGCAAAAAAAAAAAAATTCTGTGTGTCAACATATTGGCTAAAGTTAGAAAGTATCATCCAGTTTTTCTGTAAACTAGACATTAAAATAAAGCACAACTAGTTTTTCTTAAAGCACTAACCTGCTCTTTAAAGAATGTAAAAGGTCTCTTAGCACAGGCAACACCCCTAGAATTTCCAGCACCAGCCTGGAGACTATGTCCTCATCAAGGGATGAAAAAAAAGAAGAAAAAACTCAAGCCAGCCTAACAAAAACCCTACAGGACCCACAGCCTCAACAATGAGGCTTCCACGAACAACACAGGCCCCAGACATTATGCTGAAGAAGCAGAAGGCTAAACCAGATAATTTACTCATTTTTATTCTCTCACTTTGCCTACTACCTATAGCTGCTAGACTCTATTAAGCTCCTCTCTTAAATCTGCCTTTTTTCAGCCCTGTTATCTAAGCAGACACTCCCTTTCCAGCTTCTGACAATGTAACTGCCTGGCTGGAAGGAGTTAACATACCCCCAGTGGGGTTCCTTAGTAATGGCACACATCAAACTAAGATGCCAAGTAACACATGTCACTCTTTGACTAGAAAAGAATGTTGCTAATTGTACTCATGATTGTTTTGTGTTATTTGCTAATCCTAGGATGCAAAGCCGGAATAAGAGCAGTGACCACCTCGCCTGACAAACCTGTGGCTGCACCTATCTGCGCTCTCCAATCAAAAAATTTGATGTAGCAAACAAAAAAGGGGGAGATGTTGGGATTCGATCAGGCAGGTGGGAAAAATATTAGTTATGATAGCCACAAAACCCTTTTGGAAGGCCTGAGGGTTTTCATATGACTTCGGTAACAGACCGGGCTGAAGGTGGCCTGGTCTCATTACCTTTAGTTAAATAAATTAGAGTAGTCAACAAGGGGATGTGAGGAAGTTATCTAGTTAACTTGTTTACTCATATGGTCTTAAGCCTTAAACCTTTGATGTATGCTTTTTACTCAGGAAGTCGACAATGTCAATTACCCTCTAATGGTGTTGTCTCAAGTTTTTGTTAACTAATCTTAATGAATTAATGCAAGCCTCCCAAGCTGATCGAGGCTGGCCACAGTGACAAACCTCTCTTGGTGTGCAGGCGGTCGGACACTCAGCAGGATTGGCAACACAGAATATCTGTGTCTCAATGCTCGTGTTATTCATCTATTGTTTGGGTCAGGGTCTGCAGGCAGACCCCCACAGCTAATGCCCTCTTGTGAGGAGCAATACCTCAGAGTCTCGCTTTGTCACCCAGGCTGGAGTGCAGTGGTGGCATCTTAGCTCACTACAACCTCTGCCTCCCGGTTCAAGTGATTCTCCTGCCTCAGGCTCCTGAGTACCTGGGATTACAGGCGTCTGCCACCATGCCTGGCTAATTTTTGTATTTTCAGTAGAGACAGGGTTTCACTATGTTGGTCAGGCTGGTCTCGAACTCCTGACCTCAAGTGATCCACCCACCTTGGCCTTCCAAAGTGCTTGGATTACAGGTGTGAGCTACCGCACCCTATCAAGTTTCTCTTGATCCAGAAATTCCAAGCTTACACTTTTGGTGACTGAGGATCACTAAGACAAAAGGCATGAACGGAATCAACTGGTCTTGAGGTTCTGCATGGAACTCTGGTATAAAGCAGTTTTGGGGTCAGAACCAACAGATCTCTAATATTCTTTGGTCTGAAAACTGGCAGCAGCTGGTGATCCAGAGGTAGGTAATTTTTAAGGTGCTCAGATGTTTTCGAGGAGCTGATCTTTGGCAGTTCATATCTCTAGATGGGTATGGGTGGAAGCTGGAACTGGCTGAGATTCTTCAGTACTCCTTTAAAACAATTATGATAATTCGCATGTAAGATTCACCATTTTAAAGTTTACATTTCTGTGGTTTCAGTATATTACAGGTCATACGACCGTCACTACTACCTAATTACACAACATTTTCATCAACCCAAAAAGAAACCCTTTACTGATTAGCAGTCATTCTCCATTTCTCCCTCCCTCAATCCCTGGAAACCACTTATTTACTTTCTGTCTCAATGGATTTGCCTATTCTGTATATTTCATATAAATGGAGCCATGCAATTTGTGGCTTTATGTCTGCTTCCTTTCACTTAGCATAATGTTTTCAAAGTTCATCTACGTTGTAGCATATATCAATACTTCTTTCTGTTTTGAGGCTGAATATATTCTGCTGTGGCCAGGCATGGTGGCTCACACCTATAATCCCAGCACCTTGGGAGGCCAAGGCAGGCAGATTGCTTGAGCTCAGGAGTTCAAGACCAGCATGGACAACATGGTGAGATCCTGTCTCTACAAAAAAACACAAAAATTACCTGGGCATGGTGGCGCACGCCTATAGTTGCAGCTGCTTGGAGGGCTTAGTTGGGAGGATCACTTGAGGCTGGGAAGTCGAGGCTGCAGTGAGCCAAGATCGTGCCACCACACTATAGCCTGGGGGACAGAGTGAGACCATGTCTCAAAAAGAATTAAAAATATATATATTCAATTGTATGGATATGCCACATTTTGCTTATCTACTCATCAATTGGTGGACATTTGGGTTGTTTCTACTTTTTGACTGTTGTGAATGATACTCCTGTGAACATTCCTGTGCAACTTTTGTTGTGGACATCTTTTCATTTCTCTTGGGTATCTATATAAGAGTACCATTGCTAGGTATCTTCGTCTGTTTGGGCTGCTGTTAACAAAATGCCTTAGACTGGGTAATATATAAAGAACAGAAATTCATTTTTTCACAGTTCTGGAAACTGGGAAGTCCAAGATCAATTCACCATGAGATTCAATGTTTGATGAGGGCCGGGCACAGTGGCTCACACCTGTAATCCCAGCACTTTGGAAGGCTGAGGCGGGAGTTTGAAACCAGGCTGGCCAACATGGTGAAACCCCATCTCTACTAAAAATACAAAAATTAGCCAGGAGTGGTGGTGCATGACTGTAATCTCAGCTACTCGGGAGGCTGAGGCAAGAGAATCGCTTGAATCCGGGAAGCAGAGGTTGCAGTGAGCTGAGATTGTGCCACTGCACTCCAGCCTGGGTGACAAAGTGAGACTCCAGCTCAAAAAAAAAAAGAAGTTTGATGAGGGCTTACTCTGCTTCAAACGTGACACCTCTTGCTGTGTCCTCACATGGCAGAAAAGGCAAGGGGGATCCCTGAAGCCTCTTTTATAAGGCACTGATCCCCCTCATGATGGCTCTGCCCTAATGATTTAATCACCTCCTTAAGGCTCCAATCATACTATGACATTGGCAGTTAAGTTTCAACATACGAATTTTGAAGGAACACATTCAGACTATATAGCACAGTTGATAAACTGCCAGACTGTTTTCAAAAGGAACTGCACGATACTACATTCCCACCAGCAGTGTATGAGGCTTTTAATTTCTCCATATCCTCATCAACACTGTTTCTTGTCTTTTTCATTATAACTATCCTACTGGATATGAAGTGGTATCTCTTTGTGGTTTTGATTTGCATTTATCTGATGACTCATGCCATTGAGCATCTCTTCATGTGTTAGTGACCATTTGTATATATTCTTTTTTTTTTTTTTTTTGAGACAGAGTTTCACTCTTTTACCCAGGCTGGAGTGAAGTGATATGACCTCAGTTCACTGCAAACTCCGCCCTCCAGATTCAAGCAATTCTCCTGCCTCAGCCTCATGAGGAGATGGGATTACAGGCACCCGCCAACATGACTGGCTGATTTTTGTACTTTTAGTAGAGACGGGGTTTCGCCCTGTTGACCAGGCTGGTCTTGAACTCCTGACCTCAGGTGATCTGGTCCACCCGCCTCGGCCTTTCAAAGTGCTAGGATTACAGGCGTGAGCCACCGTGCCTGGCCCATTTGTATATATTCTTGGTAGAAGTGTCTATCCAAATCATTTGCCCATTTTTACATTTTACATTGGCTTGTCTTTTTTTTTTTTTTTTTTTTTTTTGAGACAGGGTCTCATTCTGTTGCCCAGGCTGGAGTGCAGTGGTGCACACTGCTCACTGCAGCCTCTACGTCCCAAGGCTTAAGAGATCCTCCCACCTCAGCCTCCTGAGGAGCTGGGACAATAGGCATGTGCCGCTACGCCTGGCTAATTTTTTATTTTTTTGTAGAGACAGGTGGTGAGAGGATGGGGGAGCTCTCACTATGTTTCCTAGGCTGATCTTGAACTCCTGGGCTCAAGTGATCCTCCCACTTCATCCTCCCAAAGTGCTGGGAGTAGAGACGTGCACCATGGGGTCAACTCTTTTTTAAAAACTCAAACATTAAAAATGAGCACTAGTAGCAAAGCCTCCCTCCCCAGAATGGTGCACTCCCAGTCTTCCACGGCTCTCTGATTCTGGCAGGTTTCACTTCCTTCCCTGCCCACCTTAAAGTTGAACTCACTGGCAAGGAGCTCCACTTCCATCCACATTATCTCAGTACCCATAAGTTTGCATTTATACTCTGTTGATTTTTTTTTTTTTTTCATATCTCCTGAAGCGGTCTCTGGCCACAACCGGCTGCCTGGACTATCTAAGTTTCTCCTGCCATACCAATTATTATTTTCCTTTTGTGCTCTGGTTACAAAGTGGCATAGGTTTTCCGTGGTCTGCCCTCACACTACTTTTCCTATAAGTCCTATTAATTTCAGTGCACACAATTTTGCAGGATGTGACGTTTTTCATGAATGCATACAGCATATTATAGCATAAATGCCTAAATTTACATTTTAATCAGGGATTTTGGAGATATGGGATTCATGCAAAGTGGAATCTTCAGTTACAGTGGCAAGACAATGAGATAGGGAACTTATTTATTTATTTGAGACAGTCTGGTTCTGTCACCCAGAGTGTAGTGCAGTGGTGCTATCTTGGCTCACTGCAACCTCTGCCTCTCAGGCTCAAGCCATCCTCCCATCTCAGCATCCTGAGTAGCTGAGACTACAGACATGTGCCACCATGCCTGTCTAATTTTTGTATTTTTTTTGTAGAGATGGGGTTTCACCATGTTGCTCAGGCTGGTTTTGAACTCCTGAACTCAAGTGATTTGCCCCCACTTGGCCTTCCAAAATGTTGGGATTACAGGTGTGAGCCACAGTGCCTGGCTGAGAAATTTATTTTTCCCTCTCTAGAGAGAAAAATTTAGATAAACAGAAGCTTTAGGTGTCCCTTAAATTTCATTTTAAAGCTCTTCCCAGGCCGGGCATGGTGGCTCATGTCTGTAATCACAGCATTTTGGGAGGCCAAGGCAGGAGGATAGCTTCAGGCCAAGATTTTGAGACCAGCCTGGGGAACAAATAGAGTTTCTGTCTGTACAATGAGCACATATAGTAAAATTGGAATGATACAGAGAAGATTAGCATGGGCCCTGCACAAGGATGACACACAAATTCGTGAAGCGTTCCATTAAAAAATAAAAAAAGAAAAAAATAAAGGTGTTCTCCTACTCCTCTTTAAGGAAGGGCTAGTTTAGTCTGAGCCTTAAAATTTTCTTTTTTTTCTTTTTTTAAACTTTTTTGGTATATTCGCAGAAAATGATTATTATTAATAATCAAATAATTATTTTTGGTTTGTTTTGTTTATTGTTTTTGTTTTTATTTTTGCTTTTTTGAGACAGATTCTTGCTCTGTTGCCCAGACTGGAGTGCAGTGGTGCGATCTCGGCTCACCACAGCCTCCACCTCCCAGGTTCAAGTGATTTTCATACCTCAGCTTCCCGAATAGCTTACAGGCATGCACCACCATACCTGGTAAATTTTTTGTATTTTTAGTAGAGACGGGGTTTCGCCATGTTGTCCAGGCTGGTCTCGAACTCCTGAGCTCAGGCAATCCGCCCACCTCAGCCTCCCAAAGTGCTAGGATTACAGGCATGAGCCACCACACCCAGCCAATAATCACAATAGTTAATAAGCCTCAGTCCACCATGTGTCCCAGTCCTCATGTTGTTGCTGGTGCCCTGTCCTCCGCTGGGTGGTCACTGCAAATCCCTGAGGCCATTTAGCTCTGGTTTAGCCAGCCCCTCAGTTCCTCTCCAATCACAGTCATGTGCTTTTCACAACCTGCTTAGTAAAATGTGTCCCTTTTTATTGTCTTTTTCATTATAACTATGCTAGTGGCTATGAAGTGCTTAGTAAAATGTGTCCCTCTGGTTAGGACTTTGCAAACTTGAGTGTTCTCAGAATCCCATGGAGGGCTTGCCCACACATAGATTCCAGGTGCCACCTGCAGAGATTCTAACATTAGGTCTGGGTAAGGCCTGAGGATTTGCATCTCTAACAAGGTCCCAGGTGATGCTGATGTTGCTGGTCCAGGGACCACATTTTGAGTGTCACTGCTTTAATGACCCTGCCATCATCAGTGCCACCCATCCTCACAGACAACAGTTCCTCTTTTCACAAACCTTTTTTTTTGTTTGTTTTGGCCATTGTGCAGTGTTCTCAACCAGGGGTGATTTTTGACCCCCAGGAACCATCGGCAATGTCAGGAGACATTTTTTGTTGTCACAACTGGGTGAGAGGTTATATTATGGCATCTGACGAGGTAAAAGCTAAGGTTGCTGCTAAACATTCTGCAATGCACAAAGCAGCTCTTTGCCACAGAGAATTATCTGGTCCAAATGGCAGTAGTGCTGAGGTTGAGAAAGTCTCTATTAATATGCCATTATTGCTTTGTTTGCCAATAGCTTTCAGTTCTGATTGTATCTATGTCAAGTCAATAGTGTATGAAATAAAGTTGGAGATAAAGGAACAGTGGCGTCCCTCTCCCCCCAGTGTTTTTATACTTCGATGAAAATAAAACATTTGTCTGGACATGATGGCTCATGCCTGTAATCCCAGTGTTTGGGAGGCTGAGGTGGGAGGATTGTTTGAGGCCAGAAATTTGAGATCAGCCTGGGCAACATAGTGAGACCTCATTTTTTTTGAGACAGGGTCTCACTCTGTCACCCAGGCTGGAGTGCAGTGGCACAATCGCAGCTCACTGAAGCCTCGACAACCTCCCAGGCTCAATTGATCCTCCACCTCAGCCTCATGAGTAGCTGGGAATACAGGTGTGCGCCACCACGTCCGGCTAATTTTTGTATTTTTTGTGGAGACAGGGTCTCACTGTGTTGCCCAGGCTGGTCTTGAACTCCTGGTGTCAAGCAATCAGCCTGCCTTAGCCTCCCAAAATGCTGAGATTATAGGCATGAGCCTTGGCACCTGCTGAGACCTCATCTATATTTAAAAAAAAAATGAAGAGTTAAACTTTAAAACCATAAAGTACTTTGAAATATCATCCATGAACATGATCATTTGTCTTCAGATTTTCAATTGCTCTGTCTCAGGTCTCATGGCAGAATGAAGGAATTTACCAAAGCCAAGCCCTTTGACTCTGGGCCTATCTATTTCTTTGATCAGGTAATAATACTGCTCCTTCTCATCAAATTATAATTTACTTTTTAAAAATCAATTCACTTTTGACCAGTGTTTCCCCCTACATTTTACTCAGAACATTTTATTTTATTTTAGTTGAAACCTGAACGGAAAGATGGGAAAAGATAACCTGTGAAGAAAGTTATCCCACCCAAAATGCACCTCAAGAGCTAAGTGTAGGTAAAACATTTGGAATCATTCTTTAATTGTTGGTGTTACTTTACATCTTTAGAGGCTCGTAAGATGCTCAAGACCAATGGTTTCCCATTCCCTCATCCGCTGAAAAACTATACCAAGGAGTTGCCATTTCAGATTTGACCATGCAGTCATTCAGAGAGCTTTATTTAAGTCAGGCCAGTGGTTACTTTAAACATAATTGTTCATATTAACCACTCATCCTGGTTTCCCAGCTATTTTGCAACAAACCCAGCTCTGCTCGTGCCTTAGGGAGTTTGCACTAATGTTCCTTCTGCTTTCTGCACAACTTTCTCCCTATTCCCTTTAACTCTTTTCTTAAATATTACTGTTGCAGTAGGACTCTATTTTAGATTTCTTTTTTTTGAGACAGAGTCTTGTTCTGTCACCCTGGCTAGAGTGCAGTGGTGCGATCTCGGCTCACTGTAGCCTCCGTCTCCTGGGTTCAAGGAATTCTCCTGCCTCAGCCTCCTGAGTAGCTGGGACTACAGGTGCACACCACCACGCCCAGCTAATTTTTTGTATTTTTAGTAGAGATGGGGTTTCACCATGTTGGCCAGGCTGATCTCGAACTCCTGGCCTCAAGTGATCCACCCACCTCAGCCTCCCAAAGTGCTGGAATTACAGGCGTGAGCCACTGCACCCAGCCTCTATTTTAGATTTCCATCCTGCTCCATCGTGGCACTCCCATCTCTTTTCCCAACTTAATTTTTCTATTGCACTTATCACTTTCTAGTATTCTAAATGATATACCCATTTATTTGTTTACCCTCTCTCCTCTTATGAGAGTATAAGTTCCACAAGGGCAGGATATATATATTTTTTAATGTACATGATCACTTCTCTATCCCTAGTCCCCAAAAACAGTGCTTGGCATATAGAATGCGCTTAATAAAGATTCTTTATTAACCACCATAGAATTGTGTCAAGCCCACAAAAATGAATGAAATAGTGAGTCATTCCACATTTTTTTAACCCTCTAGTTACTATTAGGTTGGTGCAAAAGTAATTGCGGTTTCAGACCATGAATTTTAAAACATTATAACTAGGCTCACACACATCTTTATTAATCAAAATAGGAACCATTGCAATGAACACATTTTTGCCAACAAGAAATAAGTTTGTTTAATCTTGTAGCGTAAAAATCTGTGCTTTGGGATTTGATGAACTCTTGGAAAGCATTTTCTGCATCCTGCTGGTTGTGAAAGCATTTTCCCTGCAAAAAGTTCTCGAGATGCTTGAAGAAGTCTGTTGGCTAGAGGTCAGGTGAATATGGCGGATGAGGCAAAACTTCATAGCCCAGTTCATTCAACTTTTGAAGCATTGGTTGTACAACATGCGGTCAGGTGCTGTCGTGAAGAAGAATTGGGCCCTTTCAGTTGACACTGCAGTTTTCTGTGCATCGCATCGATTTGCTGCGAATACTTCTCGAATGTAACGATTTCGCCAGGATTCAGAAAGCTGTAGTGGATCAGACCGGCAGCAGACCACCAAACAGTGACCATGACGTTTTCTCGGTGCAAATTTGGCTTTGGGAAGTGCTTTGGAGCTTCTCTGTGGTCCAACCACTGACCTGGTCATCGCCGGTTGCCGTATACAATCCACTTTTCATCGCACATCTCAATCCGATCTAGAAATGGTTTGTCGTTGTTGTGTAGAATAAGAGAACGCGACACTTCAAAACGATGATTTTTAAATTTTCACTCAGCTCATGAGACACCTACTTATCAAGCTTTTTCACCTTTCCAATCTGCTTCAAAAGCTGAACAACCATAGAATCGTAGACACTGAGTTTTTTGGCAATTTCTCGTGTACTGCAAGAGGACCAGCTTCAGTGATTTTTCTCAGTTAGTCGCTGTCAGCTTCCAACGGCTGGCCGCTATACTCCTCATCCTTAAGGCTCTCTTCTCCTTTGCAAAACTTCTTGAACCCTCGCTGCACTATATATTCATTAGCGTTCCTGGGCTAAATGCATTGTTGATATTTCAAGTTGTCTCCGCTGCTTTATGACCCACTTTGAACTTGAATATGAAAATCACTCAAATTTGCTTTTTGTGTAACTTCATTTCCATAGTCTAAAATAAACATAAAATAAATGGCAAGTAATAAGTCATTAGCAAAAAAAAAAAAACAAAAAGCAAGAAATACCCATTAAAATGATGTATAACATAACCACATTTATTTAAGAATGTATTCCAATGTCAAATGGTAATTTCCAACTGCCAACACTGCAATTACTTTTGCGCTCACTCATACAATTTCTTTTTCTTTTTGGGTTTGTTTTTTTTTTTGTTTTTTTTTTTTTGAGGCAAGTCTCGCTCTGTCGCCCAGGCTGGAGTGCAGTGGCCTGATCTCAGCTCACTGCAAGCTCCGTCTCCCGGGTTCACGCCATTCTCCTGCCTCAGCCTCCCAAGTAGCTGGGACTACAGGCACCCGCCACCACTCCCGGCTAATTTTTTTGTATTTTTAGTAGAGACGGGGTTTCACCGCGTTAGGCAGGATGGTTTCGAGCTCCTGACCTTATGATCCTCCCGCCTCGGCCTCCCAAAGTGTTGGGATTACAGGCGTGAGCCACCGCGCCCAGCCCACTCATAGAATTTCTTTGCTTGTGAAGGGAAAATTAAAATACTCAAACCTGTCTTAGAACATATATCACAAAAGTATATTAGATTAAATGTTGTTGATTGCATCAGTGAATTTTCCAACAGAGGCGATTTTGCCCCACAAGGGACATTTGGCAATGCCTGCAGACATTTTTGGTAGTCACAACTGCTGGTTGCTATTGTCATCATAGGTAGAGACCAAGGATGCTGCTACACATCCTACAATGCACAGGATAGCACCCCACAATCGTGTGGTCCAAAATGTCAATAGTGCCAGGATTGACAAACCCTGCTTTACACTAATCTGTATTTGGGTTTTTTGGAACCTGCCATACCTTTCCTCAACATCACTGCAAGGATGGGCATGGTGGCTCGTACCCGTAGTCCCAGTGCTTTGGGAAGCTGAGGCAGGAGGATGGCTTGAGACCAGCCTGAGTAACATAGCAAGACCCCATCACTATTAAAAAAAAAAAGAAAACCACTGCAATTTGCTTCTGTTTTTATTTTCATTTATTTTTTTGAGATGCAGTCTCCCTCTTTCGCCCAGCCTGGACTGAGGTGGCGCGATCTCAGCTCACTGCAACCTCTCTCCCCTGGGTTCAAGTGATTCTCCTGCCTCAACCTCCTGAGTAGCTGAGATTACAGGCGCCCGCCACCCTGCTGGGCTAATTTTTATATTTTTAGTAAAGACAGGGTTTCGCTGTGTTGGCCAGGCTGGTCTCTAACTCCTGACCTCAGGTGATCCACCCGCCTCGGCCTCTCAAAGTGCGAGGATTATAGGCATGAGCCACTGCACCCAGCCTGCTTCTGTTTTAAAAGTCCACTATCTCCTTTCCCACTTTCTTTTTCATGTTTTTTGTTTGTTTGTTTGTTTGTTTTGAGATCAAGTCACACTCTGTCATCCAGACTGGAGTGCAATGGCACGATCTCAGCTCACTACAACCTCCACCTCCTGGGTTCAAGTGATTCTCCTGCCTCAGCCTCCCGAGTAACTGGGATTACAGGTGCTTGCCACCACATCTTGCTAATTTTTGTATTTTTAGTAGAGACAGGGTACTACCATGTTGACCAGGCTGGTCTTGAACTCCTGACCTCAAGTGATCTGCCGGACTCAGCCTCCCAAAGTGCTGGGATTACAGGCATGAGCCGCCATGCCCAGCCCCCAATTTCTTTTTAAAAAACAATTCAGCATAACTCCATCATTTTGTGTTTATATTGCTTGGCTTATCATTGGCCCTCAATCAATGGGGTCCGCTTATAATATGAGCAGTATGCAGCTGTGTGTATTCTAGAGCTCCAGGGGCGTGCTGGCTGCCACGTTTCTCATTTGATGCCCTCCTTAGGTCTTGAGCGTTGCTTCTGCCCGCTCTGCTTGGAGACACCCCATTTCTTGCACCTATTGTCCTGCCGTTGCTATTGCACCGAGAATAAAATCCACACTTCTTTTTTTTTTTTTTTTTTTTTTTTGGAGACGGAGTCTCGCTCTGTCGCCCAGGCCAGAGTGCAGTGGAGCTATCTCGGCTCACTGCAAGCTCCGCCTCCCGGGTTCACGCCATTCTCCTGCCTCAGCCTCTCCAGTAGCTGGGACTACAGGCGCCCGCCACCGCGCCTGGCTAATTTTTTGTATTTTTAGTAGAGACAGGGTTTCACCATGTTCGCCAGGATGGTCTTGATCTCCTGACCTTGTGATCCGCCCGCCTCGGCCTCCCAATGTGCTGGGATTACAGGCGTAAGCCACCGCACCCTGCCAAATCCACACTTCTTACCTTGATCTGCAAGCCCTTCTGAGATTTCCTCTCCGTGCCTGCCTTCTGACTTCCTCACAGGCAGTTTTCCCTTCCACTCCCTGCTCCCCAGCTGTTCTGGCCTCTCTGTTTTTTTTGTTTTGTTTTGTTTTTTTAACCAACCAAGCTCATTGCTGCCTCAGATTCTTTTCTTCTTCTTCTTCTTCTTCTTCTTCTTCTTCTTCTTCTTCTTCTTCTTCTTCTTCTTCTTCTTCTTCTACTTCTTCTTCTCCTTCTCCTTCTCCTTCTCCTTCTCCTTCTCCTTCTCCTTCTCCTTCTCCTTCTCCGTCTTTGTCCTTCTCCTTCTCCTCCTCCTCCTCCTTCTTCTTTTTTTTTTTTTTTATAATAGAGACAGGGTCTCACTATGTTGCCCAAGTTGGTCTCGAACTCCTGGGCTTAAGTGATCCTCCAGCCTCAGCCTCCCAAAGTGCTGGGATTGTAGGTGTGAGCCACCGTGCCCAGGCTGCTTCACGTTCTTTACATTTGCTGTGCACTCTGCTTTGGATGTTTTCCACTATTTTATGGTTGGCTTCTCCTCATCATCATCATTTGGGTCTCAGCTCAAATGTGGCCTCCTCAAAGAGGGTGTCCCTGACTCCCAGTCCAAAGAAGCCCGACATTCATACCCCCATCACTGTTACGGTGGCCTGTTTTATTTTCATCATTGCAGTTATCGCTATCTGTAATTTTTTATTTTCCTTTCTTTTCTTCTCCCTCTCTCTCCCTCCATGCTTTTCTTCCTGTCTTTCCCTAACTGGTCCATGTAGGCAGAGATCTACCCTCTTCACTCTGTCTCCACAAAAGCTAGAACTGTGCCTGATGAATATTCGTGGAATGAATGAATCATTCCTCTATATGTGCTAAGCCTAGAGAAGTGAGCTACTTTAAGACTGGGCCAGTCTTCATTCTTCTTCAAGTCCTTCATTGGTGATTATCTCTTGTTAAGATTGTTAAGTCTGGTTTTGAACTGGACAGTCCATTATTTGAGCACCCTATCTGAAAAATTAGCCGGCATATAAATATTATTTTTAAAAGTGCACATTAAATTTCTTAACCTTAAAACCCTCTGAAGGAGGTATACTTATCGGCCCCATTTTACATATGATAAAAGTAAGGTAATTGGCCAGACACAGTGGCTCATGCCTGTAATTCTAGCACTTTGGTAAGCCAAAGAGGAAGGATTGCTTGAGCCCAGGAGTTCAAGACCAGCCTGGGCAACATAGTGAGACCTTGTCTCTACCAAAAATAAGAATTAAAAATAAAAAAAATTAGCCAGGCATGATGGTGCCCGCCTGTGGTCCCAGCTATTTGGGAGGATCACTTGAGCCCAGGAGGTCGAGGCTGCAGTGATCTGAGATCACACCACTGCACTCCAGCCTGGATGACAGTGAGACCGTGTCTCAACAAACAAACAACAAAAAGAAAACAAGACAGAGGCAATTAATAAATAGTATCTGTTACTATTACTATTGTAAAAAGCACAGCCTTTATCATTGTATCTGAGTAATAATAGTTATACATGCATATTTTCAGAATGTTACAAAGAATATACCATAAAATGGAGATAACACAATAAATGCCACATGGCATTAGCATTAGGGTTTGGTGAAATGATATTCATGAGGGCAACTTTCAAACCTATAAAGAGATATACAGGCTGGGTGCAGTGGCTCATGCCTGTAATCCCAGCACTTTGGGAGGCCGAGGTGGGTGGATCACATGTGGCATGTGGCCAGGAGTCCGAGACCAGCCTGGCCAACATGGTGAAACCTCGTCTCTACTAAAAATACAAAAATTAGCTTGTAATCCTAGCTACTGGTGTGGCTGAGGCACGAGAATCACTTGAACCCAGGAGGCAGAGGTTGCAATGAGCCATGATCATGCCACTGAACACCAGCCTGCACAACAGACCTAGGCCCCAGTCTCAAAAAAAAAAAAAAAAAGAGCAAGAATTTTTCATCTCTATGAATTTTTCATCTCTATAAATTTTTCATCTCTATAAAAAATTTTAAAACTTAGCCAGGTGTGGTGGCATGCACCTGTAGTCCAACTAGTCTGGAGGCTGAGATGGAAGGATCACTTGAGCCCCGGAGTCTGAGGTTACAGTGAGCTATGATTGCACCACTGCACTCCAGCCTGGGCAGCAGAGCGAGAGCCTGTCTCTAAAAAAAATAATAATAAATAAGTACAAATAAATAAATATTTCTTAAATGGCCTTTCTGTCTTTTAAATGTCAACATGAATATATAACCAATGCCCAATTGTCAAAGATTTGAGATTTACATTTAGAATTCCTTTTTTTAGTTTAGAGATGGGGTCTTGCTATGTTCCCCAGGCTGAATTCAAACTCTGGGGCTCAAGCAGTCCTCCTACCTCAGCCACCTGAATAGCTGGGACTACAGGCACATGCCACTGCACCCAGCTGTCATTTAGACTTCTTATGCTAACTCAAATACTTTTTGTTCTTTAAAAATTTTCTCTTTTATTTCACATTAAACACTTATTGGAAAACCAGTGTTATTTTTCAAAATATGCTAATGGAGCCATCATTTAGAAGAAAAAGACAAGTAGCTCTTTAGTGGTGTGCGCCATTTTATAAAAATTCTATTCAGGTGAAACTCCATCAAATTTCTATATGTTTCACCACATTGGCTTGTGAAAGAAAACACTGAAATAGTGACGACGGGGGCAGCTGCCTTACTTAGAATTCTTTGAACAACTGGTTTGGAGAACATTTCAGAGGAGAGTTCATTTAAAGTTCTCTTGTTCATGCCTCGGGCAGTGCAGTGAAATCTGTTTTGGTTCCTTGTGCAATAGACATTTGTTGAATGAATGAATGATGACAGTCGTCAGATTATGAATTTTAAGCTCCAGATAGAGAAGGACTGGCCGGGCGCGGTGGCACATGCCTGTAATCTCAGCACTTTGGGAGGCCGAGGTAGGCAGATCACTTGAAGTCAGGAGTTTGAGACCAGCCTGGCCAATACGGTGAAACCTCATTTCTACTAAAAATACAAAAATTAGCTGGGCGAGCTGGCACATGCCTGTAGTCCCAGCTACTCGGGTGGCTGAGGCAGGAGAATCGCTTGAGCCTGGGAGGCGGAGATTGCAGTGAGCTAAGATTGCGCCACTGCACTCCAGCCTGGGTGACAGAGCTAGACTCTATCTCAAAAATAAATAAATAAATAAATAAATAAAAGAGAGAAGGACTCTGTTGTCCTCTCTTTGTAATCCATGTAGTGCAGTGCCCCCACCATGCTATCTTGATGACCGCTATAGTTTAGATGTTTGTCCCCTCCAAACTTCATGTTAAAATTTGATCTCCAGTGTCAGAGATGGGACCTAATGGGAGGTGTTTGGGTTATGGGTGCAGATCCTTCATGAATAGACTAATGCCCTCCCTCCGGGATGAGTGTGTTCTCACCCGATTAGTTCCTAGGAGAGCTGGCTGTTAAAAACAGCCTGACACCTCCCCACTCTCTCTCTCGCTTCCTCTCTCATCATGTGATCTCTGCGTACACAGGCTTCCCTTTGCCTTCTGCCAGGAGAGGAAGCAGCCTTAGGTTCTCACCAGATGAAAGTGCCCAATTGTAAACTTTCCAGCCATCAGAATTATGAGCAAATAAACCTTTATTCTCTATAAATTACCCAGCCTCTGGTATTCCTTTATAGCAACACAAAATGAACTAAGATGATTACCTTCCTAGATTTTATTTATTCATTTATTTATTGAGACAGAGTCACTCTGTCACCCAGGCTGGAGTGCAGTGGTGCTATCTCAGCTCACTGCAACCTCTGCCTCCTGGGTTCAAGCAATTCTCTTGCCTCAGCCTACTGAGTAGCTGGGATTACAGGTGCCTGCCACCATGCCTGGCTAATTTTTGTGTTTTTTGTAGAGACAGGGTTTTGCCACGTTGGCCAGGCTGGTCTCGAACTCCTGACCTCAAGCGATCTTCCCGCCTTGACCTCCCAAAGTGCTGGGATTACAGGTGTGAGCTACCGTGCCCGGCACCTTCCTAGATTTTATTGTGTCAACTATCTAGAGGCTTGGAGACACCATTGATGCTGTTCAGTAAAATATATGCTTGGGATATAAATGTTCTGTATCCAACTCATGGCTCTTGTCTTGAAGGAGAATTGTATCAGAGCAAGGCTTGAACTCACTCAATTCAGCTATCTGGTCCTAAATGATTCATTCTTTGTAATACTTTTTTTTTTCTGCCAACACTTGAAAATGTAAGATTATTCTACTACTTGTTGAGCAAATATGTACTAGAGAAACAGCAGTGAACAAGATAAAGTCTCTGCTTCGTGGAGACTTCAGTGGAGTAGAGGGAAACAAATAAAAAAGTAAATATAGGACAACAAATAGTGGTATGTGGAGTGCAATAAAGCAGGATTAAGGAAATGGGACTGATGCTTTTTTATATACAGTGTTCAAATGGCCTTATTCTACAGTAATATTTGAATGAAACTTGGTGGATATGAGGGCCTATGGGATGTGTAGGAAGGACATATCCTTGGTATGTTTGAGGACAGCAAGGGGGCCAGTGTGACTGAAGCATAATGTATTGAGAGAGGATAGTAGGATATATAATAAAAATCAGAGGAAGGGGAAAGGGTCAGATTATGAAAGACCTCGGAGGCCACTGTTATACAAGTTTTTTTTTTTTTTTTTTTTTTGTTGTTGTTGTTTGAGACAGAGTCTCACTCTGTCACCCAGGCTGCAGTGCAGTGACACAATCTCGGCTCACTGCAACTTCCACCTCCCAGGTTCAAGCGATTCTCCTGCCTCAGCCTCCTGAGTAGCTGGGATTACAGGCACATGCCACCATGCCTGGCTCATTTTTGTATTTTTAGTGGAGATGAGGTTTCACCATGATGGCCGGGCTGGTCTTGAACTCCCGACCTCAAGTGATCCACCCACCTTAGCCTCCCAAAATGCTGGGATTACAAGCTTTTACACTGAGTGGGATTAGAGTCTGAGCAAAGAGGGGCATGACTTAATCTGAGTAAAGACCTGGCTCCTGTGTTGAGATTCCATTTTAAAGAGTGGAGAAATGGTCAGAAAAAAGACCAGGTATGAGGTTATCT
This sequence comes from Homo sapiens, assembly GCF_000001405.40. Taxonomy (NCBI): domain Eukaryota; kingdom Metazoa; phylum Chordata; class Mammalia; order Primates; family Hominidae; genus Homo; species Homo sapiens. Next base: position 95,427,062 of record NC_000012.12, on the reverse strand, counting down.
ATAGTAATGATCCTTGAGGGATGATGGTAGGTCAGCCAACAGTGAAAGAAGGTAATGAGATTGCATTTCAGATATAGTTTACTGATTAGACTAGGGGATGGATACAGGGTGTGAGAGAAAGCGAGGAGTCAAAGAAAACTCCAGAGCTTTTGGCCTGAGCAATTGGAAGAATGGAGATTCCATTTATTGAAGTAAATAAGAACTAAAGGAAAACTCATTTGGAGAGGAAAACCAAGAGTTCAGTTTTGAACATGTTGGATTATTTAAATATGAGATACCTATAAGATACATTATATAGGAAGTAAGATATTTAAGTCTGGAGTGCAGATGAGATGTCAAAGCTGGAAATACACATTTGTGAGTTGTCAGATGGTTTTTAAAGCCAGTGAATTGGCTGGGCGCAGTGATTCATGCCCATAATCCCAGCACTTTGGGAGGCCGAGGCGGGTGGATGGCTTGAGGCCAGGACTCCAAGATCAGTCTGACCAACATGGTGAAACCCTGTCTCTACTAAAACTACAAAAATTACCCAGGCGTGGTGGTGCACATCTGTAATCCCAGCTACTCGGGAGGCTGAGGCAGGAAAATCGCTTGAACCTGGGAGGTGAAGGTTGCAGTGAGCCAAGATCACGCCACTGCACTCAAACCTGGTTGACAGAGTGAGACTCCATCTCAAAAAAAAAAAAAAAAAAACCACTGAATTGGAGAAGATCATCCAGGGAGTATAGGTAGAGAAGAAAACAAAAGAGGCCTGACGGGGAGAAGTCGACCCATGGGTGAAACCAGTGAAGAGCTGGAGAAGGAATAACCAGTGAGGGAAGAAAACCAAGAGAAAGTGGTGTCCCGGAAACCAAGTGAGGAAAGAATTTCGATTGTGTCAAATGCTATATGGGGATTGTATTATGAGTTGGGGGCTGAATAGTGACCTTTGGATGATGCGTTATAAAAGACTCCAGTGACCTTAAAAGAGGTTTATCTGTGAAGTGGTAGAAAAGTAGACTGGGTTGAATAGAGAAGGAAATCAACTTTCAGAGTTTTCTCGTATACCACTTCACACTCGTTAGGATGGCTATTATTTTAAAACAAAACAAAACAAGAAGTATTGGTGAGGATGTGGGGAAGTTGGAACGCTTGAGCATTGCTGGTGGGAATTTAAAATGGTGCAGATGGTGTGGAAAATGATATGACAGACCCTCAAAAAATTCAACATTGAGGCCGGGCACAGTGGCTCACGCCTGTAATGCCAGCACTTTGGGAGGCCAAGGCGGGCATCACTTGAGGTCAGGAGTTTGAGACCAGCCTGGTCAACATGGCAAAACTCTGTCTCTACTAAAAATTAAAAATACAAAAATTAGCCAGGTGTGGTGGCGGACATCCACAATCCCAGCTACTCGGGAGGCTGAGGCAAGAGAATTGCTTGAACCCGGGAAGCAGAGGTTCCAGTGAGCCAAGATCGTGCCACTGCACTCAAGCCTGGGCGACAGAGTGAGACTCCATCTCAAAAAGAAAAAAAAAAATTAAACATAGAATTACCATATGATCTATCAATTTCACTTCTAGGTATAAACTCAAAGAAGTGAAAGCAAAGACTCAAAACAGATGTTGTACACCCATGTTCACAGCAGCTTATTCACAGTAGCCAAAAGGTGGAAGCAACCCAGGGTCCATTGACAGTTGAATAGATAAACAAAATGTGGTATATCCATACAATGGATGATTACTCACTTTTAAAAAGGAAGGAAATTTTACAGCATGCTACAACATGGGTGAACCTTGAAGACATTATGCTAAGCAAAATAAGCCAGTCGCAAATGGACAAATATCATATGATTCCTCTTATATGAAGTCCATAGATTAGTTAAATTCATAGAGACAGGAAGTAGAATGGCGACTGTCAGAGAGGCTGGAGGAAACGGGGAATGGAGAGTTAGTATTTAATGGGTGCAGAGTTTACATTTCACAAGATGAAAATGGTCTGGGGGTGGATGGCAGTGATGGTTGTTCAACAATATGGATGGACTTAATGCTATAGAAATGTGTATTTTAAAATGGTTAACATGGTAAACTTACTGTTGTGTATATTTGATCACAATTTTTTTTTTTTAAAAAGAGTTTTAAAAAAGAGGGAGCAAACAGCCTGGCCAACATGGTGAAACCCCATCTCTACCAGAAGTACAAAAATTAGCTGGGTGTGGTGGCAGGTGCCTGTAATTCCAGCTACCTGGGAGGCCGAGGCATGAGAGTCACTTGAACTCGGGAGGCGGAGGTTGCAGTGAGCCGAGATCATGCCACTGCACTCCAGCCTGGGCCACAAGAGTGAGACTCTGTCTCAAAAAAAAAAAAAAAGGTCCTAAAAGGTTATGGAGGAAGGAACTGAAGAAACTTGTAGAAGGAGATTGCTGGTCACATAGCTAAGGGAGGGTCAGCTGGAGTCTCACCTTCCTTTAGCCTCTGCATTCCAGATTCAGACCCTGTGCTTCTAAGGGCCCAGAGATGGCTCTTATCAAAGACTAAGGTAATCAGGACCTGAGATATGGACTCGAGCCAAGCAAAATATTTGTGAGACTGGGAAGGCCTGTGGGTGCCAAGTCATGAATTAATTTCTGATTGTTTTGAAAAAAGTCTCTAGGGAGGCACAGTACTTACATACTCTTGGGTCAGCAGCACATTCTATCTCCCGGAGTAGGCCAGATCTTCATTGCAATCACTTTGGTAGCAGAGTTAAACATTCAGAATTCAGTGGGCCATATCAAAAGTGAACCGCTTTGGCACAAGGAGCGCCAAAACAATCCCTTGACTGGAACTCTCAGGATAGCAGTGGCCATGGAGTCTGTTCCCTTTTATAGAAATTTCACATTCGTATAAATACTAGTGTGAAGTACTAGTATAGATACAGCATAGCTCTTTATCTCTCTAGATGTGTTAATACCACTGCCCTGTCACAGCCTTAACATAACGACAGGAGGAACCAACTTAAATGATATTTCTACAGCAATGCAGCCCATCCTTTTTTTTTTTTTTTTTTTTGAGACAGAGTCTCACTCTGTCACCCAGGCTGGAGTGGAGTGGCATGATCTCCACTCACTGCAACCTCTGCCTCCTGGGTTCAAGCGATTCTCCTGTCTCAGCCTCTCAAGTAGCTGGGACTACAGGCCCGCGCTGCCACGCCCAGCTAATTTTTTTATTTTTAGTAGAGACGAGGTTTCACCATGTTGGCCAGGATTATCTCGATCTCTTGACCTAGTGATCCACCCATCTCGGCCCCCCAAAGTGCTGGGATTACAGGTGCAGCCCATACTTTTTTAAAAAAAAACCTTCTTTAAAAATTTTTTTGAGACAAGGTATTGCTCTGTCACCCAGGCTGGAGTACAATGGCATGATCGTAGTTCACTGTAACCTAGAACTCCTGGGCTCAAGCAATCCTCCCACCTCAGCCTCCCCAATAGCTGAGACTACAGGCGCACACCACCACACCCAGCTAATTAAAAAAAATTTTTTTTTGTAGAGATGAGGTCTTGCTATGTTGCCCAGGCTGGTCTTGAACTCCTGGGCTCAAGCAATCCTCCCACTTCAGCCTCCTTAAGTGCTAGAATTACAGGCATGAGCCACTACGCCCGGACCCATTTTTTAAGAGAAACCTGGAATGTAAATGTTTGCAGCATACTTCTAGTCCTCAAATGCTGGCAATAAATCCAATTTTTTTTTTTTTTTTGAGACAGACTCTCGCTCTGTTGCCCAGGCTGGAGTGCAGTGGCACGATCTTGGCTCACTGCAAGCTCTGCCTTCGGGGTTCATGCCATTCTCCTGCCTCAGCCTCCTGAGTAGCTGGGACTACAGGCTCCCACCACCACACCTGGCTAATTTTTGTATTTTTTTTTAGTAGTGATGGGGCTTCACCATGTTGGCCAGGTTGGTCTCGAACTCCTGACCTCAAGTGATACACCGCCTTGGACTCCCAAAGTGCTGGGATTACAGGACAGAGCCACTGCTCCTGGCTGCCTCTAGGTTTTTTACAGTTAAAATTAAGTTTACTATTTTTCTCTCCAAAAATTGATGCCATTCTCAGATGCTAGAAACATTTGCAAATACCAACCCCAGGAATATAAATAAAGGCTTAGTAATCTGAAATCTTTACTGATTGTAACTTCAGAAAACTTGATAGTTTTCAGGAAAAATGAGTGAGTGAAGCAGCTCTGTGCAATTAAAGAAGGATGAAGAACCTCATCTGAGATTAGCACTATGCAATGAAGAGCCCTGGGAGACCCAGCTTTTCTCCCAAGAATGAAACTTTATATTCAGGACTTGACGATTAAAAGAACTGATATTTTCAATAATAAAATCATATTCACTTATAGTATTCCACAGATCACAGGGAGCTTTCTAGCTATTGTCTAGTTTAGTCATCCTGATATCACTGTGGGATGATAATAGAATTTAGAATTTCTTTTTTCTTTTTTTCTTTTTTGAGACAGAGTCTTGCTCTGTTGGCCAAGCTGGAGTGCAGTGGTGCAACCTCAGCTCACTGCAACCTTCGCCTCCCAAGTTCAACCAATTCTTGTGCCTTAGCCTCCCAAGTAGCTGGGATTACAGGCGTGAGCCACTATGCCTGGCTTTTTTTTTTTATTCCAGGCTGGAGTGCAGTAGCACAATCTTGGCTCACTGCAGCCTCAAACTCCTGGGCTCAAGTGATCCTCCCACCTCAGCCTCCCAAGGAGCTGGGACCAGAGATATGTGCCACCATGTCTGGCTAATTTTTAAATTTTTTTGTAGAAACAGGGTCTTGCCATGTTGCCTAGGCTGGATTTCCATTTCATTGAGGAAGAAAACTGAGATTCCAAGGGGCCGAGTAACTTTCCCAAAGTCATATGATTGCTGATAGAGCCATGACCCCAACCCTGGTCTCCTGACTCCCGGGATAATGTTCTTTCTGTAACTTTATCCCTAATTCTCATTCTGCTTGCATATAATGAAAATAATATTAGCAATAATAAATGGTAGTTGTAGTTTTCCCTACAACAACCCCTCTGAGATACGGAAGTAACCTCATCAGTGGTTAAGCCTTTGCTTTTAGAATTCCTGGACTCAAATCCTGGCCTTGGCACTTGCTAGTGATACAATTTTGAACATGTTACTTAGCCTTTCTTTGTCCCAGTGTCATTGTCTGTAACATGGTGCTACGAATGGTGCTTCCTCCAGGGTTGTTCTGAATATTAAGTAAGTCAACACTAAGGCATTTGGAAAAGTATCTGAACATAGTGGATATTACATGTGTTTATTGTTACTATTATCCCCATTGTCTCATATGACCCTCATTGTTACCCTTGGTTATATAGGTATTAATATTGGTACCTGACGGCTCATGAGGCCCATTACATTTGCTTTTACAAGATAATTTCAGCAATAAGTTTTTTACTTTAAAGAACAAGCTGGCCAGGCATGGTGGCTCACGTCTGTAATCCCAGCACTCTGGGAGGTTGAGGCAGGCAGATGGCTTGAGGTCAGGAGTTTGAAACAAGCCTGGGCAATGTGGTAAAACTCCATCTCTACAAAAAATACAAAAATTAGCTGGGCATGGTGGTGTGCACCTGTAGTCCCAGCTACTCAGGAGGCTGAGGCAAGAGGATCAGTTGAGTCCAGGAGATTGAGGCTACAGTGAGCTATAATTGTGCCACTGCACTCCAGCCTCGATGACAGAGAGAGACTCTGTCTCAAAAAATAAAAAAATAAAAAATAAAACAATTTTACTATCACAGAAAGTTTTAGGAGATAACATATTTGTAAAACAGGTCCACCATCAAATAACTAGTAGATAAATTAAGCTTAAAAATTAAGACACATTTACTAGAATGGCTATAATTGGAAAGATAGGCAATAATAAGTGTTAGACAAGATATGGAGAAATTGGGGCCCTCATACATTGCTGATAGGAATGTAAAATAGTACAGCTGTTTTGGAAAACAGTTTGGCAGTTCCTCAGAAAATTAAACAGAGAGCACATGACCTAGCAATTCTGCTTCCAGGTTCATATGCAAGAAAATTAAAAACATGTCCAGATAAAATCTTTTTTTTTTTTTTTTTGAGATAGAGTTTCGCTCTTGTTGCCCAGGCTGGAGTGCAATGGCTCGATCTCGGCTCACTGCAACCTCTGCCTCCCGGGTTCTAGCAGTTCTCCTGCCTCAGCCTCCCAAGTACCTGGGATTAACGGGTATGCGCTACAACGCCCGGCTAATTTTGTATTTTTAGTAGAGACAGAGTTTCTCCATGTTGGTCAGGCTGGTCTTGAACTCCTGGCCTCAGGTGATCCGCCAGCCTTGGCCTCCCTAAGTGCTAGGATTACAGGCATGAGCTACTGTATCCGGCCACATGAAATCTTATAAACAAATGTTTATAACAGCATCATTCATGGTAACCAAAATGTGTAAATAACCAAAATGCCTGTCAGTTGAAAAATGGATAAATAAAATGTGGTATATCCATGCAATAGAATATTATTCGCTCATAAAAGGGAATGAATGAGGCCAGGCACAGTGGCTCATGCCTATAATTTCAGCACTTTGGGAGACCAAGATGGGAAGATTGCTTGAGACCAGGAATTCAGGACTAACCTGGGAAACACAGTAAGACCCTGTCTCTACAAAAAAAAAAAAAAAAAAGCCAGGTGTGGTGGCATTGCCTGTAGTTGCAGATACTCAGAAGGCTGAGGTGGGAGGATCAATTGAGCCCAGGAGTTTAAGGCTACAGTGAGCCATGATCATGCAACTGCACTCCAGCATTGGCCACAGAGTGAGACCCTTTCTCAAAAAAAGAAAAGGAATGAATGAAATACTGATATATGATACAACATAGATGAACATTGAAAACATTATGCTAAGTGGAAAAGGCAAGTCACAAAAGGACACATATTGTATGATTGCATTTCTTTTTTCTTTTCTTTTTTTTTTTTTTTTTTGAGACGGAGTCCCGCTCCGTCTCCCAGGCTGGAGTGCAGTGGCGCGATCTCAGCTCACTGCAACCTCCACCTCCCAGGTTCAAGCGATTCTCTTGCCTCAGCCTCCCAAGTAACTGGGACTACAGGCACCTACCACTATGCCCGGCTAACTTTGTATTTTTAGTAGAGAAGGGGTTTCACCATGTTGGCTAGGCTGGTCTCGAACTCCTGACTTCAGGTGATCCGCCTGCCCCAGCCTCCCAAAGTGCTGGGATTACAGGCATGAGCCACCATGCCCAGCGTATGATTGCATTTCTATGAACTTTCCAAAAAAGGCAAATCCATAGAAACAGGATGTGGATTAGTGGTTTCTAGGCTTTGGGGTGAGAGGGAATTGAGGAGTTACTGCTAATAGGTATGGGGTTTCTTTTGGGGGGTAATAGAAATATTCTGGAATTAGATAGTGGTGATGGTTATACAACTTTGTGAACGTACTAAAAAACCACTGAATACTTTAAAAGGGTGACTGTCAGGCAGGCACAGTGGCTCATGCCTGTAATCTCAGTACTTTGGGAGACAGAGGTAGGAGGATTGCTTGAGTCTAGGAGTTTGAGACCAGCCTGGGCAACATAGTGAGACCCTGTCTCTATAAATAAATCAATAAAAATAAATAAGTAATGGATGCCATGGCTCACACATATAATCCCAGCATTTTGGGAGGCCAAGGTGGGAGGATCACTTGAGCCCAGGAGTTAGAGACCAGTCTGGGCAACATAGTGAGACCCCTGTCTCTCTTTAAAAAAAAAAATTAATTAAAAAAAAGTGGAGAAGCTCCGTAATACTTAAAATAAATAAATAAATAAATAAAATGGTGAGTTTACAGTATGTGAATTATAACCTAAGTTTTAAAGTATGAGAAAAAAAGGAAAAAGAATAAAAGCCTATGAAAACAAAATAAACTGTGGTATTCCAATTCAAATAGACAGCATTTATAATAAAAACTTTTTCCATCCTGGCTAACATGGTGAAACCTTGTCTCTACCAAAAATACAAAAATTAGCCGGGTGTGGTGGCGGGTGCCTGCAGTCCCAGCTACTCAGGAGGCTGAGGCAGGAGAATGGCCTGAACCCGGGAGGCGGAGCTTGTAGTGAGCCGAGATCGCGCCACTGCACTCCAGCCTGGGCGACAGAGCGAGACTCTGTCTCAAAATAAATAAATAAATAAAAATAAAAACTTTTTAAGCCAAGAGACAGAATTCATAATCTCTAAAACTCCAGGCTCTGGAGGTGTTTTGGAATCTGTAGCGAGCATATAAGGGGGTGGCTGTTCCAGCCTGACCAACATGGAGAAACCCCTTCTCTACTAAAAATACAAAATTAGCCGGGTGTGGTGGCACATGCCTGTAATCCCAGCTACTCGGGAGGCTGAGGCAGGAGAATCGCTTGAACCAGGGAGGCGGAGGTTGCAGTGAGCCGAGATCGTGCCATTGCACTCCAGCCTGGGCAACAAGAGCGAAACTCCGTCTCAAAAAAAAAAAAGGGGGGTGGTGGCTGTTGCTTAAACCAAGAACCTTAGTGATTCTTGCAGAGTTTGAATGGAACATGGGCTTTTAGACTCCAAACCCTAGGCTAAATATATTCCATTCTTTTTGCTTCCCTTTATCCAGTGTGTGTGATTACAACAGCTGGCGATGGTTTAGGTTTCTGTAAAAGGGGAGCGAGGGAAAGAAAGAGAAAAACAGCCTTCCTGGAGGAATAGTCTTACCCAGCCTGTTGAGTTTTCTGTGGCCAACTCTGCCCCTGCAACAATAATGTGACTGTGAGTTGGGAGAGGAGTTTATTTTTGTCCTCATGATCTCTCAGGACCTGGCTTCTTGGCATTCTATCAGTGACTAAAAACAGATAGGCTCAGCAGTGCATAGGAAGTCCCAGGAATAGGAAATTTACATGTTTTTGTTTGTTTGTTTTATTGGTTGGTTGGTGCTTTCTTACATTTCTAATTTAGTGTTTTCCTTTTATAGATCCATGCTCTCTTTCTTCTCTCTCTCTGTCTCTCTTTTTTTCTGTTTGTTTTTTTGGGACAGTCTCGCTCTGTTGCCCAGGTTGTAATGCACAGGCGCCATCTCGGCTCACTGCAACCTCCACCTTCCGGGTTCAAGCAATTCTCCTGCTTCAGCCTCCCAAGTAGCTGGGATTACAGCACACACCACCATGCCCTGCTAATTTTTGTATTTTTGTAAAGACGGGTTTTCACCATGTTGGCCTGGCTGGTCTCAAACTCCTGACCTCAAGTAATCTACCTGACTCGGCCTCCCAGAGTGCTGGGATTATAGGCATGAGCCACTGTGCCCGGCCAACTAATCACTTTCTTCATGGCAATGATGAACTTGATAGTTATGAGCACCAGGGGGCTAAGGAAGCACTGAATATTGTCTCTGGGTATATTTTTAACTTTTATAACAGCCAGTATAGAGGGCATGGTGGGTAGAACCACATTATTGGAGCTAGAAAGACTCTAAAAGTTTTCGAATCTCAGCTCTACTGCCAACCAGTTCTGTGAATGTGGGGAAATCTAAATCTTGATTTCAACATCTGTAAAGTGAGGATGACTAAGGGTAGAATGTTGTTGGGAGAATTAAATGATAGCATGCGTATAATTTTCTTGTATTATTTCTTTTGATGCAACCTATTTGTTATGGGAATCTGGACTTATGGACCTCCTAATTCATTTCTAAACTTTAAAAGGCTCTCATGAGTTTTGCTTTCTCTTCAAATGTGTCTTTTTTTTCTTTTATACAGCTTATAAAATATTTTTTTCTCCATAGGATGAATTCATTCTACTTCATAGATTTAATATAGTTTCTTGCTTTAGATTTATAGTTTAGCACAAAACTTAATAATGACACAGAGGGGCATTGTATCCTGGAAGCCTTTATGTGGGTGTGTGTGTGTGCTTTTACTGTTACTCAATTGCTAAAAGAAGGAACAAAAATAAAACATGAATCCTTTATGAGTAGCCTCATGTGGAAGGGCAGTTCTTAGAACAAAAGCATAAACAAACAGTCTTTTAATAAATCAAGAAATTATGCAGCCAAGTTTTTAGTTTAGAAGGCAGATTCATTTCCAGAGCAAATAATACACATTTTTTCTTTTTGAGATGGAGATATGCTGTGTCGCCAGGCTGGAGTGCAGTGGCATGATCTTGGCTCACTACAGTCGCCGCCTCCCAGGTGTGATCCTCCCACCACAGCCTCCTGAGTAGCTGGGGCTACAGATGTGTGCCACCACGCCTGGCTAATTTTTGTATTTTTGTAGAGACAGGGTTTCATCATGTTGGCCAGGCTGGTCTCAAACTCCTGACCTCAAGTGATCCTCCTGCCTCGGCCTCCCAAAGTGCTGGGATTACAGGCATGAGCCACTGTGCCCGGCCTCACAGATGCTAAGTACTCAGGCTGGTTAATGGGAGAGTCAAAAACAGAACTCAAGTCTATTGACTGCTGAGAATGTGTTTTCTCTGGTAGATGGGAATCTGTCTGAAACTGGGAGAAGCTAAAGAGCCTTATCTGTAGGTCCACACAGTACGTAGGGATTCTTGAAAGGCCTCAAATACTTGAGACGCCATCATAAAGTTTTTTTTTTTTTTAAGAGATGGGATCTCACTATGTTGCCCAGGCTGGTCTCGAACTCCTGGGCTCAAGCAATCTGCCACCTTGGCCTCTTGAAGTGCTGGGATTACAGGCGTGAGCCACTGGGCTCAGCCCACCATCATAGAGACTTAATTACTTAAGGTTAAAGCTTCGATCCCATTTCAGTGCAAATCCCCTTGAGGAGAGGTTATTCTTAGGCTGATGATTTGCATACTTTGACACAAATGGATTTTGGTTCCTTTTACACATAGGCTTTGGTAGACTGATGGCTGGGCAGGATTTACACAGTGAGTACTGAACTGGTATAAATTTTGAAATATCCCTTTTCTCTTTGTTTGTTTATTTATTTATATTCTTTTTGTATTTAATATGTGTGTCTTCTTTTTTAAGGTTGGATCTTTCAACATCCTTACTCAAAATGGGAAATTCTGAAGTGGAAGACAGTCCCCAGTATAGCTGTGAAGAGACTACAAGTAGCCATAATTCAAATGTAGGAAGCCCTCCATAGTCTTTATAATCATAGACTTTTATAAAGCATATGGTTTGATGGGCAAGAAGAAACGCAGAGCATGTGGCCCCCCAGACAAGTCACCTTATCACGATACCTGCCTATTGTATCTGTAATATGAAAACATATATACACAGCTGCACACACAAACTCCTCTCTTCCTGGTAACTTATGGGAAATTCACTATATGGCACATGAACTTATCAGTGCATCAGCCTTGTTAGGTGACTGGTACAGGATTATATGTGAAAATAGTGGGGAGTAAAAACAAACAAAAAAGGAAAGTAGTGGGGAGGAGGGAAGGAAGAAAAGAGGAAGCCAGGGAAAGAAAAGTCAGTTGTAGGCAAAGCACCGTTCTAAGAAAACATAAATCCAGTCCCTATATTCAAGGAACTTATCTCCTAGAATGGGAAACTAAGCATTTCAGCAAGCTAACAATCAACAGAGGACAAATCAAATAATCAGGAGGTAACAATAGAAACCACTGACAAAATATCTAGTCTGTGCTAGACAGCAGACCTGATGCTTTAAATAGGTCATGTATACTCCTCACAAAAACCCCATGAGACAGGTATGATGACCCCACTTTACAGATGGTACCGATGTACCATAAAGTGTGGCCATTTGTTCACAGTGATACAGCTAGAAAAAGGCAGAGCCAGAGGTAAAACCCAGCTTTATGTGACTCCTAAGTCCATTTATTTATTTTTCTTTTTTATTTATGTTATTATTTTTAGAAACAGAGTCCTGCTCTGTCCCCCAGGCTGGAGTGCAGTGGCACAGCATGGCTTACTGTCATCTAAAACTACTGGGCTCTAGTGATCCTCCTGCCTCAGCCTCCTGGGTAGCTGGGACTACAGGTGTGTGCCATTACACCCAGTTAATTTTAAAATTTTTTATAGAGATAGGGTCTTGCTATGTTGCCCAGGCTGGTCACAAACTCCTGGGCTCAAGTGATCTTCCTGCCTTGGCCTCCCAGGGTGTTGGGATTACAGGTGTGAGCCACTTTGCCCGGCCCATTTTTCACCATGAATTGTTTCTACTCCAGTTCTTCACCTAGCATCTGGTGTGAAAAAAACCACTTATCGCTTTTCAGGGTGTATTTTAAACATAAAGATGCTTGGTATTTAAATTTTTCAAAAATTTAGAAAGGTGTCAGAAAGAAATTAAAATCACACAATATTATCACCAAGAGAATACCGTTTCAACATTTTGGCATATTTTCTTCCAAACTTTTCTCCAATATACATACACACACACCCCACGCATACATATAGTGAATATATACTATGTATTTGTGTGTGTGTGTGTATATATATATATATATAATATACTTATTTTTTGAATAACATTTTTGTCCTGCTTTTTTATTCTTTCACTTGATCATTAGCATTTTCCTGTGATATTAAGTTCTTCAGAAAAAAGATTTTGAATGGCTGCTTTGAATTCCATTGCATGGATGGTCTATGATTTTTTTGAACCATTCTCCTATTATTGAACATTTATGTTTGTACAACTATCCTACATTTTTTTTGTTTCTTTGGGTCCTTCCTAAAGCTAGATTTCTCAAAGTGAAATTTTGTTAAAGGATATGAACATTTTTAAGGCTCTAGAGATGTACCACAAAATCGCTTTTCAAACAAAAATGCCAGCTAACTTTTCATAGCAAAGTATGAGAGATCCCATTGCAGCATTCTTTTTTTTTTTTTTTTTTTTTAAGAAATGCAGTCTTGCTCTGTTGCCCACGCTGGTCTCGAACTCCTGGCCTTAGGCCATCCTCCTGCTTCAGCCTCCCAAAATACTGAGATGACAGGCATGAGCCACCGCGTGCAGCTCCATCACAGCATCCTTAGCACTGAACAGAATTAACATGCTTGTTCAACTTTGCAAAATTGGTAGGCAAAAAATACTCTTTTAAGTGTCTATTTCTTTAATAATTAGAGAGATTTAACTTTGTATTTCTTGATCTTTTAAGAAATTTCTGGCTGGGCACAGTGGCTCACACCTGTAATCCTAGCCCTTTAGGAGTAGGTAGCATATTTTAATGGAAAGAAAACCAAACTTGCAGGGAGTGTACAGGAAGTGTGTGTGTTTTCTGCTTTATTTTGCTATGAACCTAAAACTGTTCTGAATAATGAAGCATTTTTTTTATTTGAAAGAATGTAAAACCCCAGTTGAGGTCAGAACACTCAGGTTCCTTAGTCAATGGGTGCGGGATCTTGTGTAAGTTACTTGGACTCCCTGAACCTCAATGTCTTCAGTCAGTTAGGGAAAATAACATGTCTCTGTTTAGTACTGCGGGTTATAAAGCTGAAATCAACACAATATACATAAACATGTTTTGTAGACACTAAAGCACTAAGCAAGTAAAAGGTATTTTAAAAATAATAACGTAATACCATCAGAGGTTGTTTCTTTTTTTTTTTTTTTTTTTTGAGACGGAGTCTCGCTCTGTCACCCAGGCTGGAGTGCAGTGGCATGATCTTCGCTCACTGCGACGTCCCCCTCCCAGGTTCAAGCAATTCTCCTGCCTCAGTCTCCCAAGTAGCTGGGATTATAGGCATGCACCACCATGCCCAGCTAATTTTTGTATTTTTAGTAGAGACAGGGTTTCACCATGTTGGCCAGGCTGGTCTTGAACTCCTGACCTCAAGTGATCCACCCCCCTCACCCTCCCAAAGTGCTGGGATTACAGGCATGAGGCACTGTGCCCGGCCCAGAGGAGCTTTCTTGAAACAAGTGGGTTTAGAACCAAGAAGAGATGGCTTGACAGAGATGATGATAGAGGAGGAGAGTTTAGCTGGCACACAGCAGCAGGGATGAGTAAGAGGCCATTATACATGACCCATAATAACAAACTCTCACGGCAGTGGTTTTTTAATGAGATTTGCTGAAGTTGCTAGAATTCATTCCCAAGGGATCTGTCATGCGTAGACTCCAAGCTTTAAAAACAGCACATGTAATTTTATGTGTATGATGAAACATTTCTGTAAGAAAAGCAGCAAAATCTTAACATCCCCAGGTTACTGGCATTAGAAATACCATGGAGATTAAATTAATACTTGCTGGATGAATTGCAATTTTAGGCAAATCAGAACTTTCAGCCTAGTTACCCTACCAAATTTCTATGTTTGCTCAACATGGAACATTATAGAACTTTACTATTAAGTCAGGCCCAGGGAGATTAAGGGCAGGAAAAAAGACAGAAGCTTCTCTAACTCCAGGGGCAAGTCTACCCTGGGATAGACTCTGTGGATTTATCACAAGAAGTCTGGTCTGACAAACATAGTGAAACTATCCCAGACCAGTTCCCAAGGTACTTCTGAAAGCAGAGCTCATTCCCCAGGAAGGGTCTATGTGGACCTTCTGTCTGGTGCTGAATCAGATCTCTGGTCTGTAATTGATGACACTCAAGTTCTCTGATTTTAGTCATATTCACTGTTGCAGCATGGCGGTGCAAAGCAGGGGAATTCTGGGCTTGCTTCTAATCCTGATCCTACTATTCTTTAGGTGTGCGACCAGGGATATAAGAGTCAATATAGCATAAAGGTTTAGAACCCAGGCTCTGGAGTCCACATGACTCTCATTTGCCAATCATGGGATTTGAGACATTTAGCTTCTCAAAGCTCTACTTTCCTCGTGTAAAATGGGAATCCTAATAGAATCTGCCTCATAGGGTTATTGAAAGCATTAAATGAAATCATAAGCTAAATACCTTAGCACAGTCTCTAGAGTATAGCAAATGTTTGATAAGCAGTTAACTATTATGTTGCAATTATTGTTCCCTTTTCTGCATTTGGCTCCCTCATCTGTAAAATGGGATTAGATATTCTCCAAGCATCCTTCAGCTCTTACATTCAACGAGTGCCCCTACCATATTGAATTTAGCTTACTATTAGATTAGAGCCAATCTGAGATAAAGATTGGCTTTGAGATGTAGTTTGAGATTTGAGATATAGTTCCTTTTTGAGATGTAGTTCCCTTTTATTCCAGCCTCTGTCTTAGAGGGCTAGAACAATTGGGTAACTTGTGAGTTAGAGAATGACTGTTCCGTAAGACCTGAAAATGGCTTTCCCTGGGAATGACCAGCTGCCTGAAACTTCCAAGAAACCATTTTGTGCAAGTATTAGGGTACCTTTGACAAATGAATAAACTTGGTGATAATTGTCACCTGTTGGAGAATCCAGGGATCAACTTCTGGCCCTCAGGCAAGAGGAAAGCAGGACAACTACCACTGTCAACCTTGAGAAAAGGCAGAGAAAAGGCCGTCTTTGTTGGCACGCCAGGCTGATTGGCCTTGACACAATGACTAAAAGACTCTTTGTCTAGGGCATGTTAAAGGGATTAGAAAAGGAAGCACTGCTTTTAAAAAGGTAATGGGGAACTTTCCCAAATTACAGCTGCCTACTCAACGTATTTGATTAATGTGGCATTTATAGAATGTGAGAGATTTTGCCTGGGTTTTTTTTTTGCACAAGGGCTTTTGTATCTGAATTTTTGGCCTTGTTAGTAGGGAGGGGAAGTGTGCCTTTTTTCTCCCAATGATTATAGGTACTCATACTTTAGAGTACTTAGCTTTCTTTTAAGAATAATCCAAAAGGTCCATTTGTAGAAAGTCAGAAAAATAGAATCCCGTATAGGCACTGAATGAAAGGGCTGTGGTGTAGGCTTGGAAAGTGGTCATTAGGCTTGGGCTTGTAAATATGTGTTGTTAGGCTGACATTCTGCCAGCCTTTGGTGCTTTTCAATGGAGTGGCATGCGTGTGTTCTGGGGTGGGGAAGAGTGGCAATCTATAAGTGCTTTGCTTTTGTCACATTGTTCAAAAATTCTGCCCGCTCACCTCATTTTTGACAGTGGGATACATTTTCATGAGAATATGGGAAAGAAAGGAAGGAGAGTCAGGAGGAGGGAAGCAAGAGAAGAGACAAAAGGGAAGGGAGAGGGGGCAGTTGTTTTAACCAAGCATTTCTATTTTCCAACTACTCAGTGAGTGGCAGATCTGGCCCTTATCCACCCTTCTGGCTCTAGTTCCTTCCCCAACAATGGTGTTGCTATTATACTTTTCCCTGCTTTCTTAATCAGCTGTATTATTTCCAAGTACTTATTCTTTTTTTTTTTTTTTTTTTTTTTTTTTTTTTGAGACGGAGTCTCGCTCTGTCGCCCAGGCCGGGCTGCGGACTGCAGTGGCGCAATCTCGGCTCACTGCAAGCTCCCCTTCCCGGGTTCACGCCATTCTCCTGCCTCAGCCTCCCGAGTAGCTGGGACTACAGGCGCCCGCCACCGCGCCCGGCTAATTTTTTGTATTTTTAGTAGAGACGGGCTTTCACCTTGTTAGCCAGGATGGTCTCGATCTCCTGACCTCATGATCCACCCGCCTCGACCTCCCAAAGTGCTGGGATTACAGGCGTGAGCCACCGCGCCCGGCCCTTATTCTTAATCCTTTAAAAAGTTTCCTTTCAGCATAGCTCTTCCCACTCCCCAAGCCCCACACCCATCCAGTAAATGTGCCACATGTATACACACACACACAAAACACAGAGACCAATTCTCCTCAACACTCCAAATCCTCCTTGACATATGTAAGCTCAATTTTAGGAAATTTTAAGCATGCCTTAAAAATGAAAACTACTGGGGATTCCCAGTGGACTCTGCTCTGAATCTGAAGGAACTCTCCAAGGGTGGCTTCAGAGATTTGTCTTCACGCTGTTGCTGAGATCTAGTTGTTTGTTTTGAGCTTTACTCTATGTCCACATTGGAAATGCACAAACTGCTGACTTCTTTGAGAAGAAGGCTCCCAAGTCTCCTAACTTCTCCTAACTAGGGTCCTGGTACTTCTGGCTGTTCTCAAGGGTTGGTCTTCATTCTGTCCGGTTACATCCCCACACTGTGTTTTGTTTTGTTTTGTTTTGTTTTTAGACGGAGTCTCTCTCTGTCACCCAGGCTGGAGGGCAGTGGTGCGATCTCAGCTCACTGCAATCTCCCCATCTCGGGTTCAAGCGATTCTCCTGCTTCAGCCTCTCAGGTAGCTGGGATTACAGGCGTGCACCACCATGCCCGGCTAATTTGTGTATTTTTAGTAGAGACAGGGTTTCACCATGTTGGCCAGGCTGCTCTCGAACTCTTGGCCTCAAGTCATCTGCCTGCCTTAGCCTCCCAAAATGCTGGGATTACAGGTGTGATCCACTGCACCCAGCCCCCACATCTGTTTCAATGAGTGAGAAGCCCAGCAGCCTGCCTTTGGGTGCTGGGGCCAAGGAGTAGAGGCAAGCCAGCCAGTCTATGCAGATATTAAACAGGTGATGCTGGTGTCCAAGAGAGCTAAGCATGTCTCTCCAGTACATGACCTCTGCTTTACCAGCTTGACTCCTGGAGGCTTCTCCTTTTAATTTTTATTATACTATTATTTTTAGAGACATGGTCTTGCCGTGCTACTCAGGCTGGTCTTGAACTCGTGGCCTCAAGCAATCCTCCTGCCTCGGCCTCCCAGTGTGTTGGGATTACAGGTGTAAGCCACTGCACCTGACTGAGGCTTCTAATGGAATGTTGCTAACAGCTACTGTTTGGCATGCTTGGGTACAGGAGTGTCTGTGGTTGTGTTTATAAGTATGTGCATACACACACGTGCACGTGTGTGCATGTGTGTTGGGATTGAAAAGCTGGGCTGGGCAAGAACTAGGAAGGTCTGCTTCATCAGCTTTATCCTCAGATACAGAGCCCGGGGAGGTCTAGTAATGAATTTGGAATTGGGGTGTGCATGACATTGAATCCTGGCTTTACCACGTAGCCACGTAGCCGTATAACTCAGGCACTTCTTTTGTTATGAGTCTTGCCTGTGGAAGAAACCTAATGAATATTTGTGAATGATACATGAATATTCTAAGATGCTACCTTCATATCAGGGTCTCAGTGTAAAACCTAGGAATGACAGGTATTTTTTCCTTTACCACGTTATTATTAACAAATGTGTAGGTTCCTCACCAAATTGTAACCATAACAACTAGGATTTGTAGGATGCATACTAAAGGCGGGGGTCTATGCGCAGAGGTTTGTATTCATTAATCAGATAATTCTTACATTTCCAATAGGTATTAGCGTCCCCATTTTACAGATGAAGAAACCAAGACTCAGAGGAGTTTAGTAGTCTGTCCTCATTCCCGTGGTGCCAAGTGGCAGAGTCAGGATTCACATTTAGTTTATTTTTTATTTTTATTTTTTTTAGACAGAGTCTTGCTCTGTTGCCCAGGCTGGAGTGCAGTGGTGTGATCTCGGCTCACGCAGCCTCTGCCTCCCAAGTTTGAAGCAATTCTTGTGCCTCAGCCTCCTGAGTAGCTGGGATTACAGGCGCATGCCACCATGCCCAGATAAATTTTTTTTTGTTGTTGTTATTTTTAGTAAAGACAGGATTTCACCACGTTGGCGAGGCTGGTCTCAAACTTCTGGCTTCAAGTGATCCACCCACCTCAGCCTTCCGAAATGCTGGGATTACAGGCATGAGACACCACGCCCGGCCTCACAGTTCGTTCTTATCTAGAGCCTGTACTGCTCCATGCTGCTCCTGTGAGCACAGGGACGATGCACTATTCCTTATATTTCCTACAGCCTCTGGTACAGTGCTGCACACACAGGAGGTGCTCAATAACTGTTTAAATTGGAAGCACTCAATACACACTAGCTAGGGACTCAGGATGAATCTTGAAATCCAGCTCTTCCGACTTAAAGGAAGCTTATTACATCCATGTAAAGGTGAGGCTCCAGGGGCCTCAAACAGAGCCCCTGGCCCTCCTGCAGACCTTGATAAGACCAAGAAGCAAGCCGTGTCTTGAATTCTCTTCTTTTGAACAGCAAAATAGAAGAAGCAAAGCAAAAAAAAGAGGGCGTCAACAAACAACTTATCCGGCGCCGCTATGAGGACCTGGAAGGCGTGGAGGAGAGCAGGGATCAGCAGTGCTCACAGAGTTTCTGGCTGGAGCTGCTGGAGAAGAAGCCTCAGATGCCAATTGTCAAAAAGGCTGACCCCAACATGAAAAAATTCCATTACGCTCTGGTGGATGGCTCCTCTCTGACCTAATATCCTTGTGAAAATCCCAGGCGGGAAGGAGGATGAAGGGGGCAGGTCGTGATGGAAGGGGCTGACAGCTGGGGGTTTCCATTTCAGCAGAAAAAACCCAGGAAGGATTGGGAAAAGAGGTCTCAGACCTTGAGTTTGTTAATCCCTTTTTACCAATGGTCCACATCCCCACAATCTGGGGGCAAGAGAAATCAACCCAAAAAAGAAGTTGGGGCAAGTTCCTCACTTTACAACCTTCTTTTTTTATTTTTATTTTTTTTCCCCACAGGATCCTGCTCTGTTGCCTAGGCTGGAATGCAATGGCACAATCTTGGTTCACTGCAGCCTCAGCCTCCCAGGCTCAAGCCATCCTCCCATCTCAGCCTCCTGAGTAGCTGGGATTACAGGCACATGCCACCATGCCCGGCTAATTTTTGTATATTTTGTACAGACAGGGTTTTACCATGTTGTCCAGGCTGGTCTCAAACTCCTGGCCTCAATTGATCCTCCTGCCTCGGCCTCCCAGAGTGCTGGGATTAAAGGCGTGAGCCACTGCACTCAGCCCAAGCTTCCTTCTTTTTAAGGGAAGCTCTGGTCATCGTGCATATATTTTTTTGCACGTTTTTGTTTGTTTGTTAATTCTAATTTTTTAAACAATGTTTTAATATTACATTAAAATAGAGACAGTGTCTCACTATATTGCTCAGGCTGCTGTCAAACTGCTGGCCTCAAGTGATCCTTCTGCCTCAGCCTCCCAAAATGTTGGGATTACAAGTGTGAGCCACTGCACCCAGCCATGTAGCTGATATTTGTGTGAAGTGCCTGAGGGCTCAGGTGATTCTGAGAAACAAGTTGTCCTTGGTTTATTTTCCTGCTTAGAGAGAATGCCATGGGGATTTAGCATCTAGAGAATCTAGCTAAGAAAGAAGAGAACTTTTATAATCAGCTCCTACAAATCCAAAATGAAAAAGGCCTCAAGAGTCCATTGCAGACAGTTTTGGAGAGGTCGGTACAGGTAGGTTTTGTGAAATTGTTCGCATATCTGTAATCATCCTCAGCCCCTCTTTACCCCTACCTATCCACAGATGTTGTCAGGACAACTGATCCTCCTGCTCTATGCTGGAACGAGCTCATTGAGAAATACTAGGTCACAATGCACAGCTTTGGTTTCCAGCACTCTAGCCATTAACAGGACCAGTCTAACCAGACTCCCTTGTTATTATTCACAGATTGGCTTCAAAGAATTTAGGATTAAAATGAGGGTGCAGAAATACGCATGGATGGGAAGAACATGCTGCTGAAAATCATGAAGCCTGTGTGCTGGTCTGGCGCTACCGTTATCACGCTCAGAGACTATGGGAGTGAGAGGCACCCTCTCTGGCCCTCCCATTGCCTTATCTGTAAATTGCTGATTTTTTTTTTTCCCCGAGATGGAGTCTTGCTCTGTCACCCAGGCTGGAGTGCAGTGGCGAGATCTTGGCTCACTGCAACCTCTGCCTCCCGGAATCTAGCAATTCTCCTGCCTCAGCCTCCCAAGTAGCTGGGATTACAGGTGCCCACCACCACACCCGGCTAATTTTTGTATTTTCAGTAGAGACAGGGTTTCACCGTGTTAGCCAGGCTTATCTCGAACTCCTGACCTCATGATCCGCCCACCTCAGCCTCCCAAAGTGCTGGGATTATAGGAGTGAGCCACCGTGTGCAGTCTGATTTTTTTTTTTTTTTTTTGAGATGGAGTCTCACTGTGTCACACAGGCTGGAATGCAATAGTGCAATCTCGGCTCACTGCAACCTGCACTTCCCAGGTTCAAGCCTTTCTCCTGCCTCAGGCTCCCAAGTAACTGGGATTACAGGCATGTGCCACCATGCCCAGCTAGTTTTGTATTTTTAGTAGAGACGGGGTTTCAACATGTTGGCCAGGCTGGTCTTGAACTCTTAACCTCAAGTGATCCACCTGCCTTGGTCTCCCAAAGTTCTGGGATTACAGGCATGAGCCACGGTGCCTGGCCTGTAAATTGCTGATTAAAAAATAAAATAGGCCGGGTGCGGTGGCTTACGCTTGTAATCCCGGCACTTTGGGAGGCCAAGGCAGGTGGATCACCTGAGGTCAGGAGTTCGAGACCAGCCTAGCCAATGTGGTAAAACCCTGTCTCCACTCAACATACCAAAAAATTAGCTGGGCATGGTGGCACACACCTGTAATTCCAGCTACTTGGGAGGCTGAGGCAGGAGAATTGCTTGAACCGGGGAGGTGGAGGTTGCAGTGAGCCGAGATCACACCACTGTACTCCAGCCTGGGTGACAGAGCAAGACTCCATCTCAAAAAATAAATAAATAAATAAATAAGGACGTATGTATGACAGCTAACATCTTTCTATATAAGAATTATTATTGTTAATGAATATCAATTCCTTAACCTGGATTGTATCTATCCTTCTGGGCACCTAGCTGTCTGTCAGAGCTATTCTGACCTCCCTTCAGGTGGTGTGTACACCAGCGTATTCAGTGACTTGCCAAATCCAGTTATCCTTGGAACCTTTACACCTTTTGGATGTGGCAGCATTTCTTTTCCTAAGAGGTACATGAGATTCCAGACAAACTAGAACTTTGGGGTAAGGTAAGGGGGTGGGTATGGGTGGGGGGGGTGGCAAGGGGTCGGGGGTAGGGCAGAAGAAAAGCTAACTCCTGACAAAAGGGAAGCAATCTTTCTAATTCTCACTCTAATTGGGAAAGCAGGTAAGGAAAAGGAAACGTACACACGTGCCCAAGGCTGTTCCTTGTACAGATTTGCATTAGCTTAGGTTGGAAGACCATGGGTCTCAATCCAGTTGCACCACCTGTGTGGAGATCTGTGGCTCTCTAGAGCAGAGGGACCTGCACAAAGGCAAGACCCTAGGAAAGCACAGACTGGGAGCTGAATACGGAGGCTGTCATTTCAGAGAGCCAGGTATCAGCTGGGCCTCCCTCACCCTTAAGAACTAGATAACACTGGCAGGACCCCCATTCCCTGCCCCAAGGATTGTCTCGTATCCCCCTTGAGATTTTTTAACTGGGCATGGTGCTCATGCCTGTAATCCCAGCACTTTCAGAGGCCGGGGCAGGAAGTCTGCTTGAGCCCAAGAGCTCGAGACCAGCCTGGGCAAAATAGTCAGATGCCCATCTCTACAAAAAAATTAAAAATTTTAGCTGGGTGTGGTGGTGCATACCTGCAGTCCTAGCTACTAAGGAGACTGAGGTGGGAGGATTCTTTGAGCCCAGGAGTTAGGGGTTGCAGTGAGCTGTGAACTGCACCGTTGTGCTCCACTCTGGGTGACAGAGCGAGGCCCTGTCTCAAGTAAAAATAGATAGATAGATATAAATGATAGAGATAGATAGATAGATGATAGATAATAGATAGATAGATAGATACATACATACATACATACATACATACATACATACATACATACATGCAAGATTTCTGCAAAGTTCTTAGGGATTATGATCTCATGGTCTCCTCTGGCTTTGACATTCCGCCTCCTTGGAATCTGTTTCTCTCGTCTGTGCCTTGTATCTGTAGGTTTATTTTGGCTCCTTTTTGATTTGAGGCAACTGGGGAATTTGCTCCTTCTCTTAATTTTCACATATAAAAACTGTTCACCCAAGGCCTGTGAGGGTAGCCGAGCATCTTGATGTTTGGGTCATGGGGAATTTACAGTAGAGTAATACAAGTAATTTCCTTGGAGTGTAAAATGTATTGAAGTGTTCATTTTGTCCTAAAATGTTGCCCAATATTTCATGTTTTCCTCTCCTGGATCCTCTTTTTTCTCTTTTCTAAGAGCCCCCTTTTCCCCCCTCTTATGCCACCCCTCCTCTCCAAGCCTTTCCATTTTCTTATGGAAGATATATTCAACTTATTATAGCTGTACACCCAAATCAGCTAACTTTTACTTGGTGAACAATTTGGATGAGCCATCCTGAGGTGGGGGGTGGCAGTGAGAAATCAAGGAAGAGAGGTGCAGTTACTTTATCATCTCACCCTGCCCTCAGCCATAACATTACTATAAGTTTTATTCATTTGCTTACATATTTTTTCCTTCTTCCTTTCCTGTAGTAAATATTTATTGAGCATCTATTACATTCCAGACACTCAGAATAAAGAGTAGTGTAAGATGCAGTTCCTGTTTCTCAAGAGCTGTCTTGTCAGGAGCCTACAGGCAATATTTAAAAAGAAAAAAAGGTCAGGCATGGTGGCTCACACCTGTAATCCCAGCACGTTGGGAGGCCAAGGCAGGTGGATCACTTGAGGTCAGGAGTTCAAGACCAGCCTGGCCAACATGGAGAAATCCTGTCTTTACTAAAAATACAAAAATTAGCTGGGTGTGGTGGCGCACCTGTAGTCCCAGCTACTGGGGAGGCTGAGGCAGGAGAATTGCTTGAACCCCGGAGGCAGAGGTTGCAGTGAGCCTAGATGGCACCACTGTACTCCAGCCTGGGTAACAGACCAAGACTCCATCTCAAAAAATAAATAAATAAATAAATAAAAAGAAAAAATACAGAAAATTGAAACAAAAAGCCATCTGTAGAAGATATTTATATATATTGATTCAACAAATATTTGCAAAGTACCTAATAATGTGAGTACTGTTTAAGCACTGGGGAGATAGCAGGGAACAAGATAAAGTCTCTGCCCTTGTATAGCTTACGTTTTAGTGAAGGGAGGCTGAGTAAATAAATATATTCCATATCGGGTGGAGAAAAGTGCTGTAAAAAAAAATAAAGCAGGAAAGAGGGACTAGAGGATAGTGGGAATGGGGAGATGCTATTTTGGGAGTGGCCAAGGAAGGCCTGTTTGATATGGGGACATCTGAGCAGAACCTGTGGAAGTGAGGGGCAGACATGCTGTTGTAGGCAAACTGTTCCAGGCAGAAGGAAATGTCAGAGCAAAGCCTTCCGGTAAGAGCACGCTTTACAAATCCAAGCAAAACCATGACCTCTAGAATGCTGGCTCCTGGAAAATATCACCCAAATATCAACCTGTTGACAAGAAAAAAGTGAGTTTATTCATACCAAGGGAAGGGAAAGCACTACCTTGCCACGGTCTTGGTATTGGTAGCTTCCCGTGAGTGGGGAGGACAACCTAAGTATCTACCAGCTAAGGAATGGGTGAGTAAGCTACAAGGTACTGTTGTCATGGATACAAATCTCCATCCACACATCCAGGTGAGCAGGAAAAACAACTTTTTTTTTTTTAATTGAGACAGGGTCTCGCTCTGTTGCCCAGACTGGAGGGCAGGCCACTACACCTGGCTAATTTTTGTATTTTTTGTAGAGATGGGGTTTCAGGATTTCTGCTATGTTACTCAGGCTGATCTTGAACTCTTGAGCTCAAATGATCCTTTCACCTCCCAAAGTGATGGTATTACAGGTGTGAGCCATCACGGCCGGCCAAAAGCAACTTGGAAAAAAAAAATTCTGCCACTCAACTTAATTTCTAGGTAAGCCCCTACCAGTAGGTAGCAGAGACTTGCAGCCCTGGAATCCTCTCTCTATGAGTTCATCTCAGCTCCAGCGAGCTGAAGAAATGACAAGGCATTGGCGGTTGGGGGATTGACATCTGATACTCAGGCACTTTCATTCCAAATGGTCTGCAGTGATTGGTCCCTGAAGCTGACAGCTGTGTCCCCTGGACCCCAGTTTCCCCGGCCTCTCAGGGCAAGCTCACTCTCAGCTGCTTCCACATCCTTGGCACAAGAGAAACACTTGTTTGTTCCTGTCCTGGGCAGAACGTGGGGAAATGGAGACTGTCTTGCACACAACCATCTGTTCTCCTTCTCTTGAGTTATGTTGGGCCTGAGGTCAGCTTCCAGGCTTTCCAACCTGGGGCCTCTATTGAGTTCCCCCATCCTACCTACAACTTGGCCTAAGGAGGACAGCACACGGCTGTTTCTCAGGGAGCCTCTCACACCTGGATCTCATCCTCCCACACTGCTTCCCATCCCCTACTCCTCTGGGGTGGAAAAACCTGCTCCTGATATTACATATTCTTCCACATCCCCTTTGCCATGTGTCTAGATCTCAACTTCTTAAACTCAAAAGCCAAGAATTTGACACTTCTGTTCTCATAACCCTTTCCAGAAGCCTTAGGTGATGTCCAATATCTTAGTTGAGTAGGAGAAGGTCATGGGTAAAAAGGAAAGACTGGGAAGAGAAAACATGGCAAATTTCTCCCACTACATTACATAGCATGCCCAAGTGTTAATACTTGGAATATACATATATGTGTATATAAACATATATATCTCCAAAATAAATTTAATTAATTATTTTATGTATATGTTACAATAAAGAACATGTAACAATCTACACACTGTGTTTATAGTCAGTTAATAAGGAGTGCATAGGTATCATTGCATTTATAATCAGAAAAACCTAAATATTATTTTTAAAATCCATATTTTATATATATATATGTATATATATGTGTGTGTGTATATATATATATACATTGTACCTATCCCGTAGTACGATTGTAAGATCTAAACAAGACAAATTACCATGGAAGTTTTTAGTGTGTTATAAGATAAGAGATAGATAACTTTTGGAGATGATAGATACGTTTATAGCATAGATTGTGGTGATGGTTTCATGGGTATGTACTTACCTCCAAATTAATCAAATTGTCAACATTATATACTAGAGCTTTTTGTATGTTGTTCATACCTCAATAAAGTAGTTTTAAAAAGATAGAGAGATAATAGGTAGATGATAGACAATAGATAGACGATGGGGAGATAGGTAGGTAAGTAGATGATAGATAGATAGATAGATAGATAGATAGATAGATAGATAGATAGACAGATGTATAGATACACAGATACAGATACATAGGTAGTAGGTAGATAAATGATAGATACATACATACATTCATAGATAGATATGGAGATAGGTAAGTAGATGATAGATAGACAGATGTATAGATACACAGATACATAGGTAGGTAGGTAGATAAATGATAGATACATACATACATTCATAGGTAGACAGATAGATATGGAGATAGGTAGGTAGGTAAAGACCTGAAAACTCCATGAAGCAGTGATTCTGAATGGCAGAAAGAGAAGGCAGAGGGTGGTTGGGTGCAGTAGCTCACACCTGTAATCTCAACACTTTGGAAGACCAAGGCAGGAGGATTGCTTGAGGCCAGGAATTCAAAATCAGACTGGCCAATGTAATGAGATCCTCATTTCAAAAGAGAGAGAGAGAGCAAGAGAGAGAGAGGGAGAAGGCAGAGGGTGTGTGGAATGGGGAGGTTTGAGAATCCCCAAGCGTAATGGGAAACACCAAGGCTGAGAATGTGCCCTTGACAGTGCACAGGCAGGAACGAGATGAAGGGATACTGCCATAGGAGCATGAAAGTTGGTGTTTCAAGGTACTACAGCTTTATCGTGCTTTAGGAAATGTGCCATAGCATAAGTGTTTCTTTGTGAAACCAGAGATGGCTGGGTGTACACTGCCCAAGAGCGGCGACTGACCAGGGAGACCTCTCCTGTTCTCTATCATACCAGGGCATTTTCTGCATCCTTGGGGATTGCTCATGAGGCTGTTTCTGGAGGCAAAGGCTGGGAAGCAGTGGATAGCTCCCCCACAGCAGGAGCATATCAGTGGCCCAGGAGGAGAGTTTTCTATGATTGCTATAACAGACTACCACAAACTTAGTGACTTCACACAAATTCATCCTTGTATGGTTCTGGATGTTGGAGGTCCAAACTGAGTCTCACTGGGCAAAGTCAAGGTATCAACCAGGCCACATTCCTTGGGAGGCTCTGAGGGAGACTCACACCCTTGCCTTTTCTGAGAGAGTGAGTCTAGAGATGGCCTACATTGCTGGGCTCCTGGCCCCTTCCTCCACCTTCAAAACAGCAGCATAGAATCTTCAAATTCCTCTCTCTGCTTCTGTTACTACATTTTCTTTCGTTTTTTTTAATTTTTTTTATAAGGTCTTGTTGCTGAGACTGGAGTGCAGTGGCACAATCACAGCTCACTTGCAGCCTTGACCTCCTGGGTTCAAGCGATCCTCCTGCCTCAGCCTCCTGAGTAGCTAGGACTACAGGCATGCACCACCACACCTGGTAATTTTTAAATTTTTTGTAGAGATGGGGTCTCCCTATGTCACCCAGGCTTGGTGAGCTCAAGCAATCCTCTTGCCTCAGCCTCCCAAAGTGTTGGGATTACAGGTGTGAGCCACTGCACCCAGCCAATAATACTTTATAGTGTTGTTGTAGTTTGTTTGTTTGTTTTTGACAGGGTGTCATCCTGCACCCATGCTGGAGTGCAGTGGCCTGATCATAGCTTACTGCAGCCTCAGACTCCTGGGCTCAAGTGATTCTCCTGCCTCAGCCTCCCAAGTAGCTGGGATGACAGGTGTGTGCCACCACACCCAGCTAATTTTTTTTTTTTTTTTTTTGTAGTGAGAGGGTCTCACTATGTTGCCAGGCTGGTCTCAAACTCCTGGGCTCAAGCAATCCTCCCACCTCAGCCTCCCATAGTGCTGGGATTATAGACGTGAGCAACCACACCCGACCACATCTCCTTTTCTGACTGATTCTCCTATCTCCCTTTTCAGAAGGACCCTTGTGATTACACTGGGCCCATTCAGGTAGTCCAGGATAATTTCCCCATCTCAAAATCTTTAGCTTGAGAGGCGTTCGCAAAGTCCCTTTTGCCATGAAAAGACATATTCACAGATTCTGGAGATTAGGGAATGGACATATTTGAGGGACCATTATTCTACCTACTACATCAAATGAAGGCTATCAGATGTTTGTGTTGCAAAGCCTGCCCTTTTGACCATTATTTTTGGCTTTTAAAAATAGTACCAGTCTGTCTGCGCCACAGTAGCTCACACCTGTAATCCCAGCACTTTGGGAGGCTAAGGTGGGAGGATCACTTGAGCTCAGGATTTCAAGACCAGCCTAGGCAATATAATGAGACCCCCGATTTCACAAAATATTTTTAAAAAAATAGCCCAACATTGTGGCGCACACCCGTGGTCCCAGCTACTTGGTAGGGAGAGAGATGGGAGAGTGGCTTGAGCCTGGGATGTCGAGGCTGCACTGAGCCATGATTGCACCACTACACTCCAGGCTGGGTGACAGAGCAAGACCCTGTCTCAAAAAAAAGAAAAAAATTTCCCAATCAATGTGTGCCCACATAGGCTCATCCGATGCTTGACCTTGATCCTTTAACCAGTCCCAGCCTTGACTAACTCATGCCTTATCCAAAGTTCCTCCTGACATACACAATATCCCACAGCCTCCCTGACTCCAATCCCTCCCCATGTCATACTGCAGAGGCTCAGAAAGAGGAGGATAAGAGATGGCATTTAATGTTAGTGAGGGTCAGGATAAGGTCAGAGGTGGGCTGAAGGAGTCAGGTAAGAATGTCAGAGTGTCCACAGACAACCAAGTGCAGGTGGCAGAGGCTGCCGGGCTCTTCAAGACTACCTGCAGCAGGTGTTAATTTACTGTATTTGTTTTGCAGGGCCGACATGACAAATTGCCATACATTGGGTGGCTTAAAACAACAGAAATATATTCTCTTACAGTTCAGGAGGCTAGAAGTGAGAAACCAAGGTGTTGACAGGATTGGTTTCTTCTGGAGGCTCTGAGAGAGAGACTCTTCCATGCCTCTCTCCTAGCTTCTGCTGTCGCCAGCAATGCGTGGCGTTTCTTGGTTTGCAGATGCTTCACTTCCATTTGCTTCTCTCTTCATTCACATTGCCACTTCCTCTGTGGGATCTCTGCTCTGGTCATAAGCACTCCAGTCATTGGATTTAGGACCCACCCTAAATCCAGGATGATTTCATCTCAAGATCCTTAACTAATTACATCTGCAAGGGCCCTATTTTATTTTATTTTTTAACTTTATTTTTAGAGATGGGGTCTCGCCATGTTGCCCAGGCTGATCTCAAACTCCTGGGCTCAGGCAATCCTCTGACCTCGGACTCCCAACCTGCTGGGACTACAGCACGTTTCAAATAAGATCACATTCTGAGGTTTAGGGTGGACATGCATGGGGAGGACCAGTGTTCAACTCACTGTAATTACTGTTTCTCTGTATTTACTTTTCCTTAGGCTATTACTTACCCCACACCTCTGCCTAATCCTCTTCCATGCGCTCGCTTTCAGTTTAGTAGATGATTCATATTTAAAGCTCCTTAGATGAAAAATGTAAAACAAAGACACCTCAAGCGTATAAATGCAGCAAATGAAAAAAAGCATGCAATGGGGATTTAGAAAAACATGCTCTGGCCCTTGGATCTTTAGGAAGAGATTGACATTATAACTTATTCACAAGGCAGCCTCTCAGTGAAATAAAGCACCATGAGGATAAATCCACCCTCCAGATTTGCTGAATTTGAATTTATTGATTGAGTTCCAATCACATATTTCCCAACCCCTGTATTTTGACTTAAGTCTTCAAGATGAAGGGAGTTGAGAATCAGGTCATCCAGAGAGCAAGAACCTTTTTTTTTTAAAACCAGTTCATAAATATCCTTTTGTGTGTTTCTACCACATTCAGCATTTCATATGTGCTGACCATGCTCCTGGTGAAGCCCCTTCTCACCATTTCCCTTCCCTGGCTGTTTTTATGAGCCAAGTCACCTGTCAAAATGTGTCAGCAGCTTGCCAGCAAAGAGTACAGGCCAGCAAAAAGCTAAAAGAAACAAAAGACTAACGCTTGATTCTGAAGATCCAAATATATAGAGAGAGACAGATTAATAGGGTAGCAAAGTACCTGGATGAGCTGCATGTAAACACCTGCCCTTGGTGTCAAAGAGTCTTTCCCAGCTTAGATGTTGAAATGAAAGGAACATGACAGAATCTGGAAGCATTTCAAAAGTTGAGAAAGCATTTACTTTCAAAAAGTCTTTTCATCTCCCAACTCTAGTCATTCAACAGTTTCGAAAGACAGATGAGCAAGCATGATGTAATTTTACGGCATTTTAATTGAACATCTTATTCTGTGACACTACAGACAAGATGGAAAAGTAATCATGACTTTCACGAAGAAAAAATGGATTTCACTTGATATTCCAGGGATTGTTAAAGTTAGGTTCTTTTGACACTGTTTCTGGTGAGTTTGATTCATGTTTCACCCTTGTTATTTGCTGATATATATCACTTTAGTGAGCACTTTTGCAAGTTATCTAGTTTTCCCAGGAACGCTATGACTAGGTGTAATTCCCAGAGGAGGAAACTGAGGCTTGGAGAAGATGGATACCTTTTCCAAAGCTCAGAGAAGGGCACTGAAGTCAGTTTTCAGATCCTAATTCCAGTGCTTTTTTACCTTCCAACCCTGAACATGTTGAGAGAAAGAGAAGCCTGGAGCTGAGTACACACCAGATGAGCAATACTAGGAGATTCCTTGGCCAGGTGCAGTGGCTCACACCTGCAATCCTAGCACTTTGGGAGGCTGAGGCAGGAGGATCACTTGAGGCTGGGTGTTTGAGACCAGCCTGAGCAACATAGTGAGTTTTTTAAAAACTAGCTAGGCATGATGGCATGCGCCTGTGTTCCCAGTTACTTGGGAGGCTGTGGTGGGAGGATCACTTGAGCCCAGGAATTTGAGGCTGCATTGAGCCGTGTTCATGTAGGTTAGGCTGGGCACTTTAGGTTGCACTTTAGGCTGGGCAACAGAGCAAGACTGTCTCAAACAAACAAACAAAAAGAGCCGTCTGATAGTAACGATAGATAGAAAACTTACTCATGTATCTGGCTATTGGCTAGAGAAACAAGGTAGCTGGGCCATGTGTCTCCAGTGTCTAGCAGGCTAGCTCAGGCTTTTTCACATGGTGCCTGGGTTCCAAAAGCAGCAAGAGAGAAGAAGAAGCCCAATGCATGAGCATTTTTCAAGACTTCTCTAGCATCATGTTTGCTAATGCCCCATCAGTTAAAGCAAGTCACATGGCCAAACCTAGATTCGGGAAGTGGAGAAATAGACTCCTGCTTTTCTTCAGAAAGCACTAAAATATTGCAGTCATTTTTGGCAATCAACCAGAAGGGAAACAATTGAATCTAAATTATTCTCTGTCTACTTCACTGCCTTTTTCCACCTCCAATACTGTTAGAGGTTGGATGATACATGCATAGGGGAATTTGAGAAGTGTAAATACATATAAGATGGATGACCAGGCCAGTATTAGTGTGTTTATCAAGGATGTTGATGAAAACTTGTAAGGATTGGTTATCTTCTCTTTCCTGGATATTCATATATTCTCACTTGGAATTCTGTTTCATCCTCTGATCCCTTTCTACATCCCATGCTGGTGCAACCTGGATTGATCTCCTCCTTTTATCTCAGGTCTCAGATCTGTCACCTACAGCTACTCACAAAGTTCAGATACTATGAAGTCTGTATTTATATTGCTTTATTGATTTCTGTTCCTGTTTGGTGTTCTATAGGACCCAACACATTAACAACCTTCTAGAGATGTGAATTCTTTATGAGCTGGCTACAGAAATTGATCTTTATGACAATGGTGGGAGTAATTTAATGAACTTCCCTGGTTATAGGCTAAGTGTTGTTTTAAATATTTTCCCTTTTAAAATTTGATGATACCTCTTTTCTCCACAGTCAGGTGTTTTGCAGCTGTAGAATTTGGGGTTAACAGCTTTTCACTTGCTGTCCCATCCATGGGTTTTGCTGTTAACATATTTCATGTTGACTTCCATATGAATGATACTGTCTGATTATAGTTTGTGTCTAAATGGAACGTGGTGACCTGGAAAGTTTCAGAAGACGCTGCCTGCTCTGGCCCCTTTCCAACCTTGTCTACGATCTGCCCCTTCTTTATGAGCCTTCTTTCTCTCTCTCTCTTTTTTTTTTTTTGGCACGGAGTCTCACTCTATCACGTATGCTGGAGTGCAGTGGCAAAATCTTGGCTCACTGCAACCTCTTCCTCCCCAGCTCAAGTGATTCTCCTGCCTCAGCCTCCCGAGTAGCTGGGATTATAGGTGCACGCCACCATGCCCGGCTAATTTTTGTATTTTTAGTAGAGACAGGGTTTTGCCATGTTGGCCAGGCTGGTCTTGAACTGCTGATCTCAAGTGATCCTCCCAACTTGGCCTCCCAAAATGCTGGGATTACAGGCATGAGCCAGCACACCTGGCCCTTCTTTCTCTCTTTATGACCATTGCACACATTGTGCCCTGTGCCTGAAAGCTCTTGTCCCCACTCTTTGCATGACTGGTTTCTTCTTATCTTTCAGGTCCCAGTTTAAATATCACCTTCTTGGAGAAAACTTTTCTTTTTTTCTTTGTATTTTAAACAGCTTATTGAAACATAATTTACATTCCATTAAATTCACTCATTTAAAGCATACAACTCAATAGCTTTTAGTATGTTTACAGAGTTTGGCAGCCATCATCATCATCTAATTTGAGAACATTTTCATTATCCTAAAAAGAAAACTTGTACCAATTAGCAGTCACTCATCATTTCCCATCCTATCTCCAACCTTAGGCAGCCACTAACCTACCTTCTGCCTCTAGAGATTTGTTTCTTCTGAACATTTCATACAAATAGAATTATACAACATAGAGTCTTTTGTGACTGGCTTCTTTCACTTAGCATAATGCTTTTGAGGTGCATCCAGGCTGGGCACAGGCATAGGAACTCATGCCTGTAATCCCAGGACTTTTGGGAGGCCAAGTCGGGAGGATCACTTGACCCCAGGAGGTCAAGACCAGCCTGGGCAACATAGGGAGACACTGTCTCTACAAAAAAAAAAGAAAGCCAGGCACGGTGGCATGCGCCTGTCATCCCAGCTACTTGGGAGGCTGAGGCAGAAGGAGAGCTTGAGCCCAGGAGTTCAAGGCTACAGTGAGCCATGATTGTACCACTGTACTCCAGCCTGAGTGATACAGCAAAACCATGTCTCAAAAAAAAGGTATATCCCTGTTGCAGCATGTATCAGTACTTCATTTCTTCTTATGGCTGAATAATATTTCATTGTATGGATATATCGCACATTATTTTTCTGTCCATCAGTTAATGAACATTTGTATTTCTACTTTTTGGCAGCTGTGAATAATGCTACTACATTCTTGTACAAGTTTTTGTGTGGATTTATGTTTCCATTTCCATTTCTAAGACTGGAATTGCTGGGTCACATGATAACTCTATTTTTAACCTTCTGAGCAACTTCCAGATAGTTTCTCAAAAGAGATTTTCCGATCATCTTAAGAAGCCCTGTCCTGCCCTTTCCTTTACTCTTGCCCATCACTTTATTCATTTCCTCTTAGCACTATTCACAATCTGAAATTAAATTTTCATTTATTGAGTTTAGTTTTTGCAACTAGAATGTGAGCTGTGTAGTGCGAGGGAGTCAAAGCCCTGTAACTCAGTCACAAGAAATATAAAAGCACATACAGGAAGCTATATGGATGTAATAACCTTAGTTAAAAACATTTTTTATATGTCGGTTTTTTTCCTAAGCAAACCAAAACTTAATATGACAACCTGATCATTTAAAAGTTTTTGGATTTTTAAAAAATATTAATCCTCTTATTGTGACTTATACCAACCATTCATGACATGCTTGGACTTTCTAGTTTGTCCTGAACATCCCTCCTTCTTAAACAACTAGTTATTTTATTTTAGGACTAAATTTACCATACAAGATTCTTCCACAAATAAAATTATTTCTCTTTAAGCTTTCTTACCAATAAAGAATACCTCTTTATTTTTGTAACTGTCTTTGGCTGAGCACAGTGGCTCATGCCTATAATCCCAGCACTTTGGGAGGCCAAGGCGGGTGGATCACCTGAGGTTAGGCGTTCGAGACCAGCCTGGCCAACATGGTGAAACCCTGTCTCTCCTAAAAATACAAAAATTAGCCAGGTGTGGTGGCACGCGCCTGTAGTCCCAGCTACTCGGGAGGCTGAGGCAGGAGAATGGCGTGAACCCTGGAGGCAGAGCTTGCAGTGAGCCGAGATTGCGCCACTGCACTCCCGCCTGGGCCACAGAGCGAGACTCCGTCTCAAAAAAAAAAAAAAAAAAAAAAAAAAAAAAAAAAAACTGTCTTTATATCTCTTTTATTTCCTGGTTCCTTTTACCTTGTTTTACACATGATCTTTAAATAAGCTTTGAATTAGAAAAAAACTGTTCAACTTTTTTAAGAGGAAACACTTTTTTTTAGAAAGAATGTTTTCCTACAATTATATTTTTATTGGAAAATACCCAAATAATGAAATTTCTATTATTTAATTTAATAAAACTTTATATTCTAAATTATGATGAATTTGTCTGCAAGTATCCTATTACATTTACCTAATTATTTTGTTTTAATATATTGTTTACCTAGATTATTTATGAAAACTGCAATAGTCATTTAAAGTTATGGAACTACTGTTGCAAAACTGTAACCGAGACAGTGAAAAAGATATGACCTAACTAACTCCATTTGCTTCTAACCTCCAAGGTGTCCTTGTTCATTCCTGGACTTTGGGAGAAATTTAATTTATAGTTGAGCTTTGAAACAAAGGCAATAACAATCCTTTCCCAAAACAGACCTCCTTACTCCATGTGGACTAGACTGCCTGAAGCCACAAGATTAGAAGTTACGGTAATTATACTAAATAATTCAAGATGTAGCTATTTTCATTAAACCAATATCAATGTCTTATTTATTAAAGATTACACAAGCAAAGATCATTCTGTCTTGAGATGGGCTTATAGTTTTGTAACCTCTGTGACAAATTTTGACACCTTATAGTATTTGGCCCGGATAAGTATGAAATTGCTTGATTAATAAATGCAAACAAAAATGTATTCTGGTAATTCTTGAGACATTTCAACTATTACTTTACCAATAATTTTAAAGCTAGCTTATTTATTAATTTTACTTGTTACATAACTTGAAAAAGCATTTGACTAGTCTTTTCCTTTTTAGTATCTGGCTTGTGTTTTTATTTTTTAAGCTGATTAATTAGAACTCTTTTATATATTTTTAGGAATGAAACACTGTATATGCAAAACACAAATACATAGACATACTAGGCATGCCAATGGAAATACATCTTATAGAGTCATAAAAACCTTTTATTTTCCTATGTTAGACTTTCAGATTCTTGATGACTTGTTTCACAACCCTCGGTAGTTGTCAGCTAAATAGCCTTACATTTGTATATTAAAGGAAGCAACTCAGGTGAAAGTCAAATAGCAAATTTTACATTATAAGGTGCAGAGAGAAAAAGTTTGGTGTGCTGGCGGGAAATTAAAATGGATTTAATTGCCAATTAAACAAATTATAGGAATTATAAAGGCCTTTGAAATATATATGCACACACATACACACACATACATACACACAAAGATCCTATAGCTTTTACTTCAGAACTTTTAGCCATGAGATAAACACAAATTCACCAACTTGCAAAAAGAACTTGTTGGATCTAAACAGTGGTATTTATCTTAATACAAAAATAACAGCAGATTTAGAGTAGGCAGAAAAGAAAAAATAGAGAAAAAGAGGACTTAGGAACACTGTAGTTTGCAGATTGACCTTAGGGCTCTTTTTCCTTAAGTAAATGTGTATAAAGACCATATTATTTCCATTTTACATAATCTTTGGCAGGTAGATGTGTCGGAAAATCCACAGACTGCTCCAAAGGGGGTCATTCTCCTTGCTTTCTCATCATTCTTAGATTATTTGTTTCCCACTTTCTTTTTTCTTAAAAGGAGGAACTGAGCTGTGGCCTAGGGTTTTGTGTGGTGGATCAATATGTGCCGCTTGTGAACAGGACTCCACAGTGTGTTACCACTGAGTTGTTTCCACCCTCTTATGTGTCTTAGTTTCTCTCTCTAGAGGTCTATGACCTCAGAGAAGGCTCAAAACGTTGGGTGATCAGCCCTTACATGCATTTCTTGGATGAGCCATTTAAAAAAATTGTTTTTGAGTGATTTCCCTGCAGGGCCACTGCACATTGAGGGGGGTCAACCCCCAGACACTCCCACAAGGCCCCTGGTCACCCAGGGGCAACTTTCAACTAGGAGGAGCAAATGCCTTTTCTCTTTGAAGCTGAGAAAACTCAGTCTCTCATTAACGTATGAAAACAACATGCTGGCCAACATGGTGAAACCCCATCTCTACTAAAAAGACAAAAATTAGCTGGGCGTGGTGGCACGCGCCTGTAGTCCCAGTTACTCAGGAGGCTGAGGCAGGAGAATTGAACCCAGGAGGTGGAGGTTGCAGTGAGCCGAGATCACGCCACTGCACTCCAGCCTGGAGACAGAGCGAGACTCCGTCTCAAAAAAAAAAAAAAAAGAAAAAAGAAAAGAAAATAACAGTTCAGTTCCTCATGCAAATGCACACACAAACCGAATTAAGATTAAATTTGCAAGTAAAAGCAATACAGAAGACCCTTTAGAATGCATCTCTGAACTAGAATTAGGATCCTTAAACAACAGCTTCCTAGGAGAGAAAAGAAAAATAAACAGCCAAGACCACTTCCTGTAAACTGTGCTCAACCACCTGTAACTTCACAGCTGTCATTTGCCACTGTACATGTCAAGGGCAAATCATCTCACAGTGCAAAGTCATCTCTGGTACCCCAAAGCCAAAAAAGTCAGGTCATGCAATCCAGGAAAACAGAGCTTTAGACCTAAAAAGAATCTGCCCATGACTCTTGAAACTCCACAAAGAAGACAGAACACCCTAAAAGGGGGTGAGAGCACCTTTGTTCTGAATTCTTTAAAAGGGGTTCAAGGTTCAAGTCATTAGACGCCTTCTCTAGATTTTTTGGTACTGCAAATGGCAAAAGGGGGAAGGAGGTATAGGGTGGAAGAAAAGTAGATGAAAGGACGAGTTTTTTGTTTGTTTGTTTGTTTGTTTGTTTGTTTTAAGACAGGCTGCAAACACAGAAACCAAACACGTTTTTTTCGTTTGTTTGCTTTTTGCAGCTGCAAGGAATTTTAGCCAAATTAGAGAGGCCATGTAACCCATAATTTGGAATTCTCACTCAGATTTGACCAAGTCAGGTAGAGTTGGTCAAATCCATTGGGAGAAAGACTGGAACAAACAACAACAAAAAATCCCAACCTTATCATCACTGAGCGCGCTAATGGTAAGGGGAAATTAAGACCAGCTGTTTGTTAATCTTAACTTTAGCCAAGACAAACACCAATTCAGTTACTTACCTAGGGATGGGTCTCAGGCTGAGGACTGCTCTCTACCAACCTAGAAGCAGGAAAAAGTAAACTGATCTTCCCTGTTGGATGCGCGCTCAAATTCCATAAAGGAGTTATTTGTCTTACATCGTCATGGAGGCAGGAAAAACTTGCCTTCCTTGTGTTGGAAGCAAGTAAAACTCCAAAAAAAAAAAAAAAAAGCAGGAATTGTACAGCAAAATAAACTTTAGATCTCGACCAAATTTTGGGAGATCAGGGACTTTCTGGAGGGCGTGCTCTCAGACCTCAGCAAATTGTCCTATTGGTTTGAGACATAAAGTTAGCTCATGCTGGTACCAGGCACCGATAGGAGATTTGTCAAAGGCAGGGGCATCTCTACTCAGAATCCCTTTGTGGTTACCAAAATGTGAACGCTGAAAATTTGAGACAGGTCTCAGTTAATTTAGACCATTTATTTTGCCAAGGTTAAGGATGCATGCCTGTGACACAGCCTCAGGAAGTCCTGACAACATGTCCCCAAGGTGGTCAGGGCACAGCTTGGTTTTATACATTTTAGGGAGACATGAGACATCAATCAATATATGTAAGATGTACAATGGTTCCATCCAGAAAGGCAGGGACAACTCGAAGCAGGGAGGGGGCTTCCAGGTCACAGGTAGGTGAGAGACAAATGGTTGCATTCTTTGGGGTTTTTGATAAGCCTTTCCAAAGGAGGCAATCAGAATATGCATCTATCTCAGTGAGCAGAGGGATGACTTAATAGAATGGGAGGCAGGTTTTGCCCTGAGAAGTTCCCAGCTTCACTTTATTCTTCAGCTTAGTAATTTGGGGGCCTCAAGATTTTCCTTTCACAGGGTCCATCTAATTGAGATGTCAATATGTAGTGACACTTGGGACAGTGTAGAGATTGTAAAGAATTGGTTGAGAAGATCTAAGCCTATAAACTATAGTGATAAACTCCATATTATAGGTACTGATATGAAGTGAACTGCCAAGGATGTTCAGAAGCATCTGAGATCAGTGTTCAGTTTCATCTGTAGCAGGACGAGCTACAGACAAAACCCCTCAGACACCGAGTTAAAGAAGGAAGGACTTTATTCAGCCGAGAGCTTCGGCAAGACTCACGCCTCCAACAACCGAGCAATTCCTGTCCCTTTTAAGGGCTCACAACTCTAAGGGAGTCTGCGTGAGAGGGTCGTGATCAATGGAGCAAGCAGGGGGTACGTGACTGGGGGCTGCATGCACCGGTAATTAGAATGGAACAGAACAGGACAGGGATTTTCACAGTGCTTTTCCATGCAATGTCTGGAATCTATAGATAACATAACTGATTAGGTCGGGGGTGGATCTTTAACTACCAGGCCCAGGGTGTGGCGCTGGGCTGTCTGCTTGTGGATTTCATTTCTGCCTTTTAGTTTTTACTTCTTCTTTCTTTGGAGGCAGAAATTGGGCATAAGACAATATGAGGGGTGGTCTCCTCCCTTAATCCAGCTAAGAAGGTGAAAACATCTCCCTGGCAGGACTGAAGCCTGAGTTCAGTGCAAACTGTGTCCTACCACACTCAACTCTGGAGAATCAGACTCTGCTGAGATGCCTCTTCTTGTGGCACCATCCTTATAATTGGGTCTAAATCTTCACTTAAGTATCATTTATTAAAGTTGAGTCCTTACGAATTGATTCCTGTGTGATCCTCAACGTTCCTCTGACCTGTTGCAAATGCTGGCTCTGACTAAGGGCTCCTACAGCTTTCTGCTTCTCTAACCAGAGAATTTACTGTTTATAACTTCTCAGTGAGAAAGCCCACTCTGACACAGGGGTGAAGGTATATTGATTTTTGTATACATGTATTTTAATAAAAGTAATTCATGCATGTGGTAAAAAATTAAACTACAGAGTATTACCTGGAAATTAAAATTTTCTCTTCCTCTCAACCTCTTAGCCATTCTGCAAATATATCCATGGCAAAGAGTATTTTGGGCCAGGCACTATGGCTCACGCCTGTAATCCCAGCACTTTGGGAGGCCAAGGTGGGTGGATCACTTGAGGTCAGGAGATCGGGACCAGCCTGGCCAACATGGCGAAACCCCATCTCTACTAAAAATACAAAAATTAGCCAGGCATGGTGGCCTGTGCCTGTAATCCCAGCTACTTGGAAGGCTGAGGCAGGAGAATCACTTGAACCCCGGAGGCAGAGGTTGCAGTGAGCCAAGATCATGCCAGTGTACTCCAGCCTGGGTGACAGAGTGGGACTCTGTCTCAAAAAAAAAAAAGTATTTTATATAGTCTTAAAAATACGGTGAGTTTATATCCACATACCCACATCTATATATGCATATGTTTGCTTACTTTTCTCTCTCTTTTAAATTCCCAATGAAAAAAAGTACTTCTTGTCCTGAAGTCTGAGCTAAAAACAGAGTCACCATTTGTGAGGCCCTATGATAATTTCATTACAGTACCATTAACACATCCTCAAAAGGAGCACTCAACTGACAAATAACTGATAACTAAAATGTGGTATAGCCATACAAGGAAATATTATTTCATTCATAACACAGAATGAAGTATTGATACATGTTACAACGTAGATTAATCTTGAATGCATTGTGCTAAG
Organism: Homo sapiens; assembly: GCF_000001405.40. Taxonomy (NCBI): domain Eukaryota; kingdom Metazoa; phylum Chordata; class Mammalia; order Primates; family Hominidae; genus Homo; species Homo sapiens. The sequence goes on along the minus strand of NC_000012.12, from coordinate 95,387,147 downwards.
TAAAAGCATAGTCACAAAAGACCACATATTGTATGATTCCATTTGCACGAAATATCTAGATTAAGCAAATCTGTACAGAAAGCAAATAGATCAGTGGCTGCCCAGAGGCCAAGGAGAGGGAGCGATGCGGGTCACTGCTAGTGGACACATGGTTTCTTTTTGGGGTGATAAAAAATGTTCTAAAATTGATTATCATGATTGTTGCACAACTCTGTAAATATTCTAGAAACCATTGAACTCTATACTTTAAATGGTGACTAGTATGATGTGAGAACTATATTTCAGTAAAGCTATTATATAAAAAAGGGAGGTATTTTTAAAAACTACTGTTGTTCACACGTGTAATCCCAGAACTTTGGGAGGCCGAAGTGGGCGGATCACCTGAGGTCAGGAGTTAGAGACCACCCTGGCCGACATGGTGAAACCCCATCTCTACTAAAAACACAAAATTAGCTGGCCATGGTGGTGCATGCCTGTAATCCCAGCTATATGGGAGGCTGAGGCAAGAGAGTCACTTGAACCTGGGAAGTGGAGGTTGCAGTGAACCGAGATCACACCATTGCACTCCAGCCTGGGCAACAAGAGCAAAACTCCGTCTCAAAAAATAAATAAATAAATAAATATAAATAAATGTATTTAAAAAATAAAGAGAGACACAGCTCAATAAATTAATATATAATTTGCTGTCTTGTATTGCATGATTAAAGTAGGTGTCATTATTTCCCTTTCACCTAATAAGAAAATTGGACCTGCACTTGGTATTTCTTGTTCACTCCAATTTTATGAAATTTAAAAGAATTATCATTCCAGGAATACTAAATTAAAAATAAAAGCTATACATGAAAAAATTAATAGGTAGTGGTTGATGCAAGAGTTGAGCAACATGATTCCTGAGATGTCCTTTATGACTAATTGACAGTCTTAGAGAATTAGAAGTCAACAACGTTAAAATGGAAATAAAAATACATCACAAATCTTCACTTTCTAGGCAGAAGCTAGAATGTTCAGTGCCCTGATCAGACTTTTCCCAACAGTTAAATTTGCACTGGGAAATTGTTCCCTTTATTTGACACATAAAATTAAATGCCCAAGATGAGAATTATATCTGTGAAATAAACAGGAGATGAAAAAATTTTCTCCACTCGCCCCTCCGGGGTGGTTGCCTTCCTCATCCTCCCCCTGTCTTCTTTGATAATAGCATCTAAGCAGATAAATGCAACACCATCTGCTGATGGTATTTTGGGAACTTCACACAAGTCCAAAACACTAAGCCAAAACGCTAAGTCCTGCCCCTGTGTAATGTTATCCGAGCCTCATAGCCCATTTCTTGGCAGAGAGTAATGTCTACTTTCAGCAGAACTGAAGACTCTGAAAGAGACAAGGCAAAACAAAAAGAAAGCTGCCTTTAAAGGGATTTCAGTATTTCACTATTAACGATCTTTTAAAAGAATCCTCCTTTTGGGCATCTGCCCTCCCACCAAAGGGGGTCTTGGTGAGAAGGCTCAGCAGCCCATGCAGTTAGGAAGAGGAATAAAAGAGGGGTGTGGAGTGAGACCCCTGTTACTGGGATTCAGCGGATAGGGAAACACCGTGTGGACAGGAAGACAGCTGCTTTAGCCAAAGCTCCTACCGAAATGCACGGTGGATGGGTAAGGTCTTTCCTGAGGCTTCTGGCAGGAACGAGAACAGCTGAAGGCTAGACCGCTCAGGGTGAGTGAAAGGGTAGGCTGTTCAAGAAAGGAATGTACTCTAGGTGGCCAAGACTTGGCACTGCTGTTTCTGCTCTTTTTTTTTTTCCACTGGCTAGGTCGCTTTGCTCCTCCAGCCCAGCTTGCAGGCTCCTTGGTTAAGCCCAAAGTGCTCCTTTTATACTATGAACTATTCTCATCCTTCTGGTAGAGGGTGAGCCTATCAAACTTTATATTAGGCTGCAGGTAGTTTATTAACTAACCTCTCTCAGCCTCTGTTTTCTCGTCTATGAAATGGGACTCATAATACCTATAGATGGGATTGTGAGGACTTAATCATGAAAGCCAACATTTTTATAGAACTTACAAGGTGCCTGGCTCTGAAGTGTTTTACACGTATTAACTCATTTAGCTCTCACAACAGCCCTATGAGGTAGGTGCTATTGTTATCATCACTTTTAAGGCAAGGAAACTGAGCCACAGAAAGGTTGAGAAATATGTCCAAGTCAGGCCGAGCATAGTGGTTCATGCCTCTAATCCTAGCACTTCGGGAGGGTGAGGCAGGAGGATCACTTGACCCCAGGAGTTCAAGACCAGCCTGGGAAACATAGTGAGAGCGTCTCTGTAAAAAATAAACAAAATTAGCCAAGCATGGTGGCATGCCCCTGTAGTCCCAAATACTCAGGAGGCTGAGGCAGGAGGGTCACCTTAGCTTGATCATGCCACTGCACTCCAGCTTGGGCAACAGATCAAGAAAAAAAAAAAAAAGGAAGGAAGGAAAGGAGGGAGGAAGGAAGGAGGGAAAGAAAGAGAAAGAAAGAAAAAGAAAGAGAGAGAGAGAGAAAGAAAGAAAGAAAGAAAGAAAGAAAGAAAGAAAGAAAGAAAGAAAGAAAGAAAGAAAAAGAAAAAAAGAGAAAGAAAGAAAGAGAAAGAAAGAAGAGAAGAGAATGGAGGGAAATCCAAATCTACAAAAATAGGATGTGGCAGACTGCCATGGTTACTACTTGAGACCATCACTACGACAGTTACTACTGTTACTACTTGAGACCATCATTACGAGACCGAACGAAGGGGGACGAACGTAGAAATGAAAACTTAAGACAAAAGAAACTGTTTTAAAGGAAGGGGCCAGGGGAAGAAGAAAAGGGCTCCCTGCTTCTAGTGAGCAAAGGCAGCAGCCACCCTGAGTTTCTACAGCCCTTCGTATTTATTGGGTAGCAAGAGCAGGGAGGAGCGGGTAACGACTGGTCAGCTGCTTAATTGATCACAGGTTCACATTATTGGTAACAGGCTTCAGATGCGCCTAATCACAAGAAACACTGTGCTTGGGGCTTGACTGCCCTCAGCGTTCCTTCTGGGCAGCAGACGCAGTTTGTCAGTTTGCCAACATCCTGCTTTCATGAGAACAGTTTGCTGTTTACTCATACAGCCTCCAGTGGTATACTGAGTTGATCACAACCCTCACTCAGCCTTCAACAATAGCACACAGACGAACCAGATTCAATATCATACCAGTCTGGCCGTATAGGGTTTGGAACCATTAAGCAACACTACCTACTAAAAGCCTGTAGTTAAGGCTCTCATACAACACTCAGAGCTTAGTAGGCGCTATAATAAATGTTGTCTATCAAAATAATTATTACCTCAAGACAGAAAATGTCCTAAGTGTAGAGAGAGAACTGCAATCAGGGCATCCCTGGAATGCCTAAACAGTGTCCTGCGTCTAATAATTATTCAAAATATATTGGCTTAACAATCCATTTTGTCAACATGATTCAACAGACTTTCTTTAAGCTTCTTCTCTGTGCCAGGGGCTCTGCCCAAAAGACAGAAGGCCCAAAGATGATTTGGACAAGGACTCATAGTGTGATGCTACTGATCTGAAACTAATAAAATGCTTGGCTGCATTCACAGACCAAGAGAGTATAGTGGAGATAACATCAACACATTCCTCTCATTCACCACCCAAATCCCATCCATCCAAACCCTAGATGGTTCTTGAATCCATACCTGGGTCTCCGTCTTTCTCACCTGTACTCGCATCCAAGCTGCCATCTTCCCTGGACCACTCAGCTAGTCATGACCTCTTAACTGGTCTCCCAGCATGTACTGTGGTCCCTCCCTAATCCACTTGATCATGTAGCCTCCTTGCTTAGTTGTTAAAACCCTTCTATTATTTTTTGCTCTTTTTTCTTTTTATCATTATTATTATTATTGAAATAGAGACGAGGTCTTGCTTTGTTGCCCAGGCTGGTCCTGAACTCCTGGCTTCACGCAGTCTTCCCACCTAGGCCTCCTGAAGTGTTGGGATTACAGGCATGAGCCATTGCACCCAGCCTGGTTTTTTGCCCTTAAGATAAAACTCATGCTATGGCCAAGGATTCCTGCATATCTGACCACTGCCTGCCAATCACTCCCATCTAATTTACGCCACTCTTGACCCTAGTCATGCTGTCTTCCTTTCAGTCCTTTGAATGCACTATGCCCACCTCCTCTCCTAAGTCCTTTGACACATCTGGGTGTATCCATTTGGAACACAGCTGTGGTTAAATGTCCACCCCTGATTCAATCAGCCATAGCCAAGGTAGCAGGCCCACATGGTATGATAATTGTGGCTGGCAGGATCCATTCCTATGACCCTATAGATGCAAGGGGAGGGAGAAGGCATGTCTCAGAGAAGGGACACTAATCAGCTGAGCAGGTATGTATCAAGCTTCCTTCCAGAAAGATATTCAGGCAGAGAGAGTGACTATCCTCCAGGAATGTGACAGGAGAGATTCCCATGCTCTTAAAAGCTGTATCTTGGTGACTTCCATCACCTCAGCCAAATCAATGAGTGCATGAATTTTTCTTGTTCTAAATGGGTCAATTTCTGTCTTTTTTGTAGACAAACAGTAGCAGTGATGTTTAATTAGGAAGGAGGCCTGGTGATCAGCAGAAAAGGAAACATCATAAGGGAATGGACCTGGCCTTCAAAAGGAAAACTTGATAATCCAGTGGAAATTTGGGTATTATTTTACAATTAGCATTCTTATGGTTATTTTTATGTTGCAACAGTAATTTACTTTGGGTATCTAAAATATACTATTATGGGACTAGACACAGTGGCTCACACCTGTAATCCCAGCACTTTGGGAGGCTGAGGCAGGTGGATCACCTGAGGTCAGGAGTTCAAGACCAGCCTGGCCAACATGGTGAAACTCCATCTCTACTAAAAGTACAAAAATTAGCTGGGCATGGTGGCACATGCCTGTAATCTCAGCTACTTGGGAGGCTGGGGCAGAAGAATCACTTGAACCTAGGAGGCAGAGGTGGCAGTGAGCCAAGATTGCACCACTGCACTCCAGTCTGGACAACAGAGTAAGACTCCATCTCAAAAAAACAACAAAATAAAAAATAAAAAAATATATATGCTATTAAAGGAAACAAGGTTGAGAAGACTGAATTAATTTGCTGGCTATAAATTTTTTTATTTGTACAAATTTATTACATGTATATTTATTACATGTACAACTTTGTTACATGTATATAATATGTAGTGGTCAAGTCAGGGTATTTGGGGTGTCTGTCACCCGAGTAAAAAACAGTTTTGGGGTTTTCTGTTTCTTTGTTTTTTTATAGAGTCAAGATTTCAGTATGTTGCCCAGGCTGGTCTCAAACTCCTGGGCTCAAGCAGTCCTCCAGACTTAGTCTCCCAAAGTGCTGTGATTACAGGCATAAACCACCATGCCCAGCCCAAGTACAAAACATTTTTGTTAAGTATAGTCACCCTACTGTGCTGTCAAACATTTTATGTATTCCTTCTTACTGTGTGTTTTTACCCTTTAACCCGCTTCTCTTCATCCTCCCTTTACCCCTGCCCCACCCCTCCCAGTCTCTGTTCTCTATTTTCCACTCTTTACCTCCATGTGATCCCATTTTTTAGCTCCCACATATAAGTGAGGACATGCGATATTTGTCTTTTTGTGCCTGGCTTATTTCATTTCAGATAATAACCAGTTCCTGGATGTGATACATTTTTACTTCAGTTCTTCATTTCACTTGGCAAACTATACTTGGCCCTTTCTTAATGGATTTATCTTTGCTAAACAGCAGTTGCTTTAAACAGCAATTTTTTAAAATTGTTATTAGAAAAGCAGTTCATGCCTACTGTAAAAACATTTCTAAAATAGGAAAGTATGGTGTTCAAAGTGAAAGTCTCCTCCTCCTCAATTTCACTCTGCAGAAATCAACCATATTCATAGCTTGGTATGTATCTCTGTAGGATCAAAGATTCCAAACTGAGATAATATAAGAGTGAGTCTACCAAGTAGGAACGGCAGTGAACTGGAAGTGTCCCACCTGAGGGGGACAGCCTCTACTCAGGGCCAGAAGGTTGTTGCCACATGGGAATACGGGCCTGGGGTTACTACATTTTACGGTTTTTTCCAGCTAGAAATTCAGACTTTTATGTGAAATATCCTGAAATTTAACTGCTGACAATTAATTCAAACTTTGACAGGATTAATTCAAACACTTCTGAGCTGCCAGTCTGAAACTGTGTCCGGAATTGGTGGATTCTTGGTCTCACTGACTTCAAGAATGAAGCCGCGGACCCTCGCAGTGAGTGTTACAGCTCTTAAGGTGGTGCGTCTGGAGTCTGTCCCTTCTGATGTTCAGATGTGTTCGGAGTTTTTTCCTTCTGGTGGGTTCGTGGTCTCGCTGGCTCAGGAGTGAAGCTGTAGACCTTCGCGGTGAGTGTTACAGCTCTTAAGGCAGCGCGTCTGGATTTGTTTGTTCCTCCGGGTGGGCTCGTGGTCTCGCTGGGCTCAAGAGTGAAGCTGCAGATCTTCGCGGTGAGTGTTACAGCTCATAAAAGCATCGTGGACCCAAAGAGTGAGCAGTAGCAACATTTATTGCAAAGAGCGAAAGAACAAAGCTTCCACACTGTGGAAGGGGACCCGAGCAGGTTGCCAGTGCTGGCTAGGGCAGCCTGCTTTTATTCTCTTATCTGGCCCCAGCCACATCCTGCTGATTGGTAGAGCCGAGTGGCCTGTTTTGTCAGGGCGCTGATTGGTGCATTTACAATCCCTGAGCTAGATACAAAGTTTCTCCAGGTCCCCATCAGATTAGTTAGATACAGAGTTTGGACACACAGGTTCTCCAAGGCCCCACCAGAGCAGCTAGATACAGAGTGTTGATTGGTGCATTCACAAACCTTGAGCTAAACACAGAGTGCTGATTGGTGTGTTTACAAACCTTGAGCTAGATACAGAGTGCCGATTGGTGTATTTACAATCCCTGAGCTAGACATAAAGGTTCTCCACAGCCCCAGCAGAGCAGCTAGATACAGAGCTAAACACAGGGTGCTGATTGGTGTATTTACAATCCCTGAGCTAGATATAAAGACTCTCCACGTCCCCACCAGACTCAGGAGCCCAGCTGGCTTCACCTAGTGGATCCCGCACCGGGGCTGCAGGTGAAGCTGCCTGCCAGTCCCGCACCTTGCGCTCGCATTCCTCAGCCCTTGGGTGGTCGATGGGACTGGGCACCGTGGAGCAGGGGGTGGTGCTTGTTGGGGAGGCTCGGGCCGCACAGGAGCCCATGGAGTGGGTGGGAGGCTCAGGCATGGCGGGCTGCAGGTCCCGAGCCCTGCCCCGCGGGAAGGCAGCTAAGGCCCGGTGAGAAATCGAGCGCAGCGCCGGTGGGCTGGCACTGCTGGGGGACCCAGTACACACTCCGCAGCCACTGGCCCGGGGCCAGCAGGGCTGGCCGGCTGCTCGAAGTGCGGGCCCGCCAAGACCACGCCCACCTGGAACTCCAGCTGGCTCGCAAGCGCCGCACGCAGCCCCGGTTCCCGCTCACGCCTCTCCCTGCACACCTCCCTGCAAGCTGAGGGAGTGGGCTCCAGCCTTGGCCAGCCCAGAAAGGGGCTCCCACAGTGCAGTGGGGGGCTGAAGGGCTCCTCAAATGCCACCAAAGTGGGAGCCCAGGCAGGGGAGGTGCCGAGAGCCAGCGAGGGCTCTGAGGACTGCCAGCACACTGTCACCTCTCAAAACCTCTGCGCTAGATTTTCTCCTTTGTATATAGTTACCTCAAGTGTGTGTTTGTGTGTGTGTGCGCACGTGCGCACACACACATGCATGTTTATATGTACAAAATGGGATGCATTAGTCCAGGCTCACTGTATACAGATGTGCAGGTGCCTCACTGCACAACCAACCTTCACGGCACCATTTATAGAGAGCTATGCTATCCAATATGGCAGCCACTAGGCATCCATGGTTATTGAAGCATTGAAATGTGCTGTAAGGATAAAATACACACCAGATGTCGAAGACTTAGTACAAAGAGAATAGAAACTATCATATTAATAATTTTTATATGTAGTACATGTCAAAATGCTAATACTTGGAGATATTTGGTTATAAAACAAAGTTATTCATTTCACCTGCTTTTTATTCTAACCTGTCTACTAGAAAATTTAAAATTAGGCCAGACATGGTGGCTCACACCTGTAATCTCAGCACTTTGGAAAGCCAGGGTGGGAGAAGCATTTAAGCCCAGTAGTTTGAGATCAGCCTGGGAAACATAGCAAGACCCCATCTCTACAAAAAACTTTAAAATGAGCTTGGTGGTGTGCATCTGTAGTCCCAGCTACTTGGGAGGCTGAAGTGGGAGGATCACTTAGGCCAGGAGTTCAAGGCTGTGGTGAGCTATGATTGTGCCACTGCACTCCAGGCTGGGCGACAGAGTGAGACATTGTCTCTTAAAAAAAATAAAGGGCCGGGCGCGGTGGTTCACAGTTGTAATCCCAGCGCTTTGGGAGGCCGAGGCGGGCGGATCACGAGGTCAGGAGATCAAGACCATCCTGGCTAACATGGTGAAACCCCGTCTCTACTAAAAATACAAAAAGAAATTAGCCGGGCGTGGTGGCGGGCGCCTGTAGTCCCAGCTACTGAGGCAGGAGAATGGCGTGAACCCGGGAGGCAGAGCTTGCACTCCAGCCTGGGCGACAGAGCAAGACTCCATCTCAAAAAGAAAAAGAAAGAAAGAAAGAGAGAGAGAGGGAGGGAGGGAGGAAAGAAGTAAATAAGGAAGGTTGGTTAAAAATTACTCACTTGCCTTACCTTTGTGGCTTGCATTCTATTTTGACTGGACTGCACCATTATAGGCTACTGGATAGGGAATAACCTCTAGGTCTCTGTTCTAAGCGACTTACAAAATCATCTGTGGTAGCCACATGCTCTGCATGGACTATTTAGATGGTAACTTTTAAAGAAGTACTGTTTAACTCTGGAGGCTTAGGAAAGTAGAGTAGATAAAAAGGCTGTACCAGGATTCTATATGCAAATTTCCTGACACTTTAAAGTCAGAATTTCCTCACCTATCATCTAAAAAACAATCAGGATCACCAATGAAGTAGGTTATTTAGCTTAGATTACTTCAGCTAGTAGCCTTCAGGAAGCAAGGGAATGTAAACTATAACCAAACCAAGAGTCTTTGCCTGCTTAGAGCAGCTGACTTAATTAAGATGCTTTATTTACTGAAAGCCTTTTAAATATGCTCTACAAATCTGCCGATGTTCAAAGTTGTTCGTTTATTGTTACTTTCCCATTCTTGTCCTTTGTAAAATCTCTCCAACTTTAATGGGTTTCACAGGAAGATTAAGGCTTGTAAAACATCTAAGCACTTGGCAGCCATTGACTTTTCTCAACACCAAGGGAGTCAGATGTTGTTAATCGGATTTTACAGGTGAGACTGACTATGTCTCAGGGGCTAGAATTAGGGCTCAGAAGTGCCTGTAGGTTGACCTAGCATTTTTTCAATCTAAAATGGACCTGATGTTCTTTACCAGACATGACTACATTACTTGCAAAATAGTTTCTCCTCCCTTGTCTTTTTCCCTCCCTAAGTCATAACAACACACGAAATTGCAGCACAAAGCCCAAAACTCAAAAATGTAATAGTATTAAATCAAGAGACTGCAGCTGTCTGTGAATGTCAGTCCCAAATTTCCATCCACATGTCATGCAAATACATGATTTCCATCTGAATTATGAGAATGAGGATTCCACGCAGGAAATGACCCTCCTTTCTGTTACCCCCAGGTAAATAGGTTCATCACTGTGAAGATTTCTGGACATTCTGCCACCACCTTGGTCTACAAGTGGCATTCCCAAAGCCTGAAGCTATCTTTGGCACCTGTAAAACGCCAGCCTTTCCCTCCATGCCTACCCAAAGTGGTAGGTCCAGAGATGTCTTGATCATCTTCATGCCACCACTTTGGCCGGACAGAGCGGGAGCAATGTTGACTGATGTCATATTCTTAACTTTTAGTATCACCTGGTAATTTCTACAATAAGGATGCTGGAGTCTTGCCTAGTTAGAAATCCTACCAGGGCTGTTTATGAACCTTACTCGTGAAACAACTAAAAGTTTAGAAAGAGGAGAGGTTAGAAGGTAAAGGTAGAATTGGGAAAAAAAATGAATACCTAGTTTATTCTAAGGCTGTGATTCCTAAGCTTTTAGAGAAAGGTTAGGAATCTTCTGGCCGGGCTTGGTGGCTCATGCCTGTAATCCCAGCACTTTCAAAGGCTGAGGCGGGTGGATTGCTTGAGTTCAGGAGTTTTGGATCCGACTGGGCAACATGGCGAAATCCCATCGCTACAAAAAATACAAAAATTGGCCGGGTGCGGTGGCTCACGCCTGTAATCCCAGAATTTTGGGAGGCCGAGGCGGGTGGATCACCTGCAGTCAGGAGTTGGAGACCAGCCTAGCCAACATGGTGAAACCCTGTCTCTACTAAAAATACAAAAAAAAAAAAAAAAAAAATGAGCCGGGCGTGGTGGTGCATGCCTGTAGTCCCAGCTACTCAGGAGTCTGAGACAGGAGAATCTCTTGAATCTAGGAGGTGGAGGTTGCAGTGAGCTGAGATCGCGCCACTGCACTCTAGCCTGGGCAACAGAGCAATACTCTGTCTCAAAAAAAAAAAAATTACAAAAATACAAAAATTAGCCAGGCATGGTGGTGCGCCTATAGTCCCAGCTATTCGGGAGGCTGAGGTGGGAGGATCACCTGAGCCTGGGGAGGTCAAGGCTGCAGTGAGTTGTGATAGGACCACTGCATTCCAGCCTGGGTGACAGAGTGAGGCCTTGTCTCAAAAACAAAACAAAATAAAAAAACCCAAGAACTTAGTAAACATTAGCTAGTAATAATTTTTTAAAAGAGAGAATTAATTTCTTCTGTGCTACTTGGTTGAATTGTTTGCATTATATAATCTATTATCTCTTAAAAATAGAAACAGCATAGGGCTTACATATTGTTTTATAAGTCAGATGAAATTAAATCAATTTAAAGTTACTCTTTTAAGACATTAGTAACATTCCAAAAAACATGGAGATGTTAGAGCATTGTTAAAATTGTGGCCCAGAATAACTTCTCTAAATAATCATTTCACACTCACTAAACCTCTGTTGAGGAAGTCTAGGCTAAAACCTTTGTTTGTCAAGAGGTGAAACACTTAACATGAATATCTCTACTTTCATGTAGATAAGTAGTGAGCTAGCTTGATTGATTTTGATCAAACTTTTGAAACTTTTTTTTGTTTTGAGACAGAGTCTCGGTCTGTCACCCAGGCTGGAGTGCACTGGAGTGATCTTGCCTCACTGCAACCTTCGCCTCCTGGGTTCAGGTGATTCTCCTGTCTCAGCCTTCTGAGTAGCTGGGATTAGAAGAGTGAGCCACCATGCCCAGCTAATTTCTTTTTTTTTGTATTTTTAGTAGAGACGGAGTGTCACCCTGTTAGCCAGGCTGGTCTTGAACTCCTGACCTTGGGTGATCCGCTGGCCTCGGCCTCCTGAAGTCCTGGGATTACAGGCATGAGCGACCACACCTGGCCAAACTTTTGAAACTTTTACAAATGTTGAGTGCATTTATGTGAATGTGACACAAAATACAGAAAGAATATGAGCACATATGAGATTTGTATTTTTAGGGACTGACATCAAAACTGTGTTACTCTTTAGAATTACTATGGTGATTTTGAATATGCTGAAGTTATATACTTTTTGCCGTGATTAGCGTCTTTATGTCAAGCTGTCTTGCCTCTGGGTTTTTATGAACGATGTCATCTGAAAAGACCTTATACTCTCTCTCATTCATTCCCTGATATCAATTCCATCTCCGGAGAAGCCAGGGAGTTGTTCAAGGCCTATAAAATGAAGTACAAGTGACTGAGATTCACAACACAGAACTAAAACATGTGAAATATTTTGATACTGTAGGCAAAGGAGGGTTGTAGTTTTCATGTTACTCTAGAAATGGTTTTCTCTTCCAATGTAAGCTGGATTTGTTTTCGAGAGCCAAAGAGCCAAGCTATTGAACACAGGTAGGCCCATGTATATACTCACAGAAAGGAGCATTGGCTGACTTCTGTTTGTTTGGTTTTTGTTTGTTTGTTTGTTTGTTTTTGATATTTCACTTTTCCCCACTAACCATTGTAACAATTTTTAAGTGTATAATTCAATAGTATTACATACATTCACATTGTCATGCAACATCACTATCAATCTCTAGAACTTTTTCCTCTTGTAAAACTGAAACTCTGTGCCCATTCATTAAACACTAACTCTCCATTTTCCCCTTCCTCCAGCCTCTAGTCATCATGATTCTTCATTTATTTATTTATTTATTTGAAACGGAGTCTCACTCACTCTGTTGCCCAGGCTAGAGTACAGTAGCATGATCTCGGCTCACTGCAGCCTCCACTTCCTGGGCTCAAGCGAGCCTCCCACCCACCTCAGCCTCCCAAGTAGCTGGGACTACAGGTGCACACCAACACACCCGACTATTTTTTTTTTTTTTTAATTTTTTTTAGTGACGGGATCTAACTATGTTGCCTAGGCTGGTCTCGAGCTTCTGGACTCGAGCAGTGCACTCACCTTGGCCTCCCAAAATGTTGGGATTACAGGCATGAGGCACCATGCCTGGCCTTCATTTCATTTTTCACTGGGCTTTTTTGAGTTGTATTCCTATCACTTACTTGATCTGTACTATACTTTCCCAACCCCCTTCTTTTTTTATTATTATTATTATTATACTTTAAGTTTTAGGGTACATGTGCACAATGTGCAGGTTAGTTACATATGTATACATGTGCCATGCTGGTGTGCTGCACCCATTAACTCGTCATTTAGCATTAGGTATATCTCCTAATGCTATCCCTCCCCCTTCCCCCCACCCCACAACAGTCCCCAGAGTGTGATGTTCCCCTTCCTGTATCCATGTGTTCTCATTGTTCAATTCCCATCTATGAGTGAGAATATGCGGTGTTTGGTTTTTTTGTCCTTGCGATAGTTTACTGAGAATGATGATTTCCAATTTCATCCATGTCCCTACAAAGGACATGAACTCATCATTTTTTATGGCTGCATAGTATTCCATGGTGTATATGTGCCACATTTTCTTAATCCAGTCTATCATTGTTGGACATTTTTCCCAACCCCCTTCTGGACTTCATGATTGGCTTAATTTACAAACATATTGGGTAGAATGAGGGGTCTGTGAAAGGTAATGAATTTGGAAAGTAGCTTGCCTTTCACATTGGGCTGCAAAGAAAGTAGGTTGAAAGAAATGTTTGGGCCAGACGCAATGGCTCATGCCTATAATCTCAGCACTTTGGGGGGCCGAGGCAGGAGGATCACTTGAGGTCAGGAGTTCGAGACCAGCCTGGCCAACATGGTGAAACCCCATCTATAATAAAAATACAAAAATTCGCTGGGCATGGTGGCACATGCCTGTAATCCTAGCCACTCAGGAGGCTGAGGCAAGAGAATCACTTGAACCTGGCAGGCAGAGGTTGCAGTGAACCAAGATCACGCTGTTGCACTGCAGCCTGGACGACAAAGCAAGACTCCGTCTCAAAAAAAAAAAAAGAAAGAAATGTTTGGCATGAAAAACCATTTCCTAAGTGTCAGACATCTATCTGTGAATTATGTGTATGGCTCCAAAAGTAGAAGACTCAGTGGTATGCTTGTTACAATTGTTAGTGTTTTGGTATGCTGGAGTTAGCCCATCAGATATTCATGTGAAAGCTCACACTACTGGGAGAAAATTAAACAAACAAAAATCTACCTTGAAAATGTCATGCCTTAACATTCTCCTTTGGAAATACTGTACAAAGATAATATAAAACATCTAAAAATAACGCATATTTTAAAAAGATTTGAAAAAAGAATACATTTTCACAGTTTGAGAAGTTGATTCTTGTTATGCAAACTTGAACATTTATTTTTGAGGGGTGGGATGCCTGGGAAAATTACAGATTGTAGGAGTTGTTTATGGAAGTTACAAAAAGGGACTCTGATGATTATTTCATGCCATTTTTGAATGTGAGAAATAAATATGTCAATATTTATTATGAAAATAGCATAAGGAAGATTTCCATGCATATAGAGAGGGTGTCTGCATTCACAGCCTTTGGAAAATGGTCAATTTCATGGCAGAAATGAATATAAATTGTTCCACTCAAACCTTCAGAACTGCAGTCCTTTGATAATTACAATGTTGTTTTCTGATTTGGTTTCTCTGCTAATATTACCCATAACGTTTTCACGTTTGTGAGTTTCCTTACACATTTCACAAGTATCTTCTTTTCTCATTTCAAAAGTAATGTATTCAACACAAAAAATTAATGATGCATTTTCCCAGTCTATATAAATGCATATAAGAATATTTTTTCTTTGACTCAGTACGGAATCATATAGTACATGCTACCTTGACATCTACTTTTTTCTCCACACTTAACAACGTTCTATGAACATCAAAGGGCCTTTGTGATACTACTTTCCTTAGAAGCTAAAGTCCATACATATGAAAAGGAAGCAAATTCCTCACACTGAGAAACCGTGACTATAAGCATATTTCATCAATTTATAAACATTAAAAAGTATAATTTCTAAACATTGGTTTATATTAAATATCTTTTAAAAAATGATCACCAGTTTAACAGTGCCAAGTTCTTTTGACAACTTAAGAGCTGAAAACTGGCCAGGAACAGTGGCTCATGCCTGTGATTCCAACACTTTTAGAGGCAGAGGTGTGAGGATTGCTTGAGCCCAGGACTTCAAGACCAGCCTGGGCAGCATAGTGGGACCCCATCTCTACCAAAAATAAAAAAATTAGCTGGGCGTGGTGCATGTGCCTGTAGTCCCAGCTACTTGGGGGAGCTGAGGTAGGAGGAGATTGCTTGAGGACAGGAGGTTGAGGCTGCAGTGAGCCATGATTGCACCACTGCCCTCTAGCCTGGGTGACACAGTGAGACCCTGTCTGAAAAACACAGGCATAAATCTTTACAATCTTGGATTCAGCAATGGTTTCCCAGACACAGTGCCAATAGCACAAGTGAGGGAAGATAAAGTAGATCAATTAGACTTAATGAATTTTAAAACATTTGTGTTGCAAACAATATAATCAAGAAAGTGAAAAGACAATCCAAAGAATGGGAGAAATTATTTGTAAATCATATATCTAATGAGGGACTTGTATCAAGAATATATAAAGAACTCTTACAACTCCACAATGAAAAGATAACCCAGTTTCTTCAGTGGGAAAAAGATCTGAATAGATATTTCCCCAAAGACATATAAGCAGCCAATAAGCCTGTGAAAAGATACTCAACATCATTTGTCATCAGGGAAATGCATACCAAAACCACCATGAAACATCACTTCACACCCACTAGAATGGCTAAACTATTTTAAGTTACTATACTTAAAAAGACGGGCAACTAGTTTTATTTATTTGTTTTATTTTCATTTTTTATTTTTTTGAGACAGAATCTTGCTCTGTCACCCAGGCTGGAATGCGGTGGCGTGATCTCGGCTCACTGCAACCTCCGCCTCCTAGGTTCAAGTGATTCTCCTGCCTCAGCCTCCTGAGTAGCTGGGATTACAGGTGCCCACCACCACACCCAACTAATTTTTGTATATTTAGTAGAGACGAGATTTTGCCACGTTGGTCAGGCTGGTCTCGAACTTCTGACCTCGTGATCTGCCTGCCTCGGCCTCCCAAAGTGCTGGGGATTACAGGCATGAGTCACCACGCCCGGCCCAGACAAGCAGTTTTTGTGAGGGTTTGGAGAAATTGGAGCCCTTATTCTTCATTAGTGGGAATATAAGTTTAGCCACTTTGGAAAACAGTCTGGCAGTTACTAAAAAAATTAAACATGGAGTTACCATATGAACACCAATTCTACTCCTATATACTCAAAAGAAATGAAAACATACATCCACACAAAAATTTGCATATGAATGTTCATAGCAGAATTATTCGTAACAGGCAAAAAGGGGAAACAACAAAAATGTCCATCAACTTAGAAAAGGATAAACAAAATGTGGTATATCCGTGCAATAGAAGATTATCCAGCCATAAATGAAGTACTGATCGATGCTACAACATGGAGGAACCTTGAAAACATGCAAAGTGAAAGAAGCCAGTAAAAAAAAGATGACAGGTTGAATGATTCCATTTATATGAAATGTTCAGGATGGGCAAATCTCAGGTTTGGGCCATAATCCCAAAAGGCACAATCCTGAGTGCTGTGACCTGGAATGATCAAAATCCCTAAAGTCTAAAGTCCCAAAAACCACAATCCCAAAAGATCAATATCTCAAAATTAGAATTCTGGAAAAAATAGGCTGGGCGCAGTGGCTCACACCTGTAATCCTAGCACGTTGGCAGGTCAAGGCAGGCAGATCACTTGAGGTCAGGAGTTCAAAACCAGCCTGGCCAACATGGTGAAACCGTGTCTTTACTAAAAATACAAAAATTAGCCAAGCGTGGTGGTGGATGCCTGTAATTCCAGCTACTCAGGAGGCTGAGGCAGGAGAATTGCTTGAACCTGGGAGGCAGAGGTTGCAGTGAGACGAGACTGTGCCACTGCACTCCAGCCTGGGCAACATGAGTGAGACTCCATGTCAAAAAAAAAAAAAAAAAAGAATTCTGGAAAAAATAATTTTTAGAAAATACAAGGACATTTATTTACATTTTTAAAGGAGATTCATTTGAGAAACATAGAAACACAACAGAATACACAATAAAAGACAATAATAATATACATATTTTTAAGCATAAACATCTAGGTATACTAACTACAGTTGCAAGAGTACAGTTACAAGTGGATGAAATGTATTATTAAAGAAATAGGTCAGAAAGCAAAATGAATAAATACATCACTATGGTTGGTAATTGCATGCACCCAGCTTTATAACCTCAGTCATCTGAAATACTGTGACCGGCAAACTAAGTCTTTTGATGAGACTGATCAAAAACCACGATGGGTCAGCACCACATATGCAGCCACCCAAAGAGCCAAGATCTCGAGAAGTTTTCTCTTTCACAAATGCATGTGCACAGAAAGGACATCTCTTCATCTATTGAGGAAGATTCAACATTTTTGCATACACACGTGACGCTTACACACAGAGTCAATGTGATAATGTACTTTTGTGAAGTCAAATTTGTAAAAAACAAAATACATAAAATGAATTAGAACTCTAAAAGTCTTTACACAATTTATACCTCCAGTATTGAAATAATGCAAAGATGAAATCCATAGCATAGCAAATTGCAAAAAAATAATGTTGACAATTTAAAATTGTGGGGAAGGGCTGGGACTCCGTGGCTCATGCCTGTAATCCCAGCACTTTGGGAGGCCGAGGTGGGCGGATAACCTGAGGTCAGGAGTTTGAGACCAGCCTGGCCAACCTGGAGAAACCCTGTCTCTACTAAAAACACAAAAATTAGCCGGACATGGTGGCGGGCACCTATAATCCCAGCTACTTGGGAGGCTGAAGCAGGAGAATCACTTGAATCTGGAAGGCGGAGGTTGCCATGAACCAAGTTTGGACCACAGCACTCCAGCCTGGGAGACAGAGTGAGACTCCATCTCAATAAATAAATTAATTAATTAAATAAAATAGTGGAGAAAATACTAAAAAAAGAAAAAAAAAACTAAAAAAATTAAGAAGAAAATTCGGCATGTGAAAAAGTATATCGATTATGGGCAATTGCACAGAGGTTGTCCATAGAGCTGACCAACTTTCACAATCATTAACTATATTTGAAGCCTCTCATGTCCATGAATACCTGCTTTCTTTTTCCCCTTTTAGGGTATGAATACATTTACAAAGAATACATTCACATTGCTTTTCTACGTGGCACTGCTCTTTTTGAAATTCTTCTGAGTTAAGATACACCAACATGAACATTCCTGTATAATGTTCACATCTTTTGTGCCATACTTCTGTGTAATTTTGGGTATACAGTAATCCACTCCACAAGCACTTTTATGGAGACCACAAATTTCACAGAAACCATGTTGTTGATTGAACTCCAACATCGTTGTGCATTCTTTTATCCTACTGTGCACATGATTATTTTTGAACCAGCCAGTAACTTTGCTGGCTTCTTCAAGCAAATTTGGCTTTAATTCATTAAAAATTCCTAGAATTTCATCAGCTGGAAGGGCTGCCAATGCAGACAAAGGATGCATTTTTATTTTTATTTTTCATTTTTTTTGAGACAGGGTCTCACTCTGTCACACAGGCTGGAGTGCAGTGATGTGATCACAGTTCAGTGCAACCTCAACTTCCCAGTCTCAAGTGATCCTCCCACCTCAGCCTCCTGAGTGTAGGACTACAGGCATATGCCACCACACCTGGCTAATTTCCTTTATTTTTTGTAGAGTTGAGGTCTCGCCATGTTGCCCAGGACTCGAACTCCTGGGCTCAAGCAATCCTCCCGCCTTGGCCTCCCAAAGTGTTGGGATTACAGGCATGAACCGCTGTGCCCAGCCAATGATGCATTTTTAAACTGAAGTTTTCATCACTGCATTATAATGTGGCCAATCCACTCACCTGAATTTTCCACCAAATGCAAATAAAGACAATGAGAAGGTAATAGTTCTGCATAACATGATGCAACTAACATGACTCAACTGTCCTAAATACAACCCAAAACGCATTAATTCCTTCCCTAGAATTCAGCTTTCTAAGATTTCCAATTTCAGGATTTTGATCTTTCAGGATTACGATTTTTGGAATTTTAGATGTTAGATATTTTAGACTCTAGGGATTTTAATGTTTCAGGCTTGCAACGTTCAGGATTATGGCATTTGGAATTGTGTCTTCAGGGATTATGACTGGCACTAGCAAATCTCTAGAGGCACAAAGTAAGTTAGTGTTTGCCTAGGGCTTAGGGGTTGGGAAAGAATGGGGTGACTGGTAATTGGAATAGGATTTTTTTGGGGGGGGTGTCAAATATGTTTTGAAATTAGATTGTGGCAATGGTTGCACAACTCCATGAATATACCAAAAACAATTGAATTCTACACTTTGAAATGAAATAAATTGTCTAGAATGTGAATGATATCTCAATAAAGCTGTTTAAAAAAAAAATCTGGCCTGGACAGCTTTGCTTCTATTTATATAGCCGAAGAGAGATTCTGAGAAGCCCTTTTATTGCAAAACACCTGGATACTGAATACATTATAACTAAGAAAATTTTAAATGTATTACTGAGTTACAAGAAAGTAAGGAAACTAGTCTTATTGTTTAATAATTCATACATAAGAAATAAAATAATGGTAAAAACAGAATAAAACCGCTAAAACCAAAATTGTAAATAATTTTTTTTTTGAGACAGAGTCTCACTCTGTCACCCAGGCTGGAGTGCATTGGTGCAATCTTGGTTCACTGCAACCTTTGCCTCCTGGGCTCAAGCGATTCTCGTGCCTCTGCCTCCTGAATAGCTGGGATTACAGGCACCTGCCACCATGTCCAGCTAATTTTTTGTGTTTTTAGTAGAGACGGGGTTTTGCTACGCTGGTCAGGCTGGTCTCGAACTCCTGGCCTCAAGTGATCTACCTGCCTCGGCCTCCCGAATTACTGGGATTACAGACATGAGCCACCACAACCGACCTATATTTTCTTTCTTCTTTAAATTTAATTTTATTTTTACTTTAATATTTTTTGGGAAACAGGTGGTGTTTGGTTACATGAATAAGTTCTTTAGTGGTGTTTCTGAGACCTTGGTGCACCCATCATCTGAGCAGTGCACACTGTACCCAATGTGTAGTCTTTTATCCCTACCCCCACCCATCCTTTCCCCCTGAGTCCCCAAAGTCTATTGTATCATTCTTATGCCTTTGTGTCCTCACAGCTTAGCTCACGCCCAGCCTATACTTTCTTATGGGGAGAGAGGGAATATGAATTGGGAGGAGTGCATCGAGGCCTTAAAGTTATTGGCATTGATAATGTTCTCTTTATTTTGCTAGGTAGTGGGTACATGGGTATGTCTTTTATTAATAATATTCTTTTTCCTATATTCTTTAAATTTCATTTAAAAAGTACACATCGCCAAGCACAGCGGCTTACGTCTGTGATCCCAGCACTTTGGGAGGCAGAGGTGGGAGGACTGCTTGACCCCAGGAGTTCAAGACCATCCTGGGCAACATAGGAAGACCCCATCTGTACAAAAAAAAAAAAAAAAGAGCCAGGCCTGGTGGCACATGCCTGTAGTCCCAGCTACCCGGGAGGCTGAGGCAGGAGGATTGCTTGAGCCCAAGAGGAGGCTGCAGTGAGCTGTGTTCCTGCCACTGCTCTCCAGACTGAGCAACAGAGTGAGACCCAGTCTCAAAAAAAAAAGAAGGAAACATATACCCTGGAAAGCATGACATTCCTATGCACAAGATCAAAAGTAAAAATTTACAGTGAATGTAATAAAAAGCCAGTAAAATATGTGTACTCAGGCTTTAGCCCATTTAAATCATTCTGTAGCAATATAAAGGTCATCAGTACTTTGGCCCAGAGTAGCAACTACACTTCATTTCCAAAGAAACTTAAGGGAACTTGATAAATTGGACTCTGAAAATCAAAAACAGAACAAAAAAACCTTGAAAATACTAGCAAGAAAATGGAAAGGCAAGCCACAGAAAGGCAGAAAATATACATAATATACATGTCTGACAAAGAACTTGTGTCCAGAGTATACAATGAATTTTTATAACTCTATAATAAATCAAATGACCCACTAAAAATACAGAAAAGATTTGAACATATTTCACAAAAGACGATATCACCAACGAACACACAAAAAAGGTTCAACGTGTTCAGCATGAGAGAAATGCAAATTACAACCACAGTGAGATATCACCTAATACCTCAATTAGAATGGCTGTAAGTAAAAGACTAACAAGACCAAGTGTTGACAAAGATGTGAAACAACTGGAACTTTCATACACTGCTTGTGGGAACAGAACATGTTATGGTGATATGAATAACATTCTGGCACTTTATAAAGTTAAACTTCTACCTACAATGTGACCCAGCAATTCCAATCCTAGGTATTTATTTACTCAAAGCTGGACACCTATTTTCACAGACTTCTACGTGAATATTGATAGCAGCTTTGTTCATAATACCCCAAACTGGAAACAATCCAAGTGTCCATCAGCTGGTAAATGGGTACACAAAATACGTGCATACAATGGAATATCATGCATCAGTACAAAGGAATGAACCACTACACAAAAACAGATCAATTTCAAAAACATGCTGAACAAAAGAAGCCAGACATGAATGAGAACGTATGGTATGATTCCGGTTATCTGAAACTCTGGAAAGGACTCGGGGGCCAAAGCGGAGTTTCTTGCAAAGGGGAAGGAGGAAAGTTTGGAGGCTAATGGAAGGGCTCTCAAACTTGATTATGGTGGTGCTTACAAGGGATCAATATTTCACCAAATGATACACTGTATTATTTTTTATTTTGTTATATTTAGAGATGGGGTCTCATTCTGTCACCCAGGCAGGAATGCAGTGGTGCCATCATAGCTCACTGCAGACTCAAACTCCTGGGCTCAAGTGATCCTCCTGCCTCAGCCTCCCAAAGTGTTGTGATCACAGGCATGAGCCACTGTGCCTGGCCTGAATGACACACTTTAAAAGGTGTGGTCATTTATATGTAAATTATACCTCCAAAAAGTTGATAAACTAAAAAACACTTCAGGAAAGAGTATAGATTCAGTGAAGGGTCAAGTAGAAGAAGAGATCCGTAAACTAGACACACTTTGAGCATCAGATATGAAAAATGAAGCTGGGTGTAGTGGCTCACGCCTGTAATCCCAGCAGTTTGGGAGGCCAAGGCAGGCAGATTGCTTGAGCTCAAGAGTTCGGGACCAGCCTGGTAACATAATGAGACTGCAACCAGAAAAAAAAAAAATTAGGTGGGTGTGGTGGCAAGCACCTGTACTTCCAGTTACTTGGGAGGCTGAGGTGGGCAGACTGCTTGAGCCGGGGCAGTGGAAGTTGCAGTGAGCCAAGACCGTGCCACTGCACTCCAGCCTGGGGGACAGAGTGAGACCCTGCCTCCAAAATAAGAAAAAAAATGTGAAAAATGAAATTTTGCTGTATATATGAAGAGACATGGACTAGAGAGTACTGGGGGATGTTGCCAAATCATAATGAGTTCTTATTTGTTGAAGTGGTTCAGACAAAAAAAAGTGCAGTTGTTTTCTGTTATTTTATTCATTCTTTTTATAACTGCTACCTCATTATCTTTCTGGCTCAGTCTGTTAATTATATAAACTCAAAGAAACAATCCCTGGCCGGGCGCGGTGGCTCACGTCTGTAATCCCAGCACTTTGGGAGGCCGACACAGGTGGATCACAAGGTCAGGAGTTTGAGACCAGCCTGGCCAACATGGTGAAATCCTGTCTCTACTAAAAATACAAAAATTACCCGGGCGTGATGGCAGGTGCCTATAATCCCAGCTACTCCAGAGGCTGAGGCAGGAGAATCACTTGAACCCGGGAGGTGGCAGTTGCAGTGAGCTGAGATCATGCCATTACACTCCAGCCTGGGTGACAAGAGCAAGACTTTGTCTCAAAAAAAAAAAAAGAAAGAAACAATTCCTACAGGGCCCATGCACCTGTGGAGGGAGATAGTCATGTTTCAGGAATTTGGGGGTTTCGTATATTATTTTTTTGGACCTAATATTTGCATTTACTAATCATTTGGGGGGGAAAGCTTTTTCTTGGTCCTTTTGCCTTTATATTTTTCAAAGATTTATTTCTCACGATTAGTGGTCATGCCTGCAAAATATCATATCTTGTCAACTCCATTTATTGTCTCTCTTTGATAGCGAATTGTGTTTTTCAGCAATGCAGGGAAAATTTTCTGTCAATTTCACTCTATTTAAATTGGCAGAAAATTAAAAGAAAACCTCTCAAGGATTCAGTTTGGTTGTGATTAACCAATTCAGTAAACATGTAACAGGGAGAGGCCTTAAAAAATGCAGTGCCAATGTGTGGGGTTTTGATGTTCAAGATATTTTTGTGCATAGAAAAATGCAATCACTTTGGTTTTAAAAGTAAAATTCATTTTATTAGCAACCCATTAAAAACCCTCTCTTCACTAAGTTTTAAGGCCATTAAAAATCTATCTATTTTATCTGTAAACTCTAAGGTAACAATTGTCTTTACCTTTTCCTTGATAAATGTTTGTTTAACGCAAATTGAGCTGATTAAACTTTCTATAAAAATTAGACTCATATACAATTTAATGAATAACAACCCTTCATATATGTGTGTGTGTGTATATATATACACATATATATACATATATACACATATATACATATATACACATATATACATATATACACATATATATACATATATACGCATATATATACATATATACACATATATACATATATAAACATATATACATATATACACATATATATACATATATACACATATATATACATATATATACACATATATACATATATACACATATATATACATATATACATATGTATACATATATACATATGTATACATATATACACACATATATACATATATACACATGTATACATATATACACATATATACATATATACACATATATACATATATACACATATATACATATATACACATATATACATATATACACACGTATACACATATATACACATATATATACACACATACACATATATACACATAAACACACATATATACATATATACACACATATATACACATATACACGCATATATACATATATACACACATATATACATATATACACATATATATACACATATATACATATATACACATATATACATATATATATATATATATATATATATATATATATATATATATATAGTGCTTGTGTGTGTGTGTATGTGTAGATGGAGGTCTCACTGTGTTGCCCAGGCTGGTCTCCAATCAATTCTTTTTTTTTTTGGAGACGGAGTCTCATTCTGTTGCCCAGGGCTGGAGTGCAGTGGCACAATCTCAGCTCACTGCAACCTCGGCCTCCCTGGTTCAAGTGATTCTCTTGCCTCAGCCCCTCAAGTAGCTGGGAATACAGGCACCTGCCACAAGGCCTGACTAATTTTTGTATTTTTAGTAGAGACAGGGTTTCACCATGTTGGCCAGTTGGTCTTGAACTCCTGACCTCAGGTGATCAGCCCGCCTCTGCCTCCCAAAGTGCTGGGATTACAGGCATAAGCCACCTCGCCCAACCTGGTTTCCACCTATTGGGCTCAAGCAACCCTCTCACTTTGGCCTCTCAATGTGCTGGGGTTACAGGTGTGAGCCACTGCACCTGGCCCCCTTCATATATTTTAAAGTGCATTTATATTTTGAATATATTTTGTTCCCCTTTAAGTACTTCCCCTTTAAGTATTTATAACCCTAACAAGAAAAACATTCTCAAGTTCTTAACTTTGATAAAGCAAATAAATTAAATTTGGAGGAATCTCAAGTTCTCTTAAATATTCCAATTATATTTTTGAACTTAGTCAAACTACCTTAAACTTATAAACTTAATAATCACAAATCTAAAATCAGTTTACTCAAATTTAAGTTGAAAGCCCAAAGGAAATCTCTCACATTCTCTAACTGGCTGAAATCTCTTTAATATTTCAAACATAATAAATACACAAGATTATCTCATAACTCAAAATTTATTCATATACGTTAAAGTTTTAATATTGTGGGATTAATTTATCTCTCTACTTAAATTTTAAACTTTTCTGAAGTTTATTTACCCACCAAATTTTGGAGGCTGAGACTCAGGAACTAATATACACATTTTTTAGTGATTTTTATCAATCCCACAAATGGGTTCTCTGAGTCTTTTTTGAATTCATTATGACAAGGAAGTTCAAGTCCCTGCCCTTCAGATGTGGTTGATTTTTCCGGGATTCAAGATAAAATCTCAACTTTTATTGCCTGATTTCTGTAGACCAAATTCCCCAAAACTCTCCCTATTATCCACTTCAATAATCTCTTCATGGGTCGTTGAATCCTGTGTTCTCTTCATATTCTTCCTGGTTTCTGCACACTTTCCTCTGGGTCTGCTGTGACGTGCCAAAATTATGCAAATTACACCTGGATAATGAGTTAAGTATACAATCATGCCTAATTTTATATGTAAGTATGTAAATGTCCAAGCCGAGGTCATGCCATTGCACTCCAGCCTGGGCAACAAGAGTGAGACTCTGCCTCAAAAAAAATAAAAAATAAAAACCCCACAAAAAAACTAAATTATCAACAATTTTTCTAGTCACATGAGCTCATCCAAATGAAAATAACTATATACCCAATATGTTTTGAAAAGATCACACATACTACTCACTATAACAATATACTTTAATGTCTTCATGATGTACTTCTTAGAAACTTCTGCTAAATAGAAAGTCAATATTACAAACATTAAATTTCCTACTTATGCTCTGGTAACATTCTACTTCCATCTAACACAGCCCCTGTACTGTATGGTAATTGTTAACCCAACCAGTTCTTCACTGACTGTGAGCTCCTTGGTGGAGGGAAATGGCTTTTTCTTACCCCCTTTTTATTGCAGTCAGATATACATGACATAAAATTTACCTTCTTAACATTTTTAAGTTTGTAATTCAGTGGCATTAAGTATATTCACAAGGGAATGTGGATCTTTTGTTTTGTTTTGTTTTTTGTTTTGAGATGGAGTCTTGCTCTGTCTCCCAGGCTGGAGTGTAGTGGCATGATCCCAGCTCACTGCAACCTCCACCTCCCGGGCTCAAGTGATTCTCCTACCTCAGCCTCCCAAGTAGCTGGGATTACAGGCGTGTGCCACCACATCCAGCTGAGTTTTGTATTTTTAGTAGAGACGGGGTTTCACCATGTTGGCCAGGCTGGTCTCAAACTCCTGACCTCAAGTGATCTGCCAGCCTTGGCCTCCCAAGGTAATGTGGATTTTTATATATGTCTTTAGTCTTAGTTTTTGTACCTGGCCCATAAATGGCATAAACACTTGTTGAATGACCTACCTAATGAATGAACAAGTGACAGAATTGATGTTTGCTAATCATGTATATAGTAAATACTCTCTCTCTATATATATGTGTGTGTGTGTGTGTGTGTGTGTGTGTGTGTGGAACACACATCTTTCTGTTTTGAAGCCTTCAAGTTTAACAGACCCAGTGGATACAGATACATTTGATCCAGCAGTGGACATAAGCCCCATGCGTGACATTGCCACAGCTATCAAGCTAAGAAGACTGTAGAGAAAAGTCCGGCACATCCTCATTCACTGGCTATAATCAGTACAGATTTGCATTGGGTCAGTTATGGAATCCATTGTGTTGCTTCATAATAGCCGGTTCCCATCATTCAGACTTCCAGAGAACCAGCATTTAAATACCTCTTCCCTCCTTCCTGAGGTGGTGAGTTTGTAAACTGTAAAGCCCTATGCAGAAGGATTCTTGTCATGGATGCAGGTGATAGACTGTAGCAGGAAAAGAGAAGCAAACTTGATTTTATTTCCTTTCTCTTTTTGAAGAAAAGAATATATCTGGCCACTTCTGTGTTTTCTTAAGGAGAGGTGCTTTCATACTCATTTTTTGGATTGGAAAATGCTCTCACCCCTCAACCATCACCTCTTAGCGTTCCCACCAAAACCTCAATCCTTGCCCATGTCTTTGGTTCACCTGCTGTGTTGAGAAGAGGCCTGTGTTCCCACAGTGGAGTGTGCCGTTGCAATGTTAACTCGTAGTTGGTGTTAACTACAGAGCCTATCACAGTTTCAGTTCTTGACTGATGATATAACACGGTTTATTCTCGTTATTCATGGAAATTAGGTTCTGTAAAGTCTTGGCAAACACTAAGCAAATACTGAACCATTGCTGGTAGGGGTAGCTCCCAGGGTCACAATATTTTCGTCAATTGATCAATACATAACCTCATTTTACGTGTTTCTCTTTAAAAACACCTTATTTACTAGATATCGTTGATACATTAACATTGACTTTATGGCCAACAGCACTTTAACTCACCCTGAAAGTTTACTTACCACGTGTATTTTTTCTGTAAGGCACATCACAGACTTCTTGAGCTTAGAACACTAGACAACACATCAGTATTGCACTTGCAGCTCATTTTAAACAGCATCACCAACAACAGCACAGAAATGCAAGAAACACGCCACTAAACAGACCACAAAGAGACACGTTTACAGTATCCCTGAAACAAGAAGAGCGTAGGCTTGTTCGACCTCAGCTGGGAACATTCACAAGAGGTAACTCAAATTTTTCACTGCTCTGCACCTATCTGTGAATGACAACAAGAGTGCCACCAATACTGACACTGAGGTTTACAAATAAATTTTAGCAAGCAGTCAAAGACATGATACACAATCTGTGAATAGTGCACGTTGACTATATGCTAAATCCAAAGGCAAGCTTCTCCATTTGGGGAGGTAGTTTGCTGTATACTGTGGTATAGAGTAGAGCTTCCCAAAGGGTGTGCCTCAGATGTTGTACACAGGAACTGAAAAGTGGACATTACCAGCCTTCAGGGCCACTCAGCTGGGCTGGGGTGATTAAGCCACTGGGATAGTTGCTTCCACCCACAAGCAGCCTAGTAAATTTATCCCAGTGTGCCACACAAATACATCATCTTTTCTTTTCTTTTTCTTGTTTTTTTAGACATGATCTGGCTCTGATGCCCAGGCTGGAGTGCAGTAGCACGTCAGCTCACTACAACATCCGCCTCCTGGGCTTAAGTGATCCTCCCACCTCAGCCTCCCAGTAGCTGGTACTGCAGGTGTACACTACCATGCCCAGCTAATTTTTTTTTTGTAGAGACAGTGGTTTCACCATGTTGCCTAGGCTGGTCTCAAATTCCTGGGCTCAAGCAATCCACTCACAACCGCCTCCCATAGTGCTGGGATTACAGGCATGAGCCACTGCACCTGGCCTTCTTTCTTAATAGTACATTTTCTATGATAAGGATCTATATGTATATGTGCTTTACAATTTACACTTTTCCATGTGATGTAAAAAAAATGGGAAGCACTGGTCTCTATAGAGCATGGTAAGTAAAAGCTCAGTCTGGAATCACATAGGCCTGTCGAAATCCTGATTCTGCCTCTGTCTAGCCAAGTGACTTGAACTTATCTGTGATATCATGAAAATAAGAGTATTCAACTCATGGGGGCACTTCCTTCAATGGGATAATGTATTTAAAGTGCCTGGCTCATTTCCCGGTACAAGATAAGTGCAATCAAACTCTTACGGTTTAGATTTGTTGATAGCCTGGAAACTTTCTTTATTACATAGATGCCATGTGTCCTCTGAGTAGAACAAGAGGTGCATTTAAAATTGAAGAACGAACAGAAGGAACTTCTGTAAATGGGTGAAGGAGCATCCAGACTATAGCAGCCAACTTAACCCAAACAGCTCAGCCTACAGATGCCTTGGTCTACTGAGGCTGCTGGGAGGAATACATTTTGTTTACATTTCAGGAATGGAACCGCAGCACATTTGCAAAATAACCAAGTTTCCACAAATAGTACCCAGGAAAGAGAACGCCTCATCAGCAAAAGTTTCTCTGAAACAAGGTGCAAAGGAGAAAGGCGAGGATAAGGAGTACCTTCAATGCCGAAATACCTTCCTAGAACAAAAGGGTGTCTTGAAGCCTTTGCCTCTTTGTCACATCCGGAAGGCCCCAGCCGGCAATCAGACCTTCCGGTAACCAGCTTCCTTTGCCTTAATAATTCATAGCCCAGCTCATGTTTGGGTTAAGGAGTGGCCACTTTCATGCAATCAACTGAAAATCTTTCCTAAAACTGGGACAAATGCACATGCCCAGATTCAAGCCTTTGAGCTCTCCTCAGTCTGCTTGCTAAGAGGCTTCCTGTTTAGCAGTGGAGCCACATCAATCTGGGATCATGACTCAGTTTGTTTTCATTTCTTTAGTGAATGCTTGTTCAAAACCTGGCCCTATGCTGAAAAGTCCTTAATCTATACTTGGTGATAGTATATAAGTGCCACAAGTTCCTGCTTCTCTTGCCTTCTCATACCAACTCTCCTGGGGGAAATGTGCCCTTATTATCTTCACCAGCATAAAATGCCCTGTTCTTTCTGCATTTGTATCTCCAGGACTAGCCACCAAACAGGGCTGCTTCCTACCTCAGGCAGAGAAGGCCGTGTGTCACTCTCTCCAGGTTTAGGTAGCATGTGGGAGGGAAGGGGGTTGCTGCAGGAGCAGCTTGGTCTCTCTACTGCGTGGCAGCCTTTGGAAGCCTTAAGCGAAGCCTTGCCCCCTAACACCACACATGCTGTAATTTAGCTGAGCACACATCTTCCAAGACCCCCCAGGAGCTGAGACTCCCTCGAGCTCCCAAACCTAATATCGCTTCAGTAACATTTGGTGCAGACTGTGCATTGAAAGAAAAGTTGTAAATACAATGAGGGCAATGTTTCCTGTATTCGAAGTATTGCCATGATACTTTACTAACGCCACTAAAGCAAGCAGTGCTGTCAGACCCCTGACCGTGGTATGAATTCATGCAACCAGTGGCTGTTATCCGCTACTGACAGGTGTGTGAGCTAGGCCCAGGGGGCAACATAAAGACTTGGCCCCAGTCTTCCCAAGGCTTCAAGGCTGCAGGAAGACGTAAGATAGTGTATACTATTAATAAATGAAAAATAAGGAAGGAGGCCGGGCGCGGTGGCTCACGCCTGTAATCCCGGCACTTTGGGAGGCCGAGGCGGGCAGATCACAAGGTCAGGAGATCGAGACCATCCTGGCTAACACGGTGAAACCCCGTCTCTACTAAAAATATAAAAAATTAGCCGGGCGCGGTGGCGGGCGCTTGTAGTCCCAGCTACTCGGGAGGCTGAGGCAGGAGAATGGCGTGAACCCGGGAGGCGGAGCTTGCAGTGAGCCGAGATCGCGCCACTGCACTCCAGCCTGGGTGACAGAGCGAGACTCCATCTCAAAAAAAATAAATAAATAAGGAAGGAACTGCTAGCAGAGCTGTATAGATAGAACGCTAAAGAAGTTTTGGGGAGGGAGAGTATTTTTGGAAAGAAAAGGTTATTTATTTATTTATTTTCATTTATTTATTTATTTTGAGACAGGGTCTCACTCGGTCACCAGGCTGGTGCAGTGGTGCAGTCTCGGCTCATTGCAACCTCCACCTCCTGGGTTCGAGTGATTCTCCTGCCTCGCCTGCCGAGTAGGCGGGACCACAGGCACCTGCCACCACGCCGGCTAATTTTTGTAGTTTTAGTAGAGATGGGGTTTTGCCATGTTGGCCAGTCTGGTCTCGAACTCCTGGCCTCAAGCCATCCGCCCACCTTGGCCTCCCAAAGTGCAGGGATTATAGGCGTGAGCCATCGCACCTGACCAGAAAGACAGGATTATTTTATAGTGCATTTTTGACCAGAGTCTTGAGTGAGGGGGAGAATTGGGATAGGCAGGTAAGGAGGGTTGGGTATTCTAGGTGGAGAGATGAGTGATGAGAAGGATAGTAATGACCCTAATAATGTTAGGGATGGTTAACATTTGCTGACCAGTTACCATACACTAGACACCATGCTAAACACTCTACTTGCAGGATTTCATTTAACGTTCACAACACACCTAAGGGATTAATTATAATTAGTTAATTATAATTATAACCCTCACTGTCCTCCCCAGCCCCCATTTTAGAGCTAAAGCAACTGAGGCTCAGAGAGGTTAGGTAATTTGCCCAAAGACACAGCTAGTGAGCAGCAACACAGGGGTTGGAGCAAAGTCACGTAGGAGGGACAATGCAGGCAAATCGTAGGAATGCTGAGCAGTTTGGTTTTGCTGGGTCTTAGGGCGACACGAATGATAGGCAGGGTTGGGGCCATATCATGGCCCCTTGACCTCAGGCCAGAACTGTGTGCAAATAACAAAATTATCCCAATCCTTTAAAATCTGCAACGATGAAGCGAGCAGGCACTGTGCAAGGCAGCTCCAAAATGTTTATTCAGACTTTCGAATTTACGAAGTCAAAACCCAATCATTTCACATGTCACTGTAAAATTATTTTTATGGCTCAGTTACTCAAATAGCAATGACATTTGAAGAGATTAATACCAATTCAATAAGGGCTTTATTTATTTCTGCAAAAACTTAACTGCAACTTTTAAATCCACAACTGGACTCTAAATCTTGAATTAAAAAACATAAAGACTTCACCTAACCTATGAATTAAAAATAAGCACCATGTGCAAGAACATCTATCTTTCCTGTGATCACTCCTCTGTATGGTTTCCATGCTGGAGTTCCATTTCCAACCAAATCCTGTGTTTGACTTGCGATGGATAGGCTGATACCTGGTGGAGGGACAACAGCATAATGTCCTGATACGACACAAGTAGAATGTATTCGCTACGTGAACTTCTGCAATCATGTGCCTCTCTAAGCTTCTCTTCCTCTCTTCCTTCCTTCTTTCCTTCCTCCCTCCCTCCTTCCCTCCCTCCCTCCCTCCTTTCTTTCTTTCTTTCTTTCTCTTTCTTTTTCTTTCTCTCTTTTCTTTCTTTCTCTCTTTCTTCTTTCTTTCCTTTCTATCTTCTTTCTCTTTCTTCCTTCCGCACCCGGCTATATTTTATTTTATTTTATTTTATTTTTGAAATGAAATCTCGCTCTGTCACCCAGGCTGGAGTGCAGTGGCACAATCTCAGCTCACCAAAACCTTCACTTCCCGGGTTCAAGTGATTCTTCTGCCTCAACCTCCTGAGTAGCTGGGATTACAGGCGTGAGCCACCGTGCCCAGCTAAATTTTTGTATTTTTAGTAGAGACAGCATTTTACCATGCTGGCTAGGCTTGTCTCAAACTCCTGACCTCAGGTGATCTGCCTGCCTCAGCCTCCCAAAGTGCTGGGATTACAGGCGTGAGCCATCGCGCCCAGCTTCTGTTTCTTTCTTTTGCTTTTTACTTCCTCTGTAATTGCAGAATAAGCTTCTGTTTCCTTATGTGTAAAAAGCACAATAATAATACCTACTTCACAAGGTTGTGTAAGGATGAAATGAGACAAGCTTATCAAGTTTTTGGCACTGTGTCTACCAATCTGTAACTCCTCAGTGCAAGATGGTTAATGTTATATTCCACCTGTAAGTGAGAGATGTATGCTGTTTTATCATGTGTCTGAGAAACTCAGTGAGATTCCCTATATCTATGGGTATACGGAGAGGCTTGTTAATTTCCCTAACTTTAAAAAAATGTTTACTTCTATTTTAAGTAGCCCAAAGACCCAATTCGTGGAGGGCTGAGCCAATTTCTTTTTAGGACGTGGTCTGCGGATCCTCCTCATGGTAACTTTGTCTTTCCATTCCCTTCCAATAAACTCAGCACCTTCCACCATGATGCACATTGAAAGCTGAAGTTGCCGATACAACCCTCAAAATGCAAGTTTATTGAAAAACCTGAGAAGAGCACTAAACAGACCAAAAATACCTTCATCCAAACTTTAAAATTTATTTTTTGCCAACTTCAGTAACTGTTTTCACATGAGAAGTCAATGCACAGGAAAATGCTGGTTTTATGGTAGTATTTAGATGTCTTGAAATGCTGAGGGCAATGAGCAGACACACAAACACATTAAGGTTTAGCTGCAGATCAATTAACAAACCTACAAGGTCCCTATGTAATCACACTTTCTAGTTCCAGTTGCTCCTTTTAGACACAAGCAAGTTGCCACATTTTTTGTAATGATTCACAGTCACCATTTATGGTATTGAAATACAGTGGCAAGGGTAAACATCCCTTCATTTCCAGAACCATCCATCCCAGTATGCAACATGCTTCTGAGAATAAGGACAGAATTATTTTTAAAGCCCATTTACTACTGATAAAAAAGAAAAAGGATGTCTATGCAACAGTGTGCAGGTTTTTTGACAAGGCTAGAGCAGACTATAAATTAAAAGTGATATTCAGTCAGATAACTTACTTTGAGCACTGTCTATATAAGTGCTATTTGACAAAAGGAATATAGTCACTCATAGTGTGAGGCAACGCATAAGCAGGGTATCAGAGAGTTTTATCTGCTATCACGGTCTATACAAATAACAATTTACCAGTGAACGAGTATTAACATATCCCTTTCCCTAACTTTTTATGCTTTGTTTCTAATTTTTTCAGAAAGTGCACATTTTAAGTGGTGCACCAAATATTTGTGGTGATATTGGTAAATATTTGTTTTTCTTTTAGAGATGGGGTCTCACTCTGTCACCCAGGCCAGAGTACAGTGGCACAATCATAGCTCGCTGCATCCTCAAACTCCTGGGCTCAAGAGATCCTCCCACCTCAACCTTCCAAGTAGCTGGGACTACAGGTATGCACCACCAGGCCTGGCTAATTTTTTTATTTTTTGTAGAGACAGGGTCTTGCTATGTTATCCAGGCTGGTTTTGAACTCTTGGTCTCAAGTGATCCTCCCACCTCAGCCTCCCAAAGTGCTGTGATTATAGGCATAAACCACCATGCCTAGCCAACATTTTAAAAAAAGTTTCCACATACAGCACTGAGTGAATATTTTTAATTGAACACCTGGAGTCATTTCTGTCTTCATCCTTCCTCATAGAACCCTGGGTTTATTTAGTGTCTGCCCATTCCCTCAATCACCCAGATGCATCGGGGGCAGTTGACCACAGCCAAAGCTCCAAGGATGAGCCTTGGGATTTAAGGCAATTGAGAATTTTCATGTATCTGGCAACAGTCATTGGTCGGTGGGGTTGGGGGTGAGCATGTGACACAAGACATAGTGAGTCCCAGGCTTTTGGTTTGGAATGCTGGCATCAGAAGCCCACTCTCCTCTGTAATGGTTGTTCTGAGTAGGTGTGAGACCTGGAGCTGGTTGGCCATCTGTTACCTTCCTGCAGAAGAAGCTGACACAGAAGACGAGGGGGATAGATCTGGAGCCACTGGGCAGTGCCACCTGCAAAGCCCTGCCTCTAGACTTCCAATTGTGGGAGCCCGTAAGTGTCCTTAGTAAGCCAGTTTGAGCTGCATTACTTGCAGCCAAAGAAAGGCATCCTTACTGATATAACACGTGATACAATAGGCCTCTAGGTTTTTACCTTTATTACCCTTTAATAGTCTCTGTGGTAAGATATTAGCAAGGAGTTAAAGTAAACCTGAGTGTTCAATTCATCCTATGGTAACTAAAAGTCTTTTAATCCTTTTTTTCAGTTATTTATTCCGTCATTTTTTATGTTTAGGATTCTAAACATACATTTTTAAAATAACTTTTAAGGCCAGGCATGGTGGCTCACATCTGTAATCCCAGCACTCTGGGAGGCTGAAGTGGGCAGATCATGAGGTCAGGAGTTTGAGACCAGCCTGGCCAACATGGCGAAACCCCGTCTTTACCAAAAATACAAAAATTAGACAGCGTGGTAGTGCATGCCTGTAATCTTAGCTACTCAGGAGGCTGAGGCAGGATAATTGCTTAAACCCAGGAGGTAGAAGTTGCAGTGAGCTAAGATGGCACCATGACTTGAGGTCAGGAGTTTGAGACCAGCCTGGCCAACATGGCGAAACCCTGTCTCTACTAAACATACAAAAATTAGCTGGCATGGTGGCAGGTGGCTGTAATCCCAGCACTTTGGGAAGCTGAGGCACATGGATCACCTGAGGTCAGGCGTTTGAGATCAGCCTGGCCAACATGGCAAACCTTGTCTCTACTAAACATACAAAAATTAGCCAGGTGTGGTGGCGTGTGCCTGTAATCCCAGCTACTTGGGAGGCTGAGGCAGGAGAATCGCTTGAACCCAGGAAGTAGAGGTTGCAGTGAGCTGAGATCGTGCCACTGCACTCCAGCCTGGGCAACAGAGTGAGACTTCGTATAAAAAAATAGAATTAGCTTTCTCTGTATGTTTTGGAATTTTGGATTCTGGGCTCATCTTGAGTGGAAGGTTTTTCCTTTCTCTTTCTCTGTGTGTGTGTTGGGGCAGATGGGTGGGTGCGGGTGTGTGTGCGCATGAGCAAGGTTTCCTCCCATTTAGTGGTTGAACCAGGTCTAATAATGGTGGCTTGGATGTCTCACTTCATGAATATTAGAACTATTGCAGATCCAGTCTCCAGGCCAGCAAGCAGTTTAGCTTAGTCCTGGTTGGGCGGCCGTGGCCATGTTCTCTCATCTGCCTGGGCACGAAGCATCCTGTGAGCCATCATGTGGCCAAGCAGGAGTAGACAGCAGCTATTCTAGCCTCATGCGGAGTAGTGGAAGCCCTACCCTGGTTCTTGGATTCAAGAAGCAAAACAGGCAACATCCCCCACCCTGCTCTCCAGCCTGGAGAGGGGCATTTTATTTTATTCTGTTTTCCCACAAGAGCTAAATTCATATCTGCTTTCGCTGCTTCTAGACCTAGAGCCAAGCAAGCCTGTGGCTTCAGCCCCGCAAATCTATTGATTTGGCTTCCATGCACAGGGTGTTCATCTTGGTTGGAGTGCAGCTTTGTCCTTTAGATTGCTTCTTTTTCTCTTTTACCTCTCATTGCCATGTGTTTGAGGCAGGAGGTTGGAAGCTTTGCTCAAAGCAAGGACTTAAAATGCCTTTTTGAGCAGAGGTAGAGGGTTGTAGCTTGAAACTTGACTTTTAGTGATTCCACAGACACCAGCTGACACATCAGAATTATTCAGGGATGCTCAGAATGCCACTCCAGGAACCTGATGTTGCCACGCTGTGTTTACCTGCCGTAAACCCCAGGAAAGGAAAGGTGGGGATGGAGGAGTCAGTGGTCATTGGAAAACAAGAAGAGTGTCACTGAAGCTGGGAGTCTTAGAAGCCTGTTCTTACAGGGTGGAGATCAGAGCTTTAATTCAAATGCATCTGATTTCTTTGATATAAATCCCTGCCTCTGGCTCTCAGCTCTCTGCAGGCACCTAGCCACTGGTGAAGGTGTTGTTGATTCTCTTGCTACTTCTTATGGCCCACTCATATTTTATACCAAACCATACACTCTGAAAGTTCTTTTCTCTTTTTTTTTTTTTTTTTTTGTCATTGTGCTCTTCAGGATATAAGATAGCTAATAGCTCACTCTGGAAATAGCATTAATACATTGGGGTGAGGGGGAAGTGGAGGACTCATTTTATCAGATGTTAAGGTTTTTATGACGTGATAGTAACTAAGATATTGTAGTATTGGCACCAGGCTAGTTAAATAGACCAATGGAACAGAAATAGAAAGACCTGACTGACCCAGGAACATGGGGAAACTTGATTTACAACAGAGATCGAATTACAAACCAGGAGGAATGGATTATTCAATCAATGGTGCTGGGACAACTGATTATCTATCTTAGATTCCTATTTTCCATAATAAACTCCAGGTAAAGAGCTAATCATTAAAAGCCAAATAATAAAACATTTAGAAGAAAACATCAGGATAATTTTTTCTTATCACCTTCAGGTAGAAAATTGTTTTGTTTTTTTTTTGAGACAGTCTTGCTCTGTCAACCAGGCTGCAGTTCAGTGGCGTGATCTGCTCACTGCAACCTCCACCTCCCAGATTCAAGCAATTGTCCTGCCTCAGCCTCCCAAGTAGCTGGGATTACAGATTACAGGTACACACCACCACACCCGGCTAATTTTTGTATTTTTAGTAGAAACGGGGTTTCACCCTGTCGGCCAGGCTGGCCTCAAACTCCTGACCCGCCCGCCTCGGCCTCCCAAAGTGCTGGGATTACAGGCATAAGCCACCTCGCCTGGCTGAAAATAAATTCTTAAACCAAATGCACACCAAAAAATCACAAACATAAGGGATAGGATTAATTAGTTTAACTATATTAAAATAAAAATCTTCCATATAAAAAGGACACCATAAGCAGAAGGAAAAGACAAGCCACAGATGGAGACAAATGTTAGCAAAATATATGATTGGCAAATAGACCCTTTGCTGAACAATATGGCAATGTCTAGTAAAATTGAAGGCACGAATAATCCAGAGAAATTCTATACCGTAGGAAATGTGCAAAAATTTCATTGCAGCAGTTCTCTGTAGTAAAAAATTGGAAATTATGTAAATGTCCATCAACAAGAGAATGTATCAGTTGTTTGTTGTGGACAACTGCCATTGGCTCTTATCATGCAGCATCTATACCTCCCTCCTAAGTTTGGGGACTCCCCTACCTGCTGAGGCAGAGTCCCCTCCCACAATAAAAGCCAAAAATACCACTTTTTTTTTTTTTTTTTTCCCTGAGACAGCCTCCCTCTGTCACCCAGGCTGGAGTGCAGTGGCGCAATCTTGGTTCATTGCAACCCCTACCTCCCGGGTTCAAGCAATTCTGCCTCAGCCTCCCGAGTAGCTGGGACAACAGGCATGCACCACCATGCCTGGCTAATTTCTTTGCATTTTTAATAGAGATGGGGTTTCACCATGTTGGCCAGGCTGGTCTTGAATTCCCGACCTCAAGTGATCCGCCCACCTCAGCCTCCCAAAGTGCTGGCATTACGGGCATGAGCCACCACACCCAGTCCCATCTTCTTGATTTCCCAGTTTCTCCTGCAGCTAGGGCCCAGGCACATGACCCAGGCTCCAAAGATCAGATGCGCCTGCCCCAGACTTTCATGCAGCTGCAGGGGCTGCCCGGACTTTCTGGGAGGAAGAGCAGTGGTTCCGCTTGGCTTCTAGTGGCTGTAATGGCTGTGGTTCCTGCAGCTGTGTTTTGGGTCAGGAGGACCAACAGTGCAAGCCGTAGGGTCTGTCCAGCAGCCGTTGTTGTGGTGTTGCTATTGGACACATTCTACAGCATGATTAGGGACATTTTCCCTGGCAGTGGAGCCTCCAAACCCAAGTCTTCCACTCTTGCAAAGGTCTTCCAAGTTATTGAATACATTCCTTTTTGTTTGTTTGCTTAAATTAACCAGTTTGTTTCTGTTGCTTGCAAATAAAAACCCTCATCCTAACAGATTATGGGTTATTACATACTTATATGACATACATGAGAATGACATACACCAAAATTAGGATAAAACGTTGAGTGAAATCAGGCAGGAGTCCTCAGGGACTTTCAGTTGTGTCTCAAATTGTAACAATGGAAAAAATATAAACATATATAGCAAATGGAGTAAAGCATTAATTTGTATTAATATTTGATATTAATACAATAAAGCTCGGTGGTGTGCATGGGGGTGTTATATTATCTTCATATTTTTATGAATATATTAACTACTCCATTATATGCACACACCAACACACATATGTAAACTTTTACTATAATTCAAAATGTACTATTCTGAACATTTCAAAGAAACAATATTCTGCTGATATTATGTGTTTGTCTTTCCATGAAAGAAGATCCATCTCTAAGTTAGCCTGCATCTAAATTCACTAATAAACATTATGCTGAAAAAGGAAAAAATATATTGAAAATAGGTCTGGTGGGGCATTAAGGCAAATGCTGAAATAATGTATTATATTTGCATGCATGGGTTTTCTTAAGCCAAGCAGATACCGTAAATCACCATCATTTTGTAGAAATGCGTTTCTACTGAGGAAAGGCATCAAGACATTTCAAAAAGCATGGCTTCAACAAACATAGCTGATCATTCATCACACTAAGTTGCTTAGTGCATTTGTTTGCTTCAGTTGCTTTAACAAACTACCAGAGCCCAAGGGACTGACATGACAGAAATTAATTTTCTCACAGTTCTGGAAGCTGGAAGTCCATGATCAAGGTCCGTAGCATCAGTATCTGATGAAGGCTCTCTTCCCGGCTTATGGATGGCCACCTTATTGCTGTGTCCTCACGTGGCAGGCAGCAAAAGTCAGCTCTCTGGTGTCCTCTTCTTATAAGGACACTAATCTTATCAGATCAGGATCCCACCCTTATAACATCATTTAACCTTAATTACCTCCATAAAGCCTCTATCTCCAAATACATTGAGGTTTGGAGCGTCAACATACAAATTTTGGGGGGACACATTGAGTCCACAGCACTCAGGTTAAGGGTAAAGAAACTGAAAACACCCAGCACTTTGGAAGGCTGAGGCAGGCGGATCACTTGAGGTCAGCAGTTCGAGGCCAGCCTGGCCAACATAATGAAATCCCGTCTCTTCTAAAAATACTAAAATTAGTCGGGCATGGTGCCACACGCCTGTAATCTCAGCTACAAGGGAGGCTGAGGCAGGAGAATCGCTTGAACCCAGGAGGTGGGGGTTGCAGTGAGCCAAGATCGCTCCACTGCATTCCAGCCTGGGTGACAAGAGCAAGACTCTGTCTCAAAAAAAAAAAAAAAAAAAAAAAAGGCCTGGCACGGTGGCTCACGCCTATAATCCCAGAACTTTGGGAGGCAGGCAGATCACAAGATCAGGAGTTTGAGACCAGCCTGACCAACATGGTGAAACCCTGTCTCTACTAAAAATACAAAAAGTTAGCCAGACATGGTGGCGGGTGCCTGTAGTCCCAGCAACTCGGGAGGCTGAGGCAGGAGAATCGTTTAAACCCGGGAGGTGGAGGTTGCAGTGAGCCAGTATCGCGCCACTGCACTCCAGCTTGGGTGACAGACAGAGACTCTGTCTCATTAAAAAAAAAAAAAAAAAAAAAAAGGACACTGAAATCAACAGTGAATATTTTAATGATAATAAAATGTACTCCTGGCCAGGCACAGTGGCTCATGCCTATAATCCCAGCACTTTGGAAGGCCAAGGTGGGAGGACTGCTTGAGGTGAAATTTGAGCCCAGCCCGGGCAACACAGCAAGACCCCATCTCTGTATTAAAAAATAAAAATAAATAAGATGTACTCTTCTAGCTACCCAGGAATGCCAGTTTAAAATAACCTAATTAAAATACTATATTTTTAAACAAATTTCAGCGTCTCATAAAATTCTTTAAGCTAATTAAAATTCATGAAAGGTTGGTTTTATATGCTTCATAACCCCCCTGGAAGTTTTGTGGAAACACAAACTTACCCCTACATAATAGATGTTAATACTGAAGCACAAAGAAATGAGAAGATTTGCAATCACATTAAGAGTGAGTGACAGGCCAGGTACGGTGGCTCACACCTGTAATCCCAGCACTTTGGGAGGCCTAGACGGGTGGATTACTTGTGGTCAGGAGTTCAAGGCCAGCCTAGCCAACATGGTGAAGCCTCATCTCTACAAAAACACAAAAATTAACTCGGCATGATGGTGGGTGCCTATAATCCCAGCTACTTGGGAGGCTGAGGCGGGAGAATCTCTTGAACCCAGGTGGCGGAGGTTGCAGTGAGCCGAGATTGTGCACTCCAGCAGCCTGGGCAACAGAGCAAAAATTCTGTCTAAAAAAAAAAAAAAAAAAAAGAGTAAGTGACAGATTATGAATCCAAATTTAGCTTTCTGATTTCCATTCTAGCTGTTGGGCTACATAGCTTATTTAGTAGAGGCAATAAAACCAACTCATAAACACCTTACAGATATTTCAGGATCCAGCAAGATAGCAGTATTACAATAGAAAAAATATATGCATGTGTTCAAATCACAGCTGTCATTTACTGCTTGTGTGTTTTTGGTATAATTACTGAATTTCCAGAGCCTCAGTTTTCTCATCTGTAAGGGAATAAAAGTAAGTAACTTACAGACCAGCCTTGTATGCATTCTTCTTAGGTATGTTACAGTGCAATTAACATTCTAGTAATTGCTGGTCAATTATTTGCAATCATTTGGATTCATTGGTCCTCTGAACACGTATTTTATGTTTCTTTCAGAGCCATCGGTGCCTGTATAGCTGAAAAGGCTTATGTTTAACTCTTTTAGTGTATTGACAAATATTTTAACATGTTGGTAAATAAAATCCTGTCCAGAATTAAATGTCAATGCTTTACTAAAGTAATCGCTTGTATATCAGGGGTGTCCTTTCTGTCCTTTCATTTCTTTAATGTGATTTCTAACCATTATATTTCTAGGGTTCCTTTTCCCATTGAAAGCAAGGATACCTGGTTTGCTTCCCAGCTGGTTTGTCCCATGGTCCTAAGGAGAACACTGTGCAGGGACACAGGGCACACGTGCCAATGTAGCTCTCACAGCATCCTGAAAGTGACAGACCTGGAGTATGATCACCTTAGAAGCAGCCAGATGTCCTCTGCGGACCAG
This sequence comes from Homo sapiens, assembly GCF_000001405.40. Lineage (NCBI taxonomy): Eukaryota > Metazoa > Chordata > Mammalia > Primates > Hominidae > Homo > Homo sapiens. The sequence goes on along the minus strand of NC_000012.12, from coordinate 95,346,022 downwards.
GTCATCATAGTCTATGTCTTCTCCTTCAAGCAAAAGGACAAGACTATCAAAGAAGTGGCCAAAGTATATAGGGAGCTATATACTTTTTTTTTTTCTGTTGGCTTCTCAACACACTTTTTTTTTTAACTGAGATATGACATTCGTATAATAAAGATCACAAATCTTAAGGGTATATACCATAATGAATTTTTATGTATATACACACCTGTGTAATCACCACCCAGATCAAATACAGAATTCTTCCAGGCTTGAAAAATCTCTCTCCTACTCCTTCTCATTGAGTAACCTACCCACCTGCCCACCCCCAGGAAACCACTATTCTGCCTTCTATCAGCATGAATTACTTTCATCTGTTCTAGATCTTCATGGACTCACACAGTATGCACTTGTTGATACACAGTTCATTTTAATGCTTCTTCTACCAGAGAATGGGAATAGTAAATACCAGTCATGAGCCAATATTCCCCCATTCTGTGTCTATAGCAGACATCACTAATCCATCATTCTTTTTTTGTTTGTTTGTTTGAGACAGAGTCTTGTTCTGTTGCCCAGGCTGGAGTGCAGTTGTGTGATCTCAGCTCACTGCAGCCTCCACCTTCTGGGTTCAAGTGATTCTCATGCCTCAGCCTCCGGAGTAGCTGGCAAGCACCAACCACGTTTGGCTAATTTTTTTTTTTTTTTTTTTTGTATTTTTAGTAGAGATGGGGTTTCACGGTGCTAGCCAGGCTGGTCTCAAACTTCTGACCTCAAGTCATCTGCGCCCACCTTGGCCTCCCAAAGTGCTGGGATTACAGGCGTGAGCCACCATGCTCAGCCCATCATTCTTTTCAACTGAGCCTAGACTGGGCCCTAAACTCTTTTTTGCTGATTGCACACCAAATAGCCACCACAGACTGATCTCAGAGGCCACTTATGAAACTGAGTTTGGAATCTATCACCACGACTTTCATTTCCTGACTGTCCCTTCTTTCCAATCCCACTGCTTCTGCCTACTTCAGGCCTTCATCACTCCCGAACTGATTTTCTCCAATGCTCTAACTAGTTCTTGCTTTTAGTCTTGAGACCTCTAATATTTCCTACCCATTTCAGGGTGTTTTTTTTTTTTTTTTTTTTTTTTTTGAGATGGGGGTCTCGCTCTGTCGCCCAGACTGGAGTGCAGTGGCGCGATCTCAGCTCACTGCAAGCTCCGCCTCCCAGGTTCACGCCATTCTCCTGTCTCAGCCTCCCGAGTAGCTGGGACTACAGGCACCCACCACCACACCCGGCTAATTTTTTGTATTTTTAGTAGAGACGGGGTTTCACCATGTTAGCCAGGATGATCTCGATCTCCTGACCTTGTGACCTGCCCACCTCGGCCTCCCAAAGTGCTGGGATTACAGGCGTGAGCGGCGCCTGGCCTTTTTTGTTTGTTTGTTTTGAGACGGAGTCTCACACTGTCACTCGGGCTGGAGTGCAGTGGTGCAATCTCAGCTCACTGCAACCTCTGCCTCCCAGATTCAAGTGATTCTCCTACCTCAGCCTCCCAAGTAGCTGGGATTACAGGCACCTGCCATCACAGCCCGTTAATTTTTTGTATTTTTAGTAGAGACAGGATTTCACTATGTTGGCCAAGCTGGTCTCGAATGCCTGACCTTGTGATCCACCCGCCTCGGCCTCCCAAAGTGCTGGGATTACAGGCGTGAGCCACCGTGCCCAGCCAGGTGTTCTTTTTAATATCCGAACATGTCTGCATCATTCTTCTGCTTATAAGTCTCTAAGGACTTCCCTTTAGGCCAAGTCCAAGTTCCTTAGTCTGACATGGAGGGCCCACTCCCACTGGGGCTCTCTCAGCCCTGCCTGTAGATGGCAAATATTTCTTTCAGATCTTTAAAATGTCAGAGTCTCAGTTAATCTTTCCTCAATCGGACAAGAGAAGGCCTCAGAGAAAGCCCTCTTCTGCCTGCATCAGTGCAGATTCTCTGCAGATGCAAATCTCCCCCACAAAAGACAGTTCTGCAGGGTGACTTCTATTCATTGGCTCTCTGAACAGCCACCTCAAAATATGCCAAAGAAGTATATTTCGGGGTGAAATATTTTTATTTCCTTCAGTCCTCACTTTGAAACTTGAAAAAGTTTCACATCTGAAAAGCTAAATTGATAGCTTTGCAGAGATTTGGGTGATAGGCTGCAGAGATAAAGATAGGCAAAGGAGTGGAAAAAAACAAATTGGGATAAGCAAAAACGGGCAAATTTAAATATATCATTCCGTGTCTTCTTGAATCAGTCTCTTAGTCCTAAGAATAAATCAGTTCAGTTAAACAGCTGTGTCCCATTCAGGAGGTGGCATTGCAGATGGGCTAGGCCTTTAGAGATGACGCAGGCAAACAGACAGATCTTTAATAAGAGGCACAAAATGTAAATTTTGACCAAGGACATATTATTTTGTACAACGGGGCTGATAGCAACCTTGCAAGGAGGTCACATGTCATTCTGTAACTGAAAGCTAAAGAAGGAGAATCACAACAGCATTGGCTGAGTCCCCTAAATTTCCAGAAAGTTGATTATTTTTTAGGTCAGCAAGAGGAAGGGAATAATCCCGTGACCAGAGAACCTAAAGAGAATACAAATAAGAATGAAGAAGGTTATAAAACACAGAAAACTTAGCAAAGACCTCTAGTGTCCTCCAAAAGAGTTGCGTGGCTGGATGAGGGCCTTAGCTATCTCTTAATTCTCTTTCATTCCACCTAACCAGGGAACCACAAGTCCTGCATGATAGTGAAATGATTGAGCTGTACCTGGAAGGTGAACAGCAGTAGATACTCTGGTGGAAGCATCAGGGTGTAGACAGAGCTCTTACAAGGGTGGCCTGAGCCACAGAGAGTGTGTCGTGGGTTCTGGGAGTATAGGGAGGACAGCCTTACCTTCCCAGCCTGCTTTGAAGTTGGCTTCCTCTGCCCCTAGGCTGGAAGCTTCTTGATGGTAAGACTGTGTCATGTTCACCATTGTAGCCCCAGTCCCTATCCCTGGGCCCAGCTCATGGTAAACATTGAAAACATATTTGCTGAATGAATCAATGAACCAATGAATGAGTGAATGGTCTCTCAGTCTGATGGCCATGGTCACTGCTAATTCTTTCTTGGTCTCATTGCAGGTGTTTCTAGGACTATGGGCTTGTAACCTGCTGAGCTAGGTTTCACCTGCAGATACAAAGAAGCTGGTTCACCTGCAGATACAGAGAAACTGGGTGGATGGGAGGGTAGAATCACAGGTAAGAGGGGTCAGACTTCTCATTGGGACAACAAGGTGCATCAAATCCCACGATATCTTTGGATGTAGAGAGGGTCTTATTTATGTACCCCATGTACCCCCTTCTTTTTTTTTTTTTTTTTTTTTTTTGAGATGGAGTCTTGCTCTGTCACCCAGGCTGGAATGCAGTGGCACGATCTCCGCTCACTGCAACCTCTGCCTCCCGGTTCAAGCAGTTCTCCTGCCTCAGCCTCCCGAGTAGCTGGGATTACAGGCGCCCACCATCACGCCCAGCTAATTTTTGTATTTCTAGTAGAGACAGGTTTTCACCATGTTGTCCAGGCTGGTCTTGAACTTCTGGCCTCAAATGATCCGCCTGCCTCAGCCTCCCAAAGTGCTGGGATTAAGGCGTGAGCCACCACACCCAGCATCATTAAAGGACCTTAAACAGACAAGTGACATGCAGAGGTTTTTTTTGTATTTTAGAAAGTTTATTTTGTTTATTTTGGAAGAATGGTATGGAAAGGGTCCAAGTGACAGAGAGACCTGTTAAGCTTTTAACTAGGAGGGAAATGATTAGGCAGTAACAGTGGGTGGGAATGGAAAAGGATGCTGGGTATGAGTAACAGTTAGAAATGAGACTCTATAAGATCTGATATGTCAGTGAAGGAAGAATTTAAGGTATCTCCAGCTTCTCACCTGGGCACTTAGAACAGTAGCACTATTTTTTGAGATAGAGAATTCAGGAGGAGGAGGAGAAGAAATGTCTTGTTATCTATTACTGCACAACAAGCCACCCCAGGCTGGGTATGGTGGCCCAGGCCTATAATGCCAGCACTTTGGGAGGCCAAGGTGGGAGGATTGCTTGAGCCCAGGAGCTCAAGATTAGCTTGGGCAACATAGCGAGACCCTGTCTCTATAAAAAAAAGCAAAAAACAAAAAACAAACAAACAAACAAACAAACTTGGAAGCTTAAAAACAACAACCTATATTTATTTATGACCCTGCAGGGATGGCCTGACTCTTTCATGTAGCACTGGCTGGGACAGTTTGAGTACAGCTGAAAAATATCCTCCTTCACAGGGCTGGCAGGCAGTGCCACTGCCATTGGGAGCTGAGTTATGACTGTTAGCCAGTGGGCCCCATTCTCCTTATGAAGGCCTCTCCACATAGCTGCTCGGGTTTCCCCACAACGTGGCATCTGTTTGAAGAAGGAAGACTCCAAGAGGTGAAGATGGAAACTATACATCTCTTAATGCCTGGCCTCAAAAGTTACACAGTCTGCCATTTTTCAAAGCCTGTCACAGGCCAGCCCAGATTCAATGGGAACAGAAATAGCCTTCCATCTCTTGATGGGTAGAGTGGCAAAGAATACACAGCCATTTTCAATCCACCATAAGAACATTTGAAGAAAAAGATGAAAATTTCAGGTGGGACATGTTGAGTTTGAGGTACCTGAGTGACATCAATGTAGAGACATCAAGAAGTAGGCAAGTCAGCGCACAGGTCTGGTGATCAGAGGAGAGCACTAGCTTTGATAGACATTTGGTCACTTGGTAGACATAAATAGTAGTTAGAATTATGCGTTATCCAAAGAGTGTGTGAAGAGAGTGAATGGCAGGAGACAAGATGCAAGCTTTTAGTACAATAGATATTTAGAGGTCAAGTAGAGAAAAAGTCTTCATGAAATGAAGACTAGGAAGCAAGACCTAGAGAAACAGAAAGAAGACAGAAGAGAAAGTGGCCATAGAAGCCCAGCAGAGAGTTGGAGGAGACACTGTTCAATAATTTCAAATGTCATAAAGAGGTCAAGTAGGCCAGGTGCAGTGGCTCACGCCTTAATCTCAGCACTTTGGGAGGCGAAGGCAGGTGGATCACTTGAGCCCAGGAGTTCCAGACCAGCCTAGGCAACATGGCGAAATCCTGTCTCTACAAAAAATACAAAATTTAGCCATGTGTGGTGATGTGTGCCTATGGCACTAGCTACTAGGGAGGCTGAGATGGGAGAATCACCCGAGCCCCAGTAGGGCAAGGCTACAGTGAGCCGTCATTGCACCACTGCACTCCAGCCTGGGCGACAGAGTGAGACTCTATCTAAATAAATAAATAGGTCAAGTAATATTAGAAACATGAAAATGTCGACTGGTCTTGGCAATACAGAGGTCTTTGGTGAGCTTATGAAGGCATTTCTAATGTAGGAATGAGGATAGAGTTTTAAATTTTTTGTTCAAGGATGCAAATATTGCTGAATGAAGCAAAAGATTTGTTGCCTGGAATTTAATATCTTTACAACTCTTTGTTCTTTTAGAGTCATTCGGATTCCTTTCGGTTGCTCAAATATAACATTGTATCTGCTTCTAAATTCATGGGCAACAATTGTCCTCTTCTGGTTCAAAGGCACAATATAATCCCAGGAATTTTTTTGGTATGTGCTTTGAGATATAATGACTCTTTTGACTGGGCTGTTGTGTATGATGTTTGCATGACTTGGGGATTATTCATAGGGTCAACAGAAGGCTACCAAAATAGCTCAGCTTAAATCACAACCTTGGGATAACCCTTGACTTCAGGTCTTCTTATAACTGCAGATTTAACACTGTTGCATTATCTTTACTGTTACTCTAATGAATTTAAAAATTGAATACTCTGTTAAAACTGAGGTGGCCGGCCGGGCGCGGTGGCGCACGCCTGTAATCCCAGCACTTTGGGAGGCCGAGGCGGGAGGATCACGAGGTCAGGAGATCGAGACCATCCCGGCTAAAACGGTGAAACCCCGTCTCTACTAAAAATACAAAAAATTAGCCGGGCGTAGTGGCGGGCGCCTGTAGTCCCAGCTACTTGGGAGGCTGAGGCAGGAGAATGGCGTGAACCCGGGAGGCGGAGCTTGCAGTGAGCCGAGATCCCGCCACTGCACTCCAGCCTGGGCGACAGAGCGAGACTCCTTCTCAAAAAAAAAAAAAAAAAAAAAAAAAAAAAAAAAAAACTGAGGTGGCCATATCATTCGCCTCATGAGTTCATATAAAAATTAAGTGCTAAAATTTAATTCCCACCTTTATGAAGCTTATAACCTAGTTGAGGAGATATGGCTACATAAAAATCCATAGTGTAAGACCTAGTAGAATAACTACCATAAGCAAGACAGCCTGGTGTGGTAGAGAAAAAGCATGAACTTTGAAAACAAACACACTTGAGTTCAAACCTTGATTCTACTATTTGCTTGCTGTGTGACCTTTGGTAAATTACTAAGCTTCTCTGAGCTTGTATCCTCCCTTTCAAAAGGGAGAAATAATAACCAACTCATAAAATTATTGTAAAAATTCAGTGAGATAATGTGCACAAAGTGCTTGTTTCAATTCCTGGCACATCATAGGCAATGAATGCTAATTCCCTTCCACTGGTTTTTCAGTTCAACAAATGTTTATTGACTGTCTGCTCTGTGCCAAACACAAGTACTGAATACTGAAGATACACTCACCCACTCACTCAGTCAATAAAATGAGCCACAGTTCCTTCTGCCAAGGAGCTCCTAGTCCAGTGGGGTGAGCCACAGCCTGAGGCTTCCTGAGAAGTGTCATATGTGCATAGCCACTTGGGTTTCCTCATAGCCAGTTGGGTTTCCTCACAACATGGTGCTGGTTTGAAGAAGGAATGTTCCTGGCCGAGCATAGTGGCTCATGCCAGTAATCCCAGCACTTTGGGAGGCCGAGGTGGGAGGATTGTTTGAGCCCAGGAGTTCAAAACCAGCCTGGGCAACATAGTGAGACCCTGTCTCTACAAAATTAAAAAAATTAGCTGGGCTTGGTAGTGTATGCCTGTAGCCCTAGCTACTCAGGAGGCTGAGGCAAGAGGATCACTTGAGCCTGGAAGTCAAGGCTGCAAGGAGCTGTGATTACACCACTGCACTCCAGCCTCAAAAGTTATGCGGTATGCTATTGCTCATACTATTGGTTAAAGCCAACTGTATACTAGCCCCTAAGGGTAGGTAGGATTTTGTCAGAGAGATGAGAAGAAGGAAGAGAAAGAGGTTCCAGGCAGAGGACATGTTGTAAGTAAAGATAAGGTTTGGCGCACAAGAAACCAGGTGACCTGAATTTTAGTCTAAGACCTTCCCCTTTAACCAGCTGTATTTGTTTGGGTTCATGTCATCTGGAAAAAAAGAAGACTGAGTTAGATCAGTGGCTCTCAATCACAGCTGATGCTTTGGATACATGAAAAAAAAATGACTTCTGGGCTTCACCCTCGAACAATTAAATCAGAATGTCTGTGGATGAGACCCAGCATCAGTATTCTCTTTATTACAATATAGTTTACATACAACGTAATGCGTTCAAGTGAATATTTTAAGCGCCAATGAGTTTGACAAACGTATGTACCCATGTAATCACTTCCACAGTCAAGATAGAAAACACTGCCATCACCCTAAAAGTTTCCTTTGGCCCATTAGCTGCCAGTCCTTCCAACATCATCCCCAGATCACCACTGATCAGTGTTCTGTCACTATAGATTAGGTTTGTCCCTTCTAGAATTTCATCTAAAAGGATTCATATGCCTGTAATCCCAGCACTTTCAGAGGCTGAGGCAGGTGGATCACGAGGTAGGGAGTTCAAGACCAGCCTGGCCAACATAGTGAAACCCCATCTCTACTAAAAATACAGAAAATTAGCCGGGCGTGGTAGCAGGTGCCTGTAATCCCAGCTACTTGGGAGGCTGAGGCAGGAGAATCACTTGAACCCAGGAGGCAGAGGTTGCGGTGAGCGGAGATCATGGCACTGCACTCCAGCCTGGGTGACAGTCCAAGACTCCATCTCAAAAAAAAAAAAAAAGGATTCATACAGTAAGTATTATTTTGTCTGGCTACAATGAGGTATTAGCGTTTGTTTTAAAAGTTTCTCTGGGTGATTTTAATGAGAAGCAATGACTGGATGATCTTTCAGGACCCTTCCAGCTAAAAAGATGCCATGATTTCATCTGCTAGCCTAGAGGCACTTTATGAAAGTTGCATTTTGGGAATAATATATATGATAGATATCATTATAATAATTATGACAATGGTAATACTAATGTTTATTGATCTTTAACTATGTGCCCAGGCACTGTGCTAAGTTATTCATGTGTATTTTCTTATCTAAATCCTCACAGCAATCCAGGGGGTAGGTACTAATTTTATCCCTGATAACAGAGGTGGAAACTGAGACACAGGTTAACTTATCTAAGGTCAAGGAGCTCGCATGTGGTGGGATCAGAATTCAAATCCAGATTTTCTCACTATGAACAGAGACTGCTTTTAATCAAAATTCTGCAAGAGTTTCTACAAGGTGAAGTCTCAGCCCCCACTTCCTCGGACATGCTCGTAAGAAGTGTAAAGTGTTCCCAGATGAATGCTTTCAGCTTGTTGATGAGTTCCAGCTGGGGAGAAGAAATAATTCAACCGTACATTTAGCAAGAAGGCACAGAGCCTACCTCAATATGCAAAGGAATCCAGCTTGTTTCAAGTGTCAAGTGACAGTTTAGACAAGAGAAAAGGACTCAGTACAAATGAGATGGGACAGAGGTTGCATCCCGTGCATGTCTTCTGAGATATATACAAAATAGAGAAACAAAGACTAACTCATCCACTGATTTCACCGTAGTAATGCAGATTATTTCCTGACATTTCAATACACAGATACACACACACACACACCACACACACACACACACACACATCTATTTTCAGTTTTCAAAATATTCATCACTGTCACTACGAACAATGAACAACTAGTCTTATTTTGTGGTAGAGGAGTCTTCCCAGAGTACCTGACAGGTGACCAAATATCACCCTGCTCCTGCAAACCTATTTGATTCTGGGAGTCTTGGTAGACATGCTTGGTTGGTTTACAGCCTGTGCTTCTTATAAATTCACTAGTGGCTTAAAAAAAAAAAAAAGCATCAGCACGATGAAAATATATGTCTTTCTTAAGTTGCACTCACCCATGACATCCAAATCAAAGGCTTGTCAGCTGAGGTTGTCCCAGTTCCCTCCAAGAGAATATTAACAATTAATCCTGATCACCCGAAACAAACAGGTTCCTATTCAAATACTGGCTGTCAGTATCTGGCTGTCAAGCCAAGAGCAAGGCTAAGGCCTCAGCCTGCCCAGCTGTCTGCCCGCTGGGTGACAGTGTTGATCCATCTGAAATAAATGCGCTTTGTCCCTGGGCCAGAAAATACCAGGTCCCTAAAAGGAAAGACTGCAGCCAGATGGTGTTCTGAGGGCCTGGGGAAACGCTTTGCCTTCCTTCCCGGAGAGAAGCAGAATGATTCTGTGTTTTCTTTATCTTTCAAAGGAAGATGTGAGGTGAAGCATTGTTCTGATGTTACCATATTGGGCTAGGTTTCTCTGGGCGAAGTGCTACCGCGAATGATGTGATTACACATAATAAATTACTTGCATTTTCCTGATAATTTAATGAGGGCAAAGAGCTTGCAATGAGCGTTGTGAAAACTCAGCTGAAAATTCATTTCAGCTGTTTGTTCGGATGCATGGGGCTGGAAGGATTCTTTAACTGAGGTGTTCTTTTTTATACACATGTGCATCCAGGGCTCTGGGGTGGGACAAGATTGTCTCTGTGGAATATTATTTCCAAATTGCCAGCTCACATATTTACATTATTCTATCTGTTCTGACGTGATCCTTGACTTCAAGAGGGAAGAGAGTTCCTGTCCAGATACAAATACTGTTCAGATGCAAATACAGGAACAGGCCAGCTGCAGTGGCTCATGCCTATAATCCTAGCACTTCCCTGGGAGGCTGAGGTGGGAGGATCACCTGAGGCCAGGAGTTCAGGACCAGCCTGGTCAACGTGGTGAAACCCCGTCTCTAATAAAAACACAAAAATTAGCCAGGCATGGTGGCGTGTGCCTATAATTCCAGCTACTTGGGAGGCTGAGGCAGGAGAATCACTCCAGCCTGGGTGACAGAGTGAGACTCCATTTCGAAAAACAACAAAAACAGGAACAAATACTGTAGTCTGTAGTTACAATTCCAGGTGACCAGTGGAAATGGTGGAAGTGTGTAGTGACACCGCAGTAGAGGAGAGAGAATGATGGAACCAGCCATGTCTCTCCTTTAAAGGGACAAGACAGAAAATGAATTGAGTGCTTCAGGAGGCTTTAAAAGGCTTGGTTTGGGCCATTTTTTGTTCTCCTCCACCGTACCTCTCCAAAGATGGAGTAAAGAGAATAGTGACTCAAAACATTGTGACTCTTCATCACAATGTTTTATGAGGAATGAAGCCATGTTAATTTTTTTTTAAGCGAGACAGAGTCTGTCACCTAGACCGGAGTGCAGTGACACAATTATAGCTCACTGCAGCCTTGACTCCTGGGCTCAAGGGATCCTCCCGCCTCAGCTTCCTAAGTAGCTAGGACGGCAGGCACACACCATCACACATGACTAATTTTATTTTTTGTAGATTTGAGGTCTCACTATGTTGCCCAGACTGGCATCAAACTCCTGGCCTTAAGTGATAGATCCTCCTGCCTCATCTTCCCAAAATGGGGGGATTACAGGCATGAGCCACTGCCCCGAGCCAAAGTCATGTTTACGTGAGCCTTTGTCCCAAATTCTTATAATCAGGTTGAAAGACTAAAATAGAATTATCAACTTAAGAAATTATATCACAAAACTTTTAGTACTTAGTATATGTGCTGCCGAAGCGAGCACAACAAAACTTATAGTACTTAAATAGTTTCTTGGCTGGGCATAGTAGCTCAGGCCTGTAATCTCAGCACTTTTGGAAGCTAGACAGGAAGATTGCTTGAGACCAGGCATTCAAGACCAGCCTGGGCAACATAGTGAGATCCCATCAAAAAAAAATTATTTTTAAGTTTCTTTTTTCACCTTTGTTTTATTTAATATTATTTGATCCAACTTATTTGAGCCAATTTAGCACATTTATATTTTATTACAAGTGACATAATAAAGGTTTGGGTTTTTTAATAACAAAGGTTTTTGATATTTCAACTACACTACAACTGCAGTCATATTTTCTAAAGGAGCTCTCCTTGAGTTCTGAGAATCTCAAATGAGGGTGAAGAATACAAACAGGTGGGCTGTGGATTGGGCTTTTGCTCTCTGAGACTCACACAGACACTGAGCATCACGGAGCCAAGGACCATCAAAGCCAGAGGGTGAAGCTGTTGAGCTGTGAGTCACTTCCCTGTCTCTCCTCTTCAGACACTTCAAAGCCTTTTCTAACTTTAGCTACCGAACACCCAGACAGCATGGGCCCTCTTAGGGCAAACTGCAACCACACGCATTTTTTTTTTTTTTTTGAAAGGGAGTCTCACTCTTGTTGCCCAGGCTGGAGTGCAGTGGCATGATCTTGGCTCACTGCAACCTCCGCCTCCTGGATTCAAGCGATTCTCCTGCCTCAGCCTCCTGAGTAGCTGGGATTACAGGTGTGTGCCACCATGCCTGGCTAATTTTTGTATTTTTAGTAGAGATGAGGTTTCACCGTGTTGGCCAGGCTGATCTCAAATTCCTGACCTCAGGTGATCCACCTGCCTCGGCCTCCCAAAGTGCTGGGATTACAGGCATGAGCCACCGTGCTCCACTCCACATGCATTTTTGTATCCTATTCAGTATATATTAAGGATATTTTATCAGAGTTTTGGTAGCCTCTACCCTGCAGGGACCAACCACATGATCAGCAGAGAGGGTAAAAGGATTTATGAGAGGAGGCCTTGGGCAGCAGAGATTGAGAACTTTCTGGGACTTACCAGAACAGAGCAGTAAGCAGCTCCAGGAACACCCATATCTTTCTGTCCCTGCAGAGATGTGCACACATCTACTCATCTTCCTATTTCTTTTCTTTTCTTTGAGACAGTCTTGCTCTGTCACCCAGGCTGGAGTCCAGTGGCACAATCTCGGCTCACTGCAACCTCCACCTCCTGGGTTCAAGCGATTCTCCTGCCTCGGCCTCCCGAGAAGCTGGAATTAACAGGTGCCTTCCACCAGGCCGGGCTAATTTTTGTATTTTTAGTAGAGACAGGGTTTCGCTATGTTGGCCAGGCTGGTCTCAAACTCCTGACCTCAGGTGATCCACCGCCTAGGCCTCCCAGAGTGGTGGGATTACAGGCGTGAGCCACTGCACCCAGGCCACATCTTCCAATTTATTTTACCTTCTTAGTATTCCGATCCTGAAGGTCTTTGGAGGCTTATATGACTGCTTTGTGAGAAGTCAGCACCACAGATTATTTGCAGGGAGGGTCCTCTGGTATACTTTGATTTTTGAAAATGCAGAAAAGCATAAAGAAAGAAATTAAAAGCATTCACACTTCTGCTACCCAGAACTAAGCACTGCTAATGGTTAGGTGTATGAGCACACCTCATTCTACTGTGCTTTGTAGTTATTGCATTTCACAAATATCGTGATTTTTACAAACTGAAGATTTTTGACAACCCTGTGTCCTGCAAGTCTATCAGCACCATTTTTCCAACAGCATGAGCTCACCACATGTCTCTGGGTCACATTTTCGTAATTGTAGCAACATTTCAAACTTTTTTTTTTTTTAAGGACAGGGTCTCCCTCCCGTCACCCAGGCTGGAATGCAGTGGTGTGATCTTAACTCACTGCAGCCTCCATTTCCTGAGCTCCCACCTCAGCCTCTCGAGTGGCTGGATGTACAGGCGCGCACCCCGACACCCAGCTAATTTTTTGTATTTTTATTAGCTATGGGGTCTCGCCATGTTGCCCAAGCTGGCCTTGAACTCTCAGGCTCAAGCGATCTGTCCACTTTGGCCTCCTGAAGTATTAGGATTAAAGGCATGAGCCACAGCGCCTGGCCTCAAACTTTTCATTATTATTATATTTCTTAGAGTGATCTGAGATCAATGATCTTTGATGTTACTATTGTAACTGTTTTCAGGCACCACAAACCAAGCCCATATAAAATGGCTTAATTTTGATCAATGTTGCGTGTATTTTGACTGCTCTGCTGACTGGCTATTTTCCCAATCTCTTTCCCTCTCCTCTAGCCTCCCTATTCCCTGAGACACAACAATATTGAAATTAGGGCTACAGTGGCCTTTAAGTATTCAAGTGAAAGGAAGACTTGCCCAACTCTCACTTTAAATCAAAAGCTATGATTTAGCAATGATTAAGCTTAGTGAGAAGGGCATGTTGAAAGCTGACATAGGCCGAGAGCAAGGCTGCCTTTCACCATTCAGTTTAGTCGAGTTGTGAATGCAAAGGAAAAGTTCTAGAAGGAAATGAAAATGCTACTCCAGTGAATACACAAATGATAATAAAGCAAAACAGCCTTACTACTGACAGGGAGAAAATTTTAGTCATCTGGATAGAAGATCAAATCAGCCACAACATTCCCTTAAGCCAAAGCCTAATCCAGAGCAAGGCCCTAACTCTCTTCAATTGTATGAAGGCTGAGAGAGATGAGGAAGGTGCAGGAGAAAAAGTTGAAGCTAGCAGATGTTGGTTCCTGAGGTTTAAGGAAAGAAGTGGTCTCTGTAATATAAAGGTGCAAGGTAAAGCAGCAAGTCCTAAATATAGAAGCTGCAGTAAGTTCTCTAGATCTAACTAAGATCATTGGTGAAGGTGGCTACACTAAATAACAGATTTTTAACATCGATGAAACAGCCATATATATATTTTTTTCTTTTTAAGTGAAAGCAAGTTTATTAAGAAAGTAAAAGAATAAAGAATGGCTACTCTACAGACAAAGAAGCCCCAGGGGTTGCTGGTTGCCCATTTTTATGATTATTTCTTGATTATATGCTAAATGAGGGGTAGATTATTCATGCCTCCCCTTTCTAGACCATATAGGGCAACTTCCTGACATTGCCATGGCACTTGTAAACTGTCATGGCGCTGGTGGGAGTGTAGCAGTGAGGATGACCAGAAGTTACTCTCGTCGCCACCTTGGTTTTGGCTGACTTCTTTACTGCAACCCGTTTTATCAGCAAGGTCTTTATGACCTATATCTTGTGCCTACCTTTTAACTCATCCTGTGACTTAGAATGCCTAACCGTCTGGGAATGCCACCCAGGAGGTCTCAGCTTTATTTTACTTAGTCTCTATCCAAGATGGAGTCGCTCCAGTTCAAATGCCTCTGACATTTCCCCCCTCTCTTTTATAAGAGAAACTTTAATCCTAAGGGTTGCAGAGGGATGAAGATCCATCTTCTATAACTTATTCAAGCTGAATAGGCGCAATGATATTCCTGCCTAACTACTGGGTCTCTTGCATTCAGGGTAGAGAGGAGCTCAGTCAAAAGCATTAGTATGTTGAGGTCCATTCATAACTTTGAGTTCTGACCAAACGTGATATCTGGAAGATTAATAAATGTTCAATTTAGGTAAACGTTGAGTAAGTTTATTCCTCATTCCTATACAAAGAGTACAATAGCAATATATTCCACAAGAGTAAAGCAAAATAAGTAAAATTATCCTGAGTAAACTAAATAAGAAGGCTTTCTATGAACTGGGCAACTGCTGGAACCAAGCTGATATGGGGTCGCTAGTTGATTCCAGTATGTGCCCAGAATTAGAATATTGATCTAGATTTTTTATACTACCCATCCCTCTGGTTTCTTCTGAGCTGCAGTTGGAGATCACTGATTGGTTCACAGGAATAAGCAAAGTTAGCCTAAATTGCAGTGGAAAAAACCCCTCAAAAACAACCAATGAGACTAGAATCTAATATCAGGTGTACCATAGTTCTTGAAACATTAATTTTTTCTCTCTCCAGTCTCCCATTTTTACTAAAGACAAATCATGGTAAGACTGATTTGCTTTATTATACTTGGCCTGATTATTTGTATAAAGTACAGCAAGAATAATTTTTTTTTCATATAGGATTTTAAAGTTGGCGTTGATGGAACTCTGTTCCATAAGGAATCTCAGATAAGACCTTTTTAAAGCTGAGCCCAGCCATGGGTTTGTATCCTCAAATACCTAGGAGTTGAGTAAATTCCTCTCCTCTTGAGGTCCCAAGATAGCTTGGGGCTTCTGGGCCTGTTAGAAAGTGACATCTTTACTTACCATACGTTAGGAATCCTGTACAGAAACAGCCTTGTATTGGAAGAAGATGCCAGCTAGGACTTTTGTAGCTGTAGAGAAGTCAATGCTTGGCTTCTAAGCTTCAAAAGACAGGCTGACTCTATTGTTAAGGGCTAGTGCAGCTAGGGACTTTAAGTTGAAGCCAGTGCTCATTTACCATTCCAAAAATTCTAGAGCCCTTTAGAATTATGCTAAATCTACTCTGCCTGCGCTCTATATAGAACAACAAAGCCTAGATGACAGCACATCTGTTTCTACCATGGTTTACTAAATATTTTAAACTCACAGTTGAGACCTAGATTTAGAAGTGACACTTGATTTAGAAGTGGAGCCTAGCCAGGCGCGGTGGCTCATGCCTGTAATCCCAGCACTTTGGGAGGCTGAGGCGGGCAGATCACCTGAAGTGGGGAGTTCGAGACCAGCCTGACCAACATGGAGAAACCCTGTCTCTACTAAAAATATAAAATTAGCTGGGCGTGTTGGTGCATGCCTTTAATCCCAGCTACTTGAGAGGCTGAGGCAGGAGGATCGCTTGAACCCAGGAGGTGGAGGTTGCAGTGAGCTGAGATCATACCTTTGCACTCTAGCCTGTGCAACAAGAGCAAAACACTGTCTCAAAAAAAAAAAAAAAAAAAAAGAAAAAGAAAAAAAGAAAGAAATGGAGCCTAAAGATGTGCATTGCTGCAATCTCATAAAACTTGAATGGATGAGGAGTTGCTTCTTATAAATCAGCAAAGAAAGTGGTTTCTTGAGATGGAATCTACTTCTGGTGAAGATGCTGTGAACATTGCTGAAATGACACAAAGGATTGGCATTTTATATAACCTTAGTTGATAAAGCAGCAGCAGGGTTGGACAGGATTGACTCCTTTTTTTGGTGGGGGCACAGAGTCTCACTCACTCACCCAGACTGGAGGGCAGTGGGACGATCTTTTTTTTTTTTTTTTTTTTTTTTTTTTTTTTTGAGACAGAGTTTTGCTCTTACTGCCCAGGCTGGAGTGCAATGGCACAATCTCAGCTCACCACAACCTCCGCCTCCCAGGTTCAAGCAATGCTCCTGCCTCAGCCTCCCAAGTAGCTGAGATTATAGGCGCACACAACCACGCCTGGCTAATTTTTGTATTTTTAGTAGAGACGGGGTTTCACCATGTTGGTTAGGCTGGTCTCGAACTCCTGACCTCGTGATCCACCCACCTCGGCCTCCCAAAGTGCTGGGATTACAGGTATGAGCCACCATGCCCGGCCAGTGGCACGATCTTGGCTCACCGCAACCTCCACCTCCTGGGCTTAAATGATTCTCATGCCTCGGCCTTCTGAGTAGCTGGAACTATAGTTGTGTGCCATCACGCCTGGCTAATTTTTGTATTTTTAGTAGAGATGGGTTTCTATTACACCTTTTTTTTTTTTTTAAGTTTCACCATGTTGTCCAGGCTGGTCTTGAACTCCTGATCTCAGGTGGTCTGCCCACCTCGGCCTCCCAAAGCAGTGGAATTACAGGCATGAGCCACTGCACCTAGCCAATTGACTCTGATTTTGAAAGAAGGTATACTCTAAGGAAAATGCTATCAAACAGCATTGCAGGCCACAGAAAAATCTTTCATGAAAGGAAGAGTCAATCAATGCAGTAAACTTCATTGTTGTCTTATTTTTAAAAATTGCCACAGTCACAGCCTTCAGCAACCACCACCCTGATTAGTCAGCAGCCATCAACATCAAGGCAAGACCCTCCACCAGCAAAGAGATTATGACTCACTGAAAGCTCAGATGATCCTTAGCACTTTTTAGCAATAAAGTATTTTTTATTTAAGGTATGTACCTTTTTTAGACAATGCTATTATTGCACTCTTTATAGCCTACAATATAGTATTAGCATAACTTTTATATTCACTGGAAAACCAAGAAAAATCTGTGACTCATTTTATTGTGATATTTGCTTTATTGCAGTGGTCTAGAACCAAACCTGCAGTATCTCTGAGGTGGTGCTTGTAGAACCTCCCAATATTTATAGACACACACACATACACATATACACATGCCAAATTAGGATTCTGGAGTACATAGAACAACATATTATAAGCATATTATAGGGAAGTCCTTATATCACTAAGTATTGTTACTACATTCTTTCATAGTAGCATCAATTGTGTGGGCTGCATAATATTCCATTATGTGGATATCCCATAATTTATTATTTAACACATCATGTGTTGCTGGATATTAAATTACTTATTTATTTATTTATTTTTAAAGATAAAGTCTCACTCTGTCACCAGACTGGAGTGCAGTGGCGTGAGCATGGCACACTGCAGCTTTGACCTCCTGGGCTGAAGTGATCCTCCCACCTCAACCTCTCAAGTAGCTGGGACAGCAGGCACATGCCACTATGCTCGGCTAATGTTTTCATTTTTTGTAGAGAGGGGTCTTTTTTTTTTTTTTTTTTTTTTTTTTTGAGATGGAGTCTCGCTCTGTCGCCCAGGCTGGAGTGCAGTGGTACGATCTCGGCTCACTGCAAGCTCCGCCTCCTGGGTTCACGCCATTCTCCTGCCTCAGCCTCCTGAGTAGCTGGGACTACAGGCGTGTGCCATTGCCCAGCTAATTTTTTGTATTTTTAGTAGAGATGGAGTTTCACCATGTTAGCCAGGATGGTCTCGATTTCCTGACCTTGTGATCTGCCCACCTCGGCCTCCCAAAGTGCTGGATTACAGGCGTGAACCACTGTGCCCAGCCTAGAGATGGGGTCTTGCTGTGTTGCCCAAGCTGGTAAAATATTTTAAAGAAGAATGTTTAAAAAATTAGAGTTGTCCAAATGTTGGAATGAATAGCCTTATAAAGCAGTGAGCTCTTTTTTCCAGAGGCTAGAATATAATTTTTAAAGGAGATATCGCAGAAGAAATTCCTACCCTGAGGGGGTGCCTTCCTTCTATTCTCTGGGCCCCTTTTTTCTTGGCAATTACTTTTCTTCCCAGGGTTCACCCTCTTCCCCTATTCTTCAGTCTCCCCTTGACCTTATGATCCTGAACATCTCCTTTCCCCTCCTTAGTACCAGATGCACAAAACACTGATTTTGCTTCGCTGTCCCTACCATAGAGTTTTGGAGCCTAGGAAGAAAGTCGCTTTCCTGGCCAATAAGACCATATACACACTCTCTAGGTCCAATAGCCTTTTTTGTTTAATAGTTAAGGAGCTCAGCATCACGTCATAAAAACACCATAGGCCTTTGGTGTCTTTAAAAATGGGATACTACTGGCAGGGCGTGGTGGCTCACGCCTGTCATCCCAGCACTTTGGGAGGTCGAGGCAGGCGGATCACCTGAGGTCAGAAGTTCGAGACCAGCCTGGCCAACATGGTGAAACCTCATCTCTACTAAAAATACAAAAAATTAGCCAGGCGTGGTAGCGCACACCTGTAATCTCAGCTACGCAGGAGGCTGAGGTAGGAGAATCTTTTGAACTTGGGAGGCAGAGGTTGCAGTGAATCAAGATGGTGCCACGGCACTCCAGCCTGGGCGACAGAGTGAGACTCTGTATCAAAAAAAAAAGAAAAAAAAAAGGGCAGGGATACTACTTAGGATAGATGCAGAAAAGAGTTGCCTGAAGAAATATAAGTGCATGTGAGGTAAGAAAAAAATGAGCCCAGGAGTTTGAGGCTGCAGTGAGCTGTGATTGCATCCCTGCACTCCAGCCGAGTGATAGAGCAAGACTCTGTCAAACAAACAAAAAAGGGTAAGAAAATAGTCTTTCGGGGGATGCCACCTTATCCAGGTTAGTAGCATTGTTTTAATCTCGTGAGATCCTCAGTGTTGACTTTGATCACATTTGAGTAGAAACTCTGCTCTTCATATTTTTGTTCAATCCTTTACAGTAACTACAAAATCAATATTTGTCTAGTTGCTTTGTGATGAAGAATGAATTTAATAAAACAGGTATCCCTAACTTTTTTCAAAAGTGAGCATGGAGTTTTTATTTCCTATTTGAGAGGCTACTGTTTAATCTACAGAAGTAAAACTAAGCCTGTAATTTAAGTTCAGATGAAGAAATTTGTTGGACATATTTCAGCAACTGTTATCATCAATCAAAGGGATAAGCCACATTGTCATAGGGATGACGTGTTTATAGAGGATTGTGAACACAGTTCTAAATGTTTCTGATAAAACACTGAATTACAGAGCTTCAGGCTGAAGCAGCTGGCAGACCCCAGCCACTGCTGCTTTCAAATGTGCCATTTTGCCCTTTTCTCAACCTCCCCCAAGCTGACTGTAACTTAGTGCTTGTGCTTAGGAACAGCATTCTTTATTTAAGGTCCAACTGCCTAGGTTTTAGAAAAAAAGACCTTTAGTTCAAAGTCTTGGGCTGGGCACAGTGGCTCACGCCTGTAATCCCAACACTTTGGGAGGCCGAGGCAGGAGGATTACCTGAGGTTAGGAGTTCGAGACAAGCCTGGCCAGCATGGCAAAACCCCGTCTCTTAAAAATACAAAAATTAGCTGGGCGTGGTGGCATGTGCCTATAATCCCAGCTACTCGGGAGGCTGAGGCAGGAGAATCGCTTGAACCCAGGAGGTGGAGATTGCAGTGAGCAGAGATCTCACCACTGTACTCCAGCCTGGGCAACAGAGTGAAACTCTGTATAAAAAAAAAAAAAAAAAAAAAAATCTTTGCCGGACAATACGTTTCTCTCCTTACTAATAAAGAGCTCTTTCCTTCCTAATACCTCAGAGTTTTCTCCTTTAGAGTTGGATTTGACTTGAATTTAGTATAAATGGCTAATAATAATTTACATCAAAGAACCTGTTTTAATTTATAAAGCATTTGGTGTATTTCATCTTGTATGTATATCACATTTATAACAGTTTTGTGAGGTCAGCAAAGCATTTCTCTCGTCCTGACTGGGGAGGTTGAGTCTGAGGAGTGAATTGGCTTACCCAAGATTATATAGCTAATCAGTCCTGAGGTTGGGGTTGACAAATTTCAATCCAATCCTCTTTCTAAATGTTACTGCACATCAAATAAATAAATAAATAAATAAATAAATAAATAAATAAATAAAGAATGAGTAGGCCTGGTGCAGTGGTTTACGCCTGTAATCCCAGAGCTTTGGGAGGCCGAAGTGAGAGAATCACTTGAGCCTAGGATTTCAAGCCCAGCAACATAGCAAGATTCCGTCTCCACAAAATAATAATAGTAATAACAAGGAGCAGGAATGTAAAATGGTACAGCCCCTATGGAAAACAGTATGGCATTTCCTCAATGATCTGGCAATTCCACATATGGTTATATACCCAAACAGATAATTATTTCATAGCAGCATCATTCACACAGCCAAGAGGTGGAAACAACTGAAGTTTCCATTAACAGATGAAGGGATAAACAAATGTGGTGTGTGTGTGTGTGTGGGTGGGTGTGTGTGTGTGTATGTAGACAGTGGAATATTGTTCAGTTTTAAAAGGGAATGAACCTCTGACACATTCAACAACACAGATAAACCTTGAAGACAATGCTAAGTGAAATGAGACACACAAAAGGACAAATATTATATGATTCCACTTACATAAGGTACCTAGAATAGTCACAAAAAACAAAACAGTGGTTCCCAGGGATAGGGGAGGGAGCACGGGGAGTTATTAAACAGTGACTCTGGGAGTTTAGAATAATGAAAAAGTTCTGAAGGTGGATGGTGCCGATGGTTGTACAACAATGTGAATGTACTTAATGTCACTGAACTGTACAGTTAAAAATGGCTAAAATGGTCAATTTTATGATACATATATTCATCACAATATAGAAAGATTTCAAAAACAATAGAAAAGAGAGGCAGTGTAGGAAAAGCAGCAAACCTTGATCCTAGTCCTGGTCAACCTCTGACTTGTTGGGAGACCACAGATACTTTACCTTTCTGGTCCTTAGTCTCTTTATCTGTAAATCAAGGGAGCCTGGATTAAATGATCTCTAGGTATCCCCCTAATTCTAACAGTCAATCAGAAAAATGCCTTTTCTAAGGGCAGAGCTGCAGCCATATCAGGGGATTACTACTGAGCTCCCAGTTGCTGGTTGAACACTTTGGAAAAGATACATTTCTTGGTCAGGCGTGGTGACTTGTGCCTGTAATCCTAGCACTTTGGGAGGCCGAGGTGGGCGGATCACTTGAGATCAGGAGTTCAAGATCAGCCTGGCCAACATGGCAAAACCCTGTCTCTACTGAAAATACAAATATTAGCCAGGTGTGGTGGCAGGCACCAGTAGTCCCAGCTACTCAGGAGGCTAAGGCAGGAGAACTTCGCTTCAACTCAGGAGGCGGAGGTGGCATTGAGCCAAGATTGCACCACTGCACTCCAGCCTAGGCGACAGAGTGAGACTCCATCTCAAGAAAAAAAAAAAAGACACGTTTCTTAGGCAAGTGATGAAGAAAAACTGACGCAATTATTTCCAGAAATAATATTCCAGAAATAATTGCTAGAGTGCTAGAGTTGCCAGGCTTATTAAAATACAAGCCTGTAGGAAGAAATCCAGACAAAATATCTAGATGCTTTCTGGTTGGAAAAAAACCTTAGGCACCAGTTTGTTTATTTTTTCTCCCCCCCACATCCCCTAGGCTTCTCTAGAGTCTAGAGAAGCTACAGAATAAAGTCGATGAAGTTAATTATTTCAAGCTTGGTGGGTAAAAATCAACCTCTTATGCAAATATAGTTTATAACTTTAAGTAAACAAATATCATCTTAACAAATGCAGTTTCTAATTACAAATATTTATGGTCTCGTGGATAGAAGTCAACCATCTTGTTGACTTGGAACCATTACAACAAATCTTTCTATATCATCAGAAAGTTCTTTGCCCTCCTTAGCAAACAATCTGAGAAAGACACCTTTAAACTGACAAGCTACAGAATAAGTGTACACTTTATGGTAGCTTATATGTAACACTTATCATCCTTTTTCTTAAATCTGTCTAAGATGTATTGGGTTGTTGAGTATTTGTCTTGATAAATACTCAGGTCTGCTGTTAAACTGCTGTGGCTTGCTTCAATAATAATTTATAGTCAGTGTTAAATTAAAGAACACAGGGCTTAGAATGTTGTGTCCTCCAAAAACCAGAAAAAGGAAGGATGAATTGCAAATGGGAAAACTAATTCTTTTGATCTGGATCATGAAGGGGTCAAGATATTTAAGAGAGCATTCCTGGTTGAGGAATGCCCCTCCTGGATGTCACATGCCTCAGTGTCCTGCCTGCCATGAGTCCTCTTCAAACTGTCCACAGTTTCCTGCAGCTTCAGTGACTAGTTCTTTATGCTGGTGACACCCAAATGTCCACCACCAGCTCAGACATCCCCCTGTGCCTTGGGCCCATATACCCAAAGGCATACTGGACTGTTCCACTTGGAGGTGTTCCAAGGACTTGAGTCAACATATCTGAATAAATACTATGTTGGGAGTGATCAATGGTCTAATAAAAATAAAGATAAGGAAAAAGAGGGATAGTGAGAAAGAGGGGCAGCAGAAAAGGGTGACCCCAAGGTGTTCCTTAGAAGGTTCTAGGCCTTGTTTTTATCCTATAAAAATTTTTCTTTTTTTTGCTTCCATCCTTCTTCCTTCTTTCCTTTCTTTCTTCCTTTCCTTCCTCCCTCCTTCCCTTCCTTCCTTCCTTCCTCCCTTCCTTCCTTTCTCATGAATATATCCACAAGTCATTAGATTTCAAAATCATAAATTCTCATAAGATCTTAAAGGGAAAAACCCTTCCTTCCGTCCTCATGAATATATCCACAAGTCATTAGAGTTCAAAATCATAAATCTTCATAAGATCTTAAAGGGAAAATGATTCCAGGAGTGTCTCTACATATATACAGAGAAAGTTATTGAGATGAATTTTGTATTTGATGAGAGCCTGACTAAGGGGTATATATATATATATATATATTGAGACTGCATCTCGCTGTGTCGCCCAGGCTGGAGTGCTGTGGCGCAATCTCGGCTCACTGCAACCTCCGTCTCCTGGGTTCAAATGATTCTCCTGCCTCAGCCTCCCAAGTAGCTGGGATTACAGATGCACACCACCACACTCAGCTAATTTTTGTCTTTTTACTAGAGATAGGGTTTTGCCATGTTGGCCAGGATGTTCTCAAACTCTTGACCTCGGGTGATCCACCCGCCTAGACCTCCCAAAGTGCTTGGATTATAGGCATGAGTCACTGCCCCCGGCCTAAGGGCTATATTTTTAAAAGCCCTCTTGAAGAATCTTGAAAACATCATGCAAAGTGAAAACAGACGCAAAAGGCCACAAATTGTATGATTTCATGTATATGAAATGTTCAGAATAGGCAAATCTATAGGGACTGACACTAGATTAGTGGCTTCCAGATGCTGGAGTGAGGGGAAAATGGGAAGTGACTCCTAGTGGATATGGGGTTTATTTTAGGGGGATGAGAATGTTCTTGAAGTAGATAGTAGTAATGGTTGTACAACCTTGTGAATATAGTAAAAACCACTGAATTTGAATTTTTAAAAGGTTGAAAAAAAAGGACCTCATCCCCAATGCTCCCTCAAAAAAAAAAAAAAAAAATAACAAGAAGGATGTAGTCAGACATCAAGGTTAAGAGTGTCATAAAAATTATTTTTGCTGTAGAGGAAGTGAACTGATTTTCATGGAGCTGTACAAATAGCACACAAACTAGAAATCTGTTTGGCTCAGCCAGCAAATGTTCCCGAATAAATTATTCTGTATCAAAGCTCAAAGGTTTCCTTCCTTTTTGAATTTCTAAATGTACCTTCTAATTATAAATACATTGAACAACAAGGAAGAGGTAGTGACAAAAAAAATTGACATTCTTCCTCCTAGTGTTATCCTCCACTCCACTTAACAGGCATGCAGGTCTGTGTTTTGTTTCTTAATCAACCAAAGATCTTTAGTTGCAAGCAACAGGAACCAATTCTGATTAACCTAAGTGGGGTGTTGGTTTAAAGGATTTAGGGCAATTTACAGAGTCAAAGACAGCCTTCATCAGCTCCTTGGTAAAACCCTGGGAGAGGCGGGAGCCAGGGCAGCCTCAATAATCTCAGCAGCAGACACTCTGCACCCTTCTTTCCAGGGCGCTGCTTCCAGATGGCATCAACTTTTCATGTTGTCTATCTTGGAAAGTTTCTGCTTCAGATGCAGCCCATAAGAGATAAAGTCTGATTGGCCTCACTGATAAAGTGAGATATAATGTGAGCCTGATTTGACTCACCTGTGCAATCACATGCAAAATCACGTGTTTAGCCATGAGCTCTAGTTTGGAAAAGTCTTCATAGGTGCCTATCCTAATTCCATAGTGTAACATGAATAGAAAGGCATAGCTGTTGAGAGATCAATGACTTTGAAAGTTTGCTTCCTATTAGGTTGGTGCAAAGTAATTGCATACTTTTAATGGTAAAAACTGCAATTACTTTTGCGGCAACCTAATATAACACTGCTAGTTAGGAAGGTTGGGTGACACTTCCATTAGGGCTTTTACAGGGGAAAGTATTGAGAGTGAAATTGATTGCTCTTTATTCTTCTAAGTAAATTACCTTTTCTCCACTTTTTCCTGCATGATAACAGAGAGAGTGGCTAGAAAAATCAAGGAAATGTGGCCAGGCGCGTTGGCTCACATCTGTAATCCCAGCACTTTGGGAGGCAGAGGCAGGCAGATCATGAAGTCAGGAGATCAAGACCATTCTGGCTAACATGGTGAAACCCTGCCTCTACTAAAAAATCAGCAGGGCATGGTGGCATGCGCCTGTAGTCCCAGCTACTCAGGAGGCTGAGGCAGGAGAATCGCTTGAATGCAGGGGGCGGAGGTTGCAGTGAACCAAGATCGTGCCACTGCACTCCAGCCTGGGCAACAGAGACTCTGTCTCAAAGAAAAATCAAGTAATTGAAGCTTAGGACAGGGAGAATTCACACAAACAGAATATGCTTGAAAGCTAAACAGCAGTTTCACTTTTAACACCTTACCCAGTGAGAGCCGTACAAGATGGGCCACAGAAACATAAATACTTATAGCTATTTTTATGGGCCCCTAGTTCTCCTCTAAAAAACAAAATAAATACTGCATGGAGTTTAAGAAAAGAATTAATCTGTTCAGGCGTGGTGGCTCACGCCTGTAATCCCAGCACTTTGGGAGGCCAAGGCGGGCGGATCATGAGGTCAGGAGATGGAGACCATCCTGGCCAACAAGGTGAAACCCCATCTACACTAAAAATACAAAAATTAGCTGGGCGTGGTGTTGCATGCCTGTAATCCCAGCTACTCGGGAGGCTGAGGCAGGAGAATTTCTTGAACCCGGGAAGCAGAGGTTACAGTGAGCCAAGATCATGCCACTGCACTCCAGCCTGGCAACAGAGCAAGACTCTGTCTCAAAAAACAGAGTTTGTAAACAAAACAAAACAAAACAAAACAAAACAAAACAAAAAGAATTAATCTGAAGAAAACCAACTAATAATTAGACAATTACAAATAATTGAATTTTTCATTCTGTTTTCTTTCCAAGTCTAGTACCTCCTTCAGTGTGGCTTTGAACTCTTCAAAGTTCACTCTAAGTATGTGAGTCTGGTACCATGGAGACCAGTACAAATATCTAGAAGCAGGTGGTTTGGGCATGTCTGGTTTGAATCTGAGGAATTAGAATGCAGGTTCTCCTTGGCAAGGAGGCCTATCTTATAAAGCTGCATTGAGAGGTTTTTCTGTGACTGTATGGCAAGTCAACAGGGATGTGGTTATCAAAACAAGTTTAAGAACTTAGGGGTCAGTTATTGGTAAGAAACAGAGATTTCATCATGCTGAGCTTTGGGGAATGGTCACAGTGTTAAAGGGGGGCTGGATGGTCACAGAGAGAAGGGAAATGGAAGTCCTCTCTTAATGTGGATATACTTAGTAACTTCCCTCACCAAATCCCACCAGCCAAACATGGTATGTGAGCAGCCAGTCACCCTGTAGTCCCATTTCCAGTTTCTGCTTTTAGAGGCATGTTTGAACAGAGGCTTACATGTCTTCTACTTGGAGCCTTAAGAAAAAGCTTTTCGTAGACTGAGAGAAAAACCAGTACCTACCAAGGAAGTATGAAAATCTGATTGACATTGATGTCGTGATAGTTTTTTTTTTTTTTTTGAGACAGAGTCTAGCTCTGTCACCCAGGCTGGAGTGCAGCAGCATGATCTTGGGTTACTGCAACTGCTGCCTCCCAGGTTCAAGCGATTCTCCTGCTTCAGGCTCCCGAGTAGCTGGGATTGCAGGCATGCACCACCACGCCCAGCTAATTTTTATATTTTAGTACAGACGGGGTTTCACCATGTTGGCCAGGTTGGTCTTGAACTCCTGACCTCAGGCGATCTGCCCACATCTGCCTCCCAAAGTGCTGGGATTACAGGCATGAGCCACTGGGGGTGGCCATGATAGTTATTTTAAGATCAGGAATTCCCAGTGCACAGCTGTTCCTTATCCTTTATGTGACAGCTGTAATGGCTCTGTGCTTTAAAAGTTAACCTAGTTTAGTAGCCATTTTTAATTTTTAAAAATTTTTGTATATTTAGGGTGCACAAGTGCATATTTCTTGCATACCTATATTGCATAGTGGTGTAGTCTGGGCTTCCAGAAACCCCCAAGAATACTAAAATCTGAGGATGCTCAAGTCTCTGATATAAAATGGCATAGTATTTGCATATGCCTACACACATTCTCCCATATACTTTAAATAATCTCTAGATTACTTATAATACCTAACACAATGTAAATGTCATGTAAATAGTTGTATTGCATTTTTATTTGTATTATTACTTATTATTGATTGTTCTTTTTTTTCCAAATATTTTCCATCTGCAGTTTGTTGAATCCATGAATGTGGAACCTTAGATACTAAGGGCTGATAGTATTTTGAGGGAATGGGCGTCACACTCACATATGGAGCTCAATCTTTACGACTTTGACTAGTGATGATGGTGGTAAATGTAGTGAGGATGGTGTGTGTGTGTGTGTGTGTGTGTGTGTGCGTGTGTGTGTAGAAATGGGGGGTTAAATGGGTCCATTAGCAATGTTGAGCCCCTGGTCTATTTTTTAAAATAGGATATCACACAGGTAGATAGGGTGGGGAGTTGTCTCCTGTTTGTTTTTATATAAATGAGACTTTTAGGATTCTCAGGGGGGAGTGTTTTCGAGGTCTCTACTCTCTCTACTTAAAGACATGCACCTTTTCCAGTCCCTACTTAACTGAAAGAGTTGCTCTCTGGAAGCTTCTTGGGAAGTTTCATTGAGTTTCACTGAGGTTGAGTGGTGAGTACTTCAGAGCATTATAGAATCTGTTTGCTTTCATTTAGTCATTAGGTCAATATTTAGTCGCCACAGGCTAATATATTTTGTTTGAGAGAACAAATCAGGGAGTGTTTGCTTGGTTTGAGTTGTTTGGAAAAGTCTTTTAATTCCATTCAATTCAATTCCTGGAACAATGGTGTAACTGGTAGGGTTTAAACATTTAACCTCTCACTGCAGTCAACTAGATAAAGTAGGCCAGACTGGATCCCCCAACCAGATAAAAAGAAAACCTTTTCAGTTTACACAGTGCTTTTGCAATAGGATTCTCACATTAACCTGATGAGTAATAAGGAATTTAAACATTGAGGATGGCGGCATGGGGGAGTGATTCCAAAGAAATGAGCTGAATAGTTTTAATATGTAAGGGAACAACACAGAGAAATAAATTGCCCACTTGATTAACTTCTTGTTTTTTTGAGATGGAGTCTCACTCTGTCACCCAGGCTGGAGTGCAGTGGTGCAATCTCGGCTCACTGCAACCTCTGCCTACTGGGTTCAAGAGATTCTCCTGCCTCAGCTTCCTGAGTAGCTGGGATTACAGGCGCCCGCCACCATGGCTGGCTGACTTTTGTATTTTTAGTAGAGACAGGGTTTCACCATGTTGGCCAGGCTAGTCTCGAACTCCTGGCCTCAAGTGATCTGCCCGCCTCAGCCTCCTAAAGTGCTGGGATTACAGGTCTCAGCTACCATGCCCGGCCTTGATTAACTTCTTTTAGGGGTCCTGTGATTAAACTAAATGTGAACAGGGGAATTGTTATGTTGCCTGAAGTGGTAATTAGGATTCCCATGCATGTATGTGAGCATGTCTGTGAATGTATGTCTAGTACAAGGAAGGTCATTCCATAAATGCATGTTGAATTAAATATTCTATTTGTTACCATACATTATTAATAAACAAAATATTATAAAATCATAATAGCGCTTTTGGCTTTTCTAAACCATTCAGGTATTCTCTATAGAATTTCCTACTCTATTTTCAAAATCTATTCATTCCTAAGGTATCTTAGAATATGTAATAAATCAAAAACAAATATAGGCCAGGTGCGGTGGCTCATGTCTGTAATCCTGGCATTTTGGGAGACTGCGGTAGGCAAATCGCTTGAGCCCAGGAGTTTGAGACCAGCCTGGGCAATATGGCGAAACCCCATCTCTACAAAAAAATACAAAAATTAGCAGGGCCTGGTGGCACATGACTGTGGTCCCAGTTACTTGGGAGGCTGAGGTGGGAGGATCACCTGAGCCCAGGAAGGTTGAGGCTGCAGTGAACTGAGATTGTGCCACTGCACTCCAGGCTAAGTGACAGTGAGACTTTGTAAAAAAAAAAAAAAAAAAAGGAAAAGAAAGAGAAAATAAATGTAAACCTTAAAAAAAGAATAAACAGGAACCAGACAACAGGGTAAAAACCAGACTAAATAAACATGACTTACATCCTGCTCTGAAATGTGGCTTGCAAGGGCGAAAGTGATCAGGACCGGACATAGTTACTCTACCGAAGACATCTTTGCTTTGGTAGCTGTAGGAACCCAGCAAGAGCACCATGTTTTGTTTATTCACCAGTAGATGAAATCCTCAAACAGAACACTCATAACCCACTTAATGTGCGTTCTCATATCTGCAACCAAAGCAGAGGGAACAAAAAGCTCCATTGATACGTTCAATGATAATATATAAGCACTTGCTTCTTATGGCAACACTGAGGTTGGGTAAGTTGGTGAACATCGCAAGCTATGAGGAATACAGTGGCCCAGAAATTGGACCTGAAGAGAAAAGCACTACTAAAAATCAGGCAAGAACTTTCCATGAGAATAAAACTGCCGCCAATATTGTTGCCAGCATTTGATGTGTATTAATCTCATTTTATTATTGCAAACCTATAAGCCAAGTATCTGTAAAATGGGAATGTCCCACCTCACAGGTGCCTGTGGCTGGTGGGACCTGGTGTGCTGGAAGAACAACAGTGTTCATTCCAACAGTGTTGGAATAACAGAACAAGGCATGCAGTCAGAAAGGAGCCATGTACTGATCTTAATAATTAATGACTTACTATTATGCTTACTCTTCACTGTAACCTGTCAATGCCCTTGTGAAATAGGAATAATTGTTCTCAATAAGTGAGAGAACTGGAGCTATGGGAGGTGACCACAGAGATCAAGTGGTAAAAGACCAGACACTTTAACCCAGTTAAATCTAGTGTTCTCTCTGCTATGTCTCAGCAAAGTCCAACAGATTGTCTCATTTTGTAGCACCCTAAGAGCTGAAACAGCAGGAGATCTGGCTCTGGAGATCAGAAAGGGTCTAGCAACATTTCTTCATCCAGTATAATTTGGCGTCTGACCTGAACACCACTGTCTGACTTTTAGGTGTCATGTCTAAGTTTGCTTGTTTGCTTGTTTTTATCATCTTTGCAAGATTTGTGCTGTTGATCATGTGCTTCTTTAAACCCCTTCCTCCTCTGGCTTCTGTGTCACATGTCCTAATTTTATACTGCTGACCACTGGGTTTTATACTGTAAGTTTAGCCTGGATGATAGCTAACATTTATGGAGTTCTTCTTATGTGGGAGGCTCTGTCTCAATCCCTTTATCTGTATTAACATGTATTAATTTATTTAATCAACATAACAAGCCTATGAATCAGATAGCATTATTGTCCTGTTTGAAAAAGATAAGGAAACTCAGCAACAAAAGAAAAATAAATTGGACTTCCGCAAAATTAAAAACATTTGTGCATCAAAGAATACTGTCAAGATAGTGGAAACACAACCTACAGAATGGGAGAATTTGCAAAATCTGATAAGAGATTAATATCCAGAATATGTAAAGAACTATACAACTCAACAACAAGAAAAATAAACAACTGAATTCAAAAACAAGCAAAGGACCTGAACAGACATTTATTCAAAAAAGATATACAAATGGCCCCACCTTTCTTGATGTTATGGCAGCTTTTGACATGTTAGTCATGGCCTCTTTTATAACAAAATGTTATTCAGCTTCTAGGCCACCACTTCTGTCACCAACTGCTCCTTTTCAGTCTCCTTTGCAAGTTCCTTTTTGTCTCCTAACCTCTGAAATGTAGATTCCCCAAGGATGTCAGAGTTCTGACACAGTACTCCAACCTATGTTCATGACTTTGGTATTACCATTATTATTATTTTGAGAAAGAGTCTTGCTCTGTCGCTCTGGCTGGAGTGCAGTGGCGCAATCTCAGCTCACTGCAACCTCATCCTCCCAGGTTCAAACGATTCTCCTGCCTCAGCCTCCTGAGTAGCTGGGATTACAGGCATGCACCACCACACCTGGCTAATTTTTGTAATTTTTAGTAGAGGTGGGGTTTCACCATGTTGGCCAGGCTGATTTCGAACTCCTGACCTCAAATGATCCACCCACCTCAGCCTCCCAAAGTGCTGGTATTACAGGCGTGAGCCACCGCGCCTGGCCGAACTTGGGCTCTTATATCAAACTGCCTATTCAACATTTCCACCTGTTGATTAATAGCTATTTCGTACTGAACCTATCCAAAACCAGCTGCCTGTCCCATCTCAGAAAAGGACCTCTGTTCTTCCAGATTCTTAGACCAAACACCTTAGAATTATTTAGACTTCCCCTTTCTCAGACTAGATTCATTACATCAGCAAACCCTCTTGGCCTTACCTTCACCATATATCCAGAATTTGACCCTCCTCACAACCTTCACCACCAACCATCCTCCCTCACATAGATCACTGCAATAACCAACAGGTCTCCCTTCTCCCCATCCCTGTCAGACTTCCATGAAAAAGAATGCTTTTTAAACTTAATAATGCTTTTCAAACCTAAGTGAAATCATGTCAACTCCACTGCTTACAACCCTTCAGTGGCTTCCTATCTCATTAAGAGTAAAACCATATTCCATTCATTACAAGGTGCTCCTTGACCTTCCTAGCCCTGTTCTTACAGGGCTTTAGCCACTTACCTCTCACTACTTTTGGGAAACTCTTCTCTCTGTGGTATTTGCGGGGATGGTTCCCTCACTCCTTTCATGTCTGACCACCTTGTATAAAAAAGTATTCTCCATTCCCACATAGCCCTCATGTTCAGCTTTATTTTCTATACAGCATTTACCATCACCTGCCTCCCAATATATATTTATTGTCTAACTTTCCCCTCTAGTATTCAATGAGGGCAGAAACCTTGTTCCCTGCTCTGTCCTTAGCACCAAACACTCTGAGTGGCCATTATGGCTTTGGTTAATTTTTGTTTTTTTCGATATAGGGTCTCACTCTGTTGCTCAGACTGGAGTGCAGTGGCGTGCAATCAAGGCTCACTGCAGCCTTGACCTCTGGGCTCCGGTGATCTTCCCATCTCAGTTTCCCAGGTAGCTGGGACTACAGGTATGTGCCATCACACGTGACTGATTTTTTTTTTTGGTATTTTTTTGTAGAGATGGGCTTTTGCCATATTGTCCAGGCTGGTCTTGAACTTCTGGGCTCAAGTGATCTGCCTGCCTTGGCCTCCCAAAGTGCTGGGATTACAGGTGTAAGCTGCCATGCCAGGCTGGCTTTGGTTAATGTTGAAAAGGGTGTGTGTGTGTATGTGTGTGTGCACAAATTATAGGGCTTTTAATGAATGTAGATTTTGTGGTGAAAACCTTCAAAACATGACACCCATGGTGAGTATCATGGGTTCTTGGTTGTTAAAATGCTGAGAACCTCTAGGTTAGATTATTCCAGGTTTTGAAGTTCTACTAAAATTAAAACTCAATAAAACATCATCAGACTAAGCTATTCCTGCAAGAACTGAACACACAGCCCTGCCCCGGTTTCTCTAGGCGCCAGGTTAGGCCTATGAGGTGATAGCTTGAATATATACAGAACGGTAAACTTTCTTATGTGTGAATATAAGCCCCAAATAAGAATGAAACATTATCAACATATTGAAAACAAATTTTTTTGAGACAGCGTCTTGCTATGTCACCCAGGCTGGAGTACAGTGGCACAATCATGGCTCACTGCAGCCTCAACCTCTTGGGCTCAAGCAGTCCTTCCACCTCAGCCTCCCAAGTAGCTGAGACTACAGGCATGTGCCACCATGCCAGGCTAATTTTTTATTTTTCATAGAGATGGAGTTTCACAATGTTGCCCAGGCTGTTCTCAAACTCCTGTGCTCAAGTGATCCTCCCATCTCAGCCTCCCTAAGTGCTGGGATTAAAGACTTGAGCCACCGCACCTGGTCCTTATCAATTTTTAAAATTTCATCTTCCCCCCCTCCAATGATACAAGTATTTCATGTTCATTTTGGGGGAAAAAAAAACTGGCTAAAAATCATCCTTATGTCACTGTTTAGAAAGAATCATTAAGTTCTTCAGATCTTATAAAATATTCACGTATGTATTTTTTATTGTAATCTTGTCATTGGCTATCATGACCCATGTATCATAGCTTAATCTTCTAAGTTCAAGCAAGATAAATGGCTTGATGGCTAATAGCCAGGCATGGGTGCTAAAGAACAGAGACAAACCATTTTAGATTAAGGAACCACACAGAACTCAATTACAGCCAACAATGGCTTCATAGATGGTTCTAGACATGAAATAAGAAAGATTCTTTTGTTTCAGAAATGAAGATAAGCCAGAAACTTGTATACCCACAAAGAAAACCTTGCAATAGGACATCCCTTCATAATGAAAAGATTATGCTATCTAAGGAGAAAGGAATAACAAGTAATCACAGGGAGCTATTGTTCCTTTTGAATGTGTACACTTTAACTTTCAAGTACTTGCGTTGGATTGCTTGAAAATATAAGGGTATACTTTGCCCTCAGCAGTATTAAGTTCTGTGCTGGAACTAGCTACATTTTTTTTTTTTTTTTAAACTAGGGTCTCCTTCCCCTGCCACCTTTTCTTACCGAGTCTCAGTCTGTCTCCCAGGCTGGAGTGCAGTGGTGCGATCTCAGCTTACTGCGATCTCAGCTCACTGCAACCTCCTCCTCCCAGGTTCAAGAGATTCTCCTGTCTGTCTCCCAAGTAGTTGGGATTACAGGCACGTGCCACCACACCCAGCTAATTTTTGTATTTTTAGTAGAGACAGGGTTTCATCATGTTGGCCAGGCTGGTCTCGAACTCCTGACCTTAAGTGATCCGCCTGCTTTGGCCTCTGAAGTCCCCTCTTATTCTTTCTGTCCAACCTCTAACAGTTGAATATTCTCAAGTTATTTACTGTGCCTAAAAATAAGCTCTCTCTTGCAACTCTCTTGCACAGAAGGACAAACTTGGCTTTACCTAGTAGAGTTGTATCTTTTTATTAATAATAGAGGAACAGAGTTTTAAAAATGGAAGAGGCTTTCAGAGGTCTAGTCCCATTTATAAATCATAATTAATGCTGTTTGTTGTTTTTACAGAAGAAACTGTGGCTTAATATGGTTAAGTGATTTGCCTGAGTTTTAGAGAAGTAGTTTTTAATCCAGAATTCAAGTCTAATGACTTCCAAATTTAAGGGCTCTTTGCCTGGCACAGTGGCTCGCACTTGTAATCCTGGCTATTCCCGAGGCTGAGGCAAGGGGATCACTTGAGCCTAACAGTTTGAGACCAGCCTGGACAACACAGTGAGACCCTGTCTCTTTTTAGAAAAAGAAGAAGAACAACAAAAAACCAAAATCAAGGTCTCTGTACCGTCTCCTAGAGATTAGCTGTAAAATGAAATGTATATACATAGGCAGTTTATCATAACGATGAAGAGCAGATGTTGGTATCTCTTAGGATCTAATTATCTAATTAGGATACTGGTTCTGACACTTTGTGTGTGTGACTGAGTGAGAAAACTACTGAGCCTGTTTTCTTATCTTTAAACAATATCTTCTAGGAATATATTTCTAGGAACATGTATGATGACTATTTTATGTGTATACCATGAACATTTTCTCATAAAGACACATTTGGAGATCTTTTAAATGGGACTACTTTTTAATGATCAGATTCTGAAAATGTTCATTTTTACAGATGTACATTCAGGCAAAATTACCATTTGCCAACTTAATTTTCAATGGCTATAGCACATCTGCTAAAGACCTTCAAAAGCAAATTGTGAAGACAAGGAAGGACTACTATATGGGATATTTCCTACTCAATGACTTCAGAATCCAGTAATTACACATATTCTACCTTATCTCATACTTTCAATTAGAAAATTCCAAACAAGGGTCAAGTTTCAAAAATTGCCTTTATAGATATTTATTCCTTGCTTTAAATCTTTTCTGGAAAGAAATGGCTTATTATTTAAAAGTCCGGTTCAAGGGAGGCCACTTTCTCTTTAACTAGCTTTTAGTATACAGAACCATTTTGGAGTTCCCATGAATGTTCCTAAGAGTGTAGGTAAGCCTAGAAAGGTTCAAACCAGTAACATTAATTCAACCAACTTGTCAAAGTATGCTTCATCGGGTGTTCATGACCTTCTTGGTGTCAGTGTCTTTTCTGTCAAGGAGGTTATATAAGTCAATAAATATAACATGCCCAGAATGTATTCAGTGGCTAACAATCACTGGGAATGGCAAAAATGGAACTTTAAAATTTACACTGCTGTTTTCACTGTGATAAATTATCATATGAGGCACTTAAATGAACAAACAAAACTTGGAGTAATGAATCAATGGCTTTCCCAGACAACTGCCATCTTTTGGCATATTAACAAATTCTGAAAAATACTATAATGGAAGAAAAACAGATAGGAAGGAAAAGGGATTTTTACCTTTTGGTATTAATCCATATGGCAAAGAGCAGAATAAAAAAGGTACACACACAAAAAGATATAAGGAAGTATGGATTTTATTAGAGACTTCTTAAGCTTAGAAGGAACAACAATAATACATATATATATAAATCTATAGTTGGGTTGTTGTAAAATCCTTTAACATAATTGACAAAAATTCCATATGATTAAATACCGAAAATAAAGTACTGTGTTAAAAAATTATAGATATTTGCACACTCATGTTTACAGCAGCATTATTCACAATAGCCAAGAGATGGAGGCAACCCAAACGTCCACCAACAGATGAATGGATAAAAAAATGTGGTAAATACATGCAGTGGAATATTATTCAGCCTTAAAATGGCAGGAAATCCTATCACATTCTACAATATGGATGAACCTTGAGGACATTATGTTAAGTGAAATATGTCAGCTACAAAAGGACAAATCCTGTATGATTCCATTTATATGAGGTATCTAAAGTAGTGAAATTCATAGAGAAAAGTAGAATGATGGTTGCCAAGGCTGTGGGGAAGGGGAAAATGGGAGTTGTTTAATGGGTATAGAGTCCCAGATTTGCAAGATGAAAAAATTCTGAAGATCTGTTTCACACCAATGTGACTGGACTTAATCTCATTGAACTATACACATAAAAATGGTTAAGATAGTAAAATTTATATGTGTTTTTAAAAATCACAATTTAAAAGATGCAAAAAAAGAGAGTACTTTGCCCATCCCCCCAAAGACTATAATCTCAAGTCTTCAGGTAGGGTAGGAAATGTACTACCCTAATATATAAAACACAATTAATCAAAAAGTAAAAATGAAAATACCTCTGAAAGAATATTCTCAAATGATATTTTTTAAAAATCACAGTTTAACACTCAACTAAGTGTCTGGATTGAATGTAGACTTCAAAAACTTACTACGTAAACAAGCTATAACTTTTTAACTCTTCACAAATTCCTATTTTCAGTGTTCATAATGAACAAGGTTTAAAAAAGTGGAAAGGCTCCCAAAATACTGAGAACATATATGTATATAAATCAAGGATGGGTTCACTCATTTCAAGCTATGTCAAGAAGTCTATGGGATGAAGCATGTCTGTTGTGATGGATATAGTACAGAACTAACTCCACGGCTGAGTTCTTCAGAGTGAGCCTCTGTAGGCTCATAGTCCTATTTTAAAGGAATAACCTATTGACCCAATTTGCTGGTGTTATAAGCTTGGAGGAATAGCACAATTTCAAGTTCCTTTCACAGGTGGAGTTTCTGATTAGTCTGTGGTTATTTGAAACATGGTCTACACCTACTGCAGAAGCCAGCATTATTAAAAGCATACATTTTCATTGTGCACCATAACTTTTGGATTTGGGGTCGTTTCATACTTTTTCAGAAATACTGTCTTCTAAATTAAACAGAAAAACATCTATGTGAATATAGCGATGCAACAGTTGTGATATGAGACCATGTGATGGATCAACTAGGTCAGAATATTTGTAAAATCCAGAGTGGCAAGGAATAAAAATAGAGAAACTTACTAAAAATCTTCTACAAAATAGTGATGTAAAATGTGACGTATTAACCAATTTCTACTGTGTCATTCTAGCTTGTTTTCATTAACCATAGCAGAACTTCTAAAAGTGAGCTCTAAAATGTGGCAAATTTGATAATAAATTAAGGAAAAAGTCATTAGTCTCCAAAAACAAGAATTGAAAATCATTTGGCACTGAAGCCAGATGGCAAAGACTAAATGCTCTTCAGAAATTATGAACAATTATTCAGTTACATGAGACTGACATAACAGTGTCAAGTAGAAAAACATTTAAGAAAACAGAAACCATTAAATTTGGGGGAGAGTTTAATTTGGAGGAAGAAGTTGATTTTGGGGTTTTTTAGGGCTAAGTTGCTTCAGCTAAAAATATAGAACTGATAATAAACAAGAATAGCTCTCTTCACTGGCAATAATATCTGTATGGAATTTCTATTGCGAGAAATTACTATAATGCCAAAGGCTGGGAAGACTTTGTTACCCAATGTCATCCCTCTAATTTTAGAAGGATTAACCAACCAATTTTTGCTAAAATGTAGGCACACATACCAAAAAATGTGAATCTTGGTGAATATAGGATGTCTGGTAGGCCTCAGGTTATCTTCAGTCTTCACACTCTTGATGTTCCAGGAATGATGCGCGAGCTTAGGTTGGTTCTAGGATAGGCCCAGGGGCCTGGTTTGATCTGGGATCCCTGGGACCATACCTAGAACAAACCCAAACAAAACCAAACTCCTTGGGAGTGCTTTCAGCTCAGGTAGACTTCTGGGCTTTTCACCCATATGGACCTCCACGACTGTACCAGGACCATATACCAACCTTTAAGGGATGGGAGTGACATTTCTGGAGCCTTCTGTACGTTGTCAGCTGATAGTACTGTGCCTGAGTAAGCATTATTTAAGTCATGGTATGAACAGAAGGTAACAGATTGGTGCAATAAAAGTGCAGAAAATACTTTGATTTAGAAATGAAGTTAATTTCCTTAAGAATTTACTTAAGGAAGGGGAAAAGGATATGCTTTGTTTAGGATATTATAAAAGAGTAAACTTATAAAAGACATGCTTTAGTTTTAGAAAAATTCTTCAATAATATTCATTTGTAGGTAGCTAAGCTTTAGGAAATGATATAAAACTGAAAAACATAAAGCCTAAAACAGTAAAATTATCCTTTAAGAAAATCTTAGGATATAAATAGGAGAGGAAATATATATATCCATAGCCATATCTCACAGAATATACTGATTTTAAAGGATAATGCAGTCAAGAGAATATGCAGCTTAAATACTGTACTATTGCAATAATATGTTGCTAAATGAAGTTCAATACATAGAGATAAAACTAATTTCATTGCTGACAAGCTAAAATACATTAAAATATATACCATAAAAAATACTATATGCACTTTAATTTATCACACATTTCATTTTCCTTCTTTTTTTTTTTTTTTTTTTTTTTGAGACAGAGTTTCACTCTTGTTGCCCAGGCTGGAGTGCATTGGCACAATCTCGGCTCACCAAAACCTCCGACTCCCAGGTTCAAGCGATTCTCCTGCCTCAGCCTCCTGAGTAGCTGGGATTACAGGCATGAACCACCATATCCGGCTAATTTTGTATTTTTAGTAGAGACGGGGTTTCTCCATGTTGGTCAGGCGGTTCTTGAACTCCCGACCTCAGGTGATCCGCCCACCTGGGCCTCCCAAACTGCTGGGATTACAGGTGTGAACCACCACGCCCAGCCCATTTTCATTTATTTATTTTTGAGACAAGGTCTCTCGTTCTGTTGCCCAGGCTGGAGTGCAGTGGTGCAATCATGGCTCACTGCAGCTGTGGCCTCCTGGGCTCAAGTGATCCTCCTGCCTCAGCCTACTGAGCAGCTGGGACTACAGGTGTGTGCCACCACATCCAGCTAATTTTTAAGTTTTTCTGTAGAGACCAAGTCTTGCTGTTTCTTGCCTAAGCTGGTCTTGAACTCCTGGCCTCAAGAGATCCTCCTGCCTCAGCCTCTCAAAGTGCTAGGATTGTAGGTGTGAGCCACTACGTCCTAGCTTATCACACATTTTAGAATATCTATAAAATCAGTTCCTCCTTATTCATGCTAAACTTTTACATGTGTGAATCCTTGAATCAATTAATCCTCTTTTTGGTTTACAGCAATTACACTGAATAGAATCACTTTCCTCTCACAACTACACTCAGAAGTTTTCTTCTTTTATCACTGACCTGGCTTTGGTATCTTGACTATCTCTTCTATAATGGCAGTCTCAACTCAAGAAACTGGTTTGGACCACCTATCTTTTTTTTTTTTTTTTGAGATGAAGTCTTACTCTGTCACCCAGGCTGGAGTGCAATGGCGCAATCTCGGCTCACTGTAACCTCCGCCTCCCGGGTTCAAGTGATTCTCCTGCCTCAGCCTACTGAGTAGCTAGAATTATAGGCAGGTACCACCACCACGCCCGGCTAATTTTTGTATTTTTAGTAGAGACGGGGTTTCACCATGTTGGTCAGGCTGGTCTCGAACTCCTGACCTCGTG
Organism: Homo sapiens; assembly: GCF_000001405.40. NCBI lineage: Eukaryota > Metazoa > Chordata > Mammalia > Primates > Hominidae > Homo > Homo sapiens. The sequence goes on along the minus strand of NC_000012.12, from coordinate 95,306,625 downwards.
ATCCACCTGCCTCGGCCTCCCAAAGTGCTGGGATTACAGGCGTGAGCCACCGCGCCCAGCCTGGACCACTTATCTTTTATGATTATTATACCACAGATCCCTTCCATTAGCATGGATAACTGAATGCCGACTATGAGGCATGGTCATAAAATAAACAGACTGATTTGACAGTTACTTTGTAATGAAAACATGAGTCAATATATGGTTACTAAAATAATCAGCATGTTGCTAAAAATAAGTTGTTTGATGCTAGGATATCCATTTCTATACAGATTTGACTTTTACTTGTAAATATTATAGTGTGCAAATTTTATTTTTCATTCAAGAGAGAAAAGTGATCCTGCTTAATTATTAAATATTAAATTACAATTTAATCATGCCCAGTACAGAATGACAGTGGGAATTTAGTCATTCAAATATCTGCCAATATCATTAGATCTAACACTGATAACTTTTGGTAAGCTTTTAACGTCCGCTTACTATAGCTGAATAAAAATAAAGACCCTGTTTTTAAAACTAGCATAATCAAAAAATAAATTCTTTGTGGTATAATTGCCTATAGTCTATAAATTTTATTACTTCTCAGGTCTCTGTGACATTAATAGTGAATGTTTTCTTATTTTTCAGGGCTTAATCTATTTTCATGTCTTGGAAATGAAGATACATTTCTCTCTTAAAAAAAAAAAAAAAAAAAAAAAAAAAGCCGGCTGGGCGCTGTGGCTCATGCCTGTAATCCCAGCACTTTGGGAGGCCAAGGACGGCAGATCACAAGGTCAGGAGATCGAGACCATCCTGGCTAACACGGTGAAAACCCATCTCTACTAAAAATACAAAAAAATAGCCGGAGTGGTGGCGGGCGCCTGTAGTCCCAGCTACTCCGGAGGCTGAGGCAGAAGAATGGCGTGAACTTGGGAGGCGGACCTTGCAGTGAGCCGAGATTGCACCACTGCACTCCAGCCTCGGCAACAGAGTGAGACTCTGTCTCAAACAAAACAAAACAACAACAAAAAAAAAGCCAAAGAAATTCTTAACAGCATGTAGTCTCCAATTCAAATAGAAAATACTATAGAAAATGCTAACTTGAGTGGACCAGTTTTAATCAGCGCCAAATAATTCTAGTATAGAACTAACTTTAGAGAAAGTAAAGTATGTAAACAAAATAGTTCCTTTTGTACCATAACAACTTTTCTATTTTGAGAGCAGGTATCTAATTCGGTAGCTTCACTTATTTTAACGATAGCAATGAAACAGGTAGTAAAGTAACAGATGTCACAAAATCCATGCATTTAAGCATAATCCACTTCCTCAAGTCTTCACTTTGAGTTTATTTATTCTTACTTTACACAGAAGTCTAATAAACTTAGTTTGTCTGGTCTCCAAAATGAAAGCAGATCAGAAGGCACATTATGAAGGTGGAGAAGGGCTACTGCTACAGGCACACTTAAGCAAGCAGTAATAGAAATGGAAGAATCAGAACGACTGTTAAAGACATGAAAACTAAAACGAGTACAGCAGAATGGAGCCATTTAGTACAGGGACAAACAGCTCTCAATGTCTGATTAGTCTATCAGATTATAATAAGTGATGTTAATGCTGATCATTTTGATACCAAACAAATTAAAATACATTCATATATTATTTAAGACAGTAATGCATATCAATTTTATGAAGATTTCCTTCAGAGATTATTCCAAAAAATTTTAGGGCTGAAAGAGGTTCAAGCTCTGCAGGAAACTGGGATATCTAGAATGACTCATTCCCCAAATATTCAAGTTACCCAGTTCTTACTAAATTAGCCATCTTTAGTCTCATAACAATATTTCTAGAACATAAGTCTTGATGAACAGAGTTGAAGTTACATTTATAGTGCCATAAGTTTTAAATCTGTGTACTGTACTAAGAACAATTAATGATAACAATACGTTTAACATTTTTCTGAAATATACACAATTATTTATTCAAAAATGATAGTCAAATTTCTCTTATAGTTGAATTCATTAATGGAAGTCCTAGAAACATCATTATATAAAAACTGAATTAGAACTTCAAATATATGGCAATCACATATTCAACCAAGTATTTGTTTTAGCAAGTTTTTAGTAAAGAACTAAGAGGCAAACAAAACAATGCTAAGCAGTCAAGCAGGTATCACAAAGTCCATGCACTTTACTGACAGAAAAGCCCCTTAGCTCTCTTTCAGTCTACTTACTCTTATTTTAGACACAATTCTAGCAAGCTTGGCAATCTGGTTTCTCAGTCCACAGCAGATTAGAAGCAGCAAATTAGGGACCTATTGCAGGAGGCAGGCACACAAGACGGCGGCAAAAGTGACAGCTGATTATAAGGGAAGATAGAGAAACTGTGAAAAACAGACATAACTGAAAAAAGCACACCAGTGTGAGGTCATGTTGTAAAGGGGTACCTGACATATATCTCAGTAGCCCCTGAGGATGAGTTTCTGTTTATCACCCCATGATAGAAACTGATATTCCTAAAGATGACAGAAAAAGTTAAATTATATTCTATATACTCTAGACAAAGTAGAGAAGTAGTGCATTTAGTTATTAAATTATTAAAATGGATTTGTTTTAGTTAGCTGAGAAGTTAACTTAGGCAAATTAATCACCTGTCTATGATGACAGATAAATGGTTACTGCATTTTTTTTCTATATTTTCTCTTCTAAAATATTTGTAGCTTTATTTTCTAATTGTGAACTGCATAACTATTTTCTTGTAAGTAGAATTGGAAAAATAAACCAACCTTTATGCCTTGTCTGGTTGTCATTCTTAGCATAATATCTACTTTAGTTCAAACAATGATTTAGCTGAGCTATAATACACTCTTATAGTATTTAGTCTGTTTCTTTGTTTGTTTTGGGTATAGGAACAATATACTATGATTAAACCAAATCAGTTGAACTTTTTCATATTTTACATTACTGATAGGAAGTGAAGAGTTAGTCACCAGAGTGAAATGATCTGTAAACACTCCACTGACTTACAATTTTGTGGAATGTATCAGGACTTGATTTTTTTAATGCTTTAACACTAAAAGCTTTATAACTTTTCTTACGTAAATCAGAATATTACTATTAAGAAAATTGAGTTTTAAATGGACTTTCCTACCTGGAGGTAGACAAAGGGTACAAATTCTGTCTTCAAGAGTGACCTAAATAGACTCTCACATGCATTCTTCCATTAAGTACTAGGTTTGTCCTGGTAAAACAAACTACAGAAATATCTGTATTAAAAACTGTCAGGATGATACTCCTAACAAGAATCATACTGTTAAAAATCATATTGTAAAACTTAAAAAGCACAATTATAAGTTTTCCCTGCAGTGTTTTATTTTTTTCCCCAGAGGGCTTCTTCTGTATATAGGGTAGCAGCTTTTTTTTTGAGACGGAGTCTCGCTCTGTCGCCCAGGCTGGAGTGCAGTGGCACGATCTCGGCTCACTGCAAGCTCTGCCTCCCAGGTTCACGCCATTCTCCTGCCTCAGCCTCCCGAGTAGCTGGGACTATAGGCACCCACCACCATGCCCAGCTAATTTTTTGTATTTTTAGTAGAGACGGGGTTTCACCATGTTGCCCAGGCTGGTTTCGAACTCCTGAGCTTAGGCAATCTGCCTGCCTCGGCCTCCCAAAGTGCTGGGATTACAGGCGTGAGCCACCGCACCTGGCCAGGGTGGCAGCTTTGAAAGCTAGCCAAAAGCCTGCTAAGGGAAGTAAAATATTCTTAGAAAAGTAACAAACAAGAAAACCTACTCATATTACATTGGCCTGTTTTTTAATACTTCCTAAGGTATTCATGGCAAGAAGAGCAAAGTTCCAGACAGAGGTTCCTAGATTTTATTGGACATAAACATTACCTATGGCTCATTCCAAAAAGACCAACTAAGAATCACTGGGAGTATGGTCTAAAATTTGCATTTTAAAAATAAGACTTTATTTATTTTGATGTAGTTACCCCACTAATACAACTGAGAACCACTGACTTCAAATATTATGAGAGAAAATTACTCCAGGAATTTTTGCAGAGAAGATAATACTTTATCTTGAAAATATTTTAAATATTTTAAAAGATGGAAACTACACAAAAGAACAAATACTCAAATAAAGCTGCAAGATCTTTATGTCATAATTTCAACAAGTAGAGTTTTCACTGGATTATGTAACAAGTAGTGAATTAAATAGATCAGACTGAAAGACTGGAAATTCTCGATTAAAATTATTTAGTCTTTCAAAATTAAAAGGTATCACCTTAGAGAACACTGAATAAAACTGATACAATTTTATGAAGATTTTCCCCCAAACTGGTGTAATAAAAGTAACATACAATAAAAGAATTAAAAATTATTAAACTCTAATTCTTCCTGTGTAAGGTTATAGGTTGAGAGAGATTACCAAGTTTTTCCATAATTGCTTCTTCTAAATCCAAAGAAAAATGAAGTCGGTAAACTAAATAAGTGATTTAAATAAGAAAGTAAACCCTAAGTATTATTGAATAATTTAACAGTTATAACACACAAAGATTTTTAAAATTGAAATTTAGCTATTTCTAAGTAGTAAAGCAAGGCCCAACCTAAGGTATTGCTCCGAAGAGGTTAATTATAGATGAGTTCCAGGATTTTGGCAAAAAGGCAAAATCACTTATAGTACAATAATCTCTACTGTTTATATAAAGCAGAACCAAGTTTTTTTCTCAGGTTAAAAAGTAAATTTCCTTAGATTCCTGAAAGAAAAAAAATCCCCTTTGGTATAAGTAAATTTACTCACTGAAAGTGATAAGTTACAGGAATTTGAATGTGTTTCTTTACTCTAAAGACAATCTAGATTCATCATGCAATTTCCTTTCTAGGACAGCAACATAGATTGAGTTATTACTACATTTCCCCCAAATAATGTCTATAGAACTATGTTATTGCATAGGAGCTACAGGTTTCAAAACTGTATATGCTGAAAATAATTACTCTTTGAAAATGCAATCACAACACAAAACAGGTAAGATTGGCCAATTTGAAAAGCAGTCTCTGTTAAGAGGTAGTTTGTAAATGAAATACTAAGGAGACAAGGATGCTTTCCAGGAGGCTGACAGGATGTTTCCTGAATCTCATTATGGTGGACAGGGCTAGAAAACAGCAGGATTGTGACCTGTTTGTGTTAATGGCACCCAATTATCCAAGGTAAAGTGATACAAGGAACGTTTTTCTGCTTGCTAAATTGGGGGTGGGGCCTTGGAGTACAGAAATCCCACTTTGACATCATCACTTTCAATTGCAAAAAGAAAGGTGAAAGTGTAATTCTAAAAAATGGTACAATATTTTTCTTTTAAAGATCACTAGGACATCTTAAAATTAACTACTAAATACACACATGAACAAAGAAACATAAGAAATGTCATAACCCACGCACTGTTGAAACTACTTTTAGTTCCAAACCCCAGCACACATCAATTGTATCAATTAATTTTTTTATTCAGAACCTGGATCTTTAAGACTGGTATAAACAAAAATAAAATACAAACAACTTGTTATTAACATAATAGCTGCAGTTATTAACTGCAAGAATACAGTAAAAAGGAGTCATACTAAATGTTAATGTTCTTGCAACAGAATTTTCCCAATCACCTTAAGGTAGCAAATTCTGGCAAGAAATGATAATTCATTTCTTATTAAAAATACTTAAAGAATTTCCAAGATTGATCAGTTGTGCCACAAATAAAACAGCAGTTTATTCAAAAGAGCCCTTACCTTTCTCTTATTTTCCTAAAAGATCTGCCATTTACAGGTAACTACTAATTTCAGATCAGTTATTCAAACCAGGGTTCTTCCTGTAAATCCACATCTTAGCTTTATATATAGTAAACTTACACTCATATTCCCTTTCCAGTCTTGAAGCTAAACACTTTTGTAAAAGGAACAATCTAATATCACTTCATATGAATCTTGGTTCTTACTTTTCTTCTATCTCATTTTTATTTTCTTCTATTATTTGTTCTTCCTCCTCACCACCAAAAGTCTGTTCCTGCATGGTGGTAAAGGAGAGAGATCTAGCAGCCACTTCTGCAGCAAGGCCAGCAGTGAAGGTAAAATCTGGTGACAGCTGTAGCCGTGCCAGCCTCTGCTTAATGGAGGGCTGTAATGAGTCCCTGGGAGTTGGAGGGGCAGTGGTCAGACCACTTCCATCTGCTTGTGGTTCATCTTCACTCTCACATTGGTAACACATTCTTTCTTCTGCTCCTTGGGGGAAGACTTCATTTGAAGAATTATCTTTATTTTTACCTTCTAGAGAGTTTTCACATAAATACTCAGTCCTACTTATTTCATTGTCTGTTGTGGCGGATTTATTACTTTCCTCTTCAGTATCATTTTTACTGACTTTTCCCATATCTGAATTCATTGATGGTTCTGAATTACTTATGGGTTCCACTGGGTCTACAGGAGACAAGGATTTCAACACGGCTTCAAATAAAAAAAAAGAAAAAAGAAAAAAAATAACTAAGGACCTAGCAATGATTTAAACTTTTAATTCAAACTCTCAGTTTTTTTCTTAAAAAGAACAATAAATAAATAAAAGCTAAATAAAACTTTCTAGTAAAATCAATGAAAATTTATAAATCCAGGAAACTTTATAAGAGAGAAAATGCCTAAGAAATGAAATGAGATAGGGATTTGATGAAGGTTTTTATGACACCTCACATATTATCTTATTTAAAATATTAAAGCAGTGGTTCTGAAAGTGTGTTCCCTGAACCAACATTATCAGTTATCACCTAGGAATTTGTTAAAAATGCAAATTCTTGGGCCTGATCCCAGACCTCCTGAAATGGAAACTCTGGGAGTAGGGACCAGCTATATTTTACAAGCCCTCATCTTGATTCTGATACACACTAAAGTTTGAGAACCATTGTATTAGGGAATAAGCAGCATGGTTTTCACTGATAATACATCAGATAAAAGGCTTAAAGTAATCTAGATAATAATAATATCTTCCATATGTATACATATATATTTACAAGTTAAAACAGCATGGAAAAAAATGCAACATACAATTTAACTTACTTGCCAACCACCTAACAAGACCCTAATGAAAGAAAAGCCATAACTTCTACACATTTTGTAGTACCACGAAAAATACAAATGAAGTCTGCATTCAAGATCAACTATTGTACAAAATATAATACATAAATATAATATATATTCATACGGTAGAAGTTGTCCTTGCAAGGAAAATGCAGTTTTATTTAGCCCCTCTTGATGTTAGTAGGCAGTGGGTTGCTTGCTAGGCAGTCGCTCATCCCAGCATGAGGGGTTAGTACAATACAATATAGTATGAAGCATGACGGAAGGAAAAAAGTGCTTCTCGAAGAGCTGGCGTGTATTTAAAAAACGTTTTTGTAAAATGTGTCCACTTCCAGGAACCATCCCTAAGCTGCAGTAACTCCACTAGAGAAGCAGCAACAACAGAAAAAAAATGGCCACAGCAGGTTCCAGTGCAGACTTTCCCCCTCTAATTCCATGCGGACTTTACCCCTGTAGGCAGAGATGAAAACAGCTCTGGAAGATGTACTGAAATTTTTCATGGGAAAAGCATTCTATGGTATCAGCAGCTTTTTACTTATTTTCACAAACTAAAACAGCATTATGACCCTTTCCAATGTAAACTATATCAAAAGCACATACCTGAAAAAGAGACACATTTCTCTCATTGATAAATCTTTCCCATAATGTCAATAGCATAATTTTAAAGCTATATGAAGAAACACTAAACAATAAAAAAGGATATAAGTTTATATACAATGCTATTTTCAATATATGTACATTCTTAGTTTATAAATCTGTTAGCTCTTAAAGGAAGCAACATATATTAGAAGTTGGTTGATAGTTCACAATTATTACTAATTAAATGGGGTGGATATAATCTGAGTAATGAGAGGATCAATTGACGAGTGTGTTAGAATTTAAGCCTTGAGGCAGGTAGGAGGCTTTACATTTTGTCTCTTGATCTTTGCGCTAGGGATACAGCAGTAAACAGTGCCTGACATATAACAAGTACCTAATAACTACTTGTTGAATGAGTAATTTGCTGAATGAATGCTGTGGGATAATAAGGCCCCTATTTAAGAAGACTGTAATTTTGTTACAGAGACAAACAAAACAAAACAAAACAAAACCCTGAACATATAGAAAACAACAGTGCCTAAAATTAATCTCTGATGTATGTAGGCCCAGTATATGAATGAACAGATTGCAGGAAATCAATCTGTTAATCATTTCCCTTCTCTGCTATATGCTTTGGGGTTCAAGACTTCCTTTATATTTTATCACAATGTTCCTCTAGTGTGAGGGTCTGTAGTGTTAGGAGAGGCGGCAGAGCTGGAGCACTCAGAGAAGGATTCATGGAGAAGGAGAGACTAGTAGAGAGGACAGCTTGGTGGAGAAGGCAGAATTCTTGGTAAAGGGGTAAGCATGAATTATTATTATTATTATTATTATTATTATTTTTTGAGAGAGAGTCTCACTCTGTCACCCAGGCTGGAGTGCAGTGGTGCGATGTCGGCTCACTGCAACCTCCACCTCCCAGGTTCAAGCGATTCTCCTGCCTCAGCCTCCAGAGCAGCTGGGATTATAGGTGTGCGCCATCACACCTGGCTAATTTTTGTATTTTTAGTAGAGAGGGGGTTTCGCCATGTTGGCCAGGCTGGTCTTGAACTCCTGACCTCAAGTGATCCACCTGCCTTGGCCTCCCAAAGTGTTGGAATTAGAGGCGTGAGCCACTGTGCTTGGCCAGCATGAATTTTTTTCATGAATAAAAATAACACATTTGTGAACTGTAGTTTAATTCGATAAACATAAGAAGATATCTATAGTAAAAACAGTAGAAAATATAATTGGATAGATGAATTCTTATGATGAAGAGACTTGAAAACAGGAAAAAGAGTTTAGATTCAACACAATAAGAAAGGGAGAAACCACTATAGGTTTTAAGATAGAGAGCCATCATCAATGCAGTGTTGGAGAAAAATCTGCAAAGAGTTTGCAAGATAGCTTAGAAGAAAAAAGTACTGAAAATGGAAGTCAGCTAAGAAGGTATTTTAATGTACAAGGATAATCTACTGAGGACCTGGGCTATAAAGGGGGCCAATGGGAAGAAAGAGGAATGATAAAACCAAGAAATGCAGATCTGGACAGGAGAAAACATAGGGCTCCTGAGGGGAAAAAAAAAAAGAGAACTGGAGGAACTTTCCAGAAGTATAGGTAATCTATGTACTTCTAGTGAGGAGGGAAAAGCAGGGCAGTTGATTTCGAGGGTCCACACAGATACTGTAAAATGGAAGAGAATCCACACTCTACCTACTTAGAAATCCATAGGCATTAATTCAACTAAGAATTAGCTAGGTTGATACTGTCAAGTATTAAGCTTCCCCTGATTCCTTCCCTGTCTCCCATGAAGTTTGACTTAAGAAAAGAAGGGTGAGAAACAGAAAGGAATGTAAGGCTTTTGTATTACCAGCTACCCCACTCTGCTGAAATCAGAGTATGGGGAGTACGCCCACAGGCACCCTGCTCCCCTCCCATCTACTAAAGTGCTCAAACCACTTAAATAATGCTAATGATGTGGCTCACTGGTCTAGGTTTTAATTCCTTTTTTTTCTTTTCTTTTCTTTTCTTTCTTTTTTTCTTTTTGAGATGGAGTCTCCCTCTGTTGCCCAGGCTGGAGTGCAGTGGCGTGATCTTGGCTCACTGAAACCTCCGCCTCCCGGGTTCAAGTGATTCTCCTGCCTCAGCCTCTCGAGTAGCTGGGACTACAGGCACGCGCCACCATGCCTTGTTAATTTTTGTATTTTTAGTAGAGATGGGGTTTCGCCATGTTGGCCAGGCTGGTCTTGAACTCCTGACCTCAAATGATCCACCCGCCTCAGCTTCCCAACGTGCTGATATTACAAGCATGTGCCGCTGCGCCTGGGCCATTTTTTTCAATGTGAGCACAGTTATTAATTTTGTGCTTCACTGAGGTATTTTTAAATATTTTAACATATGGACAACAGAGTTGAGAATCTCAAATTCACTAAATTTGAAAATAACATTTAAAATATCCCAAATTATTCAACTCACTGCCCATTCTAAAACAAATTTACTAAAAAATTAAATAACTCATAAAAAAGTATGACTTCATATTTCCAATGTGGTTACATTCCTACTCTTTTATTAATCAAATTGATTTAGCATCTAGAAGAAAAAGTACTATGCATACTGGTGGACCCTTATAAAACCCCAAGAATTCTTCAGCTAAAATAACATTCATGGTTCAAGAAAGAAAGAATCCCCTACATTGAAATAACCTGTTACTTTAAAGTCAGTGCTTACCATGATCACTAAATAGAAGTTGCTTCCACTTCTGCCTTTCTGCCTCTGAAGCTTTAAATCCCAGCACAGATTTTAATTCTTGGAGCACCCTCTTGGATTCTTCATGCTCACGCTTCTGTCTCTCTTTGTCTTCTTGAGACAAGTAATAAAAATCATCCTTTCTGAAATCACTATCAATATCTATATCATCTACATAAGCTTCTAATTCCTGAAAATGAATAGAAGAAAAAGCACTTTACTTGAAGCAAACAATTCTCTAGTAAGCATTCATTTACTTGCACTTACTTATCTCTGAGATTAAAAAAAAAGGACTTGCATTTGGCACAGGTCATTAAAGCAGAGCTAGGAAAAGAAAAAAGCAAATATATACCTATGGATAAATTGAAATCTTCAAAAACAACCTAACAGTTGATACTAAAAAGCATTGTGGATAAAAAAAGTTTAACAACTTCAGTAGTTATTTTTCTACTCTGGTAACATACCATACACTTAGTGTTACAGCCATTAGCTATATCAAAACCAATCAAAATTAGAAGGGCTGGCACTTTGGGGAGGTGGTCAGGCATGTTTGTTTTCTTGTGGTTCTTTCAGATTTCCCAGGAAGTTTGAACATTCTTCCTAGGATTAGGGAACACCCCACCTTATGGTTCTCCCTATCTCTAAGACAGAGAGGGTAGGATGCTTGCTTACCCAAGCAGTATCCTTACAGTATAGGCTCAGGTAAATGACCTGGGATTCTCTAATCGACGTACCTGCATCAGATCGGACTTAGAAGTCTGAGATAAAAGAAGCAGGCACCAGCCGGGCGCGGTGGCTCATGCCTGTAATCCCAGCACTTTGGGAGGCTGAGGCAGGCGGATCACGAGGTCAGGAGTTCAAGACCAGCCTGGCCAAGATGGTGAAACCCTGTCTCTACTAAAAACTACAAAAATTAGCCAGGCGCGGTGGCAGGCACCTGTAATCCCAGCTACTCAGGAGGCTGAGGCAGGAGAATCGCTTGAACACGGGCAACAGAGGTTGCAGTGAGCCGAGATCGCGCCCCTGCACTCCAGCCTGGGCCACAGAGTGAGACTCGGTCTCATATAAAAAAGAACCAAGCACTTTGGAAAATCTATTCTGGCAGGATGTTGCAGATATGTTTCTTGAAGTAGCACTTCTGGAGGTTAAGTTTTACTATTCAGCATTGACGAAGCAAGGGGCAATGTCTCCACCCATTAACTTAGCAATGATAGTTCCATTGCAACAGTTCTTTTGAGTGATTTGGCTGTTTACCCTAGCATCATTCAAGCCTGCTTATCTAGCTCTCTGAAATATTCTGTAAGCTACCTAAAAGTTTAAATAAAGTATCTGTCTGTTAAACTAACTAGGGTTGGTTTCCATTTGCAATTAAGAATACTGAATAGTAACTTGTTATGCAATATACACGGAAAAAAAATACTGAATAGATAATATGACCTAAGGAAAAGAGGTTTTCCTTACAATGAACAAAAGTAACCTTTGTCAATATCCAATGCGATCATTAAAAAATTGTTTTTAAAAGTGAGGTATATCATAGTACATGCAGTCAAGTGCACAGGATTTTTACATATGTACACATACCAGTAACTGCTACTCAGATCAAGATAAACACATTTCCAGCATCCCAAAAGGTAGCTTTGCCAATGTACTAATTTTCAATGTGTTTAATCACTTTTGAAAGCCACTCAGATATAGACAATTAGATATAAATAACAATCAAAAAAAAGTCTGCAGGCAGATTCAATGAATTCAGAGTTAAGCACTAAGAACTAATGATCTGATATAAATTCAATATATTATGTTGTAATTTTGAAGCTCATTAGAAACAGAAATCCAACAAGGGAAAGAACAGTAATTTTCACCCTTACCTGCTCCTCTGGGATTGGATCTTTGTCTGCAATGTGTAGAGTAGGCTGCTTCAAAGGTACTACTGTACAATGTGGGTTTTCACATGCTATTTCAGGCTTGCCTTTAAAAAACGGGAATAGATGGGAATAAAGATAAGAAACAGACCACACAGAAATGAGTGAACATCTAATTAAAAACACCCTTGGGGCCAGGTGTGGTGGCTCATGCCTGTAATCCCAGCACTTCGGGAGGCTGAGGCAGGAGGATCGCTTGAGCCCAGGAGTTCAACACCAGCCTGGAAACAAAGACTCTGTCGCTACAAAAACTGAAATAAAAATTGGCTGGGCATGGTGGTGCACACCTGTAATCCCAGCTACTTGGGAGGCTGAGGTGGAAGGATCGCTTGAGCTGGGGAGATCAAGACTACAGTGAGCAGTGATCACACCACTGCACTCCAGCCTGGGCAACAGAGCTAGATCCTGTCTCCCCCAACCAAAAAAATCCTTGGTACTAATACTTTGTCAATTTCATAGTCCAACTTGTTCTAATAACTTTGTATTTATAAAAACATAAAGATATTAAAGTGAAAAACAATAAATTAGTAGATTTACAACTTAACTTTAAGTCTTTAAACTCTTGGAGAAGAGGACCTGCCCTTCTCTCTTCACCTCTTCACAGTATCTGGTACACACCAGGTACTCTGTAAGTACTTGTTGAACAAAATATTATCATTCACAGCATAGGAACAGTCTTAAGACAGACCATCACTCTTCTTCACAAAATACAAACTTCAAACTTACCCTGAGGCTATTTTAACACTCAGAGGTTGGAATTGGAAATGAATTCACAAGGAAATATCTTTTAAAGATCACCCAAGTGAGTTTAACTTTGATTAATTCTTAAAATTTATGTTTGGTATTTAATGACAGGGTTACTTAGTCTCATATCCAGGTGGCTATCATTAATCATTATCTTTCTACTTAAAAAAAAGAAGTATGGTTTAAACTTGTTGATTTTTAATTTTCAAAAGTAACAATAGTTAAATGGTTAAAATAAAGAAGTATTTGGGAAATGTTACAAAAAATGACTGATTAGTTTGTAGGCAAGATGGCAGAACGATGAATAAATTAATAGGAAGCACTAATGAGAGACAGAATAGCACAGTGGCTAAGAGCTGTAGAGTTAGTCACACCTGGGTTACATCCCAGCTCTTGCTGCTTTCTAGTTTAAATTATAGTTAACTGGCTGGGCACAGTGGCTCACGCCTGTAATCCTAGCACTTTGGGAGGCCAAGGCAGGAGGATCATGAGGTCAGGAGTTTGAGACCAGCCTGACCAACATGGTGAAACCCCCATCTCTACTAAAAATAGAAAAATTAGCCAGGCATGGTGGTATGTACCTGTAATCCCAGCTACTCAGGAGGCTGAGGCAGAAGAATCGTTTGAACCCGGGAGATGGAGGTTGCAGTGAGCCAAGATTGCATCATTACACTCCAGCCTGGGCAACAGAGCAAGACTCTGTCTCAAAAAAAAAAAAAAAAAAAAAGGGCCAGGTACAGTGGCTCACACCTGTAATTCCAGCACTTTGGGAGGCTAAGGTGGGTGGATCACGAGGTCAAGAGTTTGAGACCAGCCTGGCTAATATGGTGAAACCCCATCTCTAATAAAAACACAAAAATTAGCTGGGTATGGTGGCATGCGCCTGTAGTCCCAGCTATTTGGGAGGCTGAGGCAGGAGAATTGCTTGAACTTGGGAGGCGGAGGTTGCAGTGAGGCGAGATCGCGCCACTGCACTCCAGCCTGGGCGACAGAGTGCGACTTTGTCTCAAAAAAAAAAAAAAAAAATTACAGTTATCTGTAGAACAGTGGTGAAAATAATAGTACTATCTTGTAAGATTAAAAAAGAATACATGAAAAGTGCCTGCTACAGATTACATGCTCAAAAACTGCCATTATTGCCTAATTAGCAGAACACAGATTTCATTACATCAATGGTGACACCATATATCGAGTTCTTTGAATGAAAAGAAAAAAAACCAAATAAATCCATAAGACTATTATTAATAGCAATAAACAGGTACATTAAACAGTGTGCTGGCAATCCAGCTCTAAACAAAACAAAACACCCAATTTGCAGCACTTCCTGATTTCCAGTTCCCATGGTGTAAATGCACCCACTGTGACCAATTTTAAGCTACCAATGATGTTAAACTGACTCACAAATTTCTGAATATTTAACAATCTTTGGAGAGCTAGCTCCAGCATGCAATCCATTTAACAAAAATCTAGCAAGAGGCCGGATGTGGTGGCTCAAGCCTGTAATCTCAGCACTTTGGGAGGCTGATATGGGCTGATCACTTGAGGTTAGGAGTTGGAGACCAGCCTGGCCAACATGACGAAAACCCATCTCTACCAAAAAACACAAAAACTAGCTGGGCATGGTGGTGCATGGCTGTAGTTCCAGCTATTCGAGAGGCTGAGGCAGGAGGATCATTTGAACCTGGGACGCACAGCTTGCAGTGAGCTGAAATTGCGCCAATGCACTCCACACTCCAGCCTGCACAACACAGTGAGACTCTGTCTCAAAAACAAACAAACACAAAAAGCCTAAAAAAATTTTAAAAACCCACCAGATTTTTAATTACATGCTTGCAGTAATAGCTTTTACAAACAGCACAGAAGGTTATAAAGTGAAAAAAGCTCCCTGAAGACCTTATCCCTCAATTCTACTGTCTGAAAGCAGGGGCTTGCCAAATCTGCCCCACTGCCTGTTCTTGTAAATACATTTTTCCTAGAACACAGCCACACTCATTTAAGTATAGTCTATGGGTGCTTTCACATTACAACAGCAGAGTAAAGTAGTTGTAACAGACACCATATGGCCTGCAAGGCAGAAAATCTTTAGAGGAAAAAAATTGCAGACCTTTATCCCAGAGCAATGCTTCTCAAATTTCTCACACTTTAACGTGGATGCAACTACCAGATCTTATTAAAATACAGGTGGATTTAAAGTCAGGGGTGCATTTGTAACAAGCTCTCATGTGATGCTTATATGCTAGTCTGGGGACCACTCTGAATAACAAGGCCCTAGAGGTAATAAATATGAAGCGTTTTAAAATAATGTGACACACACACATACACATGCGCACACACATATATTTTTGAGACAGGGTCTCACTGTGTCACCAAGGATGGAGTGCAGTTGTGCAATCATGGCTCACTGAAGCCTCGACCTCCTGGGCTCAAACAATCTTTCCACCTCAGCCTCCCAAGTAACTTTTTGTTTTTTTTGGTAGAGATGGGGTTTTGCCATATTGCCCAAGCTGGTCTCAAACTACTGGTTTCAAGTGATCCTCCCTCCTTGGGCTCCCAAAGTGCTGAGATTATAGGCATGAGCCACCGCACCTGGCCTGTGATATTTTTAACAATGGGAAACTTTATTAACTGGAGATTCTTTTCTATGGTAATCCTCGAGTAATGCCAAAGTTATAACCTATTCTCAATGATTTCCTGAGCTTACCACAATATATATGTAGATATATATGTGTATATATATGTATATGTGTATACATACATATTTATATAAATTCTATATAAAATATGGAATGATTCATGAATTTGTACATCATCCTTACACAAAGGACATGTTAATTTTCTCTGTATCATTCTAATTTCAATACATGTGCCGCCAAAGCCAAGTACCCTAATCTTGGTTTCTAAATGCCATTGCCATTAAAAGATTTTACAAGCCATTCCTCCCTCCATCTCCAATTCCTTGCAACTACTGATCTGTTTTCTGTTCCTTTGCCAACTTAAGAGTACCTCATAAGTGGAATAACATAGTATGTAGTGGTTTGAATGTGATGTCTTTCACTTGGCATAATGTATTGAGATTCATTCATCGTGTTGTATGCATTGGTAGTTCACTTTTTTTGTTGCCGAGTAGTATTTCACTGTATGGATGGATGTAACAGCTTAGTCACCTCCCAAAGCCTAGCTGCTTCTAGTTTTAGTTTATAAACAAAATATTTATGTATAGGCTTTTGTGTGAACACTAAGTTTTTATATTTCTTGGTTAAATACGTAGGAATGATACTACTGGGTCATATGGTATATGCATTCATAGTGGTTAAAATTTTGATGAAGAAAGCATATTTATAAAACCTCAGAGTATTTCTTTACAAAATATTTATCATGAAAGACTTTAAGGAAAAGGAGAATAAAGAGCATGACAACTGAACACCATGCACAATCTAGGTCTAGACATATAAAAAATATTGGGACAATCAGGGAAATTTGAATGGGTTCTGTGGATAAAATGACAATATCATGGTTGGTGTTCATTTTCTGATTTTGATGGTATACTGTGGGTACACAGGAGAATGTTCCTGTTTTACAAAAATGCATACAGAAATATTTAGGGGTAATGGGGCTTCAAGTCTACAACTTACTCTCAAATGGCTCAGAGTAACACCACCATCAAAAGAATTACACACACATACAGATACATACATAGATAAGGCAATTGTGACAGAATGTCAACAACTAGGGAATATTGATGAAGGAGACTTTCAACTATTGCAACTTTTCTGTAAGTTTGAAATGATTTCAAAATAAGACCTTTTTAAAAAAAGATATGGCTAACTAAAGTACCTGCTTCTTAAAATATTCAAATGAACATTTTTTAAATTTAAACCTGTGTAGTCATGGCCACTGTGAATTTTTTAGTGAAAAAAGTTTGTGAACTATTTGTGTCTTAATCCATATCATTATTATCTATAAGCAAAAGCCACACATACAGAAAATAATTAGAAAATGGCTTATCTTAATTACCTACCCAATGAGGTGGAGAAAGTTTTCACAGTAATGGTTAACAATAGTGGATAAGCGATAGACTAAGATTCAACATCTCATAGTGTGCTAAAGGAGGGATGAATGGGATGCATCTTTCTTTTTTTTTTTTTTTTTTTTTTTTTGAGACAAGAGTCTTGCTCTGTTGCCCAGGCTGGAGTGCAGTGGTACGATCTCAGCTCACTGCAAGCTCCGCCTCCTGGGTTCACGCCATTCTCCTACCTCAGCCTCCCGAGTAGCTGTGACTACAGGTGCCCGCCACCATGCCCGGCTAATTTTTTGTATTTTTAGTAGAGACAGGGTTTCATTGTGTTAGCCAGGATGGTCTCGATCTCCTGACCTCATGATCTGCCCACCTCAGCCTCCCAAAGTGCTGGGATTACAGGCGTGAGCCACTGAGCCTGGCCTTTTTTATTTATTTATTTATTTATTTATTTATTTATTTATTTATTTTTTTTTTTGAGACGGAGTCTCGCTCTGTTGCCCAGGCTGGAGTGCAGCAGTGGCACGATCATAGCTCACTGCAGCCTCAAACTCTTGGGCTTAAGCAATCCTCCTGCCTCAGCCTCCTGAGAAGCTGGGTAACAGCTACTCCCATCACCGTGCCTGGCCAGGATGCATCTTTTAACAACCAAAGGTCTTCTGAGTGTTTCTATTTGTAGAAAATGTACACAAAAGCTCTAGATGTCATATCAGAAAGTTTAATATGCATAAGTATTTGCATATATCAGAGTTTCTTGGTAGATTTATCCTTTGGAGAAAAAATTATTCACAGTTTACATTTGAGATATTAAGAAAACCTACGGGTAATATATCAGTAATTAGCATGTTAATATTTCCTTTGGAAAAAGTGAATACTTTTCCTATCTAAGGATTTGTTCAAGCTTGTTTAAGACATTAAAGAAATTATTACAAATCTAGCTGTAAACACAAAAATAACAGGATGGTAAAGCATTAATTATCTTTAGCAACAATGCAAATTCTATGCCTAAGTCTGAGTAACCTCACAATAAACATCCAAGAGATAAATATGGTACTGATTTGCAGCACAGTTTTTAAAAATTGATATGCCAAACATTGAAAAATGAAATCAGTGAGGTAAAAACAAGCATAAAATCGGAGTCACATAAAAGCAGCTTGGTGGAAAAATCTCAAGACTATATATATATTTTTTTACCTAGTAGCACAAAGCAATCTGATATATTATTAAATAATGACACAATGTCTTTAGATCTTAGTACTAAATATGCAGTGCCACTAATTATATCATTTGTATATTATTTTTGAATGACTAAAGTTAAGTATTTTATCTTAAAAGAAAAACTCAAGTTCCTAGCCCCAGACTATCAAACTCATTCTTTTATTATCCTAACTGAAAAAGAGTTTCTGGAAGTTCTAATAATAGAAAAATGCTATCAAAATTTATTCTCTCATTTCAGTCTTTTTAAAAAAGAGATATGATTCACTGAACTTTCAAATCATATTCATTTTTAATTTACAAAATGAGAGCCAAGAATTGTATTCAGTGTCACTTTGTACATATAAATTCAACATTAAAAAAAAGTAAACTAAGAAATTTTGAAGCTAGTTTCATCATAAAGACAAGAAGTCTACCTAATAAAATCCTACCAGAGTGGAATAAGCATGTCTGATAAGCATATGGCAAAGAAATCTCTCACAGGTACCTTTTTTATCTGTATTTCTTCGTAGCAGTTTGTCGACCTGAGAAATGGCCTCTTCCCAGCAATTGTTGCTTGCTTGAACGTGGGGCTGAATCAACTTTAATTTCTGTTCTAGGATGGGATAAGCCTCTGACACTAGTTCTTGTGTTTCTTTAGTACAAACAAGCTTTTCAAGTTCATCTTCAAGAATTATTACCCTGAGTCATAAAGAAAAACAGAAACAGATTTCTATAATATGAAATGAAAAATTTATAATTTACGAGGCTTATTTTAAAATAAGCTTAAATCTCAGCACTTTGGGAGGCCAAGGCAGGTGAATGGCTTGAGCTCAGGAGTTCAAAACCAGCTTGGGCAACATGGTGAAACCCCTTTTTCACCAAAAATACAAAAAATTAGCCGAGCATGGTAGCATGTGCCTAAGGCTGAGGTGGGAGGACTGCTTGAGCCTGGGAGGTAGAGGTTGCAGTGAGCCACAATAGCGCCACTGCACTTCAGCCTGGGGGACAGAGTGAAATCCCATCTCAATTAAAAGAAAAAAAAGAAAAAAGGCTTATAAGATGAAAAAAGTTCTGGAGTTGGACAGTGGTAATGGCTACACAACAATGTGTATACACTTAATGCCACTGAACTGTACATTTTATAATGATTAAATGATAATTTTTGTTATGTATTCTTTGACACAATTTTTTAAAAAGCTTATAAAGAGTATTACATATTTATTCAACAAATATTTCTTGCATACATACTAGGCATTTTATGGGCCAAAAAGAAAAATTAAACTCATCTGCTATTCATAAGAAATAACAAGTGATATTACACATATATGTAAGCAAAATATAATATCCACCGCCCCTCCCTACCCCACCCCACCCCCACTTCCCCTGCCAACAACAGCTCCCTGGCTCCCTCCCCACTTGGATGTGGCTCGAGCTGGTGACATGCAAGACTGGAGACACCACAGACCCATGACCCAGAGCAGCTTGGAGGCAGTGAATAATAGCTCTTCAGGTCTGCAATAAAAAATGGCCTCCAACAAAACCACATTGCAAAACATGGGAAAGAAACAGAATGGAAAAGTAAAAAAGTTGAAGAGGCAGAGCCTGAAGAATTTGTGGTGGAAAATGTACTAGATAGACACGCAGGGAATGGGAAAGTGGAATATTTCCTGAAGGAATTTACAGATGCTGACAATACTTTGGAACCTGAAGAAAATTTAGATTGTCCAGAGTTAATTGAAGCATTTCTTAATTCTCAAAAAGCTGGTGAAGAAAAAGATGGTACAAAAAGAAAACCTTTATCTGGCAGTGAATCTGATGACAGCAAATCAAAGAAGAGATGCTGTTGACAAACCAAGAGGAATTGCCAGAGGTCTTGATCCTGAAAGAATAATTGGTGCCACAGATGGCAGTGAAGAATTGATGTTGCTCATGAAATGGAAGGATTCAGATGAGGCAGACTTGGTGCTGGCACAAAAGGCAAATATGAAGTATCCTCAAATTGAAATTGCTTTTTATGAAGAAAGACTAACTTGGTATTCTTGTTACATACATACATACATGTAAAATTTGCGGTCAGGCACGGTGGCTCACACCTGTAATCCCAGCACTTTGGGAGGCCAAGGCGGGTGGATCACCTGAGGTCAGGAGTTCGAGACCAGCCTGGCCAACATGGTGAAACTCCGTCTCTACAAAAGTATAAAAATTAGCTGGGCATGGTGGCAGGTGCCTGTGATCCCAGCTACTCAGGAGGTCAAGGTAGGAGAATCGCTTGAATGTGGGAGGCAGAGGTTGCAGTGAGCCGAGATCATGCCACTGCACTCCAGCCTGGGCAACAGAGTGACAGACTCTATCTCAAAAAAAAAAAAAAAAAAAAAAAAAAGAAGGGGTCGGGGGGAGCGTCTTGGTTTTTTATTTACTAGTATGACAAAATAACTACACTCTAATGAAAATCAAGTTTTATATGCTCATTTTGAAAGCAGTGTTGGAAGAATTGTTGGGTTTTTCTTTTTTGCATCAATAGCACTGGTTACTTTGAATAAATAAATACAAGCTTTCTGTAGTTGCTTTCTTTATCAGAAAAGAAAAAGACTACAATATCATAAATAATTAGAACTACCATTTTATTTCCATTTTACAGATAATAAGGAATTAGGCCCAGAGAGTCGGGGAAACTTGCCTAGAGTCACAAAGCTAGTAAGATGTAAAACTGGGCTGAATACAGGCACAAAAGGATAATACCACAGAGAGACAGTGTTATGAGAAATCAGAAGAAGGGAAAATTACTACCAACTGCAAGGACAGATGGGGAACAACTAAGGAAGAGGTATTTTTGAGGTAGCATTGAAGGATGGATAAAATTTGGGCCCATATACAAAAGGTGAGGAAGGTTGTTCTTTTTATTTTTTATTTTTATTTTTTGAGACAGGGTCTCACTCTGTCACCCAGGCTAGAGTGCAGTGGTGTGATTTCGGCTCACTGCAACCTCAACCTCCAGGGGTCAGGTGATCCTCCCACCTCAGCCTCCCAAGCAGCTGGGACTACAGGCGTGTACCACCATGACTGGCTAATTTTTGTATTTTTTTGTAGAGATAAGGGTTTCCCATGTTGCTTAGGCTGGTCTCAGCTCCTGGGCTCCAGCAATCTGCTCTAGTTGGCCTCCCAAAGTATCAGGATTACAGGTGTTAGCCATTGCGCCTGGCCGGAAGCTTGTTCTATTAGGTTGATACAAAAGTAATTGAGGTTGTTGCCATTACTTTTTTTTTTTTTTTTTTTTTTTGAGACAGAGTCTTGCTCTGTCACCCAGGCTGGAGTGCAGTGGTGCGATCTTGGCTCACTGAAAGCTCCACCTGCCGGGTTCACACCATTCTCCTGCCTCAGCCTCCCGAGTAACTGGGACTACAGGCGCCTGCCACCATGCCTAGCTAATTTTTTTGTATTTTTAGTAGAGATGGGGTTTCACCATGTTAGCCAGGATGGTCTCGATCTCCTGACCTCGTGATCCTCAGCCTTTAAAGTGGAATATTGTGTACATGCTAATGTCTCTCACCTTTCTTAAGTATTTTCACTAGAAAGTACACCAGTCACAAACCATCATATCCCAAAGTGCTGGGATTACAGGCGTGAGCTACCTCGCCTGGCCCGCCCTTACTTTTAATGGCAAAAGCTGCAATTACTTTTGCACCAACTTATAGAAGGACCATGGGAAAAGGCATTTATACAGTTTGGCTGGACTGAAGGAAAGGAATGAGAATTAAAGATAGAAACAGACTGTAGTCAGGTTATGACAAACCCTTCTATAGTATGTTTTGTAAGGACTTTAGTTTGAGCTGCTATGACTCCGAAACCAGTCAAGATTTTCAGTGAAGTGAGAAAGCAAATATATGCCTCAGTAACACTAATCTGGCCATACACACCCTGGAGGTGGGGAGAACAGTTAGAAATTAATGCCCTAGTGTAGGGAAGAGACAATATGGTTCCACATGAGGCACTGAGAGTGGGAACAGCAAAGAACACAAGGGGGAGAGGAGTGAGACACAAAAAGAGCATTCTAAAATATGAAACACAAAACAATTATTTAGTTAACAATTCAAAAAGTTGTATGTAGCAGCACTACAGAGCAAATTGGATATGATGGTTTGTGACTGGTGTACTTTCTAGTGAAAATACTTAGAAAGGTGAGAGACATTAGCATGTATAGAATATTACACTTTAAAACAGGACAAAAACTTCCTATGCATAATCCACAATTCCTGCTCATGGTACAAAGCTCCTCTTTTTTGTGTTCATGTCTACCTTGTGTAGCACTCTTTCTTCCCTGAGCCATCTTCCCTCACTCAAATGCATTCTAATATGCGCCGTATATTTCTGATTCTATTGCCAAAACTTACTTCTTCGGAGGCTCTGGCTTTGCCTACAACCTGTCCACTGAAATCTTATTTTCCTTTGAGGACAATCCAACCTTTGCCACCCACTCAAGTGGAGATGGCCTTATCGCCCAGTTCCCTGTAGAAGGCAGGGCTAAGAGCCTCGTTAGCATTTACCTGCTTTCTTAGAACAGCAGATATAGACCACTGGAATACCCTGAGTTCATAGTGTCTTCATTTTTCCTATGCCATAATCTTTATATCAGCCTTATATCAAGCCTTATATCAAGCCCAACTCAGGCCTTGAACTGATGGGTAAAAACTTAGCTTCTAAAAATATCTTTCTGACTTTAAGTTCCTATCCTTGTATCTCTTATCCTCCCTAATTCCAGTGATTTTGATTTGCTGATTTAGCCTTTTGATTTTGCTGATGTATCAAGTCCTTTTGACCCATTCTTATTTACATAATCAAATACTGCCTTCCCCATTCCACTTCTTGCCTTGTATCCCAGGGTCAAGTACATCAACTACAATCTTGTCAGCTCTTTAAATTCCTAGGACCTTCCTGATTACCAACACAATTTGAACCCAACCATTCATTTGATCCAGTCCTACACGATGAGTATTTAACTGTTAGAGAAAAATTTCACTGGAAATGACTGTATTCAATTAAATGCCTTGATTCAATTTTTAAACTTGAAAACTTCCATGTACAAATATGTGAAAATAGTATTTTCAGCTGATAAAGGTATACCAAAGTGGGACATAAAAATTTAGGAATTAAGGTAGTATACCAACAATTTCATGCAAGGTAGGAAATGAACAAATATAAACTCTAGACTCTACATTTTGCTCTTCAACTGGGACCACAAAGCTTGTCCTGTGATACAAAAAAATTTTCAGATCTGCTGTAATTTATTTAGAAAAATAGCAATATGTTACTCTTCCACTATATATAACATATATACTGTTCCAGTACTGGTAGATATTTCTATTGGACTGCAGGTTCCAGTTTAAGAGCACTACCTTAAGACAGTTAAAAGAAACTCATTCTTTATAACCATCTCCATTTCAGCTCTCAAAGAGAATGAACAACACCTGCTTTTAGCCTACTTTTCCAAGTTTTCTGTTGAACTAAGGAAAAGTAAAAACTATAAATAATAACTCCCTCAAGTTATAGTACTTATAAATTATTTTTTTTTTTTGCTATATTTATAGCTATAAATCACCCTTCATGCTCATGCCTCAGTTTTGTTTCTTTTTTCTAGGTAGGACACAAGCCAACAACCACAATGGTACACGAATGAAGCTTGCTAATTACCGAGACCTTTCTTGGTATAATTTCTAAACTTACTCATTCAGTAATGCTTTCAGATGGAGCTGCAAGCTACGCACTGCTGTGTGAACATTATTCAGTTCTCTTGACTTCTGTTGAGTTTTGGATAAACACTGCGGTACTGACTGGTGCTGAGTTTCAAAGTACCGATAGAACTCATAGCTGCGCTTAAGCTCTTCCAAACAGGCAGAATGAGCATGAGGTAGACCTTGAGTCACATCAGATAAGATACGATGAGGCAGAAGTGCTGGAGTAAGTAAGGGCCCAGGAGGTGAATTGGCTGTAGAAAGTAATAGGGCTAACCGTCTGAAGAACTCTGAACTCTGTGCCACCCAGAGTTGGAACAAAACCTTAAAGAAAAAAGAAAAAAGAACTAGATCAATAAAAATATTGGTCAGTGTTCAAAACAAACTATAAATTTGTTTATCTTAACTTCTGGTTTAAATTTTGCACTTTATCCTAAATAATAAATATAGCCGAACTTAAACTACCTTAAGATTAGCCAAGAATATGATTTCAAATTATGTGTGTGGGAACCTCTGATTCCAATACAGCAGGTAACATCAATATATAATTTACTACAGTTCTGCCCTAGATGGGAAGTGTTGATGGAATGAGATAATTTAGTAAAAGTGAATCTTCACTCATTATTTAAAAAAAATTTTCACATAGGAGAAAAGAAGATAGTAGGACTAGTGGATATATATACATATATATATATATTTTTTTCTCTCCAAAGAAATGAGTCACATGGATCAAAAGCTTGGGTTTCAAAATAAGACTATTACCTTGCCCTAGGAATTAGCTAAGAAATTAACATAAAAATCAGTCCAGGGCTAGGCGCAGTGGCTCACTTTGGGAGGTGAAGGCGGATGGATCACTTGAGGTCAGGAGTTTGAGACCAGCCTGGCCAACATGGTGAAACCTCGTCTCTACTAAAAATACAAAATTTAGCCAGACATGGTGGTATGTGCTTGTAGTCTCAGCTACTTCGGAGGCCGAGGCAGGAAAATCATTTGAACTTGGGAGGCAGACGTTACAGTGAGCTGAGATGGCGCCACTGCACTCCAGCCTGGGTGACACAGCAAGACTCCATCCAAAAAAAAAAAAAATCAATACTCCAGGAATGTCTGACATGAGAAATTGCAAAACCCATTATTTTAATTAATTAATTAATTAATTTTTGTGATAGAGTCTTGCTCTGTTGCCCAGGCTAGAGTGCAATGGCACTATCATAGCTTACTGCAACCTCAAACTCCTGGGCTCAAGTGATCCTCCTACTTCAGCCTCCTGAGTAGCGGGAAACACAGGCATGTACCACCATACTCAGCTAATATTTAAGTTTTAGAGATGGGGTCTCAGTATGTTGCCAGGATAAATCCCATTCTTCTTCTTTTTTTTAAAATGCAGTCTGAATATGTTCATAGGCCCGTTCCTGAGATACATCCTGAATCCTGGCAGCAAAATATTTCTCCAGATATAGTCCTATTCAAGATGAGGACAATATCTCCGAAACAAATGCATGAGGAAACAATGTAGTATGAAACAAGAGGTAGCAGGGAATAAAAAGAGGATGAAACCACTTTGGGTAATTTAGATTCCAATTATTCACAACCATGAAAATAGACAGTATTTAGATGGTTTTAGTAAATGAATTTTAAAATTATGCCAATAATGAATTAAGATTATTTCATGTATATCTATTTTACCATTAACTT
Organism: Homo sapiens; assembly: GCF_000001405.40. Taxonomy (NCBI): domain Eukaryota; kingdom Metazoa; phylum Chordata; class Mammalia; order Primates; family Hominidae; genus Homo; species Homo sapiens. Next base: position 95,280,944 of record NC_000012.12, on the reverse strand, counting down.
ATTTTTTTTTTAAAGTGACCAAGGCCTAATTTCCTAGTTGCTACAGATGTGATATCTAGGGATTCTTGACTTGCAAGTTTACTTGCAAGCCTTCTTATTCAACTGTTAAATTTTATGATTACAATGATTTTTATTCTTTTGTTCGTTCATTCAGAAATGATTTCTTGAGCACCCATGATGTGCCAGGCACTGTTCTAGGTGCAGATAAACAGCAGTGAGCAAAAATGAAGAGTCCCCACTCTGATGGAGCTTATATTCAAGTAGAGGGGCACAGATAATAATTTACAAGTAAAAGATACTATTTCCCTTTTGCAGTAATGATTGTCGAGGAAGAAAAAGAAAGATAGTGTTTCTTGGTTGATGGGAAAAACACAGCAAAGAAGAGGAATAGTGTGTGTGTGTGTGTGTGTGTGTGTGTGTACACATATGAAAGGGGGGGAATAGTGTGTGTGTGTGTGTGTGTGTATGTGTGTGTACACATATGAAAGGGGGGGAGAGAGACAGAAAGCGCGAAGGAGAGAGGAGAAGGGGCTGGCTGGGGAGGTCTCTAAAAGTGTCACCTGAAGGAAGTGAGCCATGAGATAATCATCAAGGAAGAGAGTTCTAGGGAGCAGGAAGTCAAATGCAAAGTACTGTTGTGGGAGCACACAGGGTAGATCTATGGAACAGCAAGAAGCTCAGTACGGCTGGGGCCAGGTAAGCAATGGGGAGCCACTGAAGGGTTCTGAGCAGAAGCATGACATAATCTGATTTATGCGTTAACAGGCCCATACTGTCTGCTGAGTTGAGAGATTATAGGAAAATGAGAGTAGAAGTGGAGAAACCAGTAAGGAAGTTACTGCAATATTCCAGGTAAGCATTAATGAGACCACGGTGGTTAGTGGTGGAAGGTGAGCAGCAGATGGACTCTGGATACATTGTGAAAGCAGAACTAACACAATCTCTTGACTGATTGGTATTGAGAGAAAAAGAGTTAACAAGGATGATTCCAGCATGTTGGGTCAAGATAACTGCAAGAATCAAGTTGGTACAGTTTACTGCGGCTTTTGAAAAGACTAAAGGCCAGGCGCAGTGGCTCCCACCTGTAATCCCAGCACTTTGGGAGGCTCACTTGAGGCCAGTAGTTGGGAGACCAGCCTGGGAAACACAGTGAGACCCCTGCCTCTACAAAATATTTTCTTAAAAATTAGTCAGGCATGGTGGCACATAACTGTTGTTCCAGCTACTTGGGAGGCTAGGGTGGGAGGATCGCTTGAGCCCAGGAGTTCAGGGTTACAGTGAGCCACGATTGCACCACTGCACACCAGCTGTGTGACTGAGCAAGACCTTGTCTCTAAAGACTAATTTGTCATCCAATCACTGTCACATTACCCACTTAAACCAGAACTCAGAAATATGTATTTCTTTTTTCCTGTTTGTTCTTTGGATAAGGAAAGCTCCTCTGGATAAGGAGATAACCATAGCTGATAGGTAAACAGAAAATTTTGATTTAAAGCATTTCACAATGTGTGCATTTATTTTTTCTAGAGCAGGAAACAGATGACTTCATAAATTTAAAAAACTAGTTAAAAACTTAAAGGAAAAGAGAGGGATAAGGACTGTGTTCTAGGGACTGATTGAGTATCCCTAATCCAAAACTTTGAAATGAAATCCCAAATGCTCCAAAATTTGAAACTTTTTGAGCACCAACATGGCAGTCAAAGGAAATGCTCACTGGAACATTTCAAATTTCAAATTTTTGGATTAGGGATGCTCAACCTCAATGTGTAATGCAAATATTCCAAAATCTGAAAAAATCCAAAATCCAAAACACTTCTAGTCTCAAGCATTTTGGATAAGAAATTAATTAATCAATTAATTTATTTATTTATGTTGAGACGGAGTTTCGCTCTTGTTGCCCAGGCTGGAGTGCAATGGCACGATCTTGGCTCACCACAACTTCCGCCTCCTGGGTTCAAGCGATTCTCCTGCCTCAGCCTCCCGAGTAGCTGGGATTACAGGCATGCACCACCACACCTGGCTAATTTTTTGTATTTTTAGTAGAGACGGGGTATCTCCATGTTGGTCAGGCTGGTTGCAAACTCCCAACCTCAGTTGATCCGCCCGCCTTGGCCTCCCAGAGTGCTGGGATTACAGGCGTGAGCCACGGTGCCAGGCCTGGATAAGACTCACGCCTGGATAAGAAATATTCAACCTGTATTTTATTTATGTCTCCTCAGGCTACAATTTGGAGGTTGCTTTTCTTTCTAAAGGTGCAATACTTACTATCACTAAACTTTCCTGAGGGAAGATACGGGAACAATAAAAAATAAATCCAAAATGTATTTTCTTTAGAGGGGGCAACACACTTTTAAAAATTTAACTTACAAAATCTATTTTTAAATTTCTTATCTGAATAACGATACAGTGGTAACTACAGAAGGGGGTAATACACAGTCTTTGAACATTACAGGGGTTTTCAACAGTTTGCAAAGTCTATAGAGCTCCTCAAGATAAGGCTCCTTTCAGAGCCTGATAAATGTGGTAACTGTAACACAATCATTGAGTTTGGTTACAGGTTAGTTATATGTAAAAATAAAAGAAATATAAAAATACTATTATAGTTTGATTTGTAAAACACTGTGAGTGAGCAAAAGGAATCTAGCTATAATCACCATTGTTGGAAGGTAGGATGGGGATACAGCAACAGAGAACAAGTCTCACATTTCAGAGCAGGCCATATCAGATAGAATTTTAAAAATCAGCTAACATTCATTAATTGCTTACTCTACACCAGGCACTGAACTGACAAACATCTAATCCTTTGGAGGCAAGCATTGCAATTATCCCATTTTAATAAACACAGAAACAATGATTTGCTCAGGACCACACAGTAGTCAAATAACGGAGCTAGAGTGAAACCTGGAAAATCTGACTCCACAGGGTCCACAACTTCTCTTTGCTGCCTATACTTAAGCTAGAGTACAATTCAGGATTTAATAAGCTTTTAAAAACAGTACATCAACAGCATAAAGAAATAAATCTCCAAGGCATCTTGATGAGTTAACAAAAAGTAATTTAAAAGGAAATGAAATACTATAATTCTTTCTCCAAGTCCTTCTTAAAGAATAACAGCTATTACCATTTGGGGGTACCCATTATATGTCAAGCCCTGTTCTAGGTATTTAATATGTCTTCTCATTTAATCTAATACCTTATAAGGCAGGGATGGTAACTCCTTTTCACAGGTGACATAAGTTCAAAGAATAACTTATTCAAAGGCAAATGGCTAGTCAGTCAGGGCTAAAATATAAACACAGGTCTGCTCCATTTTCCACATTAAGAATCTCTTAAATTGTACTTTGAAAAAAATCTTTATTTTCCTTAAAGAATAAAGCAAGGTTAGGATATTAAATTCGAAAGGGTGTGAAAGTATCTATAGTCCCACCACCCCAAAGAGTAGCTATATATATCTTGGTATTTTCTCCTCATTTTTTTTTTTAAACAGGGTTGTGGACATATTGCATATACACTTATGTATCCTGATTGTTTCACTGGCAACAGATGTTTCTCCAAGTTTTTACAGAATTTTCACGGGCAAGCTGTAGCTGCTACACAATGGTTCACCATGTGGCTCTGGCATGACTCACACAGCCATTCCTCTATTTTTGAACTTTCAGGCAGTGTTCCATTGTGCACTATTATAAACACAAAGTGAATAAGCAGCTTGGTATATAAAGTTTAACTATGTTTTAAATAATTTCCTGCAGTTTGTAGAAGGGGAATTACAAATTCAAAGGATAAATCATTAAAAAGGTTCTTTACATGTCAAGTTGCATTCTGAAACAAATAACTTTAGATAACTGAGGAAAGTACTGCAGCAGCCTAAGTATGAAATGATGGTGGCTGGGACTAGCATGGTGGCTGGGACTAGGATGGTGCGGGGGCGGGGGTGGATATAGAAAAAAGTGGATGGGTTTAAAATACATTTTCAAGGTAGAAGTGACATAAGAATCTGCTAACAGACTGGATGTGAGTGGGCAAAAAGAGGGACAAGAAAGATGGTGTCCAGGTTTTTTGTGGTGCCATTTATTGAGATGGGTTAGAAGGGGAGTAGGAATAAGCCAAAGCAAATTTTACGTAATAGGAAAGAAAGAAAACAAACAAGATTATTAGAACATTTATGTTGATTTAGAAAATGTAAAAGATATGGAAGTCAATACAGTCTCAAAACAAAATGGATCTTGATAAATGCTAACAACAATACTTGCACTAATTTTCACGGTATCAAGGGAAGTTTTAAAAACTAAAAACAAAGAAACATCTAAAGAGAGCTTACTAAATACTTAGTAGGAACTTAAGACATTTGGATCAATGTCTTAAAAATACTACTGGAGGCTGGGCATGGTGGCTCATGCCTGTTATCCCAACACTTTGGGAGGCTGATGTGGGCAAATAGTTTGAGCTCAGGAGTTTTAGACCAGCCTGGGCAACACGGTGAAACCCTGTCTCTACAAAAAATACAAAAATTAGCCGGGTGTGGAGGCATGTAACTGTAGTCCCAGCTACTCGGGAGGCTGAGGTAGGAGGATCACCTGAGGCCTGGGGAGGTTGAGGCTGCAGTGAGCTGTGATTGAGCCACACTGTACTCCAGCCTGGGCAACAGAGTGAGACTCTGTCTCAAAAAAAAAAAAAAAAAAAAAAAAGAAAAAAATTAAAAGAAAAAGAAAAACAAAAAAAATTTGTTTCCAATGTTGGCTGCTACACTAATGTCATGAACATACTTTGGGTATATCTTTGGTTACTTTCTGAGATAAATCTGTAAGGGCAAATTAAAATTGCTAGAATAAAGCAATTTTGCTTCATACACCTGTATGAAGATTGGTATTCACTGCTAAAGTGAACCAGTTTATACTTTCACCATTGGTGTGTGAGGTCTCCCTGAATCTTCAGTGATAATGAAATTACCAACTTTCAATATACTTGGCAAAATGGTCGGCTTATTATTTTTATTTGTGTTCTTTCATTACTAAAATGAAAAATTTTATCATATTTATTGGCCATTTGTATTTCTTCTTTTCTTGTTTTTTCTTTTTAGGCTAGTCAAATGAAGCAGCGGGAGTGAAGAAGGAACAAAGAAATCTATAACTGGTTGTGATCAATTCGTTGTAAAATACAACCTCACTGGGACTAGCCTGTGTTTCTTTTTTTGTGAACTGTCAGTTCATGCACCCAACTTATCTTCTATAGATCTTAGACACTTTAGAGTGCTCTGCATAAAAAAAAAAAATTAAAACTCTTTGTTATAAATCATTGTAATTTTTCTTGAGCTTGTTTGCATTTGAAGTATGCATTATTTGAAGTTAAAAGTTTACTTTTTTTTTTTTTGAGATGGAGTTTTGCTATTGTCACCCAGGCTGGAGTGCAATGGCATGGTCTCAGCTCACTGCAAACTCTGCCTTCCGGGTTCTCCTGCCTCAGCCTCCCATAGGCATGTGACACTGCACCCAGCTAATTTTTGTATTTTTAGTAGAGGTGGGGTTTCACCATGTTGGTCAGGCTGGTCTCGAACTCCTGAGCTCAGGTGACAGGTGATCTGCCTGCTTTGGCCTCCCAAAGTGCTGGGATTACAGGCGTGAGCCACCCGGCCAGCCCAAAAGTTTAATTTCTATGTAGCTAAATGTATCCTTTCATGTGGCTTTTGATGTATGAAAAAAAAACTTAAGAATTTTGGAGATAACCCATTATCCATGTTTGTTGAAACAAATGGCTAGTTATAAAATCACTCACGTTGGCCTCCAATTAAAGTAAATTCACTTATCTCCAAACTCTAATTTAAGGCATTTCTTTAAGCATTTTAAGTATTTGGACGTCAAAATCTAAGGATCTCCTCTTCCAATCTTTATTATGCTCTCGGCTCTTAAAGACAGAGTTACAAACATCACCCGTGCATTTATGATGATGGTATGCAGCAAACAATGAGTGGAACAAACGCACTATTTACATTCAGAAAGCATAGACACAATCCAAGTGCATCTATTTTTTCTTCAGCCCTTCCCTTACACAAATGGATTACCTTCAATGCAGGCAGGCTGAAGCCATCTGTAAAGTTATGTGCTTCCTCTTCTGAAATCTGCTCTTCACTAAGTCCAAGGCCCAGCTCTTTAAAAGGCACCACACAGATGTAGTTGGTTACATTGTCACTCTCAGAGTTCAGGGGGTAGGTTAAATTAGGTTAAGGCAATCAACAAAGCCTTTTCATGAAAGCATAAAAGATACAGTGAAATTGTCCTATATCACATTCCCTAATCTTTATTCTGAACTTTTGGATGAGGAGGTTTACAGCAGTTTTTAAACACAAATTAATTTTAAGTATCTAATATATTAACATAATACCTCAGATATCTTGGATACTTGTGGATACAATTTTTAATGTCTAAAAAATTAACAGTTCAAGTCTTCAAAAGGGTTAAAGTGATACGTTATTTATTTATTTTTTTGAGATGGAGTCTTGCTTTGTCTCCCAGGCTGGAGTGCAGTGGCACCAACCCGGCTCACTGCAACCTCGGCCTTTCAGGTTCAAGCAATTCTCATGTCTCAGCCTCTCGAGTAGCTGGGATTACAGGCATGCGCCACCACACCCAGCTGATTTTTGTATTTTTTTCTAGAGATGATGTTTTGCCATGTTGTCCAGGCTGGTCTTGAACTCCTGGCCTCAAGTGATCTGCCCGCCTCAGCCTCCCAAAGTGCTGGGATTACAGGTGTGAGTCACTGCGCTCAGCTCCGTTATTTTTGACACCTACCATTTGTAGCTGTATTGTGCACTTTACTGTGTCATGGTTCAGGGCCCTCACTATGCTATAGTAAATATTCTTTTCCTCTCAGTCTGCGTACTGCAGGACATTATTAGTTGAACGTTATCTGAAATACACAGACTGATATAAGTGGCACCAGGCCTGTTCTATCTAGCTTGTTTGACATAGACTACTGTTAGGTTTCCTCTGCCCTCATCCTTACAGACACATCAAAATCAATAATGATTTTTCCTTTTAATTATTTTTCTAAATAATTATTGATCGTGAACCATCTTTGCATTTCTAGCATATTCCTATTTGGTCATATTATAATAATCTTTTGATACAATCCAATATTAAATTTATAAATATTCCATTTAAACATTTTGTTTCTCCACTTATGAGATGGGTCTATATTCTTTGTAATACAACTGGTTTTTATTCTTTGTAATACAACATGTTTTGGTATTGAGATTACAGTATTTTCATAAATAAAATGATATAGGGAAACTTTCTAACCTTTTCTATAGTCTGAAATTTTTTTTAACTATAAAACCATCTGGATCTGGTAGTTAAAAAATTTTAAATTCACTTTGTTTTTGAATAGGTAGTATATTCACAGGATTCAAAATTCATGAGGTATTAAGGGATACAGCAAAAACTACTTTCCACCTCTATTCCTTAGCCATGTAGTTCCACTATCCAAATGCAAAGGCAATTCCATTTACCAGTACCTTCTAAGATTGTTTATGCATACATACATAAGAGCAAATTCAAATATAAATGTGTATCTGGAGATACGTAGGTATATATGCATGCATGTACATAAATACATACATACATATTTATCCCTGTATAAACACACAGTCCCTTTTATGCACAAATTGAAGGATACAATAAATACCAATCCGTGCACTTTGTGTTTTTTTTTCACTTAATATAACTTGGAGATCCACATTAGAGCACTAAGAACTCTATCATTGTTTTTTAAAAATAGTTTCATATTTTGCATTGTCTACATATAAACCAGGTGTTTTCTTTTTAAAATTGAGTATTCTTTATCCTATGTCCAATCTCTTCAAGTTTTAAAATTCTTCCTAGGTCAGTTTTGCAGATTTTTATTTTGATAAGAAATGAGGCTGGGCTCAGTGGCTCATGCCTATAACAATCCCAGCAATGTGGGATCCCTTGAGCCCAGGTGTTCGAGACCAACCTGGGCAAAATGGTGAAACCCTGTCTCTACAAAATGCAAAAAAATTAGCCAGGTGTGGTACTGTGTGCCTTGGTTCCAGCTACTCGGAAGGCTAAGGCAGGAGGATCACATGAGAATGAGACTACAGTGAGCCATGATCATGCCACCACACTCCAGTCTGGGTGACAGATGAGACACTGTCTCAAAAGAAACAAAAAGAACCATTTTCCCCTACATGTTCAAAGTTGCTGCTGTGCAGCTGCATATACTATCCCCTTACAGTTATTTTAATGTCTTCTATATCAATGGTTATCACTGTGTTCTCATTACTAATCTTGTATATTTCTGCTCTTTACTTTGATCAGGCAAATAAGGGTTTACATATCTTACTGGTCTTCTCAAAATGATTGGTGGATTCTTTTTTAGTTAAATTTATTAAGGTTTTTTATATGGAGAATATGATCTGGCCCCTGGCCACCTCTGTTTCATTTCATACTCTAACCTCCAACTTACTGTGCTCAACTCATGATGGTCTTCTTTCTATACTCCAATCATGCTAAATTCATTCCTGCCACAAGATCTTTCTACTCACTGGTCTATCTAACCAGCATACTCTTCCCCCAGATCTTTCTCAGCATGCAAACCTCAGTTTAAATGTCAGCTCCTCAGAGAGGCCTTCTCTTACCATCTAATAAAAAGCAGCACCCCACCGATCATTCTCTATCCTATTCCCGTTTTTTTTTTCCTTCATAGTAACTATTTTATCTGAAGAATCCCATCTGTCCATTTATTATTTTATTTTAGTTTATTTGAGACAGGCTCTCACTCTGTTGCCCAGGCTGGAATGCAGTGGCTGAAACACAGCTCACTGCGCCTTGACCTTTTGGGCTCAAGGAATCCTGCTGTCTCAGCCTCCTAAGTAGCTGGGACTGCGGGTGTGTGCCACCATGCAGCTAATTTAAAAGAATTTTTTTTTTAAGAGACAAGGTCTCACTATATTGCCCAGGCTGGTCTCAAACTCCTGGGCTCAAGCCAGCCTCTGAAAGTGCTGGGGTTACTGGCATGAGCCACTGCACCAAGCCCATATTTTATTGATTATTTCATCTACTAGAAGGTAAGCTCCACGAGAATAAGGATCTTGTCTATCTTGTTCACTGCCAGGTCCCCAGTTTCTAGAAAAATGACTGGCACAAAGAACTCATACAGTCTGTAGTCTTTGATAGGCTAACCCTCTCACTCCCTACCCTACACTGAACTACAAGCTCCATAAGGCAGGGATCATGTCTATTATGTTTACCACTGTACGTCTAGTGATTAGCATATTGCCTGGCAGTCTGTGCTCCATAAATATTCACTGAATGACCAACAGTTCACATGCCACACTGTCATATCTCTATTTCTTTCCATATGTTTTTGCTTCCTTCTATCTGGAATGCAGACTCTTATCCTCATGGCCAACTTCTATTCATTCTCTGAAGCTCAACTTAGATGTCACCTCCCTGAAAGCATTCTCTGACTCCATAAACCAAGTATGTTGCCCTGCTATGTTGGAAGGCACCCACGGCACTTATATAATATTATGAATACTGATTTCTCTATTGATCACATTCAAAAGTCTTTAGAAGTAGGTAGTACATATTTTTACTCAGTTTTCCTAGCACCTGGAAGAATGGCTGACATATAGCAGACCGGCATTTAGGCAATGGGGAATAAAATGGAAAAGTTCTTAATAAAAATTAAAATGCTTTCTCTCCATTTCATATATATGTGAAATTTCCATATATATATAGAAAGAGAGAGAAAGAGAGAGAAAAATGGTTTCAAGTCATAAGTCCTACAGTCAAGACACAACTTCATCCATTAGTAGTTGTATGATACTGCACAAGTCACTTAACCTCTATTTCAGTTTTCTCATAAAATGGAGACAAGAAAATCTAGCTACAAAGGTTTGTATAAGGATATGATAGAACATAAAGCACCCTGTAAACTTTAAGTATTATATTTATCAGTGCTACAATACCCAGCATTCTGAAGTGGCAAAGTTGTCTTTTTACCTTCTACTTAGTCAGGATTTAACTTATCTATATGTCTTTACTAAAATAAAGCTCTTATATGCCTTTATTTTCTGGCTAATAGAACTAATTTCCTATTTTAATAAATTTAAGTGACAGACTTATTGTCATGCAGTCTTTGGGTGCTTACTGTATGCTAGATGATGTCTGATCACTTTACATGGATTAACTCATTTGATCCTAACAAAAATCCAATAAGGAAGATGATGTTATTATTGCCATTTTAAACACGACTAAAGCAAGGTATAGAGAGGTTAAGAAACTTGCTTAAAGTCACTTAGGAAGTAACTGATACAGCCAGTGTTTGAACTTAGCCATTCTGCTCCTAGAACCTGTTTTTTTGAAAAGGGAAGGATTTCCAGTTGCCAGTTTATTAACATGCCATGATGCAAATCTGCCATGTTGAGAAATTTGTTTAAAATGTCAGACCTAGCAAAGCCAGACTCTTTCGACTTCATTCTTTGGATGAGTAAAGGAAGAGACTTCAAGTTTTTTCCTTGTTTAAAAAGCAGTCACAGAAGAACAGAACTTTCTTCCTGTCTGTTATTGTCATTCCCCCAGGAATGCATTTCCAGTTTTAACATAGAATTGATGATGGAAATTAGCTTCAAAATAGGCAATCTCACTTTACAGTAAACTTTCACAGGATACAACTATAATATCTATATTCAGGACTCCAGAAACATTGCTTAGTTTCATATATAAACAGAAAAGGATATTTTTTCAGCATATATAGGGTAGCTAGCCTTGCTGCTTGGAAGTTGGCTCTTAGAGTTCGGTAGACAGCTTTCCGAAGACCGATGAGATGCTGACTTGGATGCTGTCCAGCTTTATTAAATGGGCAAGCAGCACTGACCCTGTCAAGCAAACTTGAAAAGTAAAATGTGATACAACTGTACAGGTGTCCTAAAGTTTTTGTTTCCTAAATCCACAATTCTATTAAATGTAGAAAACAAATTCCTCTTTCATGATCTTCACTAGAAAATGATTATACATATGTCAACTCAGGTCTCATAAAATAGTCATTTCTGTGACTAGATATATATATATATGTATATATAGACAACCACTAAAAAAAAGACAAAAAATTAACATCTCAAAGAGCAAAGGCTTCCTCTGATGTGGGGAAACAATGGATTCTGGCTGAGATATAACAGAAATGTAGAAATATTTATTAAGAATCCACATCTTTTTTACATAGACACTATGCTTGCTAACATATATTAGAGAAGAGCTACTTTATATTCAGTTTTCAAAACCTATATCCATAGGAAGTATGAAGACCTTAATTATAAACACTTTTAAATTCTTAATATACATTTACATACGTTCATCACATATGTTCACTGATCATATTTTGGTCACTTGTACAGAAAAAATACTGTATAGAAATACATTCTGTACATTCATAAAAGTAGGGTAAAATTACTTACCCACCTGCTGCCACTGGCACTTACCTACTCAAAATGAAGTAGGGGACGTGGAAAGATAACAGGACCAGTGGCCAACAGGGGAATACAAGTAGAAAGGCAAAGTAAGGGTTACTGCATAGTAGCATAGCTACTCTCAAAGCTGTTCAAGAGGAAGCACATTTCATGGCACTTCCCATAAGATTAATGGGGAGTACCTAATTTGTAACAATGACATACAATGTATTACATTTCATAACTTACAGTATATATGAGTAAATACCTGGTTATCAGATAAATTTTTTCACCTAACCAGTAATCTTTCCCAACAGTAAAACAAAATATTGGCATTTGTAAATTGCTTATACTATAACACAAAGCTATAAAACAACACACCTAACTCAAAACTTTAAAAATGTTAAACCATACTAAAATGTATTCAGGTATTAAAAATCTATAAAAACCAAATTTTAAAAAATCTATAAAAAGCAGAGGATGATGACTGACAGGCTTATGTTAAGACAAGGGAATGAAGGCAAAAAAGGTTTCAATTATTTGTGAGAGAGGACAATTTGAGTCAGAAACAAAACAGCATTCATGATTTCAATATATGGCACTACTGCTTGTGCTCCATTTTACTAAATCAGTTTTAAAAACTGTCTAATTTTGAAAATGTCTAAAAAATTATGATTCAAGACTTATTATTCATTTTTCAACCCATTATCCAGTTAGATAGAGACAAAGGAAGCACAATTTCTTCCAATACTTCTCTTCGTCTGTCATCTGAATGGGTAGAAGTCATAATCTGGAAGGTAAATCATGTCTAACTGGCCCACTTTACCTCTTCGTGCAAATTCCATGGGGACAGATAAAGTTGGAAAATGACACAAGGCACAGAATCCTCTATACACGCCTAACCATTAGTTGAACAAAGCCACTTTGTTCAACCAGTAAGTCCTCTCAATAAAATAAAAAGGAACTATTACTTTTTTTTTGTTTTTGAAACGGAGTCTCGCTCTGTCGTCCAGGCTGGAGTGCAGTAGCGCGATCTCGGCTCACTGCAAGCTCTGCCTCCCGGGTTCATGCCATTCTCCTGCCTCAGCCTCCCGGGTAGCTGGGTCTACAGGCACCCGCCACCACGCCCGGCTAATTTCTTTTTGTATTTTTAGTAGAGACGGGGTTTCACCGTGTTAGCCAGGATAGCTACGATCTCCTGACCTCGTGATCCGCCCGCCTCGGCCTCCCAAAGTGCTGGGATTACAGGTGTGGGCCACCGTGCCCGGCCGGAAATATTACTTATTTTAAGCATGATTTTTTTAAACTTTTAAAATTTGACACTTAAACAACTTAAAAACGTGCTATCCTTTAAGTCAATAAGAAGTAGACTTCAACTAATGCAACGACAAAAATCAACAGATGCTAAGAACTTTTATACTTTTTTTTTTGAGACCAAGTCTGTTGCCCAACCTAGACAGAATCTGTTGTCTCCAGTTCTGTTGCCCAAACTGGAGTGCAGTGGCACAATCTTGGCTCACTACAGCCTCAACCTCCTGGGGTTTAAGCAATCCTCACACCTCAGCCTCCCGAGTAGCTGGGACTACAGGTGTGTGCCACCACGTCTGGCTAATTTTTTATTATTTGTAGAGATGGGGTTTTGCTAGATTGCCTAGGCTAGTCTTGAACTCCTGGGCTCAAGTGATCCTCATGCCTCGACCTCCCAAAGTGCTGGGATTACGGGTGTGAGCCATTGTGCCTGGCTGACTTTTATACTTTGATTGAGAAGAAAGAGAAATTATAAAATCCATCTTATGTCTTGGGATTGTGTGTAGAACACAAGAGAGTAAAGAACAAGATAACTACTGGGATTCTTCCATTTCTCTATTCCATGATTTTTTAGAAACAGTGTTTATCTCAAGATTGTGTAATGTTCTAGAGCAGAACAGAGTGAAGGATGCGATGGCTACCAGAGGTTCTTCACTCCCTCTTTTCATGATTTTCTAGATACGACTAATTAAGAGCTATGAATGTTCTTCACCATATGCTTACTTTCCCCCACCTATAGATTGCAAAAGTTATATAGGTTATATAAATTATTAAATATACTAGCACACAACTGTCATCTGTTAGTGTTTGGCAGGTGTCCAGTGTACTGCAAGCCGGGTTTAGAATCAGATGGAATGGATATGAATATTTACCATTTATAATTCTATGCCTTTAGTTGTATGCAAAAGTGACTAGCATAGTATATGGAATATAGTTGGTGCTCAATAAATGTAACTTTCCCTTTAATAATAGATTAAGTAGTCAATATATCCTACAGCTTAATATACTTACAGCTAGACTGGTGAATATTTAATTTCCTGTAAGAATGGAAAACATCACTATTTGCATGATATTCTGAGAGTATCAGTGCTATAATATCTGCTAATATTTACCTGAACAGTTATTAGTACATGTCAAGAGTTTTCAAAATGCATTTATAGCAGATACGTCTATCATAAAGAAGGCATTTGAAAGGGAGTAATGGGAGCAAGCATTTACTGGGTAACTACTGCACGTTAGGTTCAGTATCAGACACTCTCTATATATTATCTCATATAATCACATGGTAACATACAGAAATAATCATGATCTCCAAAGTACTTTAGTTCCTCAAAGCAGATAGGCAGAATCATACTACATATTAAATCTAGCACATAATGTATTTATTCCTTCACTTAGCAGTTAATTGACTTTAGTAAGTACTAAAGAGAAAAGCACTTTTTTTTCCTATAAATGCAACATAGAAATGAAAATAGGTAATAAATATTCTCCTTTATGGAATAGAAAATAATCATTTAAGAAATAAAATAAAAAATGAACTCACAGTGTAAATCCTCTGGAAATCACTTCGGTTTCTTGAATGAGACGTAAAGCTTTTCTCACGAGGTTAGTAAAAGCTCGGCTGTTTGTGGCCATATCTTCCAAATGAACGCTGTATTTTTTTAGGGTCACTTGTAGTTTGGCTGTCCTCCATAATCTCAAAGCTCTTATGACCAGATACACAAATAGAATCACTCCCCATACCAGCCAGGAAGACACAATCCACCAAGTGGGAAGCATAACGAGCAAGCTAATGAAGGCAAATAGCATTGAGAGATCCCTGGGAACAAGAAAGGAAGAAAATGATATGCATCAGATTAGAGAAAGAAAGATGAATTACTTTAATCAGTAAAAACAAAATTTAAATTTAGGTTTACTAAATAAATAAAATGCTAGCTTCTTTGTAAAGCATAACTTAAAAATATATGACATTTAAGAAGGTGATGTGAAAGATTTTTAAAATACCTCGCAACTAGACAATAGTGCTTAGGTATTAACATCTGAGCTGATAAATTTAAGTAAGAAAACAGGTATCTTCTGGAATCAGGTAAAGCTGATTTCACAAAAGAAACTCAAATTCTCTGTAGGTGCTGACTGAATGCTGGGCAGAACCAACAAAAGGCCTCTACATTTCCTACATATACAGAATCTGGAGCTAGAAATACCACCCATCGCCTGCAGGATAAAATCAAACTTCATTAGCTCAGTCTACAAAATCCTTCAGAAGTTGGCCCAGAACATGTCTTGAGTCAGATCAGCATCCCAGCCCTCAACTCCAAGCATTGTAAACCAGAACATCTCTTCCTTCTCTTTCCTTTTTGCCTGGTGTCATCTTATATTTAATACCAAAATCCTATGCGTTCAAACCTTCCTCTGACACCAAGTCTTCTGTGAAGATTTTGCCAAAAGCTTGAAATAGTTACTTCTAATTTTAGCCAACCCCTCTTCTGTGACCCCAAAGAAATTGCTACATTTCTCTTTATGACATTAATAAAAATGATAATAAATATAACAATAGGCATCTTCTGAAACCACTTTTAAAAAAATAAAAAATATATGGAATCCTTAACCTAAAAAGCAAATTAGAGATTTTAAAATCCGATTTTATAGATTTAAAAGTAAAAATACTATTTCAGAGATATTATAAATCCCTTTTCCTAAAATCAAACTTTATTTGCATAGAAACACATACTAGATCAAGAATATGTACACATTTTTCCAATTAGAAATGATACACACTTGATGAGTAATTGTTTGAATAAAGTCCTCTAATTTTAAATAATCATCATCAATTTGGAATATACATACTTACCACAGACCATGATATGGACAAGGTTTGTACTTTTATACTACTTTAATTGAAACAAAAATATGTACACATTTTAAAATTCATATCAATTGCAAGTCTAACAGACTAAAATACATCTTTAAAGCAATGAATGCTTTGGTGAAAATGTGTATATATAAGAAAGAGGGGGCCAGGCACAGTGGCCCACGCCTGTAATCTCAGCACTTTGAGAGGCACAGGTGGGAGGACCACTTGAGCCCAGGAGTTCGAGACCAGACTGGGCAACACAGTAGGACCCCTTCTCTACAAAAAATTTAAAAATTAGCTGGGTGTGGTTGCATGCATCCGTAGTCCCTGCTATTCGGAGGCTGAGGCGGAGGGATCACTTGAGCAGGCTGCAGTAAGCCGAGATCATGCCACTGCACTCCAGCCTGGGTGGCAAAGCAGGACCTTGTCTCAAAAAAAAAAAAAAAAAAAAAGAAAAGAAAAGAAAGAGGGGAGTATAAGGGGGATGTGTCTGAGAATAGCTGAAAAACAGCAATATTTGGAAAGAGTTATAATAATCATATTGCAAAGAAAATCACATGCAATTTCTTATTAAATATTTGCCCTGGCCAGGTGCAGGGGCTCGTGCCTGTAATCCCAGCACTTTGGGAGGCTGAGGCAGGCAGATCACTTGAGTTCAGGAATTCAAGACCAGCCTGGGCAACATGGCAAAACCCTGTCTCTGAAAAAAATACAAAAATTAGCCAGGTATGGTGGCATGCTCCTATAGTCCCAGGTATTTGGGAGGCTAGGGCAGGAGGATCACTTGAGTCTAGGAGGCTGAGGCTGCAGTGAGCTGAGGTCACACCACTGTACTCCAGCCTGAGCAACAGAGACCCTGTCTCAAAAAATAAGTAAATAAATAAATATTTGCCCTAATTTCCTTTAGAATCCTTTACTTTTCAGATAATACTGGCAATACCATAAAGCAAAATCTCATCATATACTTTTGTATGTTAATAGTAAACTCTAAAATCATTTATAGGTCTCATAGTTGCTTGATTATATTTGTGGGTAAAGGAAAGTTAGTAAAGTAGTAAATTCTTAAAACCTATGGTTCCTTCTATCAGCTCCTTAAATTCTTGTATTTTTGAAGGATAAGAAGCTTTACTTCTTCATGATCATATCTGAGTGACTGCAGAATGAAGCATTTGTCAGTGTGACAGGGAAGACATAAATACAGAACCTTGAGGCCAATGAATGTAACTGCCTATATAACTTGAACAGTTTGAATAGTGATTTAGTGTACTTCTTGATTCATTCCTCCCTTCTATGTCAAATTTAATAAAGTACTTTAACAGGAAGAAGACATCAATAATTTTTTATATATAATCGCTTTTTGCTACACATTCTTTTTTTTTCTTTTAACAGATTATTGCTTGGGACTTCTGCTCTAGACCCAAATAGTTCAAGAGGTTGAAAAGTTTTAGGATGGTCTGAATGAATCATCAAATCACATTCCCTGTGATCTTTTCTCAGCCAACACAGCCAGAATCAACTGCCTACCTCCATGTCCCATCCTATTCTTGGTGTCTCTACAATATAGTTACGATAAAACCTATTAATTATAAAGAAACACAAAGAAGGTTAGGTTTGCATGCACACATGTGAATAGGTGTATGGGTAAAATAAATTCTTTTTTTTTTCCCCTTAGAGACAGGGTCTCGCTTTGTTGCTCAGGCTGGAGTGCAGTGGTGTGATCACGGCTCACTGCACTCTGCAACTGCTGGGCTCAAGCAATCCTCCCATATCAGTCTCCCAAGGAGCTAGGTCTACAGACATATGCCAACATACCTGAACTCATTTTTTCATGTTTTGTAGAGATGGGATTTTGCTACGTTGCCCAGGCTGGTCTCAAACTCTTGGCCTTAAGCAATCCTACCACCTCAGCCTCCCAAAGTGTTGGGATTACAGGCATGAGCCACTGCACCTGGCAGAGTAACTTTTTGGCACTTGTTATACCCATTTGCTAGGTTGCTGAGCACAGAACTAATTTTAATGAGTTGGAAGTATATAATAACCAAATTGGATTTTTTTCCCTAGCTTCACTTTAAATAGTATTTACTTTAGAAAGGCACTTTTTCCCCCCATATTGTTACTTTAATTGTACTGCTAAATGTATGGAATGTTTATGCCTTTACAATGGAGAGCACAATGATGGGTTTCCTCTGCTAATACTCTGTATGTAAGCAGTCAAAGAATAGGTGTTTTCTGGACAGTACCAAATATTAGGGGTTGCCAGGGAGCAAAGTGTTGGAAGGTGTCCATTTTCCTGTTGTTGAGATTGCCCTGCAGACAGGATACTGGGATCAAGTAGCTCAATCAGCTCCACATCCTCTTGTAACAGGACTTCCTGTTGCAGGATGGTATGTAATGAGTCGAGTCGGAATCCAATATCCTTGCCATTAAAATACCAGAAGAGAGGTATTAACACATATATAATATTGCATTAAACGCTAAGCTCCTAATGTACTAATAAAATTTGGTGGTGTTTATTTTCAGAAGATACTTCAAGAAGAAACAACAGTCCAATCTACCTTCAGTATGATAGCTGGGTTTTATTTTCACTGTAAATGTGAAACAGTAAAGGTTGAGATAGACATTATTGAGCCATCAGATGTAAAAGATAAATTTTTAATAACAAGATGTAAAGTAATTACAGATTAACAAACTTGTCTAGTTAAGCCTAATTGATTAAATTGCTAGGGCACGACATGGAAAATATAATCCTATAACATAAAAGATGCTGTCCCTGAAGCTGTAACAATATAGCCAATATTTAAGAATTTTATTAGCAGGATCAAGGCCTCCTAAAAATGGATATTCAGATATTTAAAAATACACTATTAAGGAATGCAATGTAAAATCACACTAACATTTGCATAGCACTTTATAGTTTACAAAATGCCTTCACATATACGAGCTCATTTATTTCTCCTTCTCTTCTTTCTATTCATCTATCAAGGAATATCTTCTATAAGCCAGGCATCAGGCTTGACACTGAAGACACAAAATGAAAAAGATATACAAGTCTCTATTCTTAAAGAGTTCGTAGTTTAATGAAGTGACCCAAAAAGTAAACAGTTGCAATATAACATGCAAAGGAGTGTGATGAAATACACCTAGAGTACTATGAAAATGGCATAGAGGGACCAAGCCTGTAATGAAGTCAGAGAAAGTAAAAGAGGTGAAGCCTGAGCTAAGTTTTAAAGGATGAACAAAAATTGACCAGACAAAGGAGTTGGAGAAGTGGGATGGTACAGGATAAAAGCCTTTCTAATTTGGGGAAGTGTGAGTCGTCGATATTAGATGATATTATTAATAGATTGTGCACAGAGTGCACATGGTAGAGAGGTGAGAGATGAGGTAGCACTGTTAGGGCAGATAGGTGAATTCTCACAGTAACCCTGTGATGTACCTTATCATCCTCCTCTCCATTATGTAGGGGAGAACACCAAAGCCCAAAGAGATTAAGTAACTTTCCAGAATTTTGATTTCAAATCCTAAGCGTTTGGTAGCTGTGTTTCCCTGCATATAGTCTGCCTCAAAAGAAAATTTAAAGTTGTATTTTGTATTAAATTTAAACAAATAGAGGCCGGGTGCAGTGGCTCACGCCTGTAGTCCCAGCACTTTGGTAGGCCAAGGTGGGCGGATCACCTGAGGTCAGGATTTCGAGACCAGCCTGGCCAATATGGTGAAACCCCATCTCTACTAACATACAAAAATTAGCTGGGCATGGTGGCACATGCCTGTAATCCTGGCTACTTGGGAAGCTGAGGCAGGAGAATCTCTTGAACCCAGGAGGCGGAGGTTGCAGTGAGCCGAGATTGTGCCACTGCACTACAACCTGGACAACAGAGCAAGATTCCGTCTCAAAAAAAATAAAAATAAAAAATAAACCAAAACCAAACAAACAAATTTAGTACTAGAGTGATCCTACTATATGATCAAAATAAAGAGAATGATGGACAAGGCCATTAACAATTAAAGTAAAACCTGTTAGGTCTAGGGTGTGAAGGCAACAGGTTTGCTCTTCTTAGTTAATTTAATCATCCCCACACCACACATTCCAGGCCTCGCTGATCATAATGAGGACTTCAGTAAGAATGAGGTGAACCATATATCAAACTGAGCCCATGACCTCTTGATCAGGGTTATATGCCACTTTTAGAGAAGAAGATTTTTAATATTAGGTGCATTTAGATATATTTTATTTATCTTCAGTCCAAAAAGAGAGCATCTTCTCAATGGAATGTTGATCTTTCTTTTAGCCTGATATGGCTTTTTTTTTTTTTTTTACCATCTACTGACACACTCTGCATGTACCTCTGCAGCACTTTTATGTTTCATATTTGAACAACTGCCTCTTCTCTCTTCCCACAATTCTGATTCTAACATTAGGAACCACTTAATTTGACATCCCACCCCACTTTCATAAAAACAGAGCAACACAACTCACTTTATACTATTGTTCAGAGGGGAGAAAAAAGGAGCGCAGGGGCATGGTAGCTTTTTGAGTAATCTCTGAAATTGATCTTACTATTTGGTTCCCCAATTAGACACAGCCATATTCAATGCAAGTATTAAAAATCAAACTTTTGCTACAAAAGCTTTAGACCATACCTTTTATGAGACTTCTATGTACCTATATAAGGTAAGTTTGAAGAAGCCTAACGAGTTGAAGGCTAAAGCTGACAGAGAGTGGAAAAGCCAGTAATATTCAATGGCAGTGCTCTCTCTTCACAGATATTCTACTTAATCAGTTACTCACTTTCTTTAACACCATTCCCTGGCATCAGACTTATGTGTAAAACTGGGATAACACCTCCCCAAAACCAACGTGCTTAGAGGAAGTATTAATAGCATTAGGAATATCTGATTTAAGAATGTGACAAACCCACTGGGCACTGTGGTTCACCCCTGTAATCCCAGCACTTTGGGAGGCTAAGGCGGGCAGATCACTTGAGGCCAAGAGTTCAAGACCAGCATGGCCAACAGAGTGAAACCTCATCTCTACTAAAAATACAGATATTAGCCAGGTTTGGTGGCGTGCACCTGTAGTCCCAGCTACTTGTGAGGCTGAGGCACAAGAATTGCTTGAGCCTGGGAGGCAGAGGTTGCAGTGAGCCGAGATGGTGCCACTGTACTGCAGCCTGAAAAATAGAAGGAGACTCTGTCTCAAAAAAAAAAAAAAAAAAAAAAAAAGTGATCAACCAACAACCTACAATCATCTATGAATACAAATAAACTTGAAAGGCACCAAGACACTCCAAATAACTAAAACAATGTTATCTTAGTGATTAGATTGCCTCACGTAGAGGAAAAACTTGAACTATATACTGATTATTATAACGGTTTAAATTGAATCAGATTAATGAATTAAGTTTCTTTCTTAAGGATAAAATGTAAAATTAGATATTACTCTTTGATTATAAAAATAAGAACTGCAGAAAACATGTTAACTGTGTTACAAGGTAACAATCAAACTACCAGAAAAACTGACACCTGCAAATTAAGAAACATGTCATGACAGTACTATTTGGACTGGGAAGCCCAGATCCAGGTCTCAAACAAATGAAGAAACTGAAAAGGTGCTAATTCTGATCGATTTAAATATTAGCAGGTATCACCTGCATGGCTGGAGGCTCTATGCTCCTGGGATGTGTACTATGTAAACTTTGGCACATTTTCAACAAGTCTGAGTGCCAGGACTTAGTGTCTAGCTTTATATCCTTGCTCCACAACTTAAGCATGTTAATAAGCTCTCTGTGCCAGTTTCCTCTTTGGCAAAAGTGGGATAATAACAGTAGCTACTTCACAGGGTTGTTATGAGGATTAAATAAGTCAGTATCTATAAAATACCAAGAAGAGTGGCTCATAGTAAGCACTGTATGTTAGCTATTACTGTTGTCACTATCTATGCAATAACTGAAACAATAAAGAAAAGCACACGTTGGATATATTACAATACAAAAACTTATAGAACACAAAGTAATTATTACTAGGTTGATGCAGAAAATAAGAGACACAATAGGCTGAAGTTTCGGGAAAGCTTTGAGAAAAAGCTAGGAGTGCTTATTGAAAAGATTCTAATGGATCAAGAAAAAAAAAACAGAAAGTATTCCATCACAGTATAAGAGCACAAACATAGACATACAGAATAAGTACGGAATAAAGGAAAATGAAGACTGGGTTCATTGATACAAATACTGGTGGACAAAGCTGGAAAGGTAGGTTAGGGCCAAATTATGCAGACTCTTTAGTGCTGACGTGACAAATTTGGACTTGATTTGATTGATAAAGATCTTTCCAGGATCTAAATAGGGAAGTGGCATGAGAAAGTACTTAGGAATTCCTTTCTGCATGGATGAAATGAAAGGTTATGAGAAGGCACAGATAAAAAATTAAGAGATTTTGATTTCTTTTTCCTTAGGGATGAAGAAGAGAACTTATTCATTTGTCAGTATTCTTCAAAGATCTTAATCACTTTGGATATCATGGGGCTTTTTATACAAGGATCAAATAAGATAACACGTGTGAAAGCACTTTATAAGCTAAAAGGCACTTAAAAAGTGCCATTACCACTACCCATCATGGTTGCTATAAAGGATTTTTTTAATTTTTAAGAAAAGTACTATAAAAATGAACATTAGTAAAATGTTCAGATATCACAGAGCAATTGCCAATATTCTTACAAAAGAAATGAGGGCCTGCTTCAATATCTGTATAGCTAACAACATTTTAAATACGTCACAATCAAGGGGAAAAAGTCAAGCAATCTCACGCCAAAAGCCACCTTGGCAATTTCTTGTTCCATTACTAGTAAACTAATCCTTAGGTATGTATTCTTATAGTTCTCCATAATATAGGCACAAAAGGGATGCATACAGAAGCTGGCACTGTATAGTGAAACATCACATGAAACATGTGGCCAGTGACACAGAATCAAGAATGAAAAGACCAGGCCTAGGCAGACTATGACTAAATCACAGAAAAATGTATATGGATCCATATACCTTACCACAGTCCTAGTATCACTGAAGAATGAGATGGCTCCACCTGGATAAAAATGGCATTATATGTAGACGATAAGACACTTCATTGACCTTCTCAATACACCTTCAACAAAGATGAAACCCTGAACAAAGAACTTGACAATTTGGATTGCTAAAAAAGTAATTTTAGTCAGCCAAAAAATAATAATACTTGAGCTAGAGAGGTCGTATGCTATAGCAGAAAGAGCATGGCTTTGGAACCAAGAGACCTGGGTTCAAATTCTGGCTCTATCACTTTCTAGCTGAACATTTTTAGACAATTCACTCAGTAAGTTATTAAAACAAACTGATTGTCTGAACCTTGGTTTTCTCGTTACTGAAGCAGACTAAATCTTATAGTGTTGTTTAGATTACCAAATCAAAATGTGAAAGCACTTTGTAAACAATCTCCTTACAAATGTTAATTTACAGGAATGATAATTCTTAAGGTTACAGGCCAGCAGAGATCCTGAAACCTGCTTACTTGTAACTACATTACTCCTTCTGGGAGCCATGAGAACCACATAACTTGAATTTTTAGGCTATACTCCCTGGATTTTGTATTGTTAGGACGTCAGAAGGTTGAAGTATTTCCCCCCTGGAGTTCTGTTACAGCAGAGAGTAGAAAAAAACAAAGCCTCACAAAAATCACAAAGACCTTTCAGGTTGACTGTTTCGAGTCTTTGGGAAATTCTGTGATTTAACAGATTGAATTGATCCCACTAATGACATATTCCTTTACCTATAGAGAGGGATACCTGTCAATGGAGGAAGAGGGCAATAGTAAATTAGCAATCTAACAAATAACGTTTCAATAACTATCAGAGTATTCCATTCTGAGTGGCTAATAACCTCTTTAAAAGCTATAAACAATACCAGTAAGCCCAAATTAAAAGATCCTGAGTTACTGCAGAATCTCTAGTAAAAATCAATTGCTGGCCAAATTGATAGCAAAACAAATTCTGATTCACCAATTATTTCACTAATAACCTAGAACCCTGAAAAGTGGCAAAAAGAAGTGACCACTTACCAACTTGTGAAGTAAGTCATCTTTCTTATTGCACTGAGAAAAAAAAATCCAACTTTTGATGGTTTCAGCCACTTTTAACAGGATACCTTGCTGAAGGAAATGAATGACATTGTATAGGATTATTAAAAGCATACCCAAACAGCAGAAAAACTTCAAAGTACTTACCTCCAATCAATGAGAATTTATATCAGAAAAGGAAGAAAAAAATTGTCCAGGTTATATACCTTGTCAGTACATCTCAGCCTCCTTATTAGTTCCTAAATTTTGTTGCATATCAGGATCACCTGGAGATTTTAGTTAGAAACATATTCTTGGGCCCCCAAACTAAAGATTCTGATTCAATACATTTGGAATGAGGCCTGAAAATCCGATTTTTAAAGAGCAGGCAGAAGTCATTCTGAAGCAGCCCATTTATCCTGGGGAGACTATGTACTATGTCAACATGATGATAGTATTTATTTCAGAAAGAAAAATCATAGGGTGGTTACAAGTTCTCAAATATTAAGACCATTTCATTCCACAATACTAAGTCAAAAAGATACTTTGACCATTTTAGAAAAACTGTCATATATTGATAAAAAAGCTTTACTACTGAATCAACCAAAAATTCAATTTACCTTAATAGCCCATTCCTTGAGCATGCCAGTAAGTGCAGTTTATATTCATTGAGTGATTACTATATCCCAGGTACTGCAAAGGGTCATGGGAAAAAAGATAAATACATGTAACTATTGTTTTCAAGAACTTAGTATAGAAGAAGAGACAATATAAAGAATTACAATCAATGTAAAGTCTGAAAAAGTATTGGAAAAGAGGAGGTCAGAGAGGAGCTAACACTGGAGTTCAGTCCTAACGGATGAGTAGGAATTTAACAAAGAAGGGAAGAACGAGTTGGGCACGGTGGCTCATGCCTGTAACCCCAGCACTTTGGGAGGCCGAGGAGGGCGGAGCACCTGAGGTCAGGGGTTTGAGACCAGCCTGACCAACATGGAGAAACCCCGTCTCTACGAAAAATACAAAATTAGCCAGGCATAGTGGTGCATGCCTGTAATCCCAGCTACTCGGGAGGCTGAGGCAGGCGAATCACTTGAACCCGGGAGGCAGAGGTTGTGGTGAGCCGAGATCGCGCCATTGCACTCCAGCCTGGGTGACAAGAGCGAAACTGCATCTCAAAAAAAAAAGAGAAGATCACTTCAGTCAAGGGAAGAGGATGAAGGAAAGAGCCATTAAAGCACATGTCATGGGGATGGTGGCGCACTCCAGGACAGTTATGACCCAAGAGAAGAAGGGATTAGTAAGGAAGTTAAAAAGGTACACTGAGATAGGTTTTAAAGGATCTTAGACTTACACACCATAATAGTATGAACATTATCCTGTAGGGTGTGAGGAGCTACCAAAGATTTTTATGCAAGGAAGCGAAACAATAAAGAAAAATAATTGGCAATAGTGCAGGGGCTAAACTGGCAGGGTATGATTGTAGACAAGAAGCATGATTAAAAGGATATTCAAGGCCGGGGGCGGTGGCTCCCGCCTGTAATCCCAGCACTTTGGGAGGCCGAGGTGGGTGGATCACAAGGTCAGGAGTTCGAGATCAGCCTGGCCAACATAGTGAAACCCCGTCTCTACTAAAAATACAAAAAATTAGCCGGGCGTGGTGGTGGGCACCTATAATCCCAGCTACTCAGGAGGCTGAGGCAGGAGAATCGCTTGCACCCGGGAGGTGGAGGTTGCAGCGAGCTGAGATCGCACCACTGCACTCAAGGCTGGGCGACAGCGCGAGACTCCATCTCAAAAAAGAGAAAAGAAAATTAATCACTCAGCTAAATAACAATAAAGGCCTTTAAGTTAGGTAATGAGTACAAAAAAGATCATGAATAAGAGTTAGATTTAAGAGACACAGAAGCTGACTTGATGTATCACTTGATGACCAAGGCTATGTCAGCGCGATTGGAAATGGTATGGTAACTGAGAGGGTGGTGATTTGGGACTATTAAAAAGAACACTTTTTGTTTGTTTGTTTTGGGGGTGTCTGAGGGGGTAGTGATTTGGGACTATTAAAAGGAACATTTTTTGTTTGTTTGTTTTGGGGGTGTCTGAGGAAGTCCTATTTTAGACAAGTTGAATCTGAGCTTTGTGGGGCACATGTAGAAGAAAATGTCTAACAAGCACCTGGAACTCAGCAAAGCCTGGAGAATGGACATAAGTGGCAAGAAAGTAGATGAGATCCCCAGAGAAGATATCAAGCCAACGAGAAGCCTGCTGCTAAAACTCTATGGAATGAATTTAAGAATAATCACAGGAAAAGAAACCAGAAAAAGAGACAGAATGAATATTCATAGTAAGAATATCAGGGCAGACTACTTAACAACTACTAACAAGCATATGCAAAAATAAAGTTAAAAAAGAGAGAGCAATTAATGCTAAGGATGGTTTCATTAAGAACTCATAGAAAAACAGCTTTTCAGAGGAAATAATTGATACTTCATTCCTTGAACAGAATTTTGGGAGCAATTCTAAACATACATTCCCTGACAATGAGCTAAACAATACAACAAGTTTTCTAAAATTTAGCTCTCCCCAAATTAGGAAAAAAATTGGTCGGGCATGGTGGCTCATGCCTGTAATCTCAGCAGTTTAGGCCAAGGTAGGCGGATCACTTGAGGTCAGGAGTTTAAGACCAGCCTGGCCAACAAGGTAAAACCCCATCTCTACTAAAAATACAAAACTTGGCTGGGCGTGGTGGCCTGTGCCTGTAATCCCAGCTACTTGGGAAGCTGAGGCAGGAGAATTGCTTGAACCTGGGAGATGGAGGTTGCAGTGAACCAATATTGCGTCACTGCCCTCCAACCTGGGCGACAGAGTGAGACTCCGTCTCAAAAAAAAAAAAAAAAAAAAAAAAAGAACTTCGTTTTAGAAAAATATAGATCCTACAGTTAAAAACTTGTCTTAGAAATGTGCAATATGGCTGGGTGTGGTGGCTCACATCTGTAAGGCCAAGGTAGGAGGACTGCTTGAAGTCAGGAGTTTGAGACCAACCTGGGCAACATAGTGAGTGGTAATTTTTAAATCTTTACAAAAAATAAAGAAGAAAATTAGCTGGGCATGGTGGCACATGTCCGTGGTCCCAGGTACTTGGGAGGCAGAGGTGGGAGGATCACTTGGGCCCAGGAAGTGAATGCTGCAGTGAATTGTAATCACACCACTGCATTCCAGCCTGGGTGACAGGGGAAGACCCTATCTCAAATAAATAAATAAATAAATAAAATGAAGACAAAACAAACTTTCTAGACATATGATAATTTTTTTGAGATGGGGTCTTGCTATGTTGCCCCAGCTGGTCTCCAACACTTGGGCTCAAGTGGTCCTTCTGCCTCAGCCTCCCAAAGTGCCGGGATTATAGACATGAGCCATTGTGCCCAGCCTGGTAATTTTTTAAAACAACCTCTGGCTATGCTTTTTATTGTTCCTCAGTTTCTGAGGGGATTCAATTTTAAACTCTCACTTGACTTATTTATAAACTAGCAACAACATTTCTATATATAAAAATACTTGTCATAAATGACAATAATACCTATAAAACCCAAGTTTGTATCAAAACAAAACAAAACAAAAAATTAGAGGTCAATGACCATCTGCTGCTCTAAGACTATCCCCTGGCCATTCTTTGTTTTGTGTTGCCAAGTAACCTCAAATCCAAGCTTATTAAATAGCCTATTATATACAAACCACTTCCCAGGAACATTCACTCTTAAAAGGGGCACAGGGAAGAAATGGTATAAATGGAGGACTAGGAAAACTGGTTCTGATCCATGTGAGCTCTAACTCTCCTAACTCTCACCTTCTGGGTGTTAGTCAAAAAATTCTCTAGTGTTTACTAGACTATTACAAATGGGCCAGCTTGGTTACCTCACATTTTAGGTGTCTTTGTAAGAAGATTGGGGAAAGGATCCTTCTGCCAATCCATACTTTCCCTGTAAATGACTAATTGAAAGTTTTAAATGCTCCTCTCAATAGTGATAAAACACTGATTAAACTAGAATGCTCAAGGAATGAGGAAATTTGGTTATGTTTTTTCTATTAAATTACAATTCCTTTGGTTAAAACTAAAATATACTAGACATGTAGACAGAGGTTAAGAACATAAACTCGGAGTAAAGTACAGGTTCTAATCCCAACTCTACCTCTTACAAGCTAAGTAACCTATGATAATTTATAATCCTCCTATGCTTCAGCTGTCTCATCTAAAAATAGAGTAAATTTATTTTTTTTTCTTTGAGACACAGTTTTGCTCTTGTTGCCCAGGCTGGAGTGCAATGGCACAATCTTGGTTCACTGCCACCTCCGCCTCTCAGGTTCAAGCGATTCTCCTGCCTCAGCCTCCCGAGTAGCTGGGATTACAGGCGCCCGCCACCACGCCCAGCTAATTTTTCCATTTTTAGTAGAGACAGGGTTTCACCATGTTGGCCAGGCTGGTCTCGAACTCCTGACCTCAGGTGATCCACTCGCCTTGGCCTCCCAAAGTGCTGGGATTACAGGCGTGAGCCACCGCGCCTGGCCCATAAATTTCTTATTTTAGTAAACATGGCTAGCAGGACATAAATGAATCCAGAAAATGCATTTTGTAGAACATAATTAATGGAGATTTTTCTAGTATCTCGGCCTCAATGCTGGACATCGACTATGAGATATTTAATGTATAAAAGTATTTAATTCTATAGATAAAAAAGTCACCAGAAGTTATGCTCACTCCATTATCTACACCTGAAACTGTGTTTAAGAAATATCAATTTGCGTTCTTGTCATTCATGCTGTTTTTTAAAAAAAAGATTTAAAGAGAAAAATCCAGTTAGTAGAGGATTCCTATTAGTTGTGCTCTCATTAAAGTTTTAGTATATTTTTTTCGATTCTGTTTGGATAGCATCAATATTTAAATAAGTAATGTATTTTAATTCTCTACCAAATTATTTCCTCACTGGATATAAATTACCTACAAAGTATTCCAAAGCAGTAAGGATTCATGTTTATCTAACAGAAAGTTTTGTACTATTGATGAAATAAATAGTCTTACCAGTGTGAGGGAGGATATGGAAGTGCTTAAGAAGTATCTGAATAGCCAGTAAGGTAAAGTGCAAAAGATTCGGCCAGAAAGAATGAGCATGCGTTCTTACTTTTGGTAGGACTCTTGTAGGAGGCTTTTGTTGTCCCTCTGTTGTGCATTTTTCTGTTTTTGGTGACAAAGAAGAACATATTTCAAAGTCTGTGTGTCCCAGATCCTGTAAGTATTGGTAAAGTGGAGAATTCTGAAAAAGACACAAAATAAAGCAAATTTCAAGATCATTACTACTTCAAAAGTTTCGGGGGCCAAACTTAATACCAGACTTCACTATTGTGACCAGTATGTCCAAATTCTTTAAGGCTTCTTCTATAAGAACTGAATTATCTGTTATAATACAATGCCATTTAACACAAACAAATCAACAAACAATTCAACAGAGGAACCCAAAAAAGGAAAAACTCTAAATAAAACACACAGATTTTTTTTTTGAGTGAGTACCAGCAAGAAAAAATGAATTTAGGAATATAAATAGATTGTTAAGCAATTTCACTGTCCCAAATTTTATAGTCTTAGATTGCTTCAAAATAGCCAATGTTATAGATAACTCAAACGACAATGTTATTACTCAAAGCCAAGAATAATTAAACAATGATTATATTGTATGAATTATAATATTTTTATCATCTCATCATATTCCTTAATTCATTCAAGCACAAATACGTATTATCTACCATATGCTCAGCACTGTGAACAAACTTAAAACTCTTCAATAATGTTACCTTAGATAAGCTATATCTTACATACGAGCATATGACAAATAGAACACAGTATGGCTAACAAAAGCATTAGAACACAGAGGTTAAGAATACAATCTGCTGGGCACAGTGGCTCATGCCTGTAATCCCAGCACTTTGGGAGGACAAGGTGGGTGGATCATCTGAGGTGAGGAGTTTCAGACCAGCCTGGCCAACATGGTGAAATGCTGACTCTACTAAAAATATAAAAATTAGCCAGGCATGAAGGCTTGTGCCTGTAATCCCATCTACTCGGGAGGCTGAGGCAGGAGAATCGCTTGAACCCAGGAGGCAAAGGTTGCAGTGAGCCGAGATCACGCCACTGCACTCCAGCCTGGGCGACAAGAGCAAAACTCCATCTCAAAACAAACAAACAAAAACCAATCTACAGATTCAAATCCCGACTCTGCCTCTTACTAGCTAAGTAACCAGGAAATTTATAATCCTTTTGTGCATCAGCTGTCTCATCTAAAAATAGCAGTAATAGCACTTAGTTCATAGAGTTCTTATGAAAATTAAATTAATATAAAGCATCTGGGACAGTCCTTGCCACATAGTAAGCACTCCATTTATACTTTTAACTATATATAAGCTATGTGGAAACAGCACAGATTTTCAGAACAGACCAAAAAAAAAAAAAAATCACCCCAACCCCATCAAACAGAAATATCAATGTCACTACTGGATGAAAATCTACTGGACAACTATTTCTGAACAGCAAGCTTAAATTTTAACTTTCAACCTTCTCTAAAGCATACAGTTGGTGACATGTTTAAAAATAAATCTTGGCTGGGGGCGGTGGCTCACGCCTGTAATCCCAACACTTTGGGAGGCTGAGGCAGGCAGATCATCTGAGGTCAGGAGTTCAAGACCAGCCTGGCCAACATGGTGAAACCCTGTCTCTACTAAAAATATAAAAATCAGCCGGGCATGATGGCAGGTGCCTGTAATCTCAGCTACTCAGGAGGCTGAGGCGGGAGAATGGCTTGAACCTGGGAAGTGGAGGTTGCAGTGAGCCGGGATTATGCCATTACATTCCAGCCTGGGTGACAGAGCAAGACTTTGTCTCACAAAAAAAAAAAAAAATTAAAAAATTAAAAAAAAAAATAATAAATCTTGATTCCATTCAATGAAATATTTAAATCTCCAAAAAGACTACAATTAGGTGGGGGGAGGGGGGAGGGATAGCATTAGGAGATATACCTAATGCTAAATGACGAGTTAATGGGTGCAGCACACCAGCATGGCACATGTATACATATGTAACTAACCTGCACATTGTGCACATGTACCCTAAAACTTAAAGTATAATAATAATTAAAAAAAAAAGACTATAATTAGGTTTTAGAGATAAAACAACAGAAAAAAAAAAGAGCAACACAGTTAAAGTACTATGTGGCAAAATCTTAACTAAGTATTTTACTTTCATCTTCTCAGTTAAGGTTCACAACAATAAAAGTTATTATTATCATCATTATCATTATTATTTTTATTCCAATTCCATAGATGAGGAAACGGGTTCACTCAGTTAGAAAAAGCAGGATTATACTCTATTACCTAAAATAAGAAACAGTCCCTTCCATGTCTATTAAGGAAGACACCAAAAAGTTACTTATAGTTTAGTACAAACACACCAAGCAAGTTAACAATGTCAGGAAAGTATTTGGATACTATGGAAACAGGAGAGATACCTAAGATAGACCAAGACATTTAGGGAATATATTCTTGCATTCAGAAGAATAAGGAAGAGTGGGAATCTGCTGGACTGGTAGCAATTTGTGGAATATCAATTTGAGAGAACAGGAATTGAGTCAAATGCCTTTCTTTTAAGCTATGTTTAATCTCTTTTTTTAAGAAAAATATTTTTTAAAAAAGTAATATATCCCTCTACCAGATTTAAAATTTCTGGCAGCACAAATGGTTAATCTTGATATCACCCATAATGTATATTCAAATATTGCCTTGAATTAGTGAATCTGCATTTTCAAAGTGAACTGTGAACCCCACCCTGCTCTTGCCCCAGTGGGGGCAAAAGAACAAGAATGCCAGTTCATTTGTTTGGGCCGACCTTACATACTTTAAAAAAAAACATTGTTTTTAAGGCAGTAGAACCCTTTCTTCAAATGAACTCCCATGGGGAAGAACAATAAATAAGATGGATCAAAGGGAAGTTACTCTAACTCTGGGTCAGCAGCCTTTTTCGGTAAAAGGCCAGATCGTAAATATTTCAGACTCTGCAAGCCATATGGTCTCTGTCACAACTAATCAAGTTTGCTGCTGTAGTGAGAAAACAGACTCAGCCAATACATAAACTAATGAGTATGGCTATGTCCCAATAAAACTTTATTTATAGACACTGAAATTTGAACTTCATGTAATTTTCATATGTCACAAAATATTCTGATATTTTCCCCAGCTGTTTAAAAACATTTTAAAAACCTGCCATCCAAAAATGGGGGTACGGGTCACGGTGGCAAATCCGGCCCAAAAACCTTAATTTGCTGATTCCTGTTCTTTTTGTTTGTTTTCTGTTTTTCTTTTTCTTTCTTTCTTTTTTTTTTTTTTTTTGAGATAGGGTCTCACTGTGTTGTCCAGGCTGGCCTAGAACTCCTGGGCTCAAGCTATCCTCTGGCTTCAGCCTCGTGAGTAGCTGGGACTACAGGTGCAAGCCATCGTGCCCTCCTCTCCTAATAAAAGACTCAGTCAAAACCAGGAGACAAACTCTTGACTGCTAACTGTTCTCTGGCAAGAGACTTAGAGAGTCAAGATGAGTACAAACTTTTTATTGAGATTATAATGCCCTTTTTTACTGTACAGATAGCAGATGCTCTCTCATCAGTGACCCCAACGTCCTTTCCTTTTCCACTTTATGTCACAGATCACAAAATAACAAAATGTAGTATAGATTGTTTTTTAAAAAATGATAACCAGAAGAGAAACAAGAATACTTTTTTCTTCAAATATGTTCTGTATATAAGCTGAGGGCATATATACACATTCAGTTCGGATCACCATAATCTGGAACACTTGCTATTTCACATTTCACAATGACAGCACATTAATCATTCACTTTATATATCACAGATCATATCCAACAGTATCATGTGATACAGTAAATTCTACTAGTAGTTTATTCTGCTTTTTCTGCAAATACAATTTCTCATTAACTTTTTGGCTGGTTTCACAGGCTTCTTGTTAAAGGTGTGGCACACCCATTTGTGCTATATAACTATGAGTGATTCCTCAGTAGTTTTGGTTTCTTCCCCATCATTAGTAACAGATCAGTTTTATCCCAGAAAGCACTGTTTTACAGTTCTGGAAAAATCTGGCTTACCAAGGTGATCACCATACTTTGTTTCATGGCTGTATGTAACAAAGCATTTGTCAAAGTTTCATAGAAGACAACCTTTGGAGACTGAGGTGAATGTATTGCAGGTTTAATAAAATGTAATTTCTAGTTATCTACTATTATATTTCATATTTGCATTTTTCTATTTTTGGCTGTTAGTGCAAATCATATTACTTCCTAACACATGTAAACCCAGATACTGTATGAACACTGTGAACACTCAAGTTCTATTCATTATGCTTACATTAATTCTTTTAAAATGTTTAGGAATAAAATTGCTATCACTTTTTCTCCGAAACTGTCAAATAACTTGTATATTATTTAATAGATCTCAGAAAACCATATCCTAACCAGTAGTTCTCAAATTATTTGGTCTCAGCTCTCCTTATAATCTTAAAAATTATGGAGAGCCCCAAAGAGCTTTTGTTTACATGGACGTCTAATGACATCATATTAGAACTCAAAACTAAAATTTAAAAAAAACTTATTATTTTACTTGAAAATAGCAATAAACCTGTTACAATGTTAAACAACATATGTTAATGAAAAAATTCTCCAAAATGAAAAAAATTTATTGAGAAGAACAGATTGTTTTACACTTTTTGCAAATCTCTTTATTGTTTGGCTTAATAGAAAATTGCCGGATACTTATATCTGCTTCTGCATTCAATGTGTTGCAATGTATTGTTTTGGGTGAAGTATACAGAAAAATAAAGGCTTACACAAATAATATAGTTGGAAAGCCAGAAGTATTTTAATAGTCTTTTCTGATCATTGTAGTATCAAAGAAGAATAGCCGTACCGAAACAAGTAATAGTTTCAAATAGCTAAATGTTAACGTAGAATATGCAACCATCTGATGAGCTTTTTGTACTCTGTATACACACATGAGAATGACAGTGACAAAGGCAAATAATGTCTTAGTATTAAAACCTGATCACTCAACATAATTTATTTTGACTTTTTTTCTTTTACAGCAAGGGGAGGCTCCCTATTGCAACTGTTCTGACCACTATATTTTAGAGGTTTTGGGATATTAGGCTTATACACTAATAAATACAGGGAAATATTTATTTTTCATAAAGTATTAGATGGTAGCTTTAGAAAGGGGTGTTTTTGTGCAGAGGGTAAGGCAGAGTAGGTAGTTGTCTCTATTATGACTTTTCCTTGGTTCAAGCAAAATAAAACCGCAAATGTTTTATTTAAGTTGTTTTTTTGAAGAGAAATCATTAACACTGGATTCAAACTATAATTTCGAAGTATTGGAGAATGTTACTGATGCCAAAAGAAATATGAGAAACCTCAGACACAGCATGTGGGAGCTCCTCAGGAAATCTTTGTGGTTCACTATTCCTGTAAGTTTTAGCTGACAGAAAACACATATCATAACACCAGAAAGAATTTTGCTAAATGAAAAACAGCCAAGAACCTTTGGTTGTGCTAAGATTGTTCTGGTGGCCGAAACATTTTTGCAATAAAAATAAACAAAAATAGACAGGAAAATCCCACATTTTTGCTGAAGAAAGCTCTTTAAGAAAATGTCTCATCCAAGTCCTACACTACTGACACTTCTTGCCAGCCCTGCTCCCTGCAGGCCCCACATAAAGATATCAGATCTGGGTGGGTGCGGTGGCTCACGCCTGTAATCCCAGCACTTTGGGAGGCCAAGGCGGGTGGATCACTTGAGGTCAGGAGTTCGAGACCAGTTTGGCCAACATGGTGAAACCCCGTCTCTACTAAAAACACAGAAATTAGCCAGGCATGGTGGCACATGTCTGTAATCTCAGCTACTCGGGAGACTGAAGCAGGAGAATCCCTTGAACCCAGGAGGTGGAGGTCGCAGTGAGCTGAGATCCCGCCACTGCACTCCAGCCTGGGCAACAGAGCGAGACTCCGTCTCAAAAAAAAAAAGAAAAAGAAAAAAAAGAAAAGATATCAGATCTCCCAGATGTATAAAGTCCAACCATTCACTTATGGCAGTGCTTGTTTTCTACATGATTCATGATGTATTCTGTACAAGTGCCAGTGTCATTACTACATCATTGCTGGTTAGCTTTTATTTGAGACAGGGTCTTTCTCTGTCACCCAGGCTGGAGTGCAATGGCACGATCATAGCTTACTATAGCCTCAACCTCTGGAGATCAAGCAATCTTCCCACCTCAGCCTCTGAGTGGCTGGGACTACAGGTGCAAGCTACCATACTCAGATAATTTTTAAATTTATTGTAGAGATGGGGTCTTGCTATGTTTCTCTGGCTGGTCTCCAACTCCTGGCCTCAAGGGATCCTCCTGCCTCAGCCTCCTGAGTCACTGGGATTATAAGCATGAGCAGTTCTACCTGGCTACAGTGCTTTTATTATTAGCTTCACTCTTTTAAACTGCTTTAAACTCTTATAGATAGAACAAGTTGTAAGCTTTCAGGTCTTGGGCCAGAGAAGAATGGGCCAAAGATGGCAGAATTAGGCAACTGATTCAATAATAAATACTTACTGAACATCTTCCATGTCAGGCAACATGTAGGCACAGGGGATAAAACAAAACAGGAACAGTTTTTCCCAAAAGAGTTTTATCTTGTAATACTTCTGATAAAACCACGGTTCATCAAGCTTTCAACATTATCAAGGAAATATTGAGTGCTCTGGTACTTTCTAGGTATGCTCTGTTTCCAGAAAAATCCTCTCCCTGTTTCAGCTTCCTTAAGTACAAAGTAAGAATGCTATGGGACTCTTAAACTTGTTCAGGTAGTAAAACAAAACTCACGACACTCTGAGAAACAAGATAAAAGGTGGTATTTTTATTTTTTATTTTTTGAGACAGAGTCCCCCTTTCACCCAGGCTGGAGTGCAGTGGCACGATCTTGGCTCACTGCAACCTCCACCTCCCGGGTTCAAGTGATTCTCCTGCTTCAGCCTCCCAAGTAGCTGGGATTACAGGCATGCGCTACTACACCCAGCTAATTTTTTGTATTTTTAGTAGATATGGGGTTTCACCATGTTGGCCAGGCTGGTCTTGAACTCCTGACCTCAAATGATCCGCCCATCTCAGACTCCCAAAGTGCTGGGATTACAGGCATGAGCCACCTTGCCTGGCCAAAAGTGGTATTTTAAAATACAGAATTTTGTGCTAAACCAAATGTCATCTTATGCTACAAAATAAGCTAAATACAGAGTATGGAAATCCTGTAGATCAAATTATTTAGTTTCTATGACTCAAGGACATATCTAAATAAATAATGAAATGCATTTGTCTTTAAAAAAAAAAAACACACCAAAAAAAATTACCAAATTTCTTCAACAAATAAATGACTTTTAAAAAGGTGAGAGGCAGGAGACTGAGGTGGGAGGGAGGATGGTTTAAACCTGGGAGGCAGAGGTTACAGTGAACTGAGATCACACCATTGCACACCAGCCTGGATGACAGGGCCAGATCTTGTCTCAGAAAAAAAAAAAAAGAGGCAAGAGGGTGGGGAAAGACTAAAGTGACGTATCACCCAAATGCAACGTAGGGACTTGTTTTGGATTCTGCTTGGAACAACTGTAAGAAGGCATTTTTGAGAATTTAAGGAAGCCCAAACACAGACTAGGTATTAGATATTAGGAAATTATTATTAATTTTGTCAGATGAGATAATTATATTGGGGTTATCATTATTTATTTATTTAGAAACAGGGTCTCGTTCTGTCACCCATGCAGTGGTGTGCATAGCTCACTGCAGCCTCAAACTCCTGGGCTCGAGGAATCCTCCCACCTCAACCTCCTGTGTAGCTGGTACTACAGGTATGTGCCATTATGTCCGGCTAATTGTTTTTTATTTTAGAGACAGGGTCTCACTATGTTGCCCAGGCTGGTCTCCAACCCCTGGGCTCATGTGATCCTCCCACCTCGGCCCAAAGCACTGGGATTATAGGTGTAAGGCACTGTGCCTGGCCAGAGTTATCTTGAAAAAGGAAAAAAAAAAAAGAGTTTTTAGTCTGTTTTGTGTTGCTATAACAGAATACTTGACACTGCATATTTTATAAAGAAAGAAGCTTACTTAGCTCATAGTTCTGCAGGCTGGGAAGTTCAAGAGCATGCCACTGGCTTCTAGCAAGGGCTCTGCTGCCTAGATATAATATGGTAGAAGGTCAAAGCGGGAGTGGGTATGTGCAAAGGGGCCAAGCCCTAAGAAAGTCCTTACTTTATAACAACCTGCTCTTTCAGGAATTAATCAGTTCCCAAGAGAACTAATTCAGTTTTGAGAGAGCAAGAACTCACTCACTATTGTGAGAATGGCACCAAGCCATCCATGAAAGTGGAGCCTCGTGACCTAAATGCCTCCCATTAGGTCCTACCTCTTAAAGGTTCTACCTCCCAACATCGTAGCATGGCAATTAAATTTCAACATGAGTTTTGGCAGGGACAAACCACACCTAAATCACAGCAAGTACTTGTCTGTTAGAGATACATACTGATACATTTACAGGTGAAATTAGGTAATGTCTGATATTTGCTTTATTTTTATTTATTTATTTATAACAGGCCAAATGGGAGTCACATGGTATTTGCTTTAAAATACACCAAGAAAAAAGATGGGGGAGGGTGAGAGGAATAGATGAGACAGTTTGGTAAAATGTTAACAGCTGCTGAAGCTGAAGCTGAAGCTGAGTGATGGGTAAATGGAGCTTTTTTTTTTTTTTTTTTTGAGATGGTGTCTCACTCTGTCACCCAGGTTGGAGTGCAGTGACACTATCTCTGCTCACGGCAACCTCCAAGTGATCCTCCCATCTCTGTCTCCCAAGTAGCTGGGACCACAGGCATGCACCACCACCCTCAGCTCACTTTTTGTATTTTTGGTAGTGATGGGGTTTCACCAGGTTGCCCAGGCTGGTCTGGAACTCCTGAGCTCAAGTGATCTGCCCACCTCAAACCTCCCAAAGTGCAGGAATTACAGGCATAAGCCACCAGGCCTGGCCATGGAGTTTTCATTGTAGTATTCTCTCCCTTAAAATACATTTTTAAGGTCTATAATAAAAGTCTTTTAAAAATCAGATGCTAGGTTTTCCTAAAG
Organism: Homo sapiens; assembly: GCF_000001405.40. Classification (NCBI taxonomy): domain Eukaryota; kingdom Metazoa; phylum Chordata; class Mammalia; order Primates; family Hominidae; genus Homo; species Homo sapiens. The sequence goes on along the minus strand of NC_000012.12, from coordinate 95,242,995 downwards.
TCTGGTATAAAAGGCTTAAGAAAATACTATGGAACAAAAATGTAAACTTGAAAAAATTCAACTTATTATTATAATCTGGGGAAAATATCATTTTACTGATTTTTTTTTTTTTTTTTTTTGGTGAGATGGAGTTATGCTCTTGTCACCCAGGCTGGAGTGCAATGGCACCATCTCGGCTCACTGCAACCTCCGCCTCCCAGGTTCAAGTGATTCTCCTGCCTTAGCCTCCCAAGTAGCTGGGATTACAGGAGCCAGCCACCACGCCCAGCTGACTTTTGTATTTTTACAAATACAGGGTTTTACCAGGTTGGCCAGTCTGGTCTCGAACTCCTGACCTCAGGTGATCTGCCTGCCTCAGCCTCCCAAAGTACTGGGATTACAGGCGTGAGCCACCACGCCCGGCCCATTTTATTAGATTTTAAAACACTCCACACGTAGTCCCAGCTACTGAGGATGCCTGCTTGAGCCCAGGAGTTTGAGGCCGTAGGGCCTATGATCACACTTGTGAATAGCTACTGCACTCCAGCCTAGGCAACATAGCAAAATCCTGTCTCTAAAAAAGAAAAGAAAACAAAACAAAATAAAAACCAGAAAAAACCCATTAGAGTCTTACAAACTTCTATCTAATAGTCTCAGGTGATTTTATTTTTATTTTTATTTTTTTTAGAGATGGGGTCTCACTATGCTGCCCAGGCTGATCTTGAACTCCTGGCCTCAAGCGATCCTCCCACCTTGGCCTCTCAAAGTGCTGGGATTACAAGTGTGAGCCACCATGTCCAGGTCAAACTTCCATCTAGTAGTGGTACTTCCATAGTAGTGGTAGTTTTAATGTCTATTGAAAGAGAATACGACAAAAAGCAAATGTTAATATAGATAAGATCTAAAATAAATTTATGAGTTAATCACATGTGTATCAACTAGTGTAACTTGTACATGTGCTATTTTTTGTGTTTATTTTTAAAAAATTCAGAAAATGATGAGCAAGTATTTGGACTTGCAAACTTCCTGCAACAATGTCTACGCTTTTTAATATTTTCGCCAAGGTCAACAAATATCAAAGGTATCCTCTAGCAACATGATTTCAAGTTGCTAGTCTCAGTGGAGGCACAAATAAGTGTCTACTTACCTGTCAATTTGAATTATTCACATTTTCTTTCCACAAACTAATGTAAAGTTCATGGAATAAACTATTCTCAATTATGTGATTTTTCTGAGCCATGTTTTAAAATCACCATTAAACAAGACAGTTAAAAACAAAAAGTAGAAACAAAAAAACTACTATGTTCTTATAAAGCAGTGGTTCTCAAAGTAAATCATCACTGCACAACTCCCCCTCCCCACATTTGGCAATTTCTGGAGACATTTTTCATTGTTAAAACTGAGGGGTGTGCTAGGCAGGGTAGCTCACTCCTTTAATCCCAGTACTTTGGGAGGCCAAGGCAGGAGGAATTGCTTGAGGCCAGGCGTTTGAGACTATCCTAGGTAATATAAAGCAAGACCTTGTCTCTACTAAAAATAAAAAAATTAGCCAGAAATGGTGGTGTGCGCCTCTGGTCCCAGCTACTTGGGAGGCTGAAAGTGAAGGATTGCTTGAGCCTGGAGTCAAGGCTGCAGTAAGCCATGCAAGACTCGTCTCAAAACAAACAAACAAAACCTGTTGGCAAGGCACGGTGGCTCACACCTGTAATCCCAGCACTCTGGGAGGCCAAGATGGGTGGGTCACTTGAGGTCAGGAGTTTGAAACCAGCCTGGCCAACATGGTGAAACCTTGTCTCTACTAAAAAAAAATACAAAAATTAGCCGGGCGTGGTGGTGCACATCTGTAGTCCCAACTACTTGGGAGGCCTGAGGCAGGAGAATCACTTGAACCCGGGAGGCGGAGGCTGCAGCTGAGATAGCGCCACTGCACTCCAGCCTGGGCAACACAGCAAGACTCCGTCTTAAAAAACAAAAACAAAACAAAAAAATCCCCAAAAAACTGTGGGGTGGATGTGAGCAGCGCTACTGGTATCTAGTGTGTAGAGATCGGGATGCTGCTCAACATCCTATATTGCACAGGACAACCCTCACAAAGAGTTATCTGGCCCAAAGCATCAATAGTTCTAAGGCTGAGAACCTGTTTTTGAGTATAAGGAATCAAAGATTGAAAAAATCACAAAAAAATATGTAGCCTAGCAGCTGCTTTCATTATTTACTTTTTATTTTGGGACGATGACTGATTTGAAAAGCAATGACCAAAATGGAAAATTAGCTGTTTTTCCATGACTTGCAATGCTCAACAGCCTGTTGCAAAAACAGGCTTTCTAAGAGTGAAATGAGTTACCTTCGAAATAACTGCATTAGAATTTATGCATTGAAATTTTAATCAGCTACTAATATAAAACCAAAATAATTATAGCACTTGGTTACACTAAGTATTGTGATAATCAATATGAACCTTTAAATAGGCTAAGAAATGTTATTACAGTATTAAAAATATCTGAAGAAAATAATTTTCTATATAACATCGTTTTACTCCAGTAGAGCCTTAAATTTTAAAAACTTTAAGAATAGCTGAGCTAAGCTGTTGGGAGATTATTTCTACATAAACTTCATGCTCATCTAACTGAACTTCAGTCTTCCAATAAAAAATTTTCCTTATTTAAAAAATTATGTTGGGGTGTCAACATAAGAAAAGAAGTGCAAATCTGACTATCTGGGCCATAGATATTAACTAGGAAAGTTAGATATCTCAATAAACCTAGCCTCTTCCACAAATGGCACTTTACTGAATGGTTTCTTTTGGATATTGACACACTATTAATATCAATACTACAGGTCCACAATCCAGCACATCTACTGGGCTAAGAACAGTCAATGATTGTCTATCTTCCAACTCAGTAGTCATTGTTGCAATGTTTCTGTTTTCCTCTTTCTTTTCTTCCTTCCTTCCTTCCTTCCTTCCTTCCTTCCTTCCTTCCTTCCTTCCTTCCTTTCTTTCTCTCTTTCTCTCTCTGTCTCCTCTCTCTCTCTCCTCTCTCTCTCTCTCTCTCTCTCTCTCTCTCTCTTTCGAGTCTCCCTCTGTTGCTCAGGCTGGAGGGCAGTGGCACAATCTCAGCTCACTGCAACTTCCACCTCTCAGGTTCAAGTGATTTTCCTGCCTCAGCTTCCCGAGTAGCTGGGATTAAAGGCATGTGCCACCACACCTGGCTAATTTTTGTATTTTTAGTAGAGATGGTGTTTCACCATGGTGGCCAGGCTGGTCTCAAACTCCTGACCTCAAGTGATCTGCCCTCCTTGGCCTCCTAAAGTGCTGGGATTACAGGTGTGAGCTACCGTGCTGGGCCTTATGTCACTTATTCTGTCTGTCTGAACCCTCCGAGCTCTTCACACTAGCCCTGATGCACCCTTGAGACTCTCTCCTTCCCTTTATCAGAAGAGCTGATCTCAGAGCCATATACCCTTTCAGAAAAGCAATTTGTAGTCTGCACTAACTAGTGGCCAAATTCTGATTCTGATCCCTCACACTATCTATTCTCTCTTGCAGATGGCAATGACTGAGTGCTAACAGCATTCCAGGGTAAAGATCATCTGGATAGAAAAGGGACAATCATCATTTACTCCTTTATCACTAGCCAAATATTTATTGAGCACCTACTCTGTGTCAGGCACTAGTTACTTTAGCAGTTCTCTGCCATTAACTTCTCTCTGGGGATATACAAGAAAAGTTAACTTATTTCATCTGTAAAAGGACACTAAGCTCAACTGCTCAACCTCAGTTTGTTTTTTTGTTTTTTACTGCCTTGCTACTTTTATACTAAAAATTTAAAAAATACAAAAAGATATAAAATGAGAAATAACTTTGTTTTTCCTACCCTAGTCCCCTAGTCTCTCACCCAAAAGGTAATAAATATTTAGCTCATGAATCCTTCCCCCAAAATTTAGTATCCACTTATATATGTATGAATAGCCTTCAAAATTTCTATACAAATGGAAATATACTATATACTTTTCTCTGCACTTGCTTCATCGAATGTATTTTAGAGACCTTTCCATATTAGGACATATATTGTACCTTATTCCTTTTTAGTGTCCTTATAGCATTTCAATTCTATGAATCTATCATGATTTATTTATCCAGTCTCTTATTGTTGGATAACTGGGACTACAAGAAGTATAAAAAATGAAAACATTTAATAAATGTGTTTAAGTATTAAAATCAAAATAACTTGATTACTGATTGAAATGGTTGGCAATGGAGGGATCAAGATTAAGATTTCTGATTTGAAGAATCAGGTGGTGCTATTTAATGAAATATGAAACAGTGGCGTAGCAACAAATCTGAGGAGGAAGGTGATGTATTAGAAGTGCCTATGAGATAGTCAAATGTGAATGGCTTAGACCTAAAATGTCTGGAGGTCAGGAAAGTAGCCTACTGAATGTATACATTCAAGTTTTTAGCATATAAATATGGTGGCAAACTCATATGACATACCAGTATAGAAACATATGTAGTCTGGAAGATCAACTAGAGATAATGGCAAGAGAAGACAGGAAGGCCCTAACAGAGTTACTATATATATTTTAGAAAACAGTAGAGCCAAGCCTGAAAAACAATGTAGTAACACTAAAAATAGTTGACATTTGCTGAGTTGCTTATTTACTAGGCATTGAGTTAAGCACGTTTTATAATACCTCATTTAATTCTAACAACTCTATAAAGAGGTATTTTTATTATTACCCTCATTTTACAGATGAGGAAACTGAGTCATAAAGAGGTTATAACTTGCTTAAAGTCACCCATCAGAATATAAACCCAGTTAGTCTGATTCCAAAGCCCATACTTTTAAACTATAATATAAAATTGTCTCTTTGAGAAAAATTGAGATGTAAAAGAAACAACCTCTCTCAAGTTCACCATATGTATCATATGATATATTCTATAAGGTTCAAAATGCTCAACCCTGCAAGGCATAATTTTTAATTCAATCATATTTTTGTCTCTCTTCAAGCTAACTTCATCTTAAATTGTCCCCTTCCATTGGTGGCTTTAAGTTTCATAGAAGCTACAGAATCTGGGAACATACCAATACAGACTTTTTTCTCGTGAGAACATTTTAGAAAATGCTCATATAAAATTGGTGTTATTATGATCTACAGGCTCCATGACTTTTATTCATCCTTCAGGGAGAGCTCTATACTTATTAGCCTAAGGCTAATATAAAGTAGCAAATGGCAAGAAGTCAAGAAATTTTAAGGTATAAACTCAGAGAAGAGAAATAATCAAGAGGCAATGGATTACCAATTTAGAAATTTAGTTTCCAAGGGAAACAGAGCCACAACAGACACCAACATGAACAAGATAATAAAAACAAAACAAAACAAAATAATATTCCAGTGCTGTGTTTTCCCAAGGCTATGGGGGCTATACGTGGTGAGTGTTTGGTAATGGCCCTTGATCTTCTCCCACTGCCCATTTCTGAGGTTACAGCAAGTTTAACCTCTGGTTTGGTGATATCAGTGGAGGCTGATAATTCTGCTTGATACTACCCAGATGCACAATTTTCTCACAGGAGGATGATCCAGTGTAGTTCCTATCTGGTTGGTTGATTTCTTTTCCACCCATCTCCCCACAAACAACAGCAGTACTAAACATTTATTGAGTACCCAGACAGGGCCAGGAATTAATCTAAGTATTTTTTTTTTATGTACAAGCCTGTCTCATCTTTGCAATAACCTTATGAGGCATGGCTCATTTTAGATATGAGGAAACTAAGGCACAGAGAGACCAAGGGAACTTGCCCAAGGTCACAAGGACAGATAGTAGTAAACAACAGAAGAGGGATTTTTCTGAGTTGGAAAAACCTGACAGATTCAGTGCTGTTACCTACCCCATCATATTGCAAATAATTTTGAGTAAACAAGTTCATTAATTTGGTCTAATGTAGTACTGTGTATAGTTGTTTTATTTAACTAGAAACTAAACTTGTAATTTTAAATCTATTTAGCAGATTAAGTTAGAAAACTCAAAATAGGCTAGCATTATTCTCCTGATAATATCTACATTTATTCCCAATTGCCTTATTTTTGCTTCAGATGAGCTATAGTTCACATGTAAGAATTCAGTAAGAGCCAAGCACCATGGCTGATGCCTGTAATCCTAGCACTTTGGGGGACCAACATGGATGGATCACTCAAGGTCAGGAGTTTGAGACCAGCTTGGCCAATGTAGTGAAACCCCGTCTCTACTAAAAATACAAAAATTAGCCGGGCGTGGTGGCAGGAGACTGTAATGTGGGCTTATTGTAATCCCAGCTACTGGAGAGGCTGAAGCAGGAGAATCACCTGAACCCAGGAGGTGGAGGGTGCAGTGAGCCAAAATCATGACACTGCACTCCAGCCTGCGCAACAGAGACTCCCTCTCAGAAAAAAAAAAAAAAAGAATTCAGTAAGAGCATTTGCCTCACGTTACACAAGGTTAGAAACTGGCTGCAAAGATTCTTGGGGACTACAGAAACAATGGTACTCTAGTCTTAAAAACTACTTTCCCCTCTCCCCTCTCCCACAGTCTCCCTTTCCCACAGTCTCCCTCTCCCTCTCTTTCCACGGTCTCCCTCTGATGCCGAGCCGAAGCTGGACTGTACTGCTGCCATCTCGGCTCACTGCAACCTCCCTGCCTGATTCTCCTGCCTCAGCCTGCCCAGTGCCTGCGATTACAGGCGCGCGCCGCCACGCCTGACTGGTTTTCGTATTTTTTGGGTGGAGACGGGGTTTCGCTGTGTTGGCCGGGCTGGTCTCCAGCTCCTAACCGCGAGTGATCCGCCAGCCTCGGCCTCCCAAGGTGCCGTGATTGCAGACGGAGTCTCGTTCACTCAGTGCTCAATGGTGCCCAGGCTGGAGTGCAGTGGCGTGATCTCGGCTCGCTACAACCTCCACCTCCCAGCCGCCTGCCTTGGCCTCCCAAAGTGCCGAGATTGCAGCCTCTGCCCAGCCGCCACCCCGTCTGGGAAGTGAGGAGCGTCTCTGCCCGGCTGCCATCCCATCTAGGAAGTGAGGAGCGCCTCTTCCCGGCCGCCATCCCATCTAGGAAGTGAGGAGCGTCTCTGCCCGGCTGCCCATCGTCTGAGATGTGGGGAGCGCCTCTGCCCTGCCACCCCGTCTGGGATGTGAGGAGCGTCTCTGCCCGGCAGCCGCCCCGTCTGAGAAGTGAGGAGCCCCTCTGCCCGGCAGCCACCCCGTCTGGGAAGTGAGGAGCGTCTCCGGCCGGCAACCACCCCGTCCGGGAGGGAGGTGGGGGTCAGCCCCCCGCCCGGCCAGCCGCCCCGTCCGGGAGGGAGGTGGGGGTCAGCCCCCCGCCCGGCCAGCCGCCCCATCCGGGAGGTGAGGGGTGCCTCTGCCCGGCCGGCCCTACTGGGAAGTGAGGAGCCCCTCTGCCCGGCCAGCCGCCCCGTCCGGGAGGGAGGTCGGGGGGTCAGCCCCCCGCCCGGCCAGCTGCCCCGTCCGGGAGGTGAGGGGCGCCTCTGCCCGGCCGCCCCTACTGGGAAGTGAGGAGCCCCTCTGCCCGGCCAGCCGCCCCGTCCGGGAGGGAGGTGGGGAGGTCAGCCTCCCGCCCAGCCAGCCGCCCCGTCCGGGAGGTGAGGGGCGCCTCTGCCCGGCCGCCCCTACTGGGAAGTGAGGAGCCCCTCTGCCCGGCCAGCCGCCCCGTCCGGGAGGGAGGTGGGTGGGGGTCAGCCCCCGCCCGGCCAGCCGCCCTGTCCGGGAGGTGAGGGGCGCCTCTGCCCGGCCGCCCCTACTGGGAAGTGAGGAGCCCCTCTGCCCGGCCACCACCCCGTCTGGGAGGTGTACCCAACAGCTCGTTGAGAACGGGCCATGATGACAATGGCGGTTTTGTGGAATAGAAAGGGGGGAAAGGTGGGGAAAAGATTGAGAAATCGGATGGTTGCCGTGTCTGTGTAGAAAGAGGTAGACATGGGAGACTTTTCATTTTGTTCTGTACTAAGAAAAATTCTTCTGCCTTGGGATCCTGTTGATCTGTGACCTTACCCCCAACCCTGTGCTCTCTGAAACATGTGCTGTGTCCACTCAGGGTTGAATGGATTAAGGGCGGTGCAAGATGTGCTTTGTTAAACAGATGCTTGAAGGCAGCATGCTCCTTAAGAGTCATTACCACTCCCTAATCTCAAGCACCCAGGGACACAAACACTGCGGAAGGCCGCAGGGTCCTCTGCCTAGGAAAACCAGAGACCTTTGTTCACTTGTTTATCTGCTGACCTTCCCTCCACTACTGTCCTGTGACCCTGCCAAATCACACCCAAGAATGATCAATTAAAAAATAAATAAATAAATAAATAAAAAACAAAAAAAACAAAACTACTTTCAAAACTAGCTTAATGTGTTTTAAAAACAACTCACTGAAAATGGAAGCCTGGCGCGGTGGCTCATGTCTGTAATCCCAGCACTTTCGGAGGCTGAGGCGGGCAAATCACCTGGGGTTAGGTGTTCAAGACCCAGCCTGACCACCATGGAGAAACCCTGCCTCTACTAAAAAAATACAAAAAAATTAGCCGGGGGTGGTGGCGCATGCCTGTAATCCCAGCTACTCGGCAGGCTGAGGCAGGAGAATCGCTTGAACCCGGCCGGCGGGGAGGTTGCGGTGAGCCCAGATCGCGCCATTGCACTCTAGCCTGGGGGCCAAGAGCGAAACTCTGTCTCAAAAAAAAAAAAAAAAAAAAGATTATTGATAGAAAATTTGGCTAACATGATGCAACAGTTTTTTAATTTACAATAAGGCCACATAAACCAGTAATAATATTTTTTTAAATTGTAGAAATGGGTAAAGGATATAAAGAAGCAGTTCAAAGAAAAAAATACAAATGGGTCAATATGAATGAAAACATGTTAAACTTCACCTTTGAAGAAATGCAAATTGAAACAAAGACACAATTTTTACCTATTAGTTGGCAATAATTAAGAAGTCTGAGAATACTCAGTTTTGGCAACGTTGGAATACAGATACATCATACACTATTAGTGGGAGTATAGGTATAAAAATATAAATGCAAATATCCGTTGACCTAGCAATTTTACCACTAAGCTTCCAGTCTATGAATACAATTATAAAAGTATGCCAAATATACATACAAGAATATCGACTAGTACTAGCCATTTAAAAACCCCATTTGTGTTTTAAAAAACCCACAAAATGGAATTATACAATATATTTATGTATGTCACACACATATATATATATACACATACACATATAGATGAATGTAATTGCGCTGAGAATAATCTGAAAGAAAATATACCAACATTGGCCAGGCACAGTGGCTCACACCTATAATCTCAGCACTTTGGGAGGCCGAGGTGGGGGGATCACTTGAGGCCAGGAGTTTGAGACCAGCCTGGCCAACATGGTGAAACCTTGTGTGTACTAAAAATACAAAAAAATTAGCCAGGCGTGGTGGCACACACCTGTAGTCCCAGCTACTTGGGAGGCTGAGGTGGGAGAATCACTTGAACCTGGGAGGCGGAGGTTGCAGTGAGCCAAGATTGTGCCACTGCACTCCAGCCTCGGCAAGAGAGTGAGACTCTGTCTCAAAAAACATAAAAAATAAAAATAAAAAATAATTTAAAAAAGAAAATATACGAAAGTGATTACAGTGGTACTTCTGTGGAGAAAGGTGGACCTGCAAAGGAAAAGGGGGATTAAGGGAGAGCTGATCCTTTCCCTGTATTATGTGAATGTTTTACAATGAGAACATATTCATGTGTTATCTGTGTGGAAAAACATAGTTAAGGTCTGCTAAGAAAAAAAAAAGAAAAAGAAAAAAGAAGGTACCTAATTACATGAGAATTTAGTAAATGAATAAAATGAGCCAATACACTTTCCCATATAAAAACTAACAATGGGGTGGATGCAGTGGCTCACCCCTATAATCCCAGCACTTTGGGAGGTCAAGCCATGCAGATCACTTGAGCCAAGGAATTTGAGACCAGTCTGAGCAACATGGCAAAACCCTGTCTCCACAAAAAATACAAAAATTAGTCAAACATGGTGGTACACACCTGTGCTCTTAGCAACTCAGGAGGCTGAGGCAGGAGGACCGCTTGAGCTTGGGAAGTAGAGGATGCAGTGAGCCGAGATTGCGTCACTGCACTCCAGCCTGGGCGACAGAGTGAGACTCTGTCTCAAAAAACCCAAAAAACAAAACAAACGAACAAAAAAACCCAAACCAAACCAACCCAAAAACTAATGCTCTACTTCAACTATTATACATTCCTTTATTTAAAATGTCAGTATGATATCTAAACCACACTATCAGGTTTGGCAAAATGCTAACTATTGTCAGATGTCAGATGTCATTTGGGCCATGCAGTCCATATTAAACACAAAAAGCAACAAGAAAACACAGGCACACTAGCTACTAACAGAGAAGAGAGTATGAGGCACAAAGCATTGGCACAAAAGCCCGAAACTGTGTAATGTTTGAGAAGTAATTTTGTTAACACAGACTTCCCACCTATATGAATCTGTGCTTATTCTGGTTCAAAGGATCAAAAAGCCTTTGATTTCCATTCCCAAGTTACAGAATTCACCAAGTTATACGTAACTTTTCCTCAAGTTTGTACCAACTTGTAATTTCTCTGGAAAAAAAGTGTTCTCTACATACTACCATGTAAATTACATATTTTTTAAAGTTTCTACCATGCCAACAGAACCTCTAAAAGATCTTTAATTCAAAATAAAATCTCTAGGGAAAAGGTATCTGCAACTAAAGGGATTTGATGGGAAAATATCTGCCTGAAAATTATGTGTTATTTTAAAGCATTTAAAAAAACCTTTTATCTTTGAATATAGCTTAAAGCTATAGGTCTAAATGTGACTATCACATATAGAACAACAATATATTGTTTTTGGAAAATACCACTAAAAAGGATTAAACTCCTGTTGTTAATTGCTATGATTTCCATGTTTTTCCAGGCTAGCTGCAGAGTATCACAAAATAAAGTGATGAGTAAGACTATTAACAAATTATAAAAGGCAGTGATTTTTCTCAATTTTTAATGAGGAATCTACTTAAAAGGCTAAATCTCTGTCAAAATTAACAAAACCCCATCATGGAAAATAAATTTCCCCATAATTGTATTGCCAATGTAGTAAATTTCTATATAGCCTTTTCACTTATCTTTAATTCAGTACGCAATCACAAAATATAATCTGAAATTAACTACTTCGTGCCTTTATCTCCCTTAAACCTTAGATAATATCATAGGATATTAAAGATATAAAATAATAGGAAATGCTTTTCGGAGCTTACACATTTCAACATAATATCTAAATTAATATACCAAAGCCCCAAATTCAAGCATTAATTAATTAATCAGCAAAGTAAAATCTAATCATAGAATTTAAAGAGATTAAGCTAAAAGGGTCCATTAAAATTGGTCCAACTAATTAAACTACTCACAGATAGCATGGTTCTAATTTCTCCAGTTGACCTAAATGAAAAATTTACTGCCTCTTGTCCATATTCTTTTTTATCCATACATTTCTTTCTTTGATGATTCCCACTTGTTTCTCCAGAAGAACCACAGTACAAAATGGCCACTGAATTGGAGGGCGTGCCTCTGTCATTACTAAGCATTTTCCTATCAGAAGCAGCCCTCTGAAAAAAAATCTGAACATTATTTCTTCAGTGCTGTTATTACTCAGCAACTACAGACAAAGGTAATAGGAATACTGGAGTTTTAAAAACGCCTTCAAAGGATGTTTTTAGTATTAGTGTTTATTTAAAAGTTTTTAAATAAACCAAGAAAAAGTAAGACACATATATTAAGAAGTTTGTCTGGCTGCAGGCTTCTAATATTTTCCGCTGAAATCCTATCCAATGATTCTGATATGAGATGTAATAAATAGCAAACATTTTTAAAAAGAGTAACCTTAAGATTTTTTATACAACAGTACAAAGATACTCAAGTGCAATACTACCTACGTCCAAAATCTAAATAAAAATCAAACATACCCATCAGAAGACTAAGAGATGCAATGGGAGAAAACTGACTTACACAGCTTTTATACTCTATTGACTAAAAAGCAAGGACAGCAGTGGATTGTCTTAACTAAATGGAGAGAAGTCAGCAATGGTAGATTGATATCCCCTTGGTTCTGATGCTACTTTAAATATTATTTGAAATCTAGCTAATTAACTGGCACACATCGGTCACTTAAATGAATGCAGAGCAGAAGCAAGGAGAGGAAGCAAAACTTCATTTTCAACTGCTTTAAGACAAAGGCCAGAAGATCAAACACAATTGGCAAAATGTTGGATGTGAGGAGAGCATGCAGTAAACTTTAATATAATGTTTGGATATTAAGAGATAACATCCAACTTTATTTCCTTTGCTTCTTATCCCAAAATAAATAAAAAAAAAAAAAAAAGGAGAGATAACTGGACACAATGGCTCACACAGGATGAGGTGAGAGGAGAGGATAGCTGGAGCCTAGGAGTTCAAGGCTGCAGTGAGCTATGATTGCAATACTTGCACTCCAGCCTGGGTTGACAGAGTGAGACTGTCTCAAAAAAAAAAAAGAAAGAAAAAGAAAAAAGAAAAAAAAATCCATTTTAATAAAGATCTTAATGAGATAATATTAAAAGTTGTGGCTTAATCAGCAAAAACCTCAACAATAAGAGATAGGAGGCTATATTCTGTCAACTACATAAATTACAATGCAGATTTTAAAATAAATGATGTCCTCAAATATATTGTTTCAAATAAAAAGTAATGGGCACACTGATTTCCTATAGTGGGAATAATAACAACAGGAAGTCTCAATGTATACTATAAGCAATACTCAAAAAATCCAGAGGCAATGAAGTTAGTACACTTCGTTTTTTTTTTTTTTTTTTTGAGACGGAATCTCTCTCTGTTGCCCAGGCTGGAGTGCAGTGGTGTGATCTCAGCTCGCTGCAACCTCCATCTCCTGGGTTCAAGCAATTCTCCTACGTCAGCCTCCCGAGTAGCTGGGATTACAGGCACCAGCTGTAATTTTTGCATTTGTAACAGCCTGCTAATTTTTGCATTTTTAGTAGAGATGGGGTTTCACCATGTTGGCCAGGCTGATCTCGAACTCCTGACCCCAGGCGATCCGCCTGCCTCACCCTCTGAAAGTGCTGGGATTACAGGCATGAGCCACCACATCTGGTCGAAGTTAGTACACTTTCTAACACTGTGCCCCTGTCGAGTACACTGAGCTTTGGGCCTTTTCTCCTAAATCCTTAAGGCATGATTTGCTTCTAGGAACTCAGAGAACACCTGGTACAGAACCAGGGAAAACTAAAATTGAGTCAGGATTTCTAATATAAAAAGAGACTGGAAATGAATAGATTCTTTTCCTGTATTTCCTAATTAATGGAAGCCTCTAAGGGCCTACTCTCATTTACTCAACCCACTAGATAGTTTCCGATCCCCTAGAATGGATTTAAGAAAAATTTCATACCAAAGGATGATATGGTATAAAGGATGATCCTGGGAAACAAGCTCTAGAGAAATTAAGTGATTTATTCAGAATTTCATTGCTAATTTATGTCAGTCAGTCTCTTGACTCCTCGTCTGGTCCTCTTTCCACAATGCTTTTAAAAAAATGAAAACCTTCAATATAGCTGCACATAAAATACCAAGGTAACTAAAAAAAATAATGTAGGCACTGTGTGTGTCATAGCTTGAGACAAATGGACTTACATTTTAATAAATGCAATAAAAAATACATAAAAGAGAGAACTACCTACTTTTCTTGAATGTTTAGACATAAAACAGAAACAAAATTTTAATCTAAACTGGAGCCCCAAGGATCTGTGAAGAAGCCAAAACAGAAGAAATGACACAACATAAGCAGAAAAAAAAGCAGACTTGTTCCCCAAGAATAATTTTTATAATTCATATTAAACATGGAATTTCTTCTTGCATATCTTGGTTATAAACCAGAGTTGGTGTTTTGTTTTTGTTTTTGTTTTGAGAAAGGGTCTTATTTCAATGCCCAGGCTGGAGTGCAGTGCTGAAATCACAGCTCACTGCAGCCTCAACCTCCTGGGCTCAAGCAATCCTCCCACCTCAGCCCCGAAGCAGGTTGCACTGCAGGTACATGCCACCACACTGGCCAATTTTTACATTTTCTGTAGAGACAGGGTCTCACTATGTTGCCCAGGCTGGTTTTGAACTCCTGAGTTCATGTGATCTTCTAACCGCAGCCTCCTAAATTGTTGGGATTACAGGTGTGAACTACCATATCTGGCTAGACTTGGTCTTAATGGTCAATCTTTGATGTCAATAGAGTTGTGATTTAATAGCACTATTAATAAATATTATTCCTATTATAGATAGTGATAGCATGAATTTTGCTATACTTCTAATCTCAGCTACTACTTGGAACAAGATTATTTTAAATAATACAATTTAGGGCTTTATGTTTGACAAACTGAAACTCAGGATATATTAAAAAAAATTAAATGATATAATAATACCTTAAATTTTATATGTATAATTATTCTAGACAGGAAGCTCCATTATCAAAATAGCAAATACTGTCCATGTATATGTTCACAGACAAAAACAATATTCTTCCATTGGTCAAATCAATAATACAAGTAAGAAAGAATCTACAATTATTACTTAGGGAAAAAGTACCTTCATGTTCCTCAGAGATGCATAATAACTTTTAAAAATACAAAGAAAAGGGAATCTCTCGAGGAAGAGAGAAATTTTTTAAAACTTCCTTTTAAATGTGAAAGGTTTTGTGAGAGTCATTTCCTTTCATTTAACTGATTAAATGCTATGGGAGAAAAGGGCGAAAGCTGAACATACTGCCAACAAAGGGTTAACATTTAATAACTTACACAGAAGTATGAAAGAAGTAGGAGAAAAAGAAATCATGACAAAATGGGCAAAAATTATCTTTCTCAGCCAGGAAGAAAAGAAAAGAGGAAGAAGGAATTTAAACAAACACCAAAAACAGTAACGAGTTCACCTACAGAGGATAAGGTTACCAAGGCAAGAGATTTGAGTAAAAGATCCCTTTAATACAACATTGTCCCTACTAGAAGAAAGTTACAAAGGAATGGTTTAAATGAACTTCAAATGATGCAAAGAGGCAGAAAAATTAGTCTTTCAGATTTAAAAAGTCTTATTTCCAGGCACTCTTCCCTCTAGGAATAGCAAGGTTTAAGACAGATGACCTGAAGTTTCTGCAATTAAAATTTAAGGCCCGGTGCAGTCGTTCATGTCTGTAATCCCAGCACTTTGGGAGGCCGAGGCAGAACAATCACTTGAACCTGGGCAACATGTCAAAACCCACTCTCTGCAAAAAATACAAAAAATTGGCCGGGCATGGTGGCTCATGCCTATAATCCCAGCACTTTGGGAAGCCGAGGCGGATGGATCACCTGAGGTCAGGAGTTCGAGACAAGCCTGGCCAACATGGCGAAACCCCATCTCTACTAAAAATACAAAAATTAGCAGGGTGTGGTGGCATGCACCTGTAATCCCAGCTACTTGGGAGGCTGAGGCAGGAGAATCGCTTGAACCCGGGAGGTGGAGGTTGCAGTGACCCGAGATCACGCCATTGCACTCCAGCCTGGGCGACAAGAGCAAAACAAAATTCCATCTCAAAAAAAAAAAAAAAAAAGAAAAAATTAGTAGGGCATGATGGCACATGCCTGTAGTCCCAGCTACTTGGGAGGCTGAGATGAGATAATCACCTGAGCCTGGGAAGTGGAGGCTGCAGTGAACAGTGATTGTTCTATTGGAGGCCAGCCTGGTGACAGAGTGAGACCCTGTCTAAAAAACAGTTAAGAAAGCAACATCAGAACTTTAATACCTTTCTAAAGTAATTGGAGAATTCTTACTCTCAAAACACTGTAATTAATGATGACGATAACAGAGTAAAACAACAATCTTGGTATTTCATGCTTATTTTGTTAATATTCACATTAGACATAGTATCCATCATTTTCTAAACTTTGTTCTGTTGCTGTTTAGCCTGAGAGGTCCAAGACTGAGGTTATACTGTCCTTCTCAATTCAGCCTCTTAGAGTAGAATGATGGTAGAAGATTCTAATTAAAACAAATGATCTTATAGGAGGAGGAGTCAGGCTCCAATATAATGGAATTAACATTGAAAGTACATACGGAATCTAGCTCTGATAAAATGGGTAATCAGATTCTAGGGCAAGAAATGGGAATTGGGCCTGGGCACTTCACTCTTTCTTTCCTCCCTTAGTCCTTCTCTTATATTATCATCTTTCAGTGCACATCTAGTCCTCTCAGACTAAGAGGACTCAAAGTGATCACTGGAAGGAGAAATACAAATGACCCAAAATATAGTACAGTAAAATTTACAAATAATCCAAGAAACAGAAATTAAAACAAGATACCTCAAAGAGTTTGTTTTAAGGGAAGGGATGTTGTTGGAATATTATCCAAAACTCTGCATGATTTAAGTTTTTAACTTTCATGCAGCATGTAATTCTCTAGGTAAGTCTCAATACATGAATGACTCTGATTTCTATCTGAAGATCATTAAAATAACAGTATTACAACAAATATACCAAAAAAAAAAAAATCACAGTTAAATTTTCTTAGGGGAAGAGAGGTTCAGCCCTAAGATAGATATGGTAAATTGGCTTGGCTTGTTCAATCTCTATTCTATAATCCTTCTTCCAATGTATCTCTTGTGTTACAGAGGCAGGAAAGCTACATCTGAAATTTCCCAAATTATCTTGCAGCTAGGATTCTAGATATAAATCAGGGTTTCCCCAAGTAGGTGTATGGTGTAAGAGATTTGGAAGGTGGAAGAAGAGCAGAAGTCCACTTTTTGCTTCTTTGGCTTTTGTTTCAACTGTTCTTTTTTTTTTTTTTTTTTAAATAAAGGCAAAGTCTCAATCTGTCACCAAGGCAGAGTGCAGTGGCCTCATCAAAGCTCATCACAGCCTTGAACTCCTGGGTTTAAGCAATCCTCCTGCGTCAGCCTCCTGAGTAGCTAGGGCTAGAGATGCATGCCACCATGCCCAGCTAATTCTTTAAAATAATTTTTTGTAGAAACAAGGTCTCTCTATATTGCCCAAGCTGGTCTCAAACTGCTGGCCTCAAGTGATCCCCCCACTGCTGGCCTTGTTCTTTCATTTGTCTGTTCTCTCATTCCTTCTCTTCCCTCCATCCTTCTCTCTCTTTTTTTTTTTTTTTTTTTTTTTTTTTTTTTTGCTATGAAACAAAGCTGTGGAGGCAAAATGTTTCTATAGCAGTATTCCAATATGGATTCTCCAGCTTCTTGATAACACAGCTGCAGGTGTGGTAGAGACAGTGGAGAGACTCCAAGTTCCAATACCAAGGTATCACTTTGTTAGGTTATTGAGAGGCAGATGTGGTGATGGCTTTTGTTTTGTTTTGTTTTGTTTTGTTTTGTTTGAGACAGAGTCTTGCTCTATCGCCCACGCTGGAGTGCAGTGGCGCGATCTTGGCTCACTGCAAGCTCAGCCTCCTGGGTTTACGCCATTCTCCTGCCTCAGCCTCCCGAGTAGCTGGGACTACAGGCGCCCGCCACCAAGCCCGGCTAATTTCTTTTTGTATTTTTACTAGAGATGGGGTTTCACAGCATTAGCCAGGAAGGTCTCAATCTCCTGACCTGGTGATCCGCCCGCCTCGGACTCCCAAAGTGGTGATGGCTTCTAATTCCTGGATTGTAACTATGATCATGATCACGTGCTCTTGTCTTCATGAGCATATAGCAACTTTGATAGAGCTTGATCCTGTAGGCCTTCCGATGATAATCTAACCATTAATTCCCTATGTTAAATTCCTTTCTGCTTATGGCACATAGACAGGTTCCTGTTTACTGCATTAACAGGGGTCCTCAACCCCCAGGCCTGCACAGCACTGGTACCGGTCCATGGCCTGTTAGGAATACAGCCCGAGGCCAGCAGGATGGTGGGCCAGTGGGTGAGCAAGCGTTACTATCAGAGCTCCGCCTCCTGTCAGATCAGTGGCAGCATTAGATTCTCATAGGAGCAGGAACCCTATTGTGAAATGTGCATGTGAGAGATCTAGGTTGTGAGCTCCTTATGAGAATCTAACTAATGCCTGATGATCTCAGGTGGAACAGTTTCATCCTGAAACCATCCTCCATCTGGAAAAACTGTCTTCCACGAAACAAGTCCCTGGTGCCAAAAACCAGTCACTGTGCATTAGGATGTATGGGTGACACAGTACTTAGTATCTAGAAGTAGGGCTGACTCAGCAGAACCTGAAATATGTTCCACTGGCTGAGTAATCAAGTGGTAGATGGCAAGAAAACATGCCTTACAAGCTTTCAGCTCTTCAAAAGAAGGCCTTTCTCAGTCAGTGGCCTGAGATCTAAGTTGAATGAAAGTGGTAATAGGGGTAGAGGGGGTTACAGGTCTCATAGGTGGTAAAGCCCAAACACAGGAAATAAGATGGCTGCTCCTAGCCTTTCCCAAGAAGAATCCCGTGATAAGAGTTACAGGTTAGCTGGACATGGTGGCACCTGCCTGTAGTCCCAGCTACTTGAGAGGCTGAAGTGGTAGGATCACCTGAGCCAGGAGTTGGAGGCTGCAGTGAGTTATGATGGTTAACACTGCATTCCAGCCTAGGCAACAGTGCAAGACCCTGTCAAAAAAAAAAAAAAAGTTGTGGCTTTAGGTACAGGAATGCAATCACTAACAAATAGTAGCCGTAGAGGGAAAGAATTCAGACAAGAAACACCCAAACCTCTCTGGCGCTCTTTCCTCCATCCTCTGATCTGCAGGTCCTTCCCACTGGCCGAACCTAAATGGAACCCAGAGGACAAGGGAATGCAGTGATGCAGTCCATAATGATCAGGGTGGAATTATGGGTCTGAGGGACACAGGGAGAAAAATAATCACCAATGATAACATCAATCCCTCAACTATATACTTGGGTATTAAATAAGAAATAAAAATGGAACTTATACAACCATGAGACAAACTACATTTCAAAACTTTCGTGATACAACTGAAGCAATACTCAGGGAAATTTATAGCCTTACAAGTTATTTTGGGCATTTAGGTTTTTAACTCAAGAAGCTAAAAAAAACAGAACAAAAATAGCAAAATAAACACAAATAGATGAATGGAAATAGATAAAAGTAGAAATTTTAAAAAAATTTAAAACCACAAACAAATTCAATAGAACTGACCAAACAAAACCAACTAGTTTTTTGAAAAGTCTACCTGAGGCCAGGCACGGTGGCTCACATCTGTAATCCCAGCACTTTGGTAGGCCGAGGTGGGTGGATCACCCGAGGTCAGGAGTTCAAGACCAGCCTGGCCAACATGGTGAAACCCCATCTCTACTAGAAATACAAAAATTAGCTGGGCATGGTGATGGGTGCCTGTAATCCCAGCTACTCGGGAGGCTGAGGCAGGAGAATTGCTTGAACCCAGGAGGCAGAGGTTGCAGCAAGCCAAGATCCTGCCATTGCACTCCAGCCTGGGCGACAAGGCTAACAGAGTGGAACTCTGTCTCAAAAAAAAGAAAAGTCTATCTGGTAAGTTGAAACTCCAGCACATCTATGCAAAACAAAAAGAAAAACATAACAACAATCAGATCTAATTTGTGCTATAAATGAAACTAAAGAGACTACTAAGAATATATCAATAATTTTGAAAACCTAGATAAAAAGCAATTTGTTGGAAAAATTTAATAAAAGGTAACATTTACTGAGTGTTTACAATGTGTCAGGTACTCATCTAAGTAATTCACTTATATTAAATCATTTAGTACTCATAACTACCTTACGAGATAGTTACTGTTATTTTTATTTAATATGGAGAAAACTGAAGCTTAGACAAGTTAAGTAACCTGCTCAAAGTCACATTAACTAATATAACTAATAAATAGCTGACCTAGGATTTCTTAGGTTATCCAGCTCCAGAGCCCATATCTTTAACTATATTACACTGCCTTTCAGAATAAAAAAGTTATCAAAATAGAAAATTGTACCTGAGCAATAACCATAAAAGAAATTGAGCTGATAGACAACATTCAGTCTCTTTTCCCCAGGAAAGGCCAATTTAGCTATACTCTGAAGAAACAGATAATTCTCATTTTGTAAAATCAGTCCTAGAGCACAGAACGAGATGAGAAGTTGCTTGATTCATTTAGAAGGCAAGCAATAAATGTTCACGGATTGGAAGATTCAATATTGATTGTAAAGATGTTAAGTTTCCCCAGATTAATTTATAGCTTCAAAGCAATTTCAATCAAAGTCTCAGTAGGGTTTTTTTATTTTTATTTTTTATTTTTTTACAAAAACTGACAGGCTGATTCTAAAATTTATATGGAAATATAATGGGCCAAGAATAGCCAAAGGCAATCCTGAAGAAAAATACAGCTGAAGGGTCTTATGCTATCAGATATTAAAACCTATTTTTTAAATTATAGTAATTAAAATAATGTGGTATTAACACACGAATAGACAAAATGATCAATGGCAAAGAAGACAGTGTCCAGAAAGAGATCTACACATAAAAGATTCCCTGATTTATGACAAAGGCAACACTACAGTTCAGTGGGGAAAAAATGATCTGTTCAGTAAATGGTGCCAGGTCAACTGGACATCCATACGGGGAAAAAAAAATGTTGATCTTCACTTGTTACCATACAAAAATCAGTACCAGATGGATGACAGATCTAAATGGGAAAATGTCAAATAAAGCTTTTAAAGAAAATATCTTTGTGACCTTAGAGTAGGCAAATATTTTTTTAACAGCACTAATCACAAAAGAATAAGGTTTAATTGGATTATAATAAGGAGCTTCTGTTCATTGAAAGACACGATTAAAAGAGTGCAGAGGCCACATATAGCCCAAGGTAAGATATATGAGGTATATACAGTTGTCTCTTTATTCATGGGGAATTGGTCACAGGACTAGGGCAAATACCCAGTCCATGGATGCTCAAGTCCCTTATATAAAATGGCATAGTATTTGCATATAACATACACACAGTCTCCCACATATTTTAAATCATCTCTAGATTATTTGTAATACCTAATACAATGTGAACACTATGTAAATAGTTGTTATCCTGTATAGTTTTTTTATTTGTATTATTTTTTGAATATTTTTGAGTATTTATTTATTTATTTAGAGATATGGTCTCACTCTGTCACCCAGGCTGGAATTGTAGCTCACTGCAGCCTCAAATTCCTGGGCTCAAGCAATCTTCTGCCTCAGGCTGTGGAGTAGCTGGCATTACAGACATGCATCACCACACCTGGTTAATTTTTTTCTTTTTTTTTTTTAATATGCAGGGTTTTGTTAATGTTGACCAGGCTGGTCTTAAACTCCTGGCTTCAAGCAATATTCCTACCTTAGCCTCCCAAAGTGCTGGGATTACAGGCATGAGCCACCTCACTGGGCCAGAGTATTTCCTTTATTTTTTTTTTTTGAGATGGAATCTTACTCTGTCACCCAGAGCAACCTCCGCCTCCTGGGTTCAAGCGATTCTCATGCCTCAGCCTCTGGAGTAGCTGGGACTACAGGTGCATGCCACCATGCCCAGCTAGTTTTTGTATTTTTTAGTAGAGACTGGGTTTCGCCATGTTGGCCAGGCTGGTCTCAAACTCCTAGCCTCAAGTGATCTGCCTGGCTTAGCTTTCCAAAGTGCTAGGATTATAGGCGTGAGCCACGGTTGGTCCAATCTGCAGATGTGGAACTCTCAGCTAAGGAGGGCCAACTGCATCTCTAACAAAGGACTTGTATCCAGTGTATGTAAATAATTCCTTCAAATCAGCAAGAAAAAGAAACAACCCAATAGAAAAATATGCAAGAAATTTGACGTGGCTTCACAAAATGGATATACAATTGGCTAATAAACACATTAAAAATCTTAACATCTTTATCAAGAAAATACAAATTAAAACCACAAGGAGATACCAGGACATAGCCCCTAGAATCATAAAAAGAAAAACACTAAAATTAGCAAGGGTTGATGAGGATGTGGGGCAATGGGACCTCTCATACATTCCTGGCTGGAGAATAAACTGGTACAACCACTTTGGAATAAAGTTTGGCAATATCTACAGAAATATCTAGGTATTTGCTATGACCCAGCAATTCCATTCCTACATATATATCCACCAGAAATATGTTTAACCAAACACATACAAAAAGGTTCACAGTAGCACTAGTTTAAACCTGGGAACTACTCAATGACCATTAATAGAAGAATGAATTTAAAAATGATCATATATTCACATGGAATACTATGCCAAAATAAAAATTCTCATGTTAACAATATGGACGAATCTCACAAATAAAGCCAGAGAGGAAAAAAAAAAGTCAGAAATAAGAGAGTATATAAATGGAAATGCACAGTGTCTAAACAATAAAAATAGACAAAATTAATCTAGGTTATTATGTTTAAATAGTGATCATTTTGGGGTAGGGAGTAGTGATGGAAAGGACCAGGAGGGAGCTTCTGGTGTGCTGGTGATGTTGTTTCTTTTTTCATTTTTTATTTTTTTGGGGCAGAGTCTGGCTCTGTCATCCAGGCTGGAGTACAGCGGTGCGATCATGGCTCACTGCAGCCTTGACCTACCCAGGCTCAAGTGATTCTCCCACCTCAGCCTCCCGAGTAGCTGGGACTATAGGCATGTGCCACCACGCCCAAATAATTTTTGTCTTTTTTGTAGAGATAGGGTTTCACCATGTTGTCCAGGCTAATCTCAAACTCCTGGGTTCAAGGGATCCATCTGCCTCAGCCTCCCAAAGTGCTGAGATTACAGGTGTGAGCCACCATGCCCCATCTGTCCCGTTTCTTGATCTGGGTGCTGGTTACATGGGTGTGCTCAACATGTGAAAATATAACCATCCACACACTTGTGATCTGTGCCCTGTCCTTATGTAAATTATACTGCAATAAAAATTGTGTATATCAAAGAGCAAACAAACAGCAAACTGGAAATTTTTCTGCAAGTATGACAAAGGCTTAGTAATATATGAAGAACTCACGCAAGTCAATTTTTTTAAAGCTAGCATCTAATAAGAAAATGAGCAACAAATATGAAGAGAAATGTTCAAAGAAATAAAAATAGCTAATAAATGTATAAATGCATAAAATGTAAATTAAAACAATGGAATGTTATTTTTGCCTATCAAATTAGCAAAGATTAAAGGAAACTGTTAAGGCTGTTGTTGAGGATTTGGTGAAACCAATACTCTCTTATTCTTAATGGAAACCGGAATTGGTATAACCTTTCTGCGTAAGTCTTAAATGTTCATATTCTTTCACCCACTAGTTCTACTTCTAAAAATTATTCTGAGGAAAATCAGAGTTGTAGTTAAAAATAGGCTTATATCACTGTTGATTACAATGGTATTTTTTTAAAAAAAGGTTATATTATGATACACGTGAGGGGATATTATAATATTAATGTTTTCAGAGAATGATGAATGGGAAAAGATTCACGATAAAGTCAAGTGAAAAATATATACAAAATTCTACGTGGTATACCTTTTGTTTTAAAAAATATCACACACACATTGTGTCTTAATATAGAGGCTAAAAAATTACACACACATAAACACACATTTACATAGAAATAAAGTCTATAAGAACACATACCGTACTGTTAATAGTTACCATCTTTGGGTGGTGGGATAATGGATGATTTTAACTTGGGGGCTTATTTTCTACAATAAAATGTTCCTTGAGCATATATTACTATTATATTCAGAAATCAAAAATAATGGGTAAAAAAAATACACCCATCAGTTACCCTTACTCTAGAAAATATTTCTCTCTCCTTCAGCTACCACATTCAATCTATAAACATTGCCTCGATTTTAACTTACAAGTGTCTGTCCAAGCCATTATTCCATTACGTCTCTCATTTCATCTCAGGCCCTTGTCTTCCCTAATGAACGCCTCATATCTAGACTCTTCACTTCGGTAAAATGGCCACATTTTCCACTGCTTCTTCATTGCAGCCACATCAAGCCACTTTACATAGCCACCCTCCACACCCCGCCCCCTAAAAATGCACACCAGGTACTTTCACACTTCCCAAGCTTGGCATAATCAGTTCTCTTTCCCTGTAATACATTTTCTCCTGCCGGTTTTTCTAATCCAATTCATAGTTAAAGATTCACCTCGGATATCGCGTACTGGGTGTAGCCTCTGGGAGGCCGCAAGAACAGAAATTAATCCTTCAATGACAGTTTGTACATATTTCAACATTTAGCATTCTGTCCTGTCTGTGCCTCGCTCTCTCGCTGTATGGCATGGGCCACTTCATTTTTAAATTTTCTTAAAATCTAGTTGGATAAATGAAAGTAAAGCGTATACATGCAATACACATACGTACAGGGGTGCGAGTTTTGACCTGTGTCTGATGGAAAAAAATGGCATCAAAAACACTCGCCCGATTTTTTTCATTCAAGATGGCAGAGAACGTCTTAAAATAGTCCCACACAAAAGCACTCACATCTAGAGCCCCGAGTCAGAAGAACTGGCTACACCTAGCGCAACAGCAAAGGACAAAAGAATCGAATCTAGATGCTGAGATGCCCTGGCCCTAACTACCCACAGTAGGTCCCACAAATAGACTTTAAACCGTGTTAGAAAACGGGCACCTGCTGCCTTCATTCCGAGGGCCACGCCTTGACGGTGAACAGTGACCTGAAGCACTCTGGATACTGACCCAAAAAAATCGCGGATGGAAAAGGAGGAGGCTAAGTTGTGACTATCTAAAAGGCACGATTCGGCCCCGCCCCAGCCGGGCGCAGTCCCCCCCGCCGCACATCCATTCCCAGGAAGGAAGAGACACCGCTCCAGCCCAGAGCCTGGCAACCGGGCACCGTCTGGGAATTCTGGGCGGGCCCGAGATAGAGGCCGGCCACGGCCAGGGCGCCTCTGGCTACACCTGTCAGGCGACGACGGACTCTAGGCCCTGAAATCGCTGGGGTTCGGTGGTCGAGGCCAGCTGGAGCGCGTCACCCGATCCCTCGCCCCGGGAACGCCTTGCTTCCTCGATTTCCGTCTCGTCCTTCTCAAACAAAGGCAATCCACACCCACCGCCATTTTCCTCTTACCTCAAAAACCACCTCTTCGTCAAACTCCGGTGTCATCCTTCTCCGCCATGCCACCCGCCTCAGCACGATGGGAAATGAAGGCGGGAGTACAGGCGGCACGGAGCTCCAGCTCCTGCCCGTCCCGTGGGTCCAGAAAACTACAATTCCCAATATGCCTCGCCGCTCACGCCCCCTTTTCGAGCCCGCTTATTGGAGAAGAGAGTGAGCGTGTAAGCGAGAGAGGCGGGAGCGAGCTGAAGCTCGAGCCCTCCGATTGGAGGAGGCTAGGGCTTTTGTCTGCCTTTTACGGCCGCGACTAGCAGGGGGCGCCCGGAGCACTGCTGATTTTTGGAGCCCGAGAAGGGCACGCGCCAGCGGAGCCGAAGAGAGCACTGCTCGTGCCCGCGCCTGGCTGTCAGCCTGCCGCTCTGCGGGGCGGTGCTAGTGCTCGCCCGCCCGACCCCGGCGGCTCGCGCCCGGGAGCGCCGCAGGGTCGCTAGAGTCGGCCGCGTCCTTTGTGTGGCGCTCAGGCTGCGCCGCGGGGCGGCGGGACGGAATGTGGGCGCTGCGGGGGCTTTTCTCTCCTACCCGAACTGTGGGAACAATGGACTGAAAGGGGAAGATGGATTGAGGGGCCGAGCGGGGAAGCGAGCTGCACCGGGGAATCATGACTTCTGCAGCCGGTAAGTGACGGCGCTCGCGCTGCCGCGGGAAAGTTTGTGGCGAGCGCTGCTAGGCTTGGGCTCGCGAGCAACTTTCTTCGCCGGGGTGGGCGAGTTGTGTGCCCCGTACCTTTGCCGAGCACCTCGGCAAGCGCGGAGCTAATGGGATTCGCTGCCGGCTTTCTCGTCTTTTCCTGCCCAGAGGGGCTGTTTGGAAACCCGGGATTTCTCGGGATCTCCCTTCCAAGGGGGACTGTGCTGGGGGCTCTGCACCAGGTGAAATGCGATGTGTGAAGGGCGTTCGCTCATCTCTCCAGCAGTGCGAGGACTTCGCCTTTGCATGTGAAAATAGTGTAGATTCCCAAGTTAATAGATCAGTTATTATAGGTAAAGGCAGTGTTCTCAGCGTGTTCAATTTGGCCACTAAGTGAGTCGCTTTCAACCTTGTATCTGCTGGTAAACCTTTTACCCATTTTAAAGAGGCGTAGACATTGTCATGTCCTGGTGGTTTTACCTCTGTTACCTGAGAAGCAGAGGAGTTGAGATTGTTGAGGTTTTTTTTTTTTTTTTTTTTTTGCTTGTCTGCACCCAATTACAATTATTTTGTTTGTTTCTACCTGATTAGGGTAAACAAAGCTTTATTTTCTGTCTGCCTCCCATAGTTCTTTCCCCTTCATCCAAATGACAAAGCCTCTATCTTTGTGTGGATTTTCAGCAATTCTAGACGTTGTGTTTCTGAACATTCTTAAGGAACAATTTCTGTTTTACAAAATAATTACCAAAGTGGTGTTACGTTCACTTCGTAAGTACATAGGTTAATTTTTAAACCAGAACTTATGTATTAAGTAGAGTGTTATGGGTTATTTTACGTTTTTGTCCACGTTGAAACTTTCATTAGAAATTTTATAGTGAAATAGTTTAAAGCTTCTTCTCAAGGTTACTTCCAGAATCAGCACTTAAGTATCAGATTAAATTTTCATTGCTTTTCTTGGCATTTGTTTAAAATTCTTGCAACTTGAAACTGTCCAACAGCACTCAAATGTTCTGATTTGTATTATTTCTAAAGCCTAGATATATTGTAGTGTTGCATTGCTCCCTGTGATCAGATTACAACAAACGAAACAAGAAGTTAGCCAATAGGAAAAGAAAGCAAGAAGTGGGTGTTGTGTGGGTCTTTCCTTTTTGATGTTATATGCACTTATATGAGATATCTTTATAAACTCTCTTTTCTTTGCCAAAGGGAGGCTTTATACTTACATAAGGTAAATTATTTTCATCCTACATTTCTGTGCCTTACCTTCGTTCAAGAAATTGATTTAAATTAAAAGTGGTTGGAAATTTTAAAATCCTTCCAGCCAGTTTTAGCTCTTTCCTTTTTGGAGGTGTCAAATGTATTTAAAATAACCGTGTCTTATATGTATCAGTTTTCAATTCCAGTCTTAACAGTTTATAAGGAACAGGCACAGAAGCATGTAATTTCACATTTATGTAAACCCAATTTCTAGGGCCCAGACTGGAAGTTCATGATTCTTGCATTTGAATTATCCTAAAATAATGCAAGCTATTTTTGTATTTTATCAACTTTACAATTAAAGAAATCCACAGAAATTTTTGTGGTGTTTAAAGTGGGACACTTCCTGTGTCTAGCCGAGTTGGTTGGTTTTTAGCATTGCTGGCTGAGAAGCATCAACTACTTTTTTGCTCACCCATCTGTTGGATTTATCATAATTCTTTCTGGTGTCTAGATGGGGAATATGGAAGAGAACTGGGGTTTTATTTCTACCCATTCTTATATGTATACATAGTTCTTACAAGCTGATTATGGTGCTTTTTGGGAACAATAGTCAAATTCATTGAAACGTTTAGGAAAGTTACTTGAAGTTAAGGGAGGGGATTTTTGCTTTTGAATCTAATCTGTGGTATTTGGAAGGGTTGGTTTAATTTAAGAAAATAAAAGGAATGTTGTAGAACATCTAGGTTATATGTATCCAGCAGAAAAGCTTGCTTTGTTTTTCTACATCTATAAAATAATCTGCCCTTAGTGGAGATTTCAGAATTATTTTAAGCTGTATATGAAAAAGGAGAGGCTGGGCGCAGTGGCTCAAGCCTGTAATTCCATCACTTTGGGAGGCCAAGGCGGGTGGATCACTTGAGGTCAGGAGTTTGAGACCAGCCTGGCCAACATGGCAAAACCCTGTCTCTACTAAAAATACAAAAATTAGCCAGGTGTGGTGGGGTGCGCCTGTAGTCCCAGCTATTCGGGAGGCTGATATGAAAATTGCTTGAGCCAGCGAGGCGGAGGTTGTGGTGAGCCGAGATCGAGCCACTGCACTCTAGCCTGGGTGACAGAGCAAGACTCCATCTCAAAAAAAAAAAAAAAAAAAGAAAAAAGGAGAGAGAATTATAGGTATATATAGGTATATATTTTGTGTCCTTTTGAACATGTACAGGTCACTGTCTTCATTGTCTGTGCTTTGCGTTTTGGCTGGTCCAGTAGCCAGAGAGTGTACACGTGAACCACAGCCATCTGTGTGTAACAGATGACGAGTATGTTTGTAATAGTTAGTAAAATGGTACTAGTGCTTTACTTTCTTACCTTATATTTCCCTGGAGCCAAACAGCTGTGTAAATAAAAGATTTGCTGCTTTGCTCTAAGAAGCTTTGGGTCTGACTGTTGATGCAGTATTAAGATCCAAAGGTGCTAGATTTATTGCCAAATGTCATGCACTTATTTCACATTGGAGTAGACCATAATATAATGGCTTATTATTTTTTGAGTTGTGTTTCTTCCAAAATAGAGCCATGAAAAAAAAATAATGAAGGATTTTGGATATTGCTCTACCAGTGACTTAGTTGAACACTTGTTCCTATTAATAATTAAGGAATTTTTCAATAATCGTATTGAAATTGATTCCTGCTAACTTTTCAAAATATTATTCTACATTAAAATGGATGTACATTTTTGAATGTGATTATTTTTAAAGAAGAAATTTTCTGTTATGGAGACATATTAAAGAGTATGTGTATGTGGCAGCTGTGATTATTCCCAGGCCCTGTTGTTAGCACTGGGATACATCAGTGAATGAGACAAAGTGCCTGCCCTTCTGGAGCTTGTGTCTTATGCTGAACACAGACAAAGGTGAACTGAAAAAACATCAACGCAGGAGACAGAGGCCACAGTACATGAGGTTCTTCTGAAATGAGTGTCTCAGAAGTTATCATCTCAGATTCCTATGGGCTTTAGAGGCCTGTTCAACTCCCCCATTTATAAGGAAGGAAAGTGAGGCAGCCAGGTCTGTACAAGGCCCACAATTAGGTTAGCCAGCTCCCTGAGTTATGTCTGTGACTTCCTTCAATACACAGTTAACTAACAATGGCAAGCCCAAGTTCACAGTTATTAATTGAATTCAGTGAGTATGCGTTGAGGGTTTTATGTACGTAATAGGACTTTGCTATATTTATTGGGAATCAACTCCAGCACATACGTAGTTAATTGAATTTCTGTGACACTAGAACAGGAATTTATATCTCTTGGAAGCAGATTTGTGTACAAAACGCATTTTTTAAAAAGAGTAAAATTGGTACCAGGGATTTTTTAAAAATGATATTTAAATGACCCTAAAGCTTCTGACAAGGTTCTAAGATACGGAAAGTAAAAGATTAATTTGATGAGAGATGAAGTTTTCTTCCAACTGTGGTAAAATAGCACATAAGATAAATTTACCGTCTTACTCATTTTTAAGTGTATAGTTCAGAAGTGTTAAGTACATTCACATGGTACATCCAATCTCAAGAACTCTTCATTTTACGAAACTATTTTTTTTGTTTTCATGGAGACGGAGTCTTACTGTGTTGCCCAGGCTGGTCTCCAATTCCTGAGCTCAAGCAATCCTCCCACCTTGCCCTCCCAAGGTGCTGGGATTACAGGCATGAGCCACTATGCCAGGCTGCCAAAACTAATTTTTAAAAAATTCTTTGAAAAATCCCAGAGGTAGGATGTTTTGATAATGGTTACAGAAATAAAATCAACTTGACAGTCGTACTGAGTAAGATGGGCCGTTGGGAAGAGGCCTAAGGCATTCATACTTTCTCTTAAGACTTGACTTACTAAATGGAGGGTTTGATTTAATAGACATTTACAACTAGGTTTCTCACTAGGATTTGAAGGGTTTTTCAGTTATTTTCTGCCTAAAAAAAACTCAGACAAAATTAACTATGATGATTGAACAGCTAACTGAAATTATGTAGTATAGGAATTTGCATTATTTTGAAAATAATTTTTTATTGATGATGACATTATACCTAGAAATTGAGTGAGAGGACATGTATCATCATATACATCATATAATCTTTATTGCACACATAGAAGTAGAGATTTAGGGAATTCTTCCTTGGTTGGTAAAAGGAAGTAGAGCACCCTACTCCTCTTTTTTTTAAAAAAACTCAGTTCCGTGTAATAGCTTCCCAAGTGTCGTGACTAATTTCCTTTGTTCAAAAGTAAGTCATCACCAAATGAAATATCAGAGCCCCTGTCTATTCAAGTAATTAAACAACGTCCAGCAGTCCTTTGCAGCAGATATTTTGAAAAGTTTTTTCAGTAAATTAAGTTTTTATTAAGTGTTAGATCCTGTCAAACGAACAAATATAAATGTAAAAGATAAAATATTTTTTATGACATGTCTCCTTGGGGAAATGTGGTCAATAATATGACAGTGTAGGTGGAAGAACATAAAGGAACTTACAGATATACAGGCTTTATTTATCTTTTCGCTTTATAGGTCTGTTGTGTAAAGCTTTTATTAGGTTCCTATAGTATAGGAGCAGATCTGTACCGATGCAGCATTGTATAATAGGTGTTAGTTAAATACCTTATATATAATGTTTAGGAAGAATTGCTACACTAGAAATTGTAGTTATCTTTTAAATGTAGTAGAACAGTGGATGTTAATGAGGGATAAACAACATAACCTGTGGAACTTAAAAGATGTACAGATGTCCAGGATCTATCCCCAGAAACTAACTAGTTCACTCTAGGGTAGGACCTAGACATGTGACTTTTTAAAAAATAGAGCTCCGTGAAGGAATATAATGAAAATTCCCAACCAATAACTCTTGGAGAAAGAAATACCAGGTTTATTATGAGCCTTAAATAATACCAAAGAATTAATTTTCAGTTTTTAAATTTAGAAAATTTCTGATTTCTGTCTTCCTTTTTTAATATTGTTTTGGGGTTCTATCTATCGAGGTAGACAGATCATTGATCATTGATCTGAAGTTTAAAGAGCTGCATCCTACATTTAACTTAGGCAAATTCAACTTTCAGCACTTGGCAAATGAATTGAAGAACAACTATGTGGGTCCCAAACTGAAGTCAATTATCTCATTTTTTGTCAATGAAAGATATGATGGGCTGGGCGCGGTGGCTCACGCCTATAATCCCAGCACTTTGGGAGGCTGAGGTGGGTGGATCACGAGGTCAGGAGTTTGAGACCAGCCTGATCAACATGGTGAAACCCCATCTCTACTAAAAATACAAAACTTAGCCGGATGTGGTGGTGCGCACTTGTAATCCCAGCTACTCAGGAGGCTGAGGCAGGAGAAATACTTGAACCCTGGAAGCAGAGGTTGCAGTGAGCCGAGATCATGTCACTGCACTCCAGCCTGGGCGACAGGGCAAGACTCCGTCTCACAAAAAAAAAAAAAGAAGAAAAAGAAAAAAAGATATGGTAACAGTTCCAAAGCTGGAGAAACAAACTGTATTGGATTTATTTAAAAATGTACAATAGACCCAAAGCTATGTATGGAATTGAAAGACAATTTAAGGAATTTTCAGGAGTAATATTGATACTATATAATGTAACATACTCAGTAAAAGGCAAGGTCATATTGTTAAAAATAAAAAATGCTATCAGATTTAATCATGTATCATTTTGTGCTTTGGTTGTTTTGACATCAAATTATTATTTTTTCCTTTCTAGAGATAAAGAAGCCACCAGTGGCCCCCAAGCCCAAGTTTGTTGTGGCAAATAATAAGCCAGCCCCACCTCCTATTGCACCTAAACCCGACATTGTGATTTCTAGTGTTCCACAGTCGACAAAGAAAATGAAACCAGCAATAGCCCCAAAACCAAAAGTCCTGAAGACCTCACCTGTTCGAGAGATTGGGCAGTCGCCATCAAGGAAAATCATGTTGAACCTGGAAGGGCATAAACAGGAATTAGCTGAAAGCACTGACAACTTTAATTGTAAATATGAAGGCAATCAGAGCAATGATTATATTTCACCAATGTGTTCCTGCAGTTCTGAGTGTATCCATAAGCTGGGCCATAGAGAGAATTTGTGTGTAAAGCAGCTTGTTTTAGAGCCCCTGGAAATGAATGAAAATTTAGAAAACAGTAAAATTGATGAGACTTTGACTATAAAAACTAGGAGTAAATGTGATTTGTATGGTGAAAAAGCCAAGAACCAGGGTGGGGTTGTTTTAAAGGCAAGCGTTTTAGAAGAGGAGCTCAAAGATGCCTTAATACACCAAATGCCACCTTTTATTTCTGCACAGAAGCACAGGCCCACAGACAGCCCAGAAATGAATGGTGGCTGTAATTCAAATGGACAATTCAGAATTGAATTTGCGGATTTGTCACCTTCCCCATCCAGCTTTGAAAAAGTTCCTGATCATCACAGTTGCCACTTACAGCTTCCTAGTGATGAATGTGAACATTTTGAAACTTGCCAGGATGACAGTGAAAAAAGCAATAATTGCTTTCAGTCATCTGAACTAGAGGCTCTGGAAAATGGGAAAAGGAGTACTTTAATATCTTCAGATGGAGTTAGTAAGAAATCAGAAGTCAAAGACCTTGGTCCCTTAGAAATTCATTTAGTACCATATACCCCAAAATTTCCAACTCCCAAGCCCAGAAAGACACGAACTGCTCGTCTGTTACGCCAAAAGTGTGTAGATACTCCTAGTGAAAGCACTGAAGAACCGGGGAATTCAGACAGTAGCTCTTCCTGTCTTACTGAAAATAGTTTGAAAATCAATAAAATCAGTGTTCTGCATCAGAATGTTTTGTGTAAGCAGGAACAGGTGGATAAAATGAAGCTAGGAAATAAAAGTGAATTGAATATGGAATCCAACAGTGATGCACAGGACTTAGTCAATTCACAGAAAGCCATGTGTAATGAAACAACTTCCTTTGAAAAAATGGCACCTTCTTTTGATAAAGACTCTAATTTGAGTTCTGACAGCACAACTGTAGATGGTTCTAGTATGTCGCTTGCTGTGGACGAAGGGACCGGTTTTATAAGATGTACTGTATCTATGAGCCTGCCTAAGCAGCTCAAATTAACTTGCAATGAACATTTGCAATCTGGGAGAAACCTGGGAGTTTCTGCCCCTCAAATGCAA
The DNA here is from genome assembly GCF_000001405.40 of Homo sapiens. Classification (NCBI taxonomy): domain Eukaryota; kingdom Metazoa; phylum Chordata; class Mammalia; order Primates; family Hominidae; genus Homo; species Homo sapiens. Next base: position 95,209,840 of record NC_000012.12, on the reverse strand, counting down.
AAGGAATCTGTTATAAAAGAGGAAAATTCTCTACGAATTGTCCCCAAAAAACCTCAAAGACATAGCTTGCCTGCTACAGGAGTGCTTAAAAAGGCTGCCTCCGAGGAGCTTTTGGAAAAAAGTTCTTATCCTTCAAGTGAAGAAAAAAGTTCAGAGAAGAGTCTAGAAAGAAATCACCTTCAGCATTTGTGTGCCCAAAACCGTGGTGTGTCATCCTCCTTTGATATGCCTAAACGGGCTTCAGAAAAGCCAGTGTGGAAGTTACCTCATCCTATTTTACCCTTTTCAGGGAACCCAGAATTCTTAAAGTCTGTCACCGTATCGTCAAACAGTGAGCCTTCAACAGCCCTAACCAAGCCCAGAGCAAAATCGTTATCTGCTATGGATGTGGAAAAGTGCACTAAGCCTTGCAAAGACTCTACAAAGAAAAACTCTTTTAAAAAGTTGCTCAGCATGAAACTGTCCATCTGTTTCATGAAGAGTGACTTTCAAAAATTTTGGTCCAAGAGTAGCCAACTCGGAGACACCACCACAGGCCACCTCTCCAGTGGGGAGCAGAAGGGGATTGAAAGTGATTGGCAAGGCTTGTTGGTAGGAGAGGAGAAGAGAAGTAAACCCATCAAGGCATATTCCACAGAAAACTATAGCCTGGAATCTCAAAAGAAGAGGAAGAAGTCTCGGGGCCAGACCAGTGCAGCTAATGGTCTGAGAGCTGAGTCTTTGGATGACCAAATGCTCTCCCGGGAGTCATCATCTCAGGCACCTTACAAGTCTGTTACAAGCCTCTGTGCACCGGAGTATGAAAATATACGCCATTATGAGGAAATACCAGAGTACGAGAACTTGCCATTTATTATGGCTATACGGAAAACTCAAGAGTTGGAATGGCAGAATTCCAGCAGCATGGAGGACGCTGATGCAAATGTGTATGAGGTAGAAGAGCCGTATGAAGCTCCAGATGGCCAGCTGCAGCTTGGACCCAGACATCAGCATTCCAGGTAACAGGTGCCAGACAGACACTTTTGCATGCATCATTGCAATTAACCTTCAACAGCCTGGTGAGTTAGGAATGCAGGGGGAAAAAAAACACGTGGTTGAAGGAATAGTTTAGAAAATGTGTAATTATTCTCAAGTGCAGCCTCCTTTTAGCATACAGTTGGAATGGGTATTTGCAATACAAGCTTGAAGTAGTTAATTTATTTTAGTAACCGATTCAAAGAATTTGAACCAGTGGCAATGTAGGTGCTGCTGCAAGGAAGGCGTGGAACAGAGAGGTCCTGGGCCTCCAGACACCAGCTCAGAAGTCATATCAGGAAACCTGGGGCAGGAAATTGGCCAATTCAATGACATTTATTTGCTAGGTATAAGAAGTCTGAAGTTACTGAAATATGTAGGCATTTACGTGTGGTGCGCTTATCAGGTGGAACCTCCACATTTTTAGAAGTTCACCACTCTTTGAAGATTGGTCATTTTACCTGTTGATGGCTAATTGCTGACCTCAAGTGGATATAGGAAAAATGCAGGAAACACGTAACTACTCTTTATTTCTCACTTTTAAAATAATTTAATTAAAAAAAAATTTTTTTTTTGAGATGAGGTCTTACTCTGTCACCCAGGCTGGAGTGCAGTGGTATGATCATGGCTTACTGCAGCCTCGACTCCCCAGGCTCAAGGAGTCCTCCCATCTCAGCCTCCTTGAGTAGCTGGGACTATAGGTGCATGCCACCATGCCTAGATAATTTTTGTATTTTTTGTAGAGACAGGGTTTTGCCATCATGCCCAGGCTGGTCTTGAACTCCTGGGCTCAAGCACTGCTCCTGCCTTTGCCTCCCAAAGGGTTGGGATTACAGGCATGAGTCACTACACTGGGCCTATTTCTCACTTTTGTGTGTGCACTTCCTACCTGTGGAATACCTACTCCATCTCTCTTATTAAAATCGTGCCCATCCTCAATAATCCACCCCCTCAGTCTTTGGCTTCATTAAGCTTCTACAATTACCTAGTCAGAAGTGTTTACTTCCTATTCTGACCACCCAGTTATGCTGTGATATCCTTTCATCTCAGGCTGTCTTAATGTATAACTATTTATTGGCATGTCTGATGTTCTGTATTTGGTTTTAAGCTCCATGAAGAGTTCTAGTCATCTCTTTGCCCTGGATAAAGCCAAGCAAGAGGCCTAGTAGAATCAGTAGATGTTGATTGGGTCTAAGAGAGAATGAATGAAAATAGGCCAAGAGAGCAACCACTGCAGCGGCTTCCTTCTCTCCATAGTCGCATAGGTAGCTTTTCCATTGTATTTCTAATGTTTGTTTGTGTTTAACAAAAAAGCACATGGACCCTTTTGGAAATCTTTAGATTGTTCTTAGTCCACTAACTTCAGGTCTTTGAAATTCAAGTCTTGAAATGTGACTTTTCTAGAAAATACTTGGCACATAGTGGGGTGTATTAGTCCGTTCTCACGCTACTAATAAAAACATACTCAAGACTGGGTAATTTATAAAGGAAAGATGTTTAATTGACTCACAGTTCAGCATGGCTGGGGAGGCCTCAGGAAACTTACAATCATGGCGGAAGAGGAAGCAAACACATCCTTCTTTACATGGGGGCAGCAAGGAGAAGTGCAGACCGAAAGATTGAAAAGCCCATTATAGAACCATCAGATCTTGTGAGAACCCACTCACTATCTCTAGAACAGCAGCTTGGGGGAAAACCGCCCCCGTGATTAAATTACCTCCCACCGGGTCCCTCCCACGACATGTAGGGATTATGGGGACTACAATTCAAGGTGAAATTTGGGTGGGGGCACAGCCAAAGCATATCTTGGGGGCTCCAAAAAAAAAAAAAAGCATTGTTGGGTGAATTGAATAAATAAAATTGTCGAGCAAGTCAGCGTACCAAGTAAAGTAAATTATTTTAAGTTCCTTTAACTGTCAGGTATTCTCATAGCATTTCTCTTTACTCGTAGTCAGTCTTTCCTGCCCTTCCTCCTTTTGCCTAAAAATGGCTACTTTCCTCCCTTGTCTAATTTTTCTCACAGCCAGCTGCATTCTGTTTTCATATTTCTGCTTCCTGAATATTAGTACCTAGGCAAAAAGCTCCTTCCTTGGCATAAGTACTTCTTTTTCTTTTTTTTTTTTTTTTTCTTTGGAGACAGGGTCCCCTCTCTGTCTCCCAGGGTGGAGTACAGTTGTATAGTCAAGGCTTACCGCAGCCTGTAACTCCTGGGCTCAAGTGATCCCCACCCACCTTCAGCCTCCCAAGTAGCTGGGACCACAGGGGCATACCACCACACCCAGCTGATTTTTATTTTTTATTTTTTGTAGAGATAGGGTCTCCCTGTATTGCCTAGGCTGGTCTCAAATTCCTGTGCTCAAGTGATCCTCCCATCTCAGCCTCCCAAAGTGCTGGGATTACAGGCATGAGCCACCACTACCGGTTCTTGGCATAAATATTTCAAATTGTCTGTTTTCAGGATTGCTCTTCTCTGCAGAACCATTTTATTGGTACTATCCTTTTTTTTTTTAAACATGCTTTTGCATATTTTTTTGTGTGTAATAAGTTTGGTTGGCTTCTTCACAATGTACTACTATCCTTGCCTAAGATAAATTTTTTTTTTAATCACTTTATTTGTGAATGAGTACAATTTTTTCTTGAAATTGGAGGTTTGGCCATTGGGGTGTGTTTTCTGTTGGCCATCAGGCTTAAACCCTAAGGGCTTACCATTATCTCTGCCAATCCTGGAGCTTGTTTTTTATCTGTTATGCTGCTTAGTTTGTTAGGGCCTGCTACTCGACTGGGTGGAAGCTGGTGAGAAGGGGTTAATGGACGCAGCCAGCCAGTGGCATAAGGAGAGTTCTTTCTGGAGGCCACAGGAAACCAGGGCGGCTTTGGACAGGTTATAGGCTGTCAAGTAGGGCAGCCTGGTAAAAGCTGGGTGAGCTTTGCTTTTGAATTTCGCTTTCCAAGGAGACTTTTGTTTAGGCCTGCAGCAGGGAGCCTGCAACAGGCTTGAGACTACTAAAATGTGCCAGAGGAATCAAAAGCCCTGAGTCATAGGGTCAGAATCACAGTATTGCCTGGGAGGTTGTTCCTCTTGTAAACAACATTGAATAGAGGAGAAAAGAAATTCAAGTCTTCCTGAGGAGGACACCTTGACACCCTGAGATCAAATAAATGAACAGTGAGGCATACATTTCAGGTGAGCTCAAAGGGTCCTGTTTGGTAATCTCGCTGTTGAAAATACAGACCTGTGCCTTAGAATACTTAATTCAAAATCCAGTACACTGACTGGGGTTCTAAAATGATAAGAAAAAGTGAAAATGAACTCTGTTTAAGATTTTTCTGCTGGGGTCATCACAAGGGTGTCTTAGTTTCTCAACCTTCAGGGAAGAAAGTCTGGGTCAGGGCTCTAATTCACTGAATCATGTATTTTACAGAGTCTACACATGTGACCAACCAAATTCTGGTTAGTAAACAGACTTTTGACAAGCTTGGGTGTAGCCCATATGGTCTTATTCTTTAGAATATAGATGTTTCATAAATCCATTGCTTACCATTTACTTTTTTTTTTTTTGAGACAGAGTCATGCTGTGTTGCCCAGGCTGGAGTACAGTGGCACCATCACTGCTCACTGTAGCCTTGACCTCCTGGGGTTAAGTGATCCTCCCATCTCAGCCTCCCAGGTAGCTGGTACCACAGGCATGTGCCACCACACCCATCTAATTTTTGTATTTTTTGTAGAGATGGGGTTTCACCTTGTTGCCCAGGCTAGTCTCGAACTCCTGGTCTCAAGACATCCTCCTGCCTTAGCCTCCCAAAGTGCTGGAATTATAGGCGTCAGCCACCATGCCTAGCCTACATTTACAAATTTATAACAACATGTTTACAATTTATCAGAAAGTAGTTGTAGGCAGTCCCCAATTCCTAAAAGGATTGTGTTCTAAAAGTTCATGGTAATTTGGAACTCAGAGTGTATTTCCCAAAGAAACAGCTTTGAAATGGTGGTGAAGTCCTCAGTTTAGTCCGCAGGTTATATTAACCATTACTGCCCTGTCTTCCCCTCCACTCCTCTCCCTACCCCAGCCCAAGGGAGGTGAATTATCTCTGACTGTGTATGTGTGTGTGTGTGTGCGCGTGCATGCACGTGTGTCCCTGTGATGCAAGCTGGGGCTGAGGCGGTAGCCAGGGTGGGGTTAAGCACCTGGGATCTCAGAGGAGCAAATCTACAAGGCCTGGGGCCCCAGGGTTTGTGGGAAGGATGAGATGACTAAGGAAGAATGAGGAAACTGGGGGCTGGGTGAGCTGTGTGGAAGACTGAAAGTCGTCAGGAGTGATAAGGGGGAAGGGTAGGGTAGTGGCTGGGAATTAGTAGGCAGTGAGTTTCTCTACCTCCTTTTCTTCTTATTCCAATCCCTTCTCTCTTTCCCTCCCCGTTCTCCTTTGCTAACTGCATCATTCGGCTAATTGAGTTTCTGATGCCTGGCAGAGTGAGTAGAAGAAACCAGAGGAGGAGACTGGATGAGGGTGTAAGGAGTGGCACTGAGAAACCCCAGAGGAGAAAGGACGAACAGCCAAACCTGAAGATGAAGGAGACTGGAAGGGAAGTTCCCATGGCTGGAGAAACCATAGCTTTAGGTGTTCCAGATAGGTCATCATTTAGTCACCGCTCCGGGTTCTCAGAGGCAGTTTTGTTGGTAGTGCAACTGTGAGCCACTCTGGATTATTCTGACATTTTGGGAGTATAGTTATGAGACCTCTTCCTTGAAATGTTTCAGATATAATAAACATAAAATAGCCAGCAGGCAAAGGATCTTTCTATCTTATTGATATTCAGGTGATGGGTACCCATTTACTACTATTTTTATTTAAGAAGTTTGATGTTCAGAGAGAAGTTCCTAAAATTTGAGCCTTTGAGCCTTTGTCTGTAACCCTTATTCAAGGGCTATAGACAAATCAGCAAAATAATAGTGTCCAAATGTTGGAATTTCCTTTTTGAAATTGAGGCAGATTTCTTGATTCTATAAAGAAAACTGTCCCTGGAAACATTCCAAGTTTTTCCTGTGTTGTTTCAATTTGTTCTTATTATAAATATTTCAAAGAAAAAGTATGATAATTGGGTTTTCCTAGGCAACTTAGCAAACCCTCGATTTATTTATTTCACAGATACTGACCATATGTCAAGCATTGTACTTTCAAAGGTGAAAAGTGATGCCTACTCCCAAGGAACTTCTGCCCATTGAGGTGACAGAAATTTATAATACATGGTTTTACTAATTAGTTGTCTTTTTCTTAGTTGTACCCTGAATAGGGTATTAAAGAAAACATCACCTACATGGCAACACTTGAACCAAGTCTTTTTTAAATGGGCGTGATTAGATCTGGTGTTTAGGAGGTTGTTTTTTAATGTTGGTGAGAGCAGTTTTAGTGGTACTGTTGGAGAAGGAGCCAGATTGCAAACTGGGACTGAGAAGAGAGGAAGTGGAATCAGAAATGTGGATTGTTGTCCCTTGAAACTTTGCCCAGAAGTGCCTGTCATTTGACAGGTTTGGATTTATCTTTTGGTCTTCAAGCACCAGAATTCAACATAAATTGAACTTCAAAATTATTTCTTTTAAATGAATCAGTATACCCTCATCTCTGATGAAAGAAAGTACTAAGTTTTTGTTTCTCCCCATTTTAAATTTGAGACTGGTCTTGAAGAGCTGCTGAATGACACTGCAAGTCCTATTATGGGATTTTCATTGTAAATCAGGAAACCTAGTCTAGAAGACCTCTCTCTTTGGTTACATTTACCACCTCATGGTATTGTTGGATTTCAATGTAAGGATTAGAGTATACATTAACAGCCTATGAACATTTCCATGTTGTCGTAGCACAGTTAAGATTATGCACAGTTAGAAGGTGGGGGTTGGGACTGATATTCAACAGCAGCCCTTTCCTGTAAGTTATTTTCAGAGACAGCTCAGGAAATGTAAAAAATCTGTATGCCTCTTTAACTTTGTGTTTCTCGTGTTAGAATTGTAGCCACACAGTTCTGGCAAATCTGTTTGTTTGCATACTTACCCTGCATTTGAAATTGCAGCAGAAGCATTGGGTTTTCTTTCTTGGCAATAAAGCTGTTCTTTTTTCCTTTTAATAAGGAATTAGGGGCCAGGCATGGTGGCTCATACCTGTAATCTCAGCACTTTGGGAGGCCGAGGCAGGAGGATTGCTCGAGCCCAGGAGTTCGAGACCAGCCTGGGCAACATGGTGAGACCCTATCTCTATGAAAAAAAGGAGAAACAAATTTTTTTTAAAGGAATTAGGAATAAGTATTATGAAGAGTATCAATTAAATATTAGGAATTAAATTGCAGTATTTTGTCCAGCTGTGTTACTTTGGTCTCATTTCCTGCCAAAGCAGATAAATGATATTTTATTTTATTTTATTTTATTTTATTTTATTTTATTTTTTGGGAAATGGAGTCTCACTGTGTCGCCCAGGCTGGTGTGCAGTGGTGCAATCTTGGCTTATTGCAACCTCCACCTCCTGGGTTGAAGAGATTCTCCTGCCTCAGCCTCCTGAGTAGCTGGGATTACAGGCACTGCCACTATGCCCAGCTAATTTTTTGTACTTTTAATAGAGATGGGGTTTCACCATGTTGGCCAGGCTGGTATTGAACTCCTGACCTCAAGTCAGCCCACCTCGGCCTCCCAAAGTGTTGGGATTACAGGCATGACTCACCGCGGCCAGCCCATATGTATGTTTTTGTGTGGTAGACTGTCACTCTACACTTTTAGAGACATATTTTTAGAGATAGAAGAAAAAAATATAGACTACAAAAATGTATGGAAGAAGAAGATGTGTGTGTGTGTGTGTGTGTGTGTGTGTGTGTGTGTGTGTGTGTATTCTGTCCTGCTTAGTAAAACATTTTTTTGAGATAGCTGAAATTTGCACACTTTGGGAGAATAAAAGATTGCATTATTATTTTTAGAGCTAACTAGTTTTCCATTGCTGTGTTTTCATCAAGTTCTTGAATAATAAAGATCTAAAAATCTTAAATTTAGCCAAGGATATGATTATTTTGTTTTTATAAAATTTGAGTTAATCAGTGAGACAAACATTGCTTTGTAAAGTGAATTTCTGACCTAGGTCCTAGAGAAATGTCCCCAGTGTAAGTCTTTTGGGAAGGGCAGAAGTGGGGAGGGTGACAAGGAGGGCCCACTATGTTCTCCTAAGTATTTGCACTTCTTGTAATGACCTGATATATAAAGGTAATCAGACAATCATCCTTCAGTCAAGGAATGGATAAAACCTAGCAGTAGGGTGTTTGGAAATCGGAATGCATTTTTGCAGTAGTCATAACTGAGTGGGGGTTGCTTTCCCAGCCCGCCCACAAGAACATATTTAGCTTCTAATATATGAAAAATGTGATAGAAAGTAATAGGAAATGAGACTATGGCAGTAATAAAACAGCAGTGAAGTTAAATAAATGGCTTTTGTGACTCTTGAATGATGGTGCCTTCAAGAAGGGAAAGGTTAGTGTGTTGAGGAGGGAAATAGCAAGGGGGAAGGGAACAGGATGAAGAGGTGGAGATGAACTTTTATCTCCCTGATCTTCCAGGTGGTTCAGGGGAATTCCAGATCTGGGCGTGTGTCTTTATGGAAGGGAATGAGTATTCATATTTCACATATTCATAAGTAATGCCTGTGCTTGTATATTACATTTGATAGCTTTTTATGTTCTTCTAGACATTTTTTAAAAATTCATTATCTATTCCTGGAATCGCATAGATAAATTTGGTCTTTAGGGAAGCCCTTTTGGATTAAAAAAAAAAAAGCAGACTAGACATGTTTATATCAGCCTATTTATTTTAATACTTTCTTGAAACTATGTTAGGTACAAAGAACAGTTCGTGTTATAGCACATTTGGGTGTGGGTAGCTACAAAGAAGTACTGGCCTTTTTTTAATGCTGAGTGTCTTAAGTTCAGGAATGGAACTGCCTACTTTCTTCTGGGTGGTATGGAAAAACTACTTCGGTGGCTTAGCCTGCTTCTGGTAATTGTGTTCGTGGATCTCTGGAGCAAAAACTGTATTTGTAAGTAGTTTTGACAGCAGGCAGAGATAATCTATGATTGGAGCAATAAAAATAGGAGTGGCCAAATAGACTGTCAGTGGAGTAAATATGATGATTGTATTTCTGGGAAGAACAGCTGTCTTCTTTCAGTTTTCTTTCCCAGGTTTCTCAGCCCTTCTTGTTTGCATTTATTATAGGCCCCCTTTTGGTTCTATATAAGCATGAATTGGAGTAAGGTTGCTGTGTTACCCTTTTATATGCAAAGAAATTGAGTTATGGTGGTTAAGTGATTTCATGAAAAATGAACAGTGATGGAAATGCGATGGATTAGTGGTTCTGAGCCCTCATCTTCAAGGGTCTGTTTACCAGACTCTCCCATTTATCAAAGTATTTTGGTTTCTGATGCAGGAAAGGTGAAATAATAAACACTGAACAAAGAAAACCAGTTTCCCCCTGATGTTTCCATAAAAATTAAAAGGAAAACAAACACATTTAGGCTTTTTATGTTTGAAATGGTGTAACTGCTTGTTCTTTTAGCTCCTGTGGATTCAGTCGAAAACTTCATGTTTTACTTAGATCATTTATTTTTTGAAGTCAGTTTTTTTTGATAACATTTATAACAGTTGACATACTTTGGCATATGTTAGTATCGTATGAAACATTAGAAATTAAAGAGTAGATATGGTTTTTAATAAACTTAGAATAGCCTGTTTTGTTTTGTTTTATATCTGAAAAGCAGTTCTGATTTTGAATTGTTGGGCAACTGTAGTTTTAAGTCGACAAAATGTATAAAGAAGGAATAATTTGTAGCTTATCCCCACCTTCCCTAACTTTCTTTTGGTCTTTTGATGTATCCCACAGTCCCAAGAAGAAAGGGATTTCAGTGTAGAAATGTAGCTTTTTGTAATCCCAGAACTTTGAGAGGCCCAGGCAGGCATATTACTTGAGATCAGGAGTTCGAGACTAGCCTGGCCAATGTGGTGAAACCCCGTCTCTACTAAAAATACAAAAATTAGCTGGGTGTTGTGGCACGTGCCTGTAGTCCCAGCTACTCAGGAGGCTGAGGCAGGAGAATTGCTTGAACATGGGAAACAGAGGCTGCAGTGAGCTAAGATTGAGCCAGCCTGGGCAAAAGAGCAAGACTCCATCTCAAAAAAAAAAAAAAAAAAGGTAGCTTTTCCACTACTTAATTTTTCTTTCCATAGCTCCACTAAAAACATGCAGATAAAGCACAGTCCATCTCTACTGCCCTTCTTACTGGGGAGGAAGGCAGGGATAGATAATGAAATCGTTTACAAGTCCAGGTATGATTTGCTTGATAACAAAAGTTTCTGAAATCTTAGTCTTTTAGAAGTCTGGGGGTAAGAAAAAAATAAATAAGGATTTTTTTTTGTTGTGTAATCAAGTGGTTTGAAAAAAGTGAGAAATTAACATATGTCTGTTAATGATTTTAGGTTAAATATAGTCTTAGGATCATTAAAGTTTAGAACTAAAGGAATCATTATAAATCATGCAGTAAAGTCTCTTCACTCACTGATGCAACCAAAGCCCGTGAAGACTTGTCGACTTTGCCCACACCACAGAAATGGGAAATTCCAAAACCAGAGCTCCAGCCTGGAGCTTCTAATGCTGGGGTGGAAAGCCTTATAGAGAAAGTGAGCAAAATTTAGAAGACGAAAGTGATCTTAGTTGTTGCACAAAGGTTCAGGTTTACTTGCATCATTGCACTTTTTTCTCCTTTTGTAACAGTGTTGTTACCGCTGTGAGGAAGGAGGCCCCACACACAGATGCATATGAACACAGAATTATATGGCTGTTTTTAAAATGGTGATTTCAGCAAGGTGAATATTCAAACCAGGCAGAAACTTTCAGCAAACAAATAATCTGATGCTACTAATACACGTTAACAAAACTTTCTTCCCCCAAACTGACTCCCCATCAATCCAGTTTTTACTCCACCTCACCAAAAGTCTATGAACCAGACAAGAGGAAGGATTAGAAGTGCCATTCACATAAATAGCATGAGTTTTAGGCTTAATAGTAATCGTGGACGGGCACAGTGGCTCACGCCTGTAACCCCAGCACTTTGGGAGGCCAAGGCTGGTGGATCTCGAGGTCAGATCGAGAACATCCTGGCTAACACGGTGAAACCCCATCTCTACTAAAAATACAAAAAATTAGCCGGGCGTGGTGGCGGGCCCCTGTAGTCCTAGCTACTCGGGAGGCTGAGGCAGGAGAAGGGCGTGAACCTGGGAGGCGGAGCTTCCAGTGAGCAGAGATAGCGCCACTGCAATCCAGCCTGGGTGACAGAGCGAGACTCTTGTCTCAAAAAACAGAAAAAAAAATAGTAATCGCTTGGATTTACTCAAGATTTCCGATATGCCAGCATTATGCTAGGAGCTCTTGCGTGTACCATTTCGTCCCTTTTGTCCTTTAAGATAGATATTATTGTTTTCTTTAACAGATGAGGAGACTAAGACTTAATGGGGTTGAATAACTTGCTCAAGGGCACAGAGCTAACTTGTAGATAAACTGAAGTATGGAACCAAGTTTTCTGATCCTGAGACAGACTGACATTTAATCAGAACATGTTGATGTTGTGCTTTGCTGTGAGCCATGGTTTCACTATTATTTTATTTTTTATTATTAATATTGGTAGAGGTCTGTGAATCTTCTACCCAAGGGACCACAAGGGACAAACTATTTCTGTCTTTAATTTGTTCACTATTTAGAGGGAAAACACAGAGACACCTGCAGTGATAGGAATAGAAATTAATGAGCATTTGTAGAGACCCCAGATTTTTCATGCAGGAAGAGTTCATTGATTGGAAAGCTCTTGTGGTTAGGTAATAGGTGTTTCAAAGGTTGGAAACTGAATTCATTATGTCATATTTGCATTTAGTCCGGTAGGTGGTGGCTGCTATTCAAAGCAAGTTAAATATGATTCCTGTCATTTACTAGTTGCATGTGGACATTAATGGCATGGAAAGGATTATGCATGTCTCATATTTCCCCACTGATTTACATGAGAGCTGCTTTTTTTAACCAGTTTATCCCTGTTTCTCATTTTGTTCTCTCTGTCAAGTACATTCTGACGTCTAAAGCACTTTTATTTAATAATGTTATTTATGGGTCCCCAAAGTAAATATTTTGTAAGGCTAAAATACTTTTTGTAATAAGATAATACCCTTATTAACTTAGGGAAAAAATAGATTTAAATGAATGGTAGGGGTATAGTCCCCCAAAAGACGCAGGTGATATGTTCCCTCTAATTAGTTGAAGATTTCTTAGAGAAGGAAGACTTTATGGAGCCTTTTGGGGTTCTTTTTGTTTGTTTGTTTTTATTTTTTAGAGACAGAGTCTTGCTCTGTTGCCCAGGCTGTAGTGCAGTGGCGTGATCTCACTTCAGCCTCCACCTCCCAGGTTCAAGCGATTCTTCTGCCTCAGCCTCCTGAGTAGCTGGGATTACAGGTGCACACCACCACACTGGGCTAATTTTTGTATTTTTAGTAGAGACGGAGTTCACCATGTTGGCCAGGCTGGTCTCAAACTCCTGACCTCAAGTGATCCACCCACTTCGGCCTCCTGAAGTGCTGGGATTACAGGCATGAGCCACCGTGCCTGGCCTGAGCATATTGAATTGTGAGAGAGTAGGACCTGGATACTGGATGAGGGAGCATGTTCAGTCTGGCTATAAGTTGAGAGAAGTTCTTAGGCAAACCACTGCTAGCATTACTGGAACACAGGTTATAGTCACTGACCCTGTCTCCCAAAAGGCTTGCTGAATCTACTTCCAAGGTAAAACGGATTGAGATGCCTCTTTGTGACTTTTTAATTTGTCATCTGGCTGGCTCTGGTGGCTTATGCCTGTAATCCCAGCACTTTGGGAGGCCAAAGCAGGAGGATCACTTGAGGCAGGAGTTTGAGACCAGCCTGGGCAATATAGTGAGACCTTGTCTCTACAAAAAATTTAAAAATTAGCCAGGCATGGTGGCATGTACCTATAGTCCCAGCTACTTGGGAGGCTGAGGTGGGAAGATCACCTGAGTCTGGGAGGCAGAAGTTGCAGTGAGCTGAGATTGCACCACTGCACTCCAGCCTGGATGACAGAGCAAGACCCTGTTTCAAAAAAAAAAAAAGAAAAAAATTGGCATGTTTATTAATACTGTCTATGCTGAACTGAACTTGGTTTGTCTTGTTTTAAGTGAATAAATGCCATAGTCATAGTATAGAAAGCATATTTAAATTCCTTCTGACCAGGTGCAGTGGCTCACGCCTGTAATCCCAGCACTTTGGGAGGCTAAGGTGGGTGGATCACGAGGTCAGGAGTTTGAGACCAGCCTGGCCAACATAGTGAAACCCCGTCTCTACTAAAAAGACAAAAAATTAGCTGGGCGTGGCCTCCAGCACTTTGGGAGGCCATGGTAGGAGAATCACTGGAGTCCAGGAGTTCAAGACCAGCCTGGGCAACGTAGCAAGACCTTGTTTCTAAATAAATAAATAATAACTTCCTTCTATGCACAACCTGCTGTTACTGTGCTAATTATGTAACAGGCTTCTGTAGAGCCAAACTGATTTGAAAAACTGTACTTGGCTGTTAAAGGTATATTTAAAAATACGAAATTACTCAAAATGTTTTTTTGTTTTGTTTTGTTTTGTTTTGTAGACAGAGTCTAGCTCTGTCACCCAGGCTGGAGTGCAGCAGCGTGATCTCAAGCTCGCTGCAACCTCCGCCTCCCGGTTTCAAGCGATTATCCTGCTTCAGCCTCCCAAGTAGCTGATTAGAGACGTGCGCCACCACACCTGCCTAATTTTTATATATTTAGTAGAAACGGGGTTTGGCCATGTTTGGCCACACTGATCTTTAGATTCCCCCGGTTTTACTTGTACTCACATGTGTATTTAATTCTATATAATTTTATTAGATGTGTAGGTTTGCATCTCCATCTTCACCATTCCATCACCACCAAGACCCCTCTTGTCCTTTTATACCCACACCCACCCCCCTCCCACCTCTTCCCGTCAACCCCTGGCAACCACTAGTCTATTTCAGATTGTTTTGTTGTTTAAAAATGTTATATAAGGCCAGGCGTGAGCCACCATGCCCGGCCCTTTCAAACTGTATTTTATTTAAAATATCCTATAATTCTGACTTTTTAATGAATTTGTAATTTTTTTTCCTCTCAAATTAAATTAAAATCTACCCACAAATAGCGACACAGTTGGCCTGGTTGCCAGGACATTTCGTTATCAAAGGGCATATAAGTATAGGCTTTCAGTTTTTAGTCTACAGGTGTAGGTACGTGTCCATTTCACTGCCTTTCATCGCTTGTTTCCTGCCTTTCCCTGTTTTATGCTAAAAACAAAACAGAGGATGGCCAAGGGACAGTGGTGTGATGCTGCTCTGAAGGCTTTTGTTATAGAACCTGGTGAAGTCCTGTGGCCTCAATCTGCCAGTATTCTTTGGCAGAGATTCCTACCTGATGACAGTTGATTTCAGAGATCTCTGATTCTTATGTAAACATAGTGACATTTTACCTGCTGGAGGGGATGTTGTCAGGTGATTTTAGTCCGTTGTAGCTAATCAGGTGCTTCAGAGAGATTTGGATTGTTAGATTTTATTTCATAGAATTTATATGGCATTTTAAATATAAAATTTATAGCAAAATAATAGATTTTACTTTTATAGAAGTCAGTAAACTTCATGTCCCCTCAGGAAAACCAGGAAACAAATAAATTACCTCCGATTATGTCCTTATCTGAGGCTGCTCTCGGCATTTGGAAGTGGAAGTGAAAAAACAGCATAGAAATTAAGGATAGTTCTTACCCAGGAGGAATTTGCAATGTGGTTTATTACTGTTTTTAATTGAAATGTTTATCGATATAACTGTAGATTCACATGTGGCAAAGAAACAATAGAGAGAGAAACTAGTCTGCTTCAGCTAGTTTCCCTTAATGGTAACATTTTATAGAACTATAGTAAAGAATCACAACTAGTATATTAACATTGACAGAATCCACACTGATCTTTAGATTCCCCCCGTTTTTACTTGTACTCACATGTGTATTTAATTCTATATAATTTTATTAGATGTGTAGGTTTGCATCTCCATCTTCACCATTCCATCACCACCAAGACCCCTCTTGTCCTTTTATACCCACACCCACCCCCCTCCCACCTCTTCCCGTCAACCCCTGGCAACCACTAGTCTATTTCAGATTGTTTTGTTGTTTAAAAATGTTATATAAGGCCAGGCGTGGTGGCTCACGCCTGTAATCCCAGCACTTTGGGAAGCTGAGGTGGGCAGATCACCTGAGGTTGGGAGTTCGAGACCAGCCTGACCAACATGTAGAAACCCCGACTCTACTGAAAATACAAAATTAGCCAGGCATAGTGGTTCATGCCTGTAATCTGAGCTATTCAGGAGGCTGGGGCAGGAGAATCGCTTGAACCTGGGAGGTGGAGGTTGTGGTGAGCTGAGGTCATGCCACTGCACTCCAGCCTGGGCAACAAGAGTGAAACTCCGTCTCAAAAAAAAGTTATATAAAATGGAATCACAGCCAGGCACAGTGGCTCATGCCTATAACCCCAGCACTTTGGGAGGCCAAGGAAGGAACATCATTTGAGCCCAGGAGTTCAAAACCAACCTGGGCAACTTGGCGAGACTCCATCTCTACAAAAAATTTAAAAACGTGATGGTACATGCCCGTAGTCCTAGCTACTTGGGAGTCTGAGGCAGGAAGATCACTGGAGCCCAGGAGGTCAAGGCTCCAGTGAGCTGTAATCACGCCACTGCATTCTAGCGTGGGTGACAGAGTGAGACCCTGTCTCCAAAAAAATAAAAATAAAATATAAAATAATAAAGTAGAAAATAAAATGTAACAAAATAATAAAAATATAGAATCATATAGCATGTGGCCTTTTGGAATTGGCATTTTAAAAAAATTCAGCATGGGCCAGGCATGGTGGCTCATGCCTATAATCCCAACACTTTGGGAGGCCGAGGCAGGCGGATCACCTGGGGTCAGGAGTTTGAGACCAGCCTGGCCAACATGGTGAAACCCTGTCTCTACTGAAAATATGAAAATTAGCTGGGTGTGGTGGTGCATGCTTGTAGTCCCAGCTACTTGGGAGGCTGAGGCAAGAGAATCGCTTGAACCCAGGAGGCAGAAGTTGCAGTGAGCCAAGATCACGCCACTACACTCCAGCCTGGGCAACAGAGTGAGACACCGTCTCAAAAAAAAAAAAAAAACAAGAATTAACCAGGTGTGGTGGTGGGCATCTGTAATTCCAGCTACTCAGGAGGCTGAGGCAGGAGAATTGCTTGAACCCAGGAGGCAGAGGTTGCAGTGAGCTGAGATCATGCTGTTGCACTCCAGCCTGGGTGATGAAAGCGAAATTCCGCCTCAAAAAAAAAAAAAAATTCAGCATGATTTTCTGTAGAGCCATCCAAGTTGTTGCGTATGCCAATAGCTTTTTCTTTTTTAATGCTAAGTATTGCTAAATATTAGTAGTATTTCACTTAAAGGACATCTGGGCCATTTCCACTGTTTGGCTTTTACAAATAAATCTGTCATGAACATTCATATTCAGGTTTTTGTGTGAATATATTTTCATTTCTCTGGAATAAATGCCCAAAAGTGCAATTAGGGGTTGTGTGGGAATTGCATGTTTAGTTTTATAAGAAGCTGCCAAACTGTTTTCCAGAGTAGGTATACCATTTTGCTTTCCTACCAGCGATGTATGAGTGACCCAGTGTCTGCACACCTCACCAGCACTTGGTAGTTGGTAGTTGTCACTGTTTTTTATTTTAGCAATGCTGACAGGTGTGCAGTAATATCACATTATGGCAGTCTGCCTTCCCAGTCTGATCATCTTATTGCCCATCTACACAAAATTGACCACATTCTACATTCCAAAACATGCTCTTCTCTCATGGCTTTGTTCCACTACCTAAAAAACCCTTTTCCCAGACAGAGAATTTTTCATCTTTCTAGACCTAATTCACATGCTACCTTTTGTGGAAATCCTCCCCTTCCAATGTAGGAAAGGTAACAAAATACACTCCCCTCCCAATCTTCCCCATTGTTCTCCATCCACTCATCTCGTTCTTCCTTTCTAACACTGCCTCTTCTTGTCAGTATATTATCTACTTGTTTGCTTATGTGTCTCTCCTACTAGAAAACAGCCTGCATGGATGGGGGATCCTAAATTTTGTTACACTGCCTTGTCCTCAGTGCCCAGAACAGTGCCTGACACATAGGTGCTTAGTAAATATTTATTGAAAGAATGAATGAGGAAGTGAATTTTTGTACATTGTGCCTCCACTCCCTTCTCTAGCATATTGCCTGGCATATCCTGTTTATGGTATAATAAAAATAGCTAACATTTACTATATTGATTTTAACTACATATCAAACAGTACAATGGACCCCTTTCCTTGGTCTTCTACTGTTGCACAGCACCAACTCATCATTCTATCATAACATTTTGTTAACCTCCCTCTGCTTCCCCCCTAAAAAATACATGTACATTCTGCTCTTTGTATTCATCAGTTGCACACCCATGGATTCACTAAGCTGCTTATTGAAAAAATTTTGGGGGAAAATGGATGGTTGCATCTGTATTGAACATGTACAGACTTTTAGACTTTTAGTTCTTGTCATTATTCCCTAAATAATATAACAACTATTTGTGTAGCATTTATATTAGTTGGTTATAATTAGTCTAACAGTGATTTAAAGTATACAGGAGGAGCCGCGAGTGGTGGCTCATGCCTGTAATCCTAGCATTTTGGGAGGTGGATCACCTGAGGTCAGGAGTTCGAGACCAGCCTGGCCAATATGGTGAAACCCCATCTGTACTAAAAATACAAAAAAATTAGCCAGGCGTGGTGGCGGGTGCCTATAATCCCAGCTACTTGGGAGGCTGAGGCAGGAGAATTGCTTGAACCTGGAGGTGGGGTTGCAGTGAGCTGAGACCGTGCTATTGCACTCCAGCCTGGGCAACAAGAACGAAACTGTCTCAAAATAATAATAAATAAAGTATACAGGAGGATATATGTAGTTTATATGCAAGTACCATACCATTTTATATAAGGGACTTGAGCATCCATGGAGTTTGGTCTCTGTGGGGGGTCCTGAAACCAATCCCCCACAGATACCCAGGGACAACTATGTAAGAATAAATATTGTGAGAGATTACAACACCTTTGTATCCTTGGCCCCAGCAGATACCTGGCACAAATTAAGTAGTCACATCTGAGCAAACAGTGGTCAGGTTAAACACTGCTTTTGCTTGTGTGAAGTCAGAATCCAGCTGCATTTTGAGTAAACCAGTGTCCCACTGACCAGGCTTCCAGAATGTACAGGAAACATCTGTTAATTTTGGAAAGCAATTACACTGGTGTGGAGAATTACTGCTATTTGCTAAAACAAAGCTCCCTTGGAGAAGAGAAATTGAATTAAAAGACCTCACATGCATCTGTCTTTATTAGATACATGGTGAGCATCCTTCCGTATTGTGGGATGGTTATGCAAGAAGCACTCCATTCCACCAGTCCTCTCACCAAACCTGCAGAAAGAAAGCATGGAGTCTAAATTCCCATGCCAATCAAAAGCAGTTTTGACAGTTTCTTGGTTAGTACAGGTCTTACCATATCTAAATGTGCTACTCAGAAAATGCAAAGAAGATGTATCACTTAAAAAAATCTAGTTTGATGGAACTGTAAATGAAAGAACTGTCCCTGTAGTCTTACATGTAGTAAGACTGAAACTGAAAAAATCTAGGCAGTCTGTAGGTAGCTTTGGAGTTAGCAAAAATTTACTAAAATGTTCTGGTGAAGGGTCTAGTGACATTTTAATGTATTTTTTAATTTTTAACTTTTTTTTAAAATATAGAGACAGAATTTTACTATGTTGCCCAGGCTGGTCTCAAACTCCTGGCCTCAAGCAATCCTCCTGCTTTGGCCTCGCAAAGTGCTGGGGTTACAGGTGTGAGCCACCATGCCTCGCCCAAAATTTTTACATATGTGGGGAAATATCAGAATGATTTGGCTATGGAAGGCATGTTTTCTCTTACAGGATGAATAATCCATATAGTTCAGGATTTCAACATATATTTTTTGGCCAAAATATAGTATTTTAGACTCTGCTGTCTTGTCTCCATGTAACATATGGGTACGGCCTAAATAAAATACAGTTTTTTCCGAGCCCTGGAATGGACTAATTAGATATCGATATGGAAAAGATTTAAGAGTATTACCTAAGAGCTATAAAATCTTTTAGAAAAATATTAATTTAAGAAAACATCTTGGCCAGGTGCAGTGGCTCACACCTATAATCCCAGCACTTTGGGAGGCCGAGGCAGGCAGATCACCTGAGGTCAGGAGTTCGAAACCAGCCTAGCCAACATGACGAAATCCTGTCCCTACTAAAAATATAAAAAGTAGCCGGGCGCAGTGGTGGCCGCCTGTAATCTCAGCTACTCGGGAGGCTGAAGCAGGATAATCACTTGAACCCTGGAGGCGGAGGTTGCAGTGAGCCGAGATTGTGCCATTGCACTCCAGCCTGAGCGACAGAGCAAGACTCCATTTCAAAAACAAAAGAAAACATCTTATCTTTTTATTCCTACTGTACAACAGATAAAATCCCATGTCTTAGCTGTTAGAAGGCAGGTAAAATGCTTAAAGGATTTGTAAAGACAAACTGAAAACTATTTAATATAGTACATCTTTTCTCAATGTATTAAATACTCTTTCTAGTTAACAGGTACTTACTGCACATTCACTGTGTGTGGAGCACCATATTTGAATATAAAAGGAACTTTTACAATGAAAGTTAGTACTAACAAGCGAAGAATATTAAAGATCTGAAAGGTGAAAGTTTTCTATTACTATTAAGGAAATCCATTTTGTCTTTTTAAAATACTCTGTGAAATCTTTCTGTAGGGCAAAACTTAAATACTGTGAAAATAAGCAAATATATTAGCTCTAGCTAGGTTAGGAGGTTTTTTTGATGGTAAAATTAGTTTAAGTATGTTTTTATACCCAGTGGTTACTTGATTAACTGTTGATGCTTCTCCTTTTCTTGAATATGACCTTACTAGATTCTTTTTTTTTTTTTTTTTTTCCTATGAAACAGGGTCTCGCTCTGTCAACCCAGGTTGGAGTGCAGTGGCAAGATCACAGCTCACTGCAGCCTCAACCTCCCAGACTTAGGTGATCCTCCCACTTCATCTTCCCAAGTAGCTGGGACTACAGGCCCACGGCACCACACCCAGCTAATTTTTGTATTTGTTTGCAGAGATGGGGCTTCACCATGTTGCCAAGGCTGGTCTCGAACTCTGGGCTCAAGCGATCCTCCCTCATCGGCTTCCCAAAGTGCTGGGATTACAGACGTGAGCCACTGCACCCAGCTAGATTGACTCTTGATAGCAGTGATTCTAAGCAGCTTTAATTCTTATTGAGCCCTCACAGTGTTAAGAAGCAAAAACATTTTTTGTGTGCTCTTTTGTACTCTACAAATTAATGTCTTCTCTGCCTGGTCTTTGAAATCTTGGCCCCAGTAAATATCTGTGCTGGCTATGCAGCTAATACCCTGTGGATGGGTTCTGTTAAGTAAAATCTGTGACTGTGAACACGGGTGTGGGGGTGTATAGAAGCTTCCATTTTGCTATACATAATTTCCTGATGCCCAGGGTGAAAATATTCTTTGTTCACTGGGTTTACCTTACAAAGTACAGGGAATTTATTATTTTCAGAGCGGGGAGTGGTCTAGGGAATTAGAGAATTCATTTTGAGATTATCTACATGAAGTAGACCAAAAACTATTGCTGTAATCCACATGTCAACATGTCCAGATTTTTTTCTTTTCTTTCTTTGCATTTTGTGGGAAGAGCAGATGGGGATAGCTTTCTCTAATTCATCCTCTCTGCCTGCTTTACCTTTGACCTTTCCTTACCAAGTATTAAAAAAAAAAAAAGTTGTTTTTAAGGAATACTTGAAATAACTGAGATTAGTAAACTTGGAGAAGAGAGAATGGGGATTTTCAGTTCTTTACGTATTTGTTTAGTTATAAAAGTTATATAAAATTGTTGTCTTAAAAAAAGTTAAATGTACATGAAGTGAAAAGTAAAATCCTCCCTCCTTTTCTTCTCTTTATCCACCTCCGTTCCACTGGAGAGATAAGGTTTTGGGGGTTTTGTTTGTTTTGATTTTTCACATGGAAAGTTTTAGAATAAGTGGAAAGTTTAGGAGTAAACTCTGTCCCTATGAGGTTATTGTTATCTTTGAGGTACATGAGAAAGACAAAGGCTGACAGCTCCATTTTCCCCAGGGCAGGAACCTTGTCTTCCTTCTCCTGTGTCTGTGGTAACATGTCCTCTACACACACACACACACGGATGGTGCTTTGCCCATCTGCTTATTTCTCTCCTTTACCTTGCCTTACTTACTGTTTTCTGGTTTCTTCATTTCTTCTGCTTCCCTCTTCTCCCCATTTTTTTTCTGTGCCTTCAGCTAGTAGCTCAGAGCAAGTGATCACTGTTTTGAAATTGCATTCTACTGGGCTTTTTCTAGTTCAGTGCAATATGAAAATTTCCATTTAGAAAAGAAATAGGACTCTTTGCTTTATATTGCAAAATGAAGTTTACATTACTAGAGAAATCAGCAACTTTATTGCATACGTGAGGTATGCTTATCAGTGTCATTCATCGGCCACCTTGGCCTTTGTCGCATCAATGTGATCATTATTAAGCAAAGAGGGACAAAGCCAGCTTTTCAAAACATACTTGAAAAGGTACTTTGAGATCTAGTGGAATACCTGTGAATTCGTCATTATATGTGACTAAAATTGTTTTAGAAATAAGAAAGAATATTGAGATATGCATGAAACTGTAGTTATTCTGAGCTTCAGGATATTACTGTACAAGTAGTAAGCTACCAAAAATAAGTAGTGAAATTAAACATGGAAAATGAGCTCTAGGAGTAACCTGCTGCAAAACCGTGGCTCACATGACCTCACTGTAGGAGTTCTTGACTCAGACCTTTAAGCTGGTGATGAGCTGTTTCACATGATTGATAATGCAGAAGCTCCTCTCTGAAGTCACTTTTTTTTTTTTGTTTTTTTTTTGGGGACGCAGCCTCGCTCAGTCACCCAGGCTGGAGTGAGTGGCGCAATCTTGGCTCACTGGAACCTCCGCCTCCCAGGTTCAAGTGATTCTCCTGCCTCAGCCTCCCAAGTAGCTGGGATTACAGATGCATGCCACCATGCCTGGCTAATCTTTGTATTTTTAGTAGAGACGGGGTTTCACCATATTGGCCATGCTGGTCTCGATCTGCTGACCTCATGATCTGCCCACCTCATGATCTGCCCGCCTCGGCCTCCCAAAGTGTTGGGATTACAGGCATGAGCCACCACGCCCAGCCTGAAGTAACTTGTTTTTTTTTTTTTTGAAATGGAGTCTTGCACTGTCTCCCAGGCTGGAGTGCAGTGGCACGATCTCGGCTCACTGCAAGCTCCGCCTCCTGGGTTCATGCCATTCTCCTGCCTCAGCCTTCCGAGTAGTTGGGACTACAGGCGCCTGCCACCACGACCAGCTAATTTTTTATATTTTTAGTAGAGATGGGGTTTCACCGTATTAGCCAGGATGGTCTCGATCTCCTAACCTCATGATCTGCCCGCCTCGGCATCCCAAAGTTCTGGGATTACAGGCATGAGCCACTATGCCCGGCCTGAAGTCACTTTTTATACAGTTCTAGACTTTTAAGTATATACAAGAGAAACAGTGAGTGAGCAAACGAGCTTTCTGTGTACCAGGCATTGTTAGTGCATTGCTTGTATTAATTTGTTTAATCCCCACAAAATTCTGTCAGGTAGGCAATATTATGATCCTCATTTTATGGAGGAAAAACTGAGGCACGGAGAGGTTAAAAACTGACTCAATTTCACCTACTTAGTATGTGGCAGAACTCGGATTCGAACACAGGCAGTTTTGCCCCAAAGGAAATATACTGCTTCTTTTGGGTAATCTGCTGTACCAAGGATCAGCAAACGTTTTCCGTAAAGGGCCAGATGATAAATATTTTAGACTTTGCAGGCCATAGGTCTCTGTTGCATCTCTTCAGCTCTGCCAATGTAGTGCAAAAGCAGTGACAGATAGTACAGAAACAAATGAGCATGGATGTTTTCCAATAAAACTTCATTATGGACATGAAAATCATTTTCATGTGTCACAAAATATTGTTCTTTTTTTTTTTTTTTCATGATTTAAGAATATAAGAGCCAGGCTGGGCACAGTGGCTCATGCCTATAATCCCAGCACTTTGGGAGGCTGAGGCAGGAGGATCACTTAAGGTCAGGAGTTCAAGATCAGACTGGCCAAGATAGCAAAACCCCATCTCTACTGCTTGGAAGGCTGAGGCAGGAGAATTGCTTGAACCCAGGAGGCAGAGGTTGCAGTAAGCCGAGATTGTGCCACTACACTCCAGCCTGGGTGACCCAGCAAGACTCCGTCTCAAAAAAAAAAAAAAAAAAAAAAAAAAAAAAAAAAAAAAGAAGAAGAATATAAGAAGCATTCTTAGCTCATAGACCTTACAAAAACAGGCAGCAGGTTAGATTTGCCTAATCATACTATACTATGTATGTGTGAGATATTAGGATGGAATCCATTCATTTGTTAATACATTCATGCAAGAAAGGTATTATACTACATTTTGGGATTTCTAGGGGGAACAAGAACAACTTTCAGTTCCTCTTGCCATTCTGCTTACTGGATGAACTATGATGTTGTCCCCTTTCTCATGCCTGCTTTTTAAAAAGCTGTCTTTATTTCCTGTCCATTGCATATAACAGATATATTCACATTATCTCATTTAATCTTCATTGCAGGTGGTATGTTATCTCAATTTTTATTTTTATTTTTGAGATGGAGTCTTGCGCTGTTGCCCAGGCTGGAGTGCAATGGTGCAATCTCAGCTAACTGCAACCTCTGCCTCCCAGGTTCAAGCAATTCTTCTGCCTCAGCCTCCTGAGTAGCCGGGATTACAGGTGCGCACCACCATGCCTGGCTAATTTTTGTATTTTTAGAAGAGACGAGGTTTCGCCATGTTGACCAGGCTGGTCTCGAACTCCTGACCTCATGATCCTCCTGCCTCAGCCTCCCAAAATGCTGGGATTACAGGCGTAAGCCACTGCGCCCGGCCTATTATCTCAATTTTATAGTATAGGGAAATGTAAACTTAGTCCAATTAACTAGCCAGTTACACACAGCCATGAGTGGTGGACCCTGCCTTCAAATGCAGGTCTCTTAGGCTGAAAGAGCATTTTTTTTTTCTTCTCTGCTGCCTTTCCTTCCCTCGTAGAAATGTATGAAACTGTGATAAATGTTTGTGATCCTGTCAGAAGCGAATGTTTATTTTACTTGAATACACGTTTATTTTCACTTCCCTTCCATTTTCCCTGACTCTCGCTTTCGAAGATGTAATCTGAGTTTGATAGAAAAGTAGTGATTTTTTTTGGTTTCCCAATCAAAGAAGCTAAAAATAAACACAGAACTAGTCAGCAATGTAACTGGTGTAAGGACTCACTGATGCGTGGGATTAAGAGTGG
Organism: Homo sapiens; assembly: GCF_000001405.40. Taxonomy (NCBI): domain Eukaryota; kingdom Metazoa; phylum Chordata; class Mammalia; order Primates; family Hominidae; genus Homo; species Homo sapiens. The sequence continues at coordinate 95,185,174 of NC_000012.12, read as the reverse complement.
AAGAAGGGCCCGGGTGCTCACACCTATAATCCCAGCACTTTGGGAGGCCGAGGCAGGCAGATCACTTGAGGTCAGGAGTTCAAGACCAGCCTGGCCAACATGGTGAAACCCTGTCTCTACTAAAAATACAAAAATTAGCTGGGCATGGTGGCTGGCGCCTGTCATCCCAGCTCCTTGTGAGGCTGAGGCAAGTGAATTGCTTGAACCTGGGAGGCGGAGGTTGCAGTAAGCCAAGATCGCACCACTGCACTCCAGTCTGGATGACAGAGTGAGACTCCGTCTCAAAAAAAAAGGCTGAGTGTGGTGGCTCCTGCCTGTAATCCCAGCACTTTGGGAGGCCAAGGCGGGCAAATCACTTGAGGTCAGGAGTTTGAGACCAGCTTGGCCAACATGGCGAAACCCCATCTCCACTAAAAATATAAAAAATTAGTTGGGCTTGGTGGTGGACACCTGTAATCCCAGCTACTCAGGAGGCTGAGGCGCGAGAATCGCTTGAACCTGGGAGGCGGAGGTTGCAGTGAGCCAAGATCGCGCACCACTGCACTACAGCCTGGGCGACAGAGCAAGACTCCATCTCAAAAAAAAAAAAAAAACGTGCAGGAAGAAATCCATGTCTTTTCCTGACACCCTCTACAGCTTCCCCAGGGTGCTGTCTCAGAAAGATGTGGGTTCCTTATGGTTTTGGGGGGTTATTGATGGTTTATAACTGGTCTAGAGTAGACCTTGAAGACATATCATTTGTGTGAATAGAATCTGAAGAAGAAAGATGGCAAATAGGCTTACTTGTATATAGTTTTAAATAAGGAAGTAGACAGATTTATTCTTGAGCAATGACTAACCTCCCCCTCTGTGGCTCCTCATGGGCTCCCAAGAAGCCTTTGATCCTTTTCCCCCATGTTAGTGGGAAATCCCAGATATGATTGTAGTTCCTATTGGAAACTGATACACTTAAATAGGTTTAGATAAAATAACATCTGGGAATGATTGCAGAAGTCCTTTGGTTTTGGCTATTGGTTTCCTTGTAATTCCCCTACCCTTTCATTATAGTGGGGTCTGTATATAATGTAACATTTAGCATTCTGTAACATGGAATATGCCACATTTCTGGAACATGTAAGTTAATGCCTTTAACTTGAAAATTGCTTGAGTGTATCATGGCAGAGTCTAGATGTATATGCAAAATATACTTAGGTAAACACAAAGCTGACTTTGTACACCTCTCAATGTAATTTCTCAGGATAATCTTATTAAAATCTGCCAGTGCACCTGCTTTGTACCTCGCGATCCCAGACAATGGCACCTTTTTTGGAGGTTGTTTTGTTGTTGTTTTTGTTGTTTGAGACAGGTTCTTGCTCTGTCACCCAGCCTGAGTGCAGTGGCACAATCACTGCTCTCTGCAGCTTCAAACTTGTGGGTTCAAGCCATCCTCCCATCTCATCCTCCCAGGTAGCTGGGACCACAGGTGTTCACCCCCATACTTGGCTAATTTTTTATGTTTTGTAGAGATGGGATCTCCATGTGTTGCCTAGGCTGATCTCAAACTCCTGGGTTCAAATGATCCTCCTGCCTTGGCCTCCTAAATTGCTGGGAACCACCGCTCCTGGCCTTGGAGGTTGTTTGAATTACCTCCTCTTCACCCCGTTAGTGAGGGAGGGATTTCTGCTTAGGGTTACGGGAATGGCTGAATCCTGATGCTCGACACTGGACGGGTGAGATCAACAGCAGTTTCTCATTCACATGTAGTCCCAGCCTAGAGGAGGGCACAGCATGCCACACCTGGCCACCCAGGCCTGTACTCAGGAACAACTAGGGGTTGCGGGAGGCAGGCTGTATACAAGAGGGTGGGGGTCACTCCTGGTTCCCATGAGAGGATGTGATTGGCTTGTTTAAATGACTCTCTGCTGACTGGCAGGGAACTAAAACCCACTTCTCAGGGCTAGGCAGACACTGCACCTGGTCCTTGTGACTAAGAGGGTGGCCAGGGGACTTTATCAGCAGAAGCATAGTGGGAAGGGCAGTGTGTAGTGAGACCATTTGGAGCCCTTCTGATTTTCCCCAGATGTCAAGGCAGAGCATAATATTGGGCCTTAATTTTCAGCCTTGCACCGCAATGGTTTTGTGCTGACTCACAATCAAGAGCATAGCGTGGCCAGGCGGAGTAGTCATATTTTCCAAAAGGCTCGCCACCTTTTCAGTGGCTGTTAGGATTATGATGACAAGACCTTAGAGGAAGCAAAGGGGTGTGTACAGCTGACACCAGGACAAAGTGGTCACCCTGTTAGAGAAGGTAGTCAAAGGATGAGCTGTTTTTTCTACTAACTTACTAACCAGTCTTGCCCCTCTCGAGTAGTTGGGATTACAGGCGTGAGCCACTGTGCCCAGCCAAGTTGTCTCTTTTTAGAAAGTGGTTCTTTCCTTTGTCTTAAATTACTGTGGTTATCTCAATCCCTTCTGCCTTCATCTGTTTAAGAAGGTCTCAGTAGGAAAATAAAGAGAAGCAGTCAATAGAATTTGTAGTTTGAACATTGTAACTAATTCAATATTATCTTCATCTGCCTCCTAAAATAGTAAATGAAACATAGTAGGCCCTCGATAAATGTTTACTGAAATAAATGGCATCACCATTTTTATATATTCTAAGTATTACAAAAGTATTTTTAAAAATGTATGTATAGGCTGGGCAAGGTGGCTCACACCTGTAATCCCAGCACTTTGGGAGGCCAAGGCAGGTGGATCACCTGAGGTCAGGAGTCCGACACCAGCCTGGCCAGCATAGTGAAACCCAGTCTCTACTAAAAATACAAAAATTAGCCGGGCGTGGTGGGGCACCTGTAGTCCCAGCTACTCTGGAGCCTGAGGCAGGAAAATCACTTGAACCTGGGTGGCAGAGGTTGCAGTGAGCCAAGATCATGCCACTACACTCCAGCTTCCATCTCCAAAAAAAAAAAAAAAAAGTATGTATACATATATATGTGTAAATATGTGTATGCAACTGTGAAGTATTCTCTTGTAGCCATCCCAACCTCATTATTTATTTCTAATGGCCTTTATTTTTTCTGGCATCAAGTAGGAACAGACAGTATATTACATAATGAGGATGTGAAGGGGAGAAATGATACTAAGTCAACTCTAACTTTGTCTTAAAACTTTTTCGTTTTCAATAAGAGAAACATCATCTTTGGTGCAATGATGGAATTGGATTGGGAACTTGCCTTTGTTTTTTTTTTTTTTTTGAGAGAATCTCGCTGTGTCTCTCAGGCTGGAGTGCAGTGGCGTGATCTCAGCTCACTGCAAGCTCTGCCTCGCCATTCTCCTGCCTCAGCCTCCTGAGTAGCTGGGACTACAGGCGCCCGCCACCACGCCCAGCTAATTTTTTTGTATTTTTAGTAGAGATGGAGTTTCACTGCATTAGCCAGGATGGTCTTGATCTCCTGACCTTGTGATCTGCCTGCCTCAGCCTCCCAAAGTGTTGGGATTACAGGCGTGAGCCACTGTGCCCAACTGGAACTTGCCATATTTTATTGGAGGCAACCTCAAGCTCAGAATGCTTTTCTATTTGTATTAACAAGAAAGTTGTCCACATTTCGTGATGTGAATCCCAATTCTAAGAAAGCAAAATTGATGGTAATTAAATGTTGCAGATTTATTTTATGTAGTGCTTGTTTCAGGAGACATTTTTGTAACAATTTATTCCTTTCTAGCTAGACCTGGATTCCTTCTAGCTAAGTTTGACCTGGATGCCTCCCAGCTAAGCTAGATGGCCAAGAGTGTCTGTTGGACTCTTGTCACCATGGGGCTCCTCCTGTGTCATTAAGATAGGACCAGGAACCCTGAAGCACATGATCATCTTTACTTGCAGGTCAGGAAGCTCTCCCACAACCAAATGGAGAACTATGGGAGACGGACCCTATTATTATGTTGCTGTTCACTGTGACGTAGTCAACAAGTTGTGTGGTTACTCTGTGGGCCCTGCAGGCTGTTGAACATCCCTCTACTGACTTCTTTTTTTCTTTTTTAAAGCTATCAACTGGCTAGCCAGATCTCCCCTTCCTACCTATTATTTAGAGACTTAGACTTAAGGTTCTCCCAAACAAACCCCTCTCGGCAGTAAGGGAAAGCCGTAATTTATATATCTTAACAACTTAAGCAATAGTTAAAAGAGATTTTTTCTTTTTTTTTTGAAACGGCAATCCTGAAAATGTTTACACAGACCTCCAAGTCTGGGGGTTGGGGGAGAAAGGGAAAGAACAGGAGAAAATATCTTTAATCTCATCATCCTGGGAAGAAAATAAACTATCCCTAAAGAGTTTATATACATATAAAAATATGTGTATATATGTATAAATACATATATGCTTTGAACCACCTTTTATGAAGCTTTTCAGACTCTGTGTGTGTCGGGGGGGTGGTCAACTTTGAAAAAGTAAAAATGCACGTGATAACAACTTTTAAAAATGTACTGAAGGGCAAATAATAAAATCTCTCAGCCAGGAGTGGTGGCTCACACCTAGCACTTTGGGAGGCTGAGGCAGGCAGATCACTTGAGCCTAGGAGTTTGAGCCCATCCTTGGCAACATGGCAAAACCCAGTCTCTACAAAAGAAAAAATACGAAAATTAGCCAGGTGTGGTGGCACGCACCTGTTGTCCCAAGTGCCTGGGAGCCTGAGGCTGGAGGATCACTGAGTCTGGGAGACAGAAGTTACGGTGAGCTGTGATCACACCACTGCACTCTAACCTGGGTGTGCACTCCAGCCTGGGTGACAGAGCAAGCCCCTGTCTCAAAAAAAAAAAAAAAAAAAAATCTGTCTTTTATTCTCAGGACTTTAGTCCCAGAGGCAACTGTACTTCAACTATATTTATCAGTTTTTCTGAATGTGTTCGGGGACAGCCTGGTATATGTCAGCATGTTTGTGCACACACACACACACAAATATACACACTTTTTACATGGTTTTGTGTATATGTACTCTTCTTTTTGCTTCTCTACACAAATAGGAGCACACTCTGTGCCTTGATTTCTTTTTAACCTAACAATATTTCCTGGAGAATGATCTATGCCACTGTGCATAGATCTACCTCCTTTTTTTTTTTTTTGGAGGCAGAGTTTCGCTCTTATTGCCCAGGCTGGAGTGCAATGGCAGGATCTCAGCTGACCGCAACCTTGGCCTCCCAGGTTCAAGCAGTTCTCCTGCCTCAGCCTCCCGTGTAGCTGGGATTACAGGTATGTGCCACCACGCCTGGCTAATTTTGTATTTTTAGTAGAGATGGGGTTTCTCCATGTTGGTCAGGCTGGTCTCAAATTTCCTACCTAAGGTGATCCACCTGCCTTAGCCTGTTAAATAACTGTTTAGTAATTACTAAACAAATTAAATAACTGTTTAGTAATTCATTATATGAATGTATAACCCCAATTTATTTAACCGGTCTTTTTTTAATGGCTATTGAAGGAAGATCCCTTTAAGACTGCTTCTTTATGTTAAATCTTAATGAATGACTTTAAAGCCAATTACATATAAAAGTTGCAAGCATATGGGTAGGTACTCTTCTATTTTAAAGAATTTTGCATTCTATTTGTTTTTTAAACAATTTTCAGAGTTGTCTTGTGAGGACTGTATTTTAAATAGCAGCCTCAAGGTACTGATTATGATTTTGGTCTTATTTATTTATTTATGAGACAAGGTCTTGGTCCCTCACCTGCTGGAGTGCAAGGTCATAATTGTGGCTCAAGGCAGCCTCGACCTCTTGGGCTCAAGTGATCCTCCCACCTCAGCCTCCCAAGTAGCTAGGTAGCTAGGACCACAGGCACATACCACCATGCAATTTTTTTTTTTTTTCATAGAAATGGGGTCTCTCCCTGTGTTGCCCAGGCCGGTCTCGAACTCCTAGGCCCAAGCAATCACCCCCACCCCCCACAGCCTCCCAGAGTGCTGGGATTACAGACATCAGTCACCACCCCGGCTCTGATTATGTCTTTAGTCAGTAGCATACAATTCTAAGAATCCTCGTAATTACTTGGGGGAAGGTGATAGTAATGGTATTCGCAAAGGTGGAGGTTGCTTCTGGAAAATGAAGCAAGCCTGTTTTTAAAAAATATCCATCATTTGAAGCCTGGCATTTTACCCTAACAGAGTCACCCAGAGACAGTTTTAAACAGTTTCTGGTTTATATTTCAGGGAAGCTGGATATTTTTGTGTGATTTCTTTTTTTTTGAAGCCATAGAACCCTAGCTTGCTAGTTTGAAAGGCTCAGTTGTTAAAACCTCTAAAACTTAAGAATGAAAAAATAAAACACTGATCGTGTACATTTTATGTTGTAAGTTTCTTTGTTTATTCATTTTTTCTATCTTTAAGTAACAAAATTCTGTGGTACTGTCCCTTTAAGTATTTTAGTGATTTTATTTATTTTTATTTTGTGAATACTAAAGAATTTAACTCAAAAAGTTTATACACTACATATATACATTATAGGATTTTAAAAACTGAAATTGAGATAATAAAATCATTAATTTTTAAATTAAAATTTGTCTTAACCTTTAATCAAGCAACCTCTCGAAGAGAAGATTAAAAATCAATATATTTGATACCTTTATAATGCAAGGACATAAAAAAATTGATAGATGTCCTTTTCTTTCAGGGGGAAGGATTTCTGCTATTATACTTATTCAATAAGAACATCAGCATCCATAGCCTTACGTATTACTGAAGCATTGATGTTTCTTTTTTGTGAAAGCAGTTAGGAGTGGAGAAAGACCTACTAGTTGATCTGGTTTACCTAGTTTACCTACTTTACCTACCAGCACTCAGGAGTCACACTGGTTGAACTTGATATTTGTTCAGTCCTGTCACCTGGCTCTGCACATACTTAAAATAATTGTGCACCATCTTGTGTTTGAAAAACCTAAAAACATGATGTGCATACGTGACGGTTGCTTTTTGGAGGATGCAAATGGCCAACTATGCCTATTTCACAAGTCGTGCCATGTTTCCAAACTCATTTTGGTGGTAGACCTCAAGAACATTACTTGAGTAAGGGATGGAGAAAATTCTAGAATTGCTGTGTAATTGAGAAGACCTGAAAAGGAGAGTAAGAAGGATTTTTTAAATAGTTTTTTTTAGGCACGGTGGCTCATGCTGTCATCCCAGCACTTTGGGAGGCCAAGGCAGGAGGTTCATTTGAGGCCAGGAGTTCAAGAGCAGCCTGGGCAATGTAGGGAGAGACCCTGTCTGTACCAATAAATAAATAAATAAATAAATAAATAAATAAATTGTTGTTTAAAATTGATTTGATTCATGGTTTTACTGTGACAGTGGAATCTGCAGTCCTATAAGGGAACTGAAGTAACAGAAGGAAATGTTTCCTGGTAAAACAAAATAGAAATAATTTTTTGGTGAAAATTGTATACCAATTTTATAGTTAGTGTGCTATAATAACTACTAAATAACTTGAAATTTATTTTGCTAATTTAAAGCCCATAATGGTAGTTTTTTTCCCCTCATTCTGTGATAAATATGAAATGTGCCAAAGGAAACACATAATCACCAAGTCATAATGAGACAGCATTTGAAAAAAAATTATCACAACATCCTGAGGACAAGCAGGTTTCTGTTCAGTTTGGGCCAGGAGTAGAAAGAAGAGGAAGAGAAAGACCACAGAAGTTGAGATTTACATGTGGTGACTTGGAAATAAGAAAGAAACTTCTGAAGGTGAGGGAATTGGAAAGAACTTCTTTCTTCAAGCTTGGGAGGAATTACATGAAACATTCCTTGGTAAAGGGGCTCAGAATAAAACCACAGGCAAAAGAAGAAAAAGATAGCTGGAATTTGTCAACAACAGAGAAGCCATTCTTAACTCAGCTTTTCCTTTCCTTCTCTCGGCCATCCGATCCCTTATCCCTTCTCCTTGCTGGAATTTTTAATTTAGTAGGGGCTCAGAAGGATGTTTTTTGGTGAACCTGGCAGTTGCTATGCTGGCTTATCATTGTACAGGTTTTCTGTTCCTAAAAACTCTTAGAGGAAATGGATTTAGTATTTTTAAAAAAGATAATTCCACTGGGCATGGTGGCTCATGCCTGTAATCCCAGCATTTTGGGAGGCTGAGGCAGGCAGATCACCTGAGGCCAGGAGTTCAAGACCAGCCTGGCCAACATGGTGAAACCCCGTCTCTACTAAAAATACAAAAATTAGCTGGGCATGGTGGCGTACACCTATAGTCTCAGCTACTCAGGAGGCTGAGATGGGAGAATCGCTTGAACTAGGGAGGCGAGGTTGCAGTGAGCTGAGATCACACCACTGCACTCCAGCCTGGGTGACAGAGTGAGACTCCATCTCAAAAAATAATAATAAAATAAATTAAAATTTTAAAAGATAATTCCTTCTAAAAGAGAAGGACTTCACTTTAGTTGTGACTTATTACCTGAAAGAAAAATTTGATATACTTCCAGTGGAGGTGTGCTGTAAATATATAGAAACTAGCATATAGAAAAAAATAACTTTTAAAAAGTGATGGCATCATGTAGTCTTCACTTCAGATGTGTAGATGTTAGCATGTGGAATTGAAGGAAACAGTTACCCATCAGTAGGAATTTAAGTCTGGCTTTACTTGTTTGTCTTAATTCCAGTGCACTGGAAACAAACTGATTTTCTAGAAACTGTGGCTTCTTGCAGAAGCAAATCTGACTTAGGGTGCTTGGGGAAGTAGAGCCCACTCTTTGTTCTGGTTGCTGTTGGAGCTTACTTTCCTTTTACTTCAGATATCAAATTATGAACTAACTAGGCAGAAAGACGTGGAGGAAGCCCTATGTCCTGTTCCTTTACCCCACAAAGCAGACAGTCTTAGGATGTTATCATTCGGACAGTGGGAAGGAAATAAACAGAACTCCAAACTATACAATTGGCATTAGTAAGGAGTCCTTGTTTCATTATCAGAAATCTAAAATTGGCTGCATATGGTGGCTCATGCCTGTAATCCCAGCACTTTGGCAAGACTGAGGTGGGAGGATTGCTTGAGCCTGGGAGTTTGAGATCAGCCTGGGCAACACAGCAAGACCCTTGTCTATTTTTTCAAAAAAATAAAAATAGAAATCTAAAATTATCTAGGTAGATTCAGAAGCTGACAACAGTTGTTTGGGAAAATAGAGTAATTGTTTTAGAAATGAACATGTAAAATGTGGATCCTAGATTTTGCTGCTAAACCATTATCTTTCCTTTAAAATCTGCTCCCTTGTTTTAACATTTGTTTCAGTTCATGTCACCCTCATTCTGCTTGTGACTTGGACTTGACACCTTGATGTCTTCCATAAGTTTTTCCTCCTCACCCCTTTACCCTAAGTCCTGGTGATTTTTCTTTTTTTTTTTCTTTTTTTTTTTTTTTTTTTTGAGACAGAGTCTCACTCTGTTACCCAGGCTGGAGTGCAGTGACATAGTCTTGGCTCACTGCAACCTCCACCTCCCTGGTTCAAGCGATTCTCCTACCTCAGCCTCCTGAGTACTGCAACCTCTGCCTCTTGAGTTCCAGTGATTCTTCTGCCTCAGTCTCTCTAGTAGCTGGGATTACAGGCACATGCCACTGCACCCGGCTAAATTTTGTATTTTTAGTAGAGACAGGTTTAGCTCTGTTGGCCAGGCTTGTCTCAAACTCCTGGGCTCAAGCCATCCACCCACTTTGGCCTCCCAAAGTGCTGGGATTACAGGTGTGAGCCACCATACCCGGCCCTGATTTTTCTTCCTCTTACATCCATCCCTTTCTCTCAATTCCTGATGTAGCCACCCTGGTTCAGGCCACCTGCACCATTAAAATTCAACACCTGTTGCTTTCTGATATCATTTTCATTTATTTGGTGAAAAATTCTTGAGGGTCTCTTGTGTGTTGGGCTGTATGGTGAGGATTCAGCTGGAAAACACAATTTCAATTTCCTTGTCTTTGGAAATTTACATTTTAATGAGGGAAACAAGTCTACCACCAAGTGCAGTTTAGTGAGATAGTTAAAGGATTCAGAAGAGACACCAAAATCTCTCCTTGTTTCATGGCATTGTGTTTTGATTCATGTAGTTTTAATATTTAAAGCTTTTTTCTTGTTTTCAGATGTTCACTTTGTACTTTAATCCCTCTTGTATCCCTAATGGATGTGGCAACACCTAGTTACTATATTCTTAATAATAGCCTTCCAAATGATGTTTGACCAAGAAACACCTTTCACCCCTCTCTTCAGACAAAATAAACCTAATTTCTTTTTTTTTTTTTTTTTTTTGGAGATGGAGTCTCACTCTGTCGCCCAGGCTGGAGTGCAGTGGTGCAGCCTCGGCTCACTGCAAGCTCCGCCTCCCGGGTTCACGCCATTCTCTGCCTCAGCCTCCCGAGTAGCTGGGACTACAGGCGCCCTCCACCATGCCTGGCTAATATTTTGTATTTTTAGTAGAGACGGGGTTTCACCGTGTTAGCCAGGATGGTCTCGATCTCCTGACCTCGTGATCCACCCGCCTCAGCTTCCCAAAGTGCTGGGATTACAGGCGTGAGCCACCGCGCCTGGCCAAATAAACCTAATTTCTTCATAGGTGCCACAGCCCTATTACTAACTATCTGAATCTATTATACTTAGGAGTCTAAAACAGTACCCAGATGGGCTGGATCAAAAAGCCTTTTAGAGCAGAGCTTCTCACACATAGACTGGGATTTTGTTACAGCACGGATCCTGATTCGGTGGGTTGTGGGTGGCCTGAGCGTGTGTTTTCTGAGGAGCTTCCAGGTGATGCTGCTGCCGATTGGAAATTGAACATGTGTTGTGTTAACAGGGTTTTAGAAGATATAAAGAGATAAGGAATTACGATAAAAACAAGTGGTGGGGTACCTTTTCTTCTAGCTATATGGTTGGATCCTATAGTCTGTCCACCCTGTTAACTCTCATTTGCTCTCGCTAATCTCAGTCAACAATTAACTATCCGGCGGGGTTGGCTCTTATCCCTGCACCCAGAGACAGTGAATCCTGCCAGTGATCTAACCAGAAAGTTGCTATCCTCTATCCACCACTTACCCCCGGGGAGTGAGTCTCCTGCATGTCTTGGGGAGCTGTGATAAAGTATGCACCCACCTTACGAGGCTATGATATGACTCCCAGAGGCCCCAGCCATTGAGTAATGGAAAACCCCGTCTTTAGCAGTGAGAGGTGTTCCTTTTGGCACTGTGCCTCCAGCCAGCTGGTTTGTGTAACAGTTGGGCTCCAGGAATGGCTTCTGAGGCAAGTCTGTATCCTACCATGTGTAATCAGGAACTGGCAGAAAATTTATCTTTAGCTTTTAAGATTCCCATTAGAGATTCTCGTAACTTGTAACCTTGGCTGTTGAGTGACCTGCCTGTGACCTGCTGAAAGAGCCTGCCAGAGTGGAATGCAACTGTCTCCTTATTCTGCTTGAGTGTTTTTCCTGATGATTGTGGATCTTTTACTGACCCCACCTATACTCTTCTATTCTGCAGATATTCTTGTAGACTTACGACAGAAAAGCAGTTGCTACAGGCAATTGGCTCCTGAATCTTTCCAGCCAATGCTAGAAGGAATTATTTTCATCTCTTCTTAGGGAACTTTCCTATGGAATTCCCCCCACAGATTGGATTGCAACAGTGGCTTTTAGATTCATGAGATCTATATTAAAACAAACGGAGGAACCTTGATGATATCAGGCTGGCAAGGAGGAATTGGTAAATGGCCTGGCTCTGTGGTTTTCCAAGTTCAGCTTGTATCAGAATCACCTGGAAAGCATTAAACAAGCTTACTTATTATTTGCTAGGCCCTGTGCCCCAGGTAGTTGTAATTGCTGGGCAAATTGCTGGGCCCTGGGCCCCTCGTAGTTCTAATGCAGCAGGTCTTGAGCATAATCTGAGAATTTGTAACATTTCCTCTTCCTCCCCATGTCTTGTGAACAGAACAGTGATAACCATAGAGCAGGGTACATGTTCACAGTTGCACCTGCACTGTTGATTGTCGTCACCATTATTACCCCCGAGTCCTCATAGATTTGTTACTTGTTTTTTGTTGTTGTTTTAAACACCAAGGCCCAAGGAAACAGCAATTCTTCTGGTATACCTGGCAGCCTTTTATGGTAAACCAGCTCACTTTCTGTAAAGCTTCTTAGTTTATTCTAGGAGTAGAGACCTGATCTTCTTTGGGAGGGATATATAGAAGCATAGGATGGGAGCAGCTGGGAAACTTGCTTCCCACCCACCTTCTTAACATTAAAAATTCAAAAAATTAATTTGAGTTTTTGGCAGCTGAGACAGGGTGAAGGAAGGGAAAGTTGGCTGATCTGGGTCTTTTCATTCTTCCACATCCCTTAGATATATCTTGTTTGCATTATGAAGATAAGATGTTGATTTGGTTTTTGTTTTGCTAGCACTTCTTATTATTGAAGGTGACTAATACCTGCTTTCTGTTGAATGCAGTTCAGGAGCATCCCAGGAGGAACAGAATGATCTTGGTCTTGGTGACCTTCCCTCTGATGAGGAGGAAATCATCAACAGTTCTGATGAAGATGATGTCAGCTCTGAGTCAAGTAAAGGAGAGCCTGACCCACTGGAAGATAAACAGGTATACTTTGGTACTTAATTGCTTCTTGACCTCTCCCTATGCTTGGGAATGATATTTGTCTGCATAATAGGCACAGAAACCCTTGTGAGTTTTCTTAAAACTTATAAAACACTTTCAAAATTTAAATTTAATTCCTGCTATAATGTGGCACCTAAAATATTCTCATGTTACCAAGTATGTATCACTTAGAGATTACTTAGTGATTTTTGAGAAATTATTATTTTGAGACAGAGTCTTGCTCTGTTGCCCAGGCTGGAGTGCAATGGCGCCATCTCAGCTCACTGCAACCTTTACCTCCCGGGTTCAAGCCATCCTCCTGCCTCAGCATCCCAAGTGCCTGGCATTACAGACACCTGCCACCACGCCTGGCTAATTTTTGTGTTTTTAGTAGAGACGGGGTTTCACTATGTTGGCCAGGCTGGCCTCAAACTCCTGACCTCAAGTGATCCACCCGCCTCAGCCTCCCAAAGTGCTGGGATTACAGGCGTGAGCCATGGTGCCAGGCAAAGAAATTCTTTTTCCTAATGTCCAATGGCTTGCTTTTTGATAACAACCCCCCCCCCCTTAGAATTGTTCCCTGTACTGCTACCAATTTTTTGTAGATTTTTTTGAAATAAAGAAATTATATGCATTTTAGACTCAAATTATTTTGGGAAAGAATAAAGATGGCTGTTAATAGTACATCATCATTTGCTTTGAAATAATCCAGTGTGTGTATGAGTTTGGGGGGAGCACAGCATACATGAAGATTGTCTATGTGTTCAGAGTTGTTTAAGATGCATGAGGGCTGGGCACGGTGGTTCACACCTATAATCCCAGCACTTTGGGAGACCGAGGGGGGTGGATCATGAGGTCAGGAGATCAAGACCATCCTGGCTAATGCAGTGAAACCCCATCTCTACTAAAAATACAAAAAATTAGCCGACCATGGTGGTGGGCACCTGTAGTCCCAGCCACTCAGGAGGCTGAGGCGGGAGAATGGCGTGAACCCGGGAGGCGGAGCTTGCAGTGAGCCGAGATCACGCCACTGCACTCCAGCCTGGGTGACAGAGTGAGACTCCGTCTCAAAAAAGATGCATGATGCAGGGGTTCATTATAATGTCTCTCTAGTTTGGCATGAATATATTTATCTCTTTCATTTGAAACCACATTTTTTAAGAGACATTATTAAAGGGAAAAAGTTAGTACATCAACAATATCCCCAGGAATGTTACAGCAATATGGAATTTGAAAAGATCCACATAGCATAGCAAGCCATGGAGAAAATTCATGTGCCATAATTTCGCCTAATTCCTGTGCCATAATTTTATCAATCTATTGTTCTTCCTGTTTAATATTTTTGCCCTGTTTAAATTTATCTTCAGGCTTAAATGAATGGCCCACGTGCAGCAGTCTGAATTTAAGTCCCAGATCCACCAGCTATGATCTGGTCAACTTTGGGCCAATTATTTAACCTTTTGGGACTAAAGAGTACCATTTTATAGATAAAAAAAAGAATAGTACTCATAGAATTGTGAAGATTAAATAATCTGATACATGGAAAGCATTAGAATATTGATCGGCACATAATAGCTCAGTGATCATTTATTTATAACTAGCCAGACTTCATTTCTATGCTGTGAAGTATTAAATCATGGTGTTGGGAATAACCACTATAAATTACTTAGGCTAGTGAATTTGTAAAACCCCTAAGACAGATGAGTGACTCTCTTCTTAAAGACCCACAGCACTCAGCAATGTATAGATTTTACTTTGACTATCAAGTAATTCCTTTTGTGTCTTACTGGTGTCTGTCTTGCTTTAATTTGAAAGCTCGTTTTCCATGTTGCAGCTTCATGGACATAGATTCTACAAATGTTTATAGAATTTGCACTATGTTCCAGGTACCACTGGTATTTACTAGAGATAAGCAGTACTCAGGTTCTAAGCTTCTATGTAGCCAACGTTCTTTTCTTTTGAGAAGGAGTTTCGCTCTTGTTGCCCAGGCTGGAGTACAATGGCGCGATCTCGGCTCACTGCAACCTCTGCCTCCCGGGTTCAAGTGATCCTCCTGCCTCAGCCTCCTGAGGAGCTGGAATTACAGGCACCCATCACCATACCCAGCTAATTTTTGTATTTTTAGTAGAGACGGGGTTTCACTATGTTGGCCAGGCTGGTCTCGAACTCCTGACCTCAGGTAATCCACACACCTCGGGCCTCCCAAAGTGCTAACACTACAGGCATGAGCCACCCTGCCCGGCCTAGCCTATGTTCTAACAGGATAAGAGGAACCTACTGTGCTTAATCATAATCAGGAAGAACTTCAGAGTGTTACAAGCTATGAAGGAAACAAATCAGAGTGATGTGCTACAAACCCAGGAAGGTACTTTGGGAAAAAGCCTCTTAGAAAATGATATTTGCCTGGGATTTAAATGACTGGAAAGAACCAAAGCCTGTGAAGAATTTGAGGAAGAACATTCAAATTGTCTTCTTTTTTTTTGAGACGGAGTCTTGCTCTGTCTCCCAGGCTGGAGTGCAGTGGCACTATCTCGGCTCACTGCAACCTCCACCTTCCAGGTTCAAGCGATTCTCCTGCCTCAGCCTCCCGAGTAGCTGGGATTATGGGCACCCACCACCATACCTGGCTAATTTTTGTATTTTTAATAGAGAAGGAGTTTCACCATGTTGGCCAGGCTGGTCTTAAACTACTGACCTCAGGTGATCCACCCGCCTCAGCCTCCCAAAGTGCTGGGATTACAGGTGTGAGCCACCACGCCTGGCCTCAAATTGTCTTCTTGAGGGCCATAATTAAATCAATCCTGACTCTCTTTGAAAAGCAACTCCCAAGTTTTTTCTTTTCCTAGCAGACACTCTTTTCTATTGTTTTGGTCTAGTTGTTTGTTTTGCGTGAATCTTTTCCCATTTCTTTCCATACTTCTTGGAGCACTGACCAAAATTGGTTTCCACATTCTATCAGGGATCTCACTGATACATCGTATAAAGGAAGGATTAATCTTTAACCCAGCAGTGTTATGTCTGTTTCCAACACATCCTGTGATAACACCGCCTGGTTGACTCACTCATTCTGTGGGCAGTGGAGACTCCCAGGGTTCCTTCCTCTGCGTTTGTGCCTGCCTTTCCTTTCCCTTCCTGTATTTATATTACTGTTTTATGTTATTAGTTGTGCTATATTGCAGTAGCCCTGTTAAATTTTTATCCTTTTTTTTTTTAAAGGACTATTTCTTTAGTTAATCATGGACATTGTTTTTAGTGCAACAGAGTACATTTATTTTTTTCATCATCTCAAGCATTTACCAAGCCTTTATGTGATTGTGTTACAGACATTCCCATTATACTCTTATTTTAAAATATACAATAAATTGTTGACTGTAATAACTCTGTTGTGCTATCAAATACTAGATTTTGTTCATTCTATCTAACTGTGTTTTTGTACCCATTAAATATTCCCAATACCCTCCACCCCTAATTATGGACATTGAACATTTTTTACCTGATGCCACTAGTACTAATAATTTCCCTCCTTTAGAATTCTCAGCCACGCTAATGAATTTTCTCTTTCTGTCTCTTCATCTGAGACAACAATAGCACTAATAGAATAGTCTCTTTCTTTCCAGACACTTGTTAATCCATCTGGCCACAGCCTGGTGAATGCCCTTCTCTTAAGTAATTTGCTTTCATAGTTGTTAGAACACGGTCTTTGGAGTCAGATTGCCTGGGTTCCCACCACTTACTAGCTCTGTGATCTTGAACAACTTACTTAATTTTACTTTGCCTTAGTTTCCCCATCTGTAAAAAGAAGAGGAAAAAAAGTGGACACTTGACTTTATTTTCTAAGATTGTTGTGATTATTAAGTGATTATACACTGTTTAGAACAGAGCTTAACACAAAGTGAATGCTTAGTAGATTTTTACCTATTATTGATTTTTTTTTTTTTTAAGATGAAGTTTCACTCTTGTCTCCCAGGCTGGAGTGCAGTGGTGTGATCTCGGCTCACTGCAACCTCTGCTTCCAGGGTTCAAGTGATTCTCTTGCCTGAGCCTCCTGAGTAGCTGGGATTACAGGCATGCGCCACTACACCCAGCTGATTTTGTATTTTTAGTAGAGACGGAGTTTCTCCATGTTGGTCACGCTGGTCTCAAACTCCTGACCTCAGGTTATCTGCCCACATTGGCCTCCCAAAGTGCCGGGATTACAGGCGTGATCCACCGCGCCTGGCTGCTATTAACGATTTTTATGAAAATAAGCAAGCCAAATCTTAAACATCTCAAATCAAGCTTTCTGTAATCTTACCAATAAATATATTGTTTCTGGCTTGGCTTTTCTTATCTTTGATGAGTAAATATGAAACTTATTTACATGTAAGGTAGTATTTTGTTTAATGGGAAAACTTGAAATTTGGCATCCTAAGACCTGGGTTTTAGTCTTAGATTTGTCACTTACTAACTGTATGACCTTGGTCGAGTAATTTTTTAAAGTCAGTTTATTTACACGAGTATCACTTCACAATTGACTTCAGGTGACTTAAAAAAAATGTGTGTAATACAAAAAGTCAAAATGTTTTTTTTAAAGAAATCAGGTTGTCAACATATAAATGGTGCTGGAATCACTGGATATCCACCTGCAAAAGGATGACATTGGACCCCCTTCCTTTCAACATACACAAAAACTAACTCAAAATGGATTATAGACCTAAATGTAACAACTCAGGCCCAGTGCGGTGGTTTGGCTGGGCGCGGGGGCTCACACCTGTAATCCCAGCACTTTGGGAGGTCGAGGCGGGCAGATCACTTGAGGTCAGGAGTTCGATACCAGTCTGGCCAACATGGTGAAATCCCATCTCTACTAAAAATACAAAAATTAGCCCTGTGTGTTGGTGCATGCCTGTAATCCTAGCTACTCAGGAGGCTGAGGCAGGAGAATTGCTTGAACCCGGGTTGCGGAGGTTGCAGTGAGCCGAGATCACACCATTGCAGTCCAACCTGGGTGACAGAGCTAGACTCCATCTCAAAAAAAAAAAAAAACCTCAAACAGTAAAAAGATCAATCACCCAGGCTTAAGAATCTGAATAGACTAAAGAAGATATACAGTGGCCAATAAAGATGTAAAAAGGTGTTCAACATCATAAGCCGTTAAAGAAATACAAAGCAATGCTTCAGTGAGGTACCACTGCACACCCACTAGGGTAGCCATAATCAAGAAGATGTACAGTAACAACTGCTAGTCAGGATGTGGAGAAATGGGAGTCCTTATAGGATCTAAAATGGTGCAGCCACTTTGGAAAACAGTCTGGCAGCTCTGAAAAGTTTAAATGTAGAGTTACCATATGACCTAGCAATGCTACTCTTAGGTATCCACCCAAGAGATATGAAAGCATATGTCCACACAAAAACTTGTAGAGGAATGTTCATAACAGCATTATTCATAATAGTCAAAAAAGTAGAAAGGGCCAGGTGCAGTGGCTCATGCCTGTAATCCCAGCACTTTGCGAGGCCAAGGTGGGCAGATCACTAGGTCAGGAGTTCGGGAGCAGCTTGACCAACATGGTGAAATCCCGTCTCTACTAAAAGTACATAAATTAGCCAGGTGTGGTGGTGCACATCTGTAATTCCAGCTACTTGGGAGGCTGAGGCAGGAGAATTGCTTGAACCCGGGAGGTAGAGGTTGCAGCAAGCCAAGGTCATGCCACTGTACTCCATCCTGGCCAACAGAGTGAGACTCTGACTCAAAAAAAAAAAAAAAAAAAAGTAGAAAGAACCCAAATACTAATCAAATGATGAGTGGATAAACTAAATGCTTTATATTCCTACAATGGAATACTATTCAGCCATAAAATAGGAATGAGGAATGACTGATAATGGGCATGGAGTTTCTTTTTATTTATTTATTTATTTTTTTTGAGATGGGGTCTCGCTCTGTCACCCAGGCTGGAGTGCAGTAGTGAGATCATGGCTCACTGCAGCTTCAACCTCCTTGACTCAAGTGATCTCTCGTCCCTTCCTCCTTAGTAGCTAGGATTACAGGTATACACAACCATGCCCGGCTAATTTTTTTTTTTAAAGACATGGTCTTGCCATGTTGCCCAGGCTGGCATCCAACTCCTGGCTTCAAGCAATCCTCCTGCCTTGGCCTCCCAAAGTGTTGGGATTATAGGCATGGGCCACTGCACCTGGCCTGAATTGTATGCTTTAAAAGGGTAAAAACCTATTTTGTAGTATATGAATTATATCTCAACAAAGCTGTTATAAAATAAACCTTGCTGAAGGAAAAACAATAGTGCTAATGGAAGATTTGTACAGAGTAATGTATATCATGTAGTCCTATTCATTAGCTGAGGATGGGCCACAAATTTGGCTTTCTAGCAACTCAGGAAAAGTCGGTGATATCAGGCTGGGTATGGTGGCTCATGCCTATAATCCTAGCACTTTGGGAGGCCAAGGAAGGAGGATAGCTTGAGACCAGGCTGGGCAACATAGTGAGACCTTGTCTCTACAAAAAATAAACAAGATTAGCCAGGTGTGGTGGGGCAAGCCCCTGGGAAGTTGAAGCTACAGTGAGCTATATTCAGGCCACTGCACTCCAGTCTGCACTCCAGCCTGAGCAACAGAGCAAGACCCTATTGAAAAAAAAAAAAAAAACAGAAAAAGAAAAAACAAGCCAGGCATGGTGGCTCACACCTGTAATCTCAGGACTTTGGGAGGCTGAGGTGGACAGATCTCTTGAGCCCAGGAGTTCGAGACCAATCTGGACAACATGGCAAAACCCCATGCCTACAAAAAAAAAACAGACACAAAAAATTAGCCAGGTATGGTGGTTCATGCCTGTAGTCCCAGCTACTCAGGAGGCTAAAGTGGAAGGATCACTTGAACCTAGGAAATGGAGGTTGCAGTGAGTGGAGGTCATGCCACAGCATTCCAGCCTGGGCAACAGGGAGGCCTCATCTCACTTAGGAAAAAACAAAATTGGCCGGGCGCGGTGGCTCATGCCTGTAATCTTAGCACTTTGGGAGGCTGAGGCTGGCGGATCACCTGAGGTCGGGAGTTCGAGACCAGCCTGACCACCATGGAGAAACCAACCTGTCTCTACTAAAAATAAAAAAAATTAGCCAGGCGTGGTGGTGCATGCCTGTAATCCCAGCTACTCAGGAGGCTGAGGTAGTAGAATCCCTTGAACCCAGGAGGCGGAGGTTGCAGTGAGCCGAGATCGCACCATTGCTCTCCAGCCTGGGCTACAAGAGTGAAACACTGTCTCAAAAAAAAAAAAAAGAAAAAAAGAAAATTGATACACATCTGACATAGGTACTGTTTTTCTTCATGTTGCATGAAGAAAAGGAGTCTTATACAAGTTAAGTAACTTGCCTTGGAACCCCAAGTTGGGGTTTTTAACCCAATCTGTCTCTACTAACAACTTGGTACAGCCATGGAAGCTGAATGATGTCAATGAAACATGTTGAGGTGAAATACCTAGCCATGCTGATCTGTCCTGTTCCCTTTTCTAAATTTTTATTTTTATAGTTTTTGGTCTTTCCTTTCAGGGCTTAAATGCTTGTTTAAAAAGTAAGATGTATTTATTCTACTTGTTTGTGGTTAGAATATTCATCGTCTTCATCTTTCTTATATATTGATTTCCTTGTTTTTTTAAAAAATCTTTGTAAAGTAGCTCATATGATACATACTTTCATAAAGAAAGGGCGAAAACCTAAGAGAGCATTGTTTAGAGATTAATCATGATGTCACCTCATTTTTGAAATAACTTAATGATAAAGAGATGTTTCTCAGGCAGTCTGGATGTTAACATTTTTTGTTTTTTATTAGAACTCTAGAGTAGGATAGAAGAGGCCTTTTAATAATTCTATTAAAAAGTAATGGATAGGCTGGGCATGGTGCCTCCTGCCTGTAATCCCAGCACTATGGGAGGTCCAGGTGGGTGGATCACTTGAGGTCAGAAGTTCGAGACCAGCCTGGCCAACATGGTGAAACTCCATCTCTACTAAAAATACAAAAATTAGCTAGGCACAGCAGTGTGTACCTGTAGTCCCAGCTGCTCGGGAGACTGAAGCAGGAGAATTGCTTGAACCCGGGAGGTGGAGGTTGCAGTGAGCTGAGATTCCCGCCACTGCAGTCCAGCCTGGGTGATAGAGCAAGACTCTGTCTCAAAAAAAAAAGGAATGGATAAATTTCACTGAATGTCACTTGTAGTGAACACATATGATAAGAACACAATTAAGAATTTACAAAGCTGCTGAGGCAGGAGAATGGCGTGAACCAGGGAGGCGGAGCTTGCCGTGAGCCGAGATCGTGCCACTGCACTCCAGCCTGGGTGACAGAGCGAGACTCCGTCTCAAAAAAAAAAAAAGGAAGGAAAAAAAAAAAAAGAATTTACAAAGCTGGGCTAGCGTCAAGAGATTGGAACATAAAACTAGATTTCAGATCAAAGGTTCTGTTTTGGAATTTGTTTGACTTATTTTATGACCTTGACAAAGTTATTTCATTTGTGGCTCATGTTTCAACTTCCACAACAGTGTACTTTTGGGAGACGCTGTTATTTAACAGGGAACTGCTTTGAAATGCAATGTAATTTAAGTGAGGATTTTCATTAGCTGAAAAGTTGAGATGCCATGGGGTGTGTGTTTTTCCATCGCTGTTTGACTTGGGTCACAATCAGTCATTGTTCTTACAAGTTGGAGATAATATAGAGCTTTTAATTTTTTTTTAATTTATATTTGACTTTCTGTCCACTTTGAAGATGATTATAATCCATTGACTTATTTCTAATAATTTTTATACCTCTTTATTTAGCTCTGTAGCTTTCCTGGTTTAGAAGGTAAAATGGACAATGGAATATATAGACTCCTAGAACCTTAGAATTGGAAAAGACCTTAATCATTTAGTCCAACCTCCTACTCTTTTATGTGATTAAAGCTTTTAGTTCATTCGAGTTTGCATTTTTGTGTTATGCAACACATCTTCAAAAGCAATATGCTCTGTCTCAGATTCTGAGAAGGTGGCAGCCATCCTTATACACATTTGCTTATTCGTAAATATTAATTGCACAGTGGACCAAGCAGCGTGCTATGTGCAGAAGGATACAGGGTGAATTAGATCGGAGACTAGAGGGAATTCAGACATTTCAGCAAGTAAACACAGTCTACTGGGTTAAGTCCTATAAATATTACATGAATAAGAAAATTATCTTGTCCTTTGATAGTAGGAGGGAAAGAATGTCAAGGGAGCCATCATAAAAAAAAAGTTGGAGTGTTGTCTTAAAGGACGTTTGGAATATGAAAGGCAGAAATCTTCAGGGAGAAGGAGAAGTGCTGGGGAAGCAAGTCAAGGCAAAAGGAAAGGTATATGCGCAAAGGGACAGACACAGAAGGGGAGAGCATGGCTGGAGTTGCAGCGTGGTGGGTTAGAGAGTACACAGTGTGGAGGAGGAGGGAGAAGCCTGGTGAAGGTGAGTGGACATGTTGAGAAATGCCTAATACCCTTGGCGAAAGAAACTTGAATCTTTGTTATCCATCTGTGATAGGGAGCTGCTAACATTTAGCCTGAGAACTAACCTGGTTATATTTGCATTTTAGAAATATTCTAGTGGCAGTGTACAGAAGGGGTTGCAGTGGGGTAAACACAGAGCCAAGGAAACCTTTTAGGTTGCTGTAATAGTGAGGGCAAGAGGTAAGGAGGCAACATCAAAGGAGAGGAAAGGATCATTTAAGCTTTAAATCTTCGGGACACATTGATAGGACTTGACTCAGTTGTAATAATAAAAGGTGACTATGGGGACAAAAAAGAAGAGTCCAGGTTTCTGGCATTAATGAGTTGGTATCTACAGTAGCTAGTATAGGAGTAGCTGATGGATTGTGTTTAAACGGTGATTTGGAGTCATCAAATGCTTTATTCTTTGTGAAGCCTTTCCTGATTGACACACCTCTGCCTGATTATGGTCTTTCTCTTCTTCAAGGTGGCAGCACTTTTCATAGTTGTGCTTATATGTAGTTATTTGTATGTTCAGTTCGTTTCCATTGTTCACTTCTTGAAGGCTGGGGCTATTTATTTATTTATTCATTCAATTTTTAGACAGAATCTCACTCTGTCACCCAGGCTGGAGAGTACAGTGGCGCAATCTTGACTTACTGCAGCCTCCGCCTCTCAGGTTTAAGTGACTCTCATGCTTCAGCCTCCCAAGTAGCTGGGACTACAGGTATGCACCACTGTCGGCGCCCAGCTAGTTTTTGTATTTTCAGTAGAGACAGGGTTACACCATGTTGGCCAGGTTGGTCTTGAACTCCTGGCCTCAAGTGATCCACCTGTCTCAGCCTCCCAAAGTGCTGGGATTACAGGTGTGAGCCACCGCACCTGGCCAACTGGGGCTATTCTTATTTATCATAGTCCCCTGCAGCCTTGAACTCCTGGGCTCATGTGATCCTCCTACCTCAGTCTCTCAAGTGATTAGGAACTACAGGCACATGCCACCATGCCTGGCTTTTTTTTTTTTTTTTTTTGTATTTTTCAGGTGTCACTATGTTGTCCTTGCTGGCCTTGAATTCCTGGCCTCAAGTGATCCTCCTGCCTCCCAAAATGTTGAGATTACAAATGTGAACCATGGTGCCCTGTGTAATTCCTTCTTCTAACACCTACTTTTAATGCTCCATTTTAGACCTACACAATCAGAATTTCTAAGACAGTACCTGGGAATCTGAAATTTAAGATCTGCCTGTGATTCTAATGATCACTAATGTTTTCAAATTTATATGTAGAGCAGTGAATGGGCGGGTGGTAGAACAGTTTTTTCTTATTAACTTTGCTATCAAATGACAGAAAGTCAGTTACTAACTTCAGATTTTAAAATGAAAGTGTAAAGATGGTACTGACATCTTTCTCTTGAAAATGATCTCAGAATAACAAGGAGAAGAAATATGAATTCTGTGCTCAGTGACATTAGGAGACAGAAGAAAACCCTGTCGACCTAATGGGAAAAAAAATGAGCAAACTTAATGTAAGTAGAGAGTTTATTTGGGTCAAATTTGAGGACTACAAGCCTGGAGCATAGATCCAAGACTCCTGTTAGGAGCAGTTACAAGTGGGTTTTTTGTTTTGTTTTGTTTTTGAGACAGAGTCTTGCTCTTTTGCCCAGGCTGGAGTACAGTGGTGTGATCTCGGCTCACTGCAACCTCTGCCTCCTGGGTTCTAGTGATTCTCCTGCCTTAGGCTACCTAGTAGCTGGGATTACAGGCACTTGCCACTACGCCTGGCTAATTTTTGTATTTTTAGTGGAGACGGGGTTTTACCATGTTGGCCAGGCTGGTCTCAAATTCCTGACCTCAAGTGATCCGCTCACCTTGGCCTCCCAAAGTGCTGGGATTACAGGTGTGAGCCACTTGGCCCAGCCACAAGTGGGTGTTTTTGTTTTTGTTTTTGTTTTTGAGATGAAGTTTCAATGTGTCATCCAGGCTGGAGTGCAGTGATGCAATTTTGGCTCACTGCATCCTCCATCTCCTTGGTTTAAGCAATTCTCCTGTCTCAGCCTCCCAAGTAGCTGGGATTACGGGTGTGTGCCACCATGCCCAGCTAATTTTTGTATTTTTGGTGGAGACGGGGTTTCACCATGTTGGCCAGCCTGGTCTTGAACTCCTGACCTCAAGTGATCCGGCTGCCTTGGCCAAAAGTGCTGAGATTACAGGCATGAGCCACCATGCCTGGCCACAAGTGGGTTCTTTGTTTGTTTGTTTTGTTTTTTTGAGACAGAGTTTTGCTCTCGTCACCCAGGCTGGAGTGCAATGGCATGATCTTGGCTCACAGCAACCTCTGCCTCCTGGGTTCAAGCGATTCTCCTGCCTCAGCCTCCCACACAGGTGGGTTTTTTAAAGGAAAAGAAGAGGCAATTCCTAAGTTGTTTGTCAGTAATTTATATTAAAATATCATAAGCTGTTTGATTGACTTTACATTGTTCTTTGTTTCACAAATTCTAGGAACATGGAGACTATGGGTGGAGGCAGCTGGTCAGGGACAAAAATGCCTTCAAACAGTTGCACCTGGGCATGGGGGTTGGGCCATCACTGAAGTCTCATACCCATGTTTCTCTGGGCCTGATAAATTTTGCATACCTCACATAGCTCAGTTTGCTCTGAGCTATTTTTCATTTTTCACACCGTATGAGTAGGGGCTACCATGCCCACCAACAATATATAAAGGTTCCAGTTGGTCCACATCCTCACCAACACTAGGTATTTACTGTTTGTTTGTTTTTTTATTATAGCCATTGTGTGGGTGTGAAGTATATCATTGTGGTTTTAATTTACATTTCCCTAATAACTATGTTGAACAAGTTTTTATATACTTATTGCCCATTCTTATATCTTCTTCTGTGAAATGTTTCTTCACATATTCACATCTTTTATCTCTTTTTTTAATTAAAAAAAAAATAGAAATGAGGTCTTGCTTTGTTACCCAGGCTGGTCTCAAACTCCTGTGCTCAAGTGATCCTCCCACCTCAGCCTCCCAAATTGCTAGGGTTACAAGCGTGAGCCACCGCACACAGCCTTTTTGTTTGAGTTATATTGAGTTATCAGAGTTTGGTTTTGTTTTTTTTTTTTTAAGAGACAGGTTCTCACCCTGTCACCCAAACTAGAGTGCAATATTGTGATGATAGCTCACTGCAGCCTCAAACTCCTGGGCTCAAGTGATCCTCCTACCTCAGCCTCCCAAGTAGCTGGGACTACAGGTGTGTGCCATTATGCCTGGCTAATTGTTTTTTATTTTTTTATTTTGTAAAGACAGGGTCTTGCTATGTTGCCAAGGCTGGAGTGCAGTGGCTCAATCATGGCTCACCACAGCCTCAACCTCCTGGGTTCAGTGATCCTCTTACCTCAGCCTCCTGAGTAGCTGGGACTACATGTGTGCACCACCATGCCCAGCTAATTTTTGTATTGTCTGTAGAGAGAGGGTTTTACCCTGTTGCCCAGGTCTCGAACTCCTGTGTTCAAGCAATCTGCCTGCCTTGGCCTCCCAAAATATGAGATTGCAGGCATGAGCCAACACTCCCAGCCCTATCAGAGTTCTTAATGTATTCTAGCTACGAATTCTCTCTCAGAATCATGATTTGCGAATATTTTCTCCAGTCTATGGTTTATCTTTTTATCTTCTTAATGATGTCTTTTGAAGCATGAACAATTTATGAAGTTCCATTTATCAGTTTTTTTCTTTCATGAGTTATGCTTTTGGTGTCATATCTAATAACTCTGCCTAATTCAAGATCATAAGGATTTTTTAAAATGTTTTCTTCTAGAAGTTTTACAGTTTTCACATTTTTAGTTAATTTTTGTATGGAGTAGCCTCCTCTACACAAGTCTGTGTAATGCAGGCCCTGGCAGAGCAAGGTCCTGAGAAGGAGAGAAAAAAAAGTTACAGAGTAGAGACCTAACAAAAGGAGAGTGATAAAAAGAGGAGAGGAAACAAAGGGTAGGTGCCAAAAATAAATTAACAGCTACTTGAAATTTTTGTGTCGAGCTCGTGCACATTTTAGCTGACTCCAGTAGTCAAATGCTTCCACATCTATAGTGTGCCTGCATTTCTTTAAAGCTACTGATAAGATCCGCTCTTGACCTTTAAGGGATGTCACATTATTTGGAAATGAAGAGTCAGGGCTTCAGTTCCCTGAATGGTTTTGGTTTCTGTTTTTCTCACTTATAATGCATTTGTAATTTTAATTTTATTTATGTTATTATTATTATTATTATTATTTTTACTAACGACATGGTCTCATTATGTTGCCCAGACTGGTCTCAAACTCCTGGGCTCAAGCAATCCTCCCACCTTGGCCTCTCAAAGTGCTGGGATTACAGACATGAACCACCATGCCAAGCCCATTTCTAATTTAAAATTTATACACTGTATTTTGTAAACATTAAACTTTTCTATCTACAGATTATATGGAGAACCCCATTGTGATAGAAAAGTTTGGACTTGCTAAAATATGTTTTCAAAATAACAGTTATCCGTGTGTGTGTGTGTATGTGTGTGTAGACACTTATGTAATCATGATTATTTAGTGCCTGATATGTGGTCTGCCAGGTCAAGGTCAGACTGTGCTTAAGACTGCAGTCTTCCTGAGGAATATAGCTATGTGTAGTTTAAAAGGTGAGTGATCATGCCTCTAATCCCAGCACTTTGGGAGGCTGAGGCAGGCAGATCAGAAGGCCAGGAGATCGAGACCATCCTGGCTAACACGGTGAAACCCCGTCTCTACTAAAAATACAAAAAAAAAAAAAATTAGCCGTGCATGGTGGCACACACCTGTAGTCCCAGCTACTCAGGAGGCTGAGGCAGGAGAATCGCTTGAACCCAAGAGGCGGAGATTGCAGTGAGCCAAGATCACGCCACTGCACTCCAGCCTGACCAACAGTGAGACCCTGTGTTAAAAAAAAAAAAAAAAAAAAAAAAGTGAGTGAATGTATGGCCAGGCACGGTGGCTCATGCCTGTAATCCCAGCAAGCACTTTGGGAGGCTGAGACAGGTGGATCACGAGGTCAGGAGATCGAGACCATGCTGGCCAACATGGTCAAACCCAATCTCTACTAAAAATACAAAAATTAGCTGAGTGTAGTAGTGCATGCCTGTAGTTCCAGCTACTCGGGAGGCTAAGGCAGGAAAATCGCTTGAACCCGGGAGGTGGAGGTTACAGTGAGCTGAGATTGCACCACTGCACTCCAGCCTGGCGACAGAACGAGACTCTGTCTCAAAACAAAAAGTGAGTGAATGTAGTTGAGTAAAACATATCCAACCTGGTAGTCTCCATCATTAGGAAAGAGGAATAATAACAGGAATAGAGGTCATATTCATCTGTCTATCTAATTGTCCTTTTAGCAGTAGAGTTTGAGAGCTAAGGTAAAGTAGCATGAAAAAAGTATCCTAGGCTCATTAGACTGGACTCTGAATTAGTAATCCATTTAAAGATTATTTTCACAAGTAGTTGGTTTCACAACCTTCTTTGAATATTTTTTGCATAACAGTATTTATATTCTTTTTTTTTTTTTTTTTGAGACAGAGTTTTGCTCTTGTCGCCTAGGCTGGAGTGCAGTGGCACGATCATGACTCACTGCAACCTCTGCCTCCTGGGTTCAAGTGATTCTCCTGCCTCAGCCTCCCAAGTGGCTGGGATTACAGGCATCTGCCACCATGCCAGGGTAATTTGGTACTCTTAGTAGAGACGGGGTTTCACCATGTTGGCCAAGCTGGTCTCTATCTCCTGACCTCAGGTGATCCACCCACCTCAGCCTCCCAAAGTGCTGGGATTACAGGCGTCAGCCACCGCACCCAGCCCAGTATTTATATTCTTATGGAAGGGTCAGGATTTCTTGGTATTGCATATAAATTATTCTGTAGTAAAGTAAGAAAACATGAAGGGACAAATATACACAAACTGTAAGATTAGTGGCTACTTCTGTCAGAGGAAGAAGAGAACTTTAATATCATAATTTAACAATTTGTTTCACAGAAAGATTTAAAACAAGTATTTCAGAATGTTTGGATTTGTTAAATCTTGGTGGGAGAGTGGATGTGTGGGTATTAGGTTTAGCAGTAATTATTTGTAAGGATATGCTGAGATTACTGGCAGATATTGAAGAGAGATTCAAGGTGTAATAAAATTATTTGTAGGTTAAATATTGGGAAATCTGGGTTCTTTTTCCAACTGTGCTAATAGTTATTGGGGGAAATTCAGCCAGATATTGGGCGGAATTCACCCCCAATATTTCACGTAGGTTGTTTTCATTTTCCCTAAATGTTGGCTGGTCTGAGAAATAAAGGGATAGAGTACAGAAGTGGGAAATTTTAAAGCTGAGTGTCCGGGGGAGACATCACATGTCGGCAGGTTCTGTGATGCCCCCTGAGCCGTAAAACCAGCAAGTTTTTATTAGTGATTTCTACAGGGGTGGGAGTGTACAAATAGGGTGTGGGTCACAGAGATCACATGCTTCACAAGGTAATAGAATATCACAAGGCAAATGGAGGCAGGGCGAGATCACAGGACCACAGGACGGGGCGAAATTAAAATTGCTAATGAAGTTTCGGGCACACATTGTCATTGATAACATCTTATCAGGAGACAGGGTTTGAGAGCAGACAACCGGTCTGACCAAAAATTTTTTAGGCGGGAATTTCCTTGTCCTAATAAGCCTGGGAGCGCTATGGGAGACTGGGGTTTATTTCATCCCTACAGCTTGACCATAAAAGACTGCCGGCCCCGAAGCAGCCATTTCAGAGGCCCACCCTCAGGGATGCATTCTCTTTCTCAGGGATGTTCCTTGCTGAGAAAAAGAATTCAGCGATATTTCTCCCATTTGCTTTTGAAAGAATAGAAATATGGCTCTGTTCCTCCCAGCTCACTGGCAGTCAGAGTTTAAAGTTATCTCTCTTGTTCCCTGAACATTGCTGTTACCCTGTTCTTTTTTCAAGGTGCCCAGATTTTATATTGTTCAAACACACATGCTCTACAAACAATTTGTGCAGTTAACACAATCATCACAGGGTCCTGAGGCAACATACATCCCCCTCAGCTTACGAAGGTGACGGGATTAAGAGATTAAAGTAAAGACAGGCATAGGAAATCACAAGGGTATTGACTGGGGAAGTGATAAGTGTCCATGAAATCTTCACAATTTATGTTCAGAGATTGCAGTAAAGACAGGCATAAGAAATTATAAAAGTATTAATTTTGGGGAACTAATAAATGTCCGTGAAATCTTCACAATTTATGTTCTTCTGCCATGGCTTCAGCCAGTCCCTCCATTTGGGGTTCCTGACTTCCCACAACAAATAGTCAACTTTGAGTCTTGGCAAATCCCTATTTTAAGTGGGTGTTCTTTGGGACTGTGCTCTTGGTCCAACTCTCACTTTACGTAGTCCCTGTGTTTGACTTCATTCACTCTAATGACTGACTACTATTTATGATTCTAATGGTTCTCAATATAATAAAAAGAATGAATGCAAAAATAAAACTTTCCCCTATAGTTCTCTGACTTCTTGTGAGCATAGAAGTGATTGCAGGTTTTTTTTGTTTTTTGTTTTGTTTTGTTTTGAGACAGAGTTTCACTTTTCTTGCGCAGGCTAGAGTGCAGTGGCACCATCTCGGCTCACTGCAACCTCCACCTCCCAGGTTCAAGCGATTCTCCTGCCTCAGCCTCCCGAGTAGCTGGGACTACAGGCATGCGCCACCACACCCAGCTAATTTTTTGTATTTTTAGTAGAGATGGGGTTTCCCCTTGTTAGTCAGGCTGGTCTCGAACTCCTGACCTCAGGTGACCCACCTGCCTCGGCCTGCCAAAGTGCTGGAATTACAGGTGTGAGCCAGTGCGCCCGGCCTGATTACAGTTTTTAAAAATCTAAATTTTAACATACTATAAAACCTTGAGGAATCCTCTCCTCATTTATTCACTTGAACATCACCCATGCTTTAATAAAGTAACAAATAAAAGGGTTTCAGTGTATGTATGGAACATATATAGTCATATTTTTTTTAATTTATTAAAATGTAATTTTCAGAAGGGTTTCATTGTTAAACCTGCATCTATTTTTTTACCTTGGTTGTGACACTGAAATTCTGGAAGCAGTCGAAAAAAGTTTTTTCCCTCAGTGTTGTATGTGGAAACTTAGAAAAAAGAAAAAAAAATTTTCCCAAATGAAGAACTAACATAGTCATGTGATCCATCACAGTGAGTCTCAGGGAAACAGATCTGCTAGATCCATGATTCCAATGTTAAAAAGAAGACTACTTTAGAGAGAAGTTGCTACCATATTTTTTTTTCCTGTGGCATTTCATTAATGAATGACTGCTGGACTGTCATGGTCATTTTTAATGTTTATCATGTCATTGCCTTGTCCAGCTGCACCCTGGTCAGCACAAAATAACCGTGTCCTGGTGTTGCCAGTGCCTACGAGAATGCAAAGAGACCTCTTTCTAAAACCAGGTCTGACGTTTCTTCAAAGAAACATCCAAGCATTTTCGTTTTAATGTCAGCAGTCATCATTTTCACCTTAGGTGTAACATCTAAAATTTATACTTGCTTGTTCCTTATTTACTCTTTTTGGTCTTTACTGTGGAACTGTAGTGTTCTGATCTTGAACTGGAACATAAATGGAGAGAAGCTTCTCTCCTTTTCTCTGATTTCCCTGGAACTAAATCCAACTCTCGATATTTTATTGAAAACAACAACAACAAATTCACCTAAATACTGAGACCTCTTTTTGAGTCATCTTTATTATTATTTTGTTAAAGATGCACATTTTTTTTGTTCCTGCTAGGGCATTTAGTTTTTATACAAAGTAGTCCATAATAAAAGAATTTCATGGCCGGGCACAGTGGCTCACACCTGTAATCCCAACACTTTGGAAGGCCAAGGTGGACAGATCACAAGGTCAGGAGATCGAGACCATCCTGGCTAACATGGTGAAACCCCGTCTCTACTAAAAGTACAAAAAAATTAGCCAGGCGTGATGGCACGCACCTGTAGTCCCAGCTACTCGGGAGGCTGAGGCAGGAGAATCTCTCGAACCCCGGAGGCAGAGGTTGCAGTGAGCTGAGATCACACCACTGCACTCCAGCCTGGGCAGCAGAGCGAGACTCTGTCTCTCTCTCTCTCTGTCTCTTCTCTCTCTCACTCACACACACACACACACACACACACACACACACACGAATTTCATTTCAGCTCCTTAGCATAAAACTGCCTTGACTCTCTAAGCATATATCTAAAAGGGATTTTAAGGAAATTCGGAGAGCCTGTGACTGTAATTTTGACTTATATTTGTTATAGATTGAAGAAGAGCCCTGTTCAGACTATATTTAAGTTGTGAGTTAAAATACCTTTACTTATGGTGAAGTTCTCATCTACATTCCTATTGGATATTAACTAATTATTTTTGTTTGTTTGTTTGTTTTTGTTTTTGAGACAGAGTTTCACCCTTGTTGCCCAGGCTATAGTGCAATGGCGCGATCTCGGCTCACTGCAACCTCTGCCTTCTGAGTTCAAGCAATTCTCCTGCCTCAGACTCCCGAGCAGCTGGGATTACAGGCATGAGCCACCATGCCCAGCTAATTTTGTATTTTTAGTGGAGGCGGGGTTTCTCCATGTTGGTCAGGCTGGTCTTGAACTCCCAACCTCAGGTGATCCACCCGCCTCGGCCTCCCAAAGTGTTGGGATTACAGGCGTGAGCCACTGCACCCAGCCAAATTCTTAAATTATTTGTACACACCCAAAGGAGTCTTCTTCTGGTATCTATCTGTAAGGGGCCACTTCCCCTGTAGCCTTTTTAGTTTGTGACTTCCATTTTGAACCACTGATGGTTGCATCCCAGCAAGGTTCTGGAGCTACTCAGGGCAGTTCATCAATCCAGCTAATGACAGTGAAGATTACTGATTGCTCTCAGCTATTCCTGTGACATGGTTTATCCCTCATCCAATTCTCCACGTTTGCCATTTGAAATGTTATATGGTATGAACTGTGTGCTAGGAGGAAACTTACAAGTATCAGAGTTAAAATTCGTGTCTGACTAGCTCATAGCTGATCTTCATTATTCTTTTATGAGTTCATGTTAAATGTGCTCTTATCCACAGGATGAAGATAATGGAATGAAAAGTAAAGTTCATCATATTGCCAAGGAGATCATGAGCTCAGAGAAAGTGTAGGTATCTAGTTTACAATTCAGAAGACTGTTTTCCCCCCATTGGCACATTTAAAACATTTTTTTCATTGTTGTTTTTTACAGGTTTGTGGATGTGTTAAAACTTTTGCATATTGTAAGTATCTGCTAATATTTTCTTGAAGTCTAAGACTATTCCCTTTTGTACTTTCCCTACCCCTAGAAGTTTTCAGCATTACTAACTTAATGATAGACATTTTCTAAAATGTATGTATTTCATATATGTAGATAACATGATTTCTGAAAGAGTCTTAGTAGCTATATGTCCAAAGTCTTCAAACTTTATGTCTTCATAACAGTTTTGAAGGTGATAATATATTTTCTTAGGCATTTGCTGAAGATACTTGCTGTTAGAGTTTTGCATTAGCAATACATGAAGAGCATCATTATCATTGTCCAAAAGTGTTTTTCTCCTACCTAAATAAGCTCCCAGAAACAGATTTGAAATAGGCAATTTTCTTACTATTTTTCCTTTTACTACCTCCATTTAGGAGAGATTAGAAATAGACATTTTTACAACTAAGTTTTAGTTCTATTTTCTGTTTTTTAAATGGTCAACTTTTTTTTGTTTTTTTGATTTGAGAGAGCATCTTATTCTGTTGCCCAGGCTAGGGTGCAGTGGTGCGATCTTAGCTCACTGCAGCCTTTCAACCTCCTGGGTTCAGGCAATTCTCCTACCTCAGGCTCCTGAGCAGCTGGGACTACAGGCACTCACCACCATGCCCAGCTAAATTTTGTATTTTTTGTAGAGATGGGGTTTCAACATGTTACCCGGGCTGATCTCAAACTCATGGGCTCAAGTGATCAACCCGCCTTGGCCTCCTAAAGTGCTGGGATTACTGACATGAGCCACTGCAGCCAGCCTATAATTGTCAACTTGAACAGACTTGTTAGGAAAGAATTATGATATGTGTCAGGGTGCATATTCATTTTTCTCATGCACTCCTTTGTCCTTGCAGGTTTTCACAAGTTTCATTATGCATTGACAGTTAAAGTGCTTTTAGGGTTACTTTATTTCAATTATATTTAGGCAAGATATTAAGACTTAAGAAAGGGGTAAAACAAAAGGAAAAGGTAGATGAAAATGAAAAAAGGAGTTGAAGTGACAGTTTACTTATGTGGTGTAATTATTAACATCATAAATTAGGCTTAATTGTGGAGAAATGAAAGGTTCACCAAATATACATCCATTTAAGTCTTGGCAAACAGTATCATTATTTTCAGGTTTTCTTTGAATGGATACATACAAACATGAAAAGTAAGTTACACTTAGGCATGATTCACATTCACTAAATGATTACCTGTGCTCTGTACTTGGTCCAACAGAAACCCAGGGGCCTGGCATGGTGTGGTGGCTCATGACTGTAATCCCAGCACTGTGGGAGGCTGAAGCGGGTAGATCACCTGAGGTCAGGAGTTTGAAACCAGCCTGGCCAACATGGCTAAAACCCATCTCCGCTAAAATACAAAAATTAGCCAGGTGTGGTGGCATGCCTGTAGTCCTAGCTACTCAGGAGGCTGAGGCAGGAGAATCACTTGAACCCAGGAGGCAGAGGTTGCAGTGAGCCAAGATGGTACCACTGCACTCCAACATGGGTGACAGATCAAGACTCTGTCTCAAAACAAAACAAAACAAAAATAGGGGCCTGATTCCTATGTGAAAAATCTGTAGCTTTGGAAATTCTTTAAAAATTCTTAACATTGCTAATGTGTTTTGAGAAAATATTTCCCTGTGAATAGTTTCTCACATTGATTTTTGGCTATATTGGTAATATTGATAAGTTCTCTCTTCCTCTCTCTCTCCTTTTTTTTAATGACTCAGTGTCTCACTTTGTCACCCAGGCTGGAGTGCGGTGGCATGATTTCCACTCACTGCAAGCTCTACCTCCTGGGCTCAAGCGATCCTCCCATCTCAGCCTCCTGAGTAGCTGGGACCACAGCCATCCACCACGCCAGGCTAATTTGTTGTATTTTTAGTGGAGATGGGTTTTAGCCATGTTGCCCAGGCTGGTCTCGAACTCCTGAGCAATCTGCCCACCTCAGCCTCCCAAAGTTCTGGAATTACAGGCATGAGCCACTATGCCCAGCCAGTTCTCTTTTGTAATAGATTTTCTTTTTTTAATGATAGGACAAAGCTAGGCATGGGTAGCACACACTTATAATCCCACCTATTCAGGAGGCTGAGCCAAAAGAATCCCTTGAGCCTAGGAGTTCAAAACTGCAGTGAGCTGATTGCACCACTGCACTCTAGCATGGATGACACAGCAAACCCTTTTTCCAAAAAAAAAAGGACAATGTTTTGTCACCCTAACAAATTTATTGAGTGGCAAGCTTACTGTCATTTCATATAAATTATAATATGTTTAATAAATAAGTGGCTTTTCAAAATGAATTTCTTGTATATTTGCTGCTCTGCCCTGAACATCCCCACCACACCGTAGACATCTGATATAATTAAGTACAAGTTAATAGGAAGGTTTTTGGTTGTCTTATTGCTCTCTGATGGGAGCTAGCCTTAGTAAATATCTCAATAAAAATATTATGTAAACGTACAAATAGTCTGCATTTAAAAAAATATTTGGGCCGGGTACGGTGGCTCATGCCTGTAATCCCAGCACCTTGGGAGGCCAGGGCAGGCGGATCACATGAGGTCAGGAGTTCGAGACAGCCTGACCAACATGGAGAAACCCCGTCTCTACTAAAAATACAAAAATTAGCCGGGCGTGGTGGCACATGTCTGTAATCCCAGCTACTCTGGAGGCTGAGGCAGGAGAATCCCTTGAACCCAGGAGGCAGAGGTTGCGGTGAGTCGAGATTGTGCCATTGCACTCCAGCCTGGGCAACAAGAGCGAAACTCCCTCTCAAAAAAAAAAAGTGTGTGTGTGTGTGTGTGTGTGTGTGTGTGTGTGTGTGTAATATATAGCATATATAGTATACTATATAATATATAGTATGATATGTAGTATATATAATATACTTTGTATTGTATATATAATTATATAGTATAGTGTATGTGATATGTAGTATAGCAATCTATTATATATTATACATATTTTATATAGTATATGTACTATATATTATATATAATGATTACTATTATATAGTATTATATATCATATAATATACTATATATACTATATATAATACTATATGTATAGTCACTTATTTATCAAACATAATTTATATGAAATGACAATAAGCTTGACACTCAACAAATTTGTTAGGGTGACAAAATATTGTCCTTTTTTTTTGAAAAAAGGGTTTGCTGTGTCATCCATGCTAGAGTGCAGTGGTGCAATCAGCTCACTACAGTTTTGAACTTCTAGGCTCAAGGGATTCTTATACATATTATACTATATATATTATATATATATAATACTATATAAAACTATATATAATATACTATATATTATGTATAATATATGTGATATATACTATGTGATGTATAATATACTATGTATTATATATAATATATGCTATATATTATATAGTATGCTATATATTATGTAATATATGCTATATATATAAAATATGTGCTATATATAATATAATATATGCTATATATTATATAATATATTATATAATATATGCTATATAATATAATATATTATATATAATATTATATATGCTATATGTAATATAATATATAATATATATGCTATATATTATATAATATATATGCTATATATTATATAATATATAATATTATATATGCTATATATTATATAATATATAATATTATATATGCTATATATTATATAATATATAATATATGCTATATATTATATAATATATGCTATATCTTATATAATATATATAATATATGCTATATCTTATATAATATATATAATATATGCTATATCTTATATAATATATATAATATATGCTATATCTTATATAATATATATAATATATGCTATATCTTATATAATATATATAATATATGCTATATCTTATATAATATATATAATATATGCTATATCTTATATAATATATATAATATATGCTATATCTTATATAATATATATAATATATGCTATATCTTATATAATATATATAATATATGCTATATATTATATAATATATATAATATATGTAATATAACATATGCTATGTATTATATAATATATAATATATGTAATATAACATATGCTATGTATTATATAATATATAATATATGTAATATAACATATGCTATGTATTATATAATATATAATATATATAATATAACATATGCTATGTATTATATAATATATAATATATATAATATAACATATGCTATGTATTATATAATATATATAACATGCTATGTATTATATAATATATGCTATGTATTATATAATATATAATATATAATATAATATATGCTATATATTATATAATATATAATATAATATATGCTATATATTATATTATATATATATTTGGAAGGGATTTTTTAGACAAAGATGGACTGGCTATATAGTATTAGTAATGAAGCATCTTTGCTTCACTAATTTCTTTAGGTGGAGACGTACATTTCCTTGAAAATTTGAGAGACTCAATAAAATCCATAGAGCCAGAGGCAAGGCTACCCTAGGCCTGGATCCAGATGTCTGTTACTAAATAGATTTTTTTTTTTTTTTGCATTGTAAAAGGAATAGAAGACTTTCTCAGTTCTCATTTTTTTTTCCATGTTAAAATCACTTCATGCTGTTTCACTGAATACACCCTGACTTTTGAGTCTTGTGAACCATTTTCAGCATTTTTTCTTTAGTTGTAAAGAATCTTTCTCTAGCTTCTGTTGACATGGCTACCAAACCTTCACTCTGGAGCAGCTTCTTTCATGTGAGAACTGTTCTTCACTGAATGAAGCTCATTGTTCAGAGTACCTTTGTTTTGCTGCTGAGGTGTTTTCCCTACCTTGGTTTGGTATTTCCTTCTCTTTAGATGCCTCTGTTTCACAGCTGTCTTTCCAAGCCTTCAGGGACTTGTGGAGAGAGGGAGGGAAGGTGACTTGTGGATCTTAAATGATGTTCATCTAATCATTTAACTTAACCAAATCCCCTTTAGTTAAATAAATGGTGTTCTATTAAGTGCTCTCTATGTTCCTTGCAGCATGCTATGTTACATCAATTATCTGTTTTAATCCTCGTAACAACCCTGTCAAATAGATGTTATTCCTATTTTTTTCAATGAAGAAAGTAAGCTAACTGTCAAAAATAACCCACTACTTAATAGGAAAACCAGACTTTCAAGTCTGGTCTGTCTGAGCCCTTGTACTTAGTTGTTCTTTAGCAATTGATTGAAAATTATTACTTGAAATCTCTACCATGCTGTATAGGATATAGTGTATCTTTGGATATATTAGCTTGCTTTCAGAATTCTTTTAGTTGCCCTGGAAACCAGAGAAACTTATTTTTCATCTTCTAAAGATGACAATGAAGCTAGATTTTGGTCACTTAGAGTTATTATGATGATTACTTGTTAGTGTTATTAAAGGAGATTGGAAACTAGACATAAAAGATTGCTTTCAATTATGTTTTCTACAGTTTTGCATTGATGATTATGCACCACTGATGATTATATACCGTATCACTGGGTCTACATATAGAGAGGGAAGAATAATTTCATTGGGAAAATATTTTTATTTTAAAAACAAAGTCAAATGGTTAATGTGGGGACTTTCCCACCTCTACTTTTACTCCATAGTTTCACACTCATTTCTGCATATTTATCATAGCACTTTGACCTCCACAGCTGCTTTGCTTTTGCTTAAAGTGAAGTGATTCCTGGTGTCCTTCATGAGGACAGGGAACCTTGTAGGGCTCCATGTCTGTCCATATGTTCATTTGGTCTTTGTAATTCATTGTGTCATGATAGTAGTTCAGTAATGCCCTGAGGTCAGGCAGCTGGGTCAGGACAGCTGGTAATTAAGTCACATACCCCTCATTGGTGCTGGAGATATAAAACCTGACCCCATGAACAAGGCCATCTGTTTTGTGCTTCATTGCCTCAGATGCTCATACTTGATTTTATTTGCATTGATTTTTTGCTTAGGTCTTCCCTAAGTGATTCGAGCTGGCCAAGCTGGTATGTTAATATCTCAAAAGAATTAAAGATCAACTTAAAGTTAATCTGATTCTGATTTGTAGGTTTTGGGGAATTAGTAAGAATAATATTATCATATGCTTCATAATTCAGAGGCCCATTTCTAGCTCTACAAATTCCACATTAAACAAGCATTTGGTTATTATGACCAGAAACTACAGTGTAGGTGGTTCAATTTTGCATGCAGAATCTTTGGTAGGTTTTGTTGTAAGGATGAAGTCGAGGTACTTGATGCTAACAAACTCTATAGCTAACTAACATTTTCACACTCTTAACTCCTCCCCCCACTATTTTAATATTTTATTTACCCAGCTTTTCCAGTGTGAAAAATTAAACTCTGGATCTAACTTTTGAAGAGCTAATCCTGCTGTCTTGCATCCTCACCGATTTTGTCAAGGAGGTGTTAGTGAATTTAGATTCTTCTGCCTCAAAATAGCTTTGCCTCTGGCTTTTAAGTGTCATCACACTTTCCCAAATTATCCTGGTTGTTAACATTTAGAAAAATAACCAGACATATGTTGTAATAATCCTTTTATAAAAAAAAGATGTCACCTCCTCCCAGTGGCACCAGTTTTGACAATGGCTGAGGTTCGTGAAGAGCTGAGAAGTTAAAGATTCTGCGTGTGGTTCCTGTGTGAATTAGTTACATCTGGCATTGGGGCTGTAGCACACAGCTGTCAGGAAATGGTGGCCCAAGAGGTGAGGGAATGAGACTGGGGCCAGGGCTGCTGCATGTGGTTATGGAGGCCAAAATTGGGAGTGGAGCCCAATTATTCAGTGACACTTGTTGAAGCAAAAGCACAGTATGGCAGGCTTTATTCAGGACTATCACAATGGCATAGGGGGCCTGGCGCAGTGGCTCGTGCCTATAATCCCAGCACTTTGGGAGGCCAAGGTGGGTGGTTCACTTGAGGTCAGGAGTTCGAGACCAGTCTGGCCAACCTGGTGAAACCCCATATCTACTAAAAATATAAAAATTAGCTGGGCGTGGTGGCATATGCCTGTAATCTCAGCTACTCGAGAGGCTGAGGCAGTAGAATCGCTTGAACCCAAGAGCAGAGGTTGCAGTGAGCCGAGATCGTACCACACTCCAGCCTGGACGACAGAGCAAAACTCCATCTCAAAAACAAAAAACAACAGACATAGGGACCACTGCAATGGGATTTTGCAGTAGTGGAGAGAGATTGGGCTCAACTCCAAATATATTACGGGCAAGTGGGAATTTATAGCCAAGGAGGAGCAAAGTGGGCGTTAGTGGATGGAAAATTACTAACAAGAAACTTCAGGAGCAGGGGAGATTCTGGCTAAACCAACTTAAGAGGATTCTTGCTGAAGACGGACCAGCCAGGGTGATCATACATCACCTGGGCAATGGTAGAGGATGAAGAACCCGAACAATATAAAGGGTGGGAGGTTCTTGCTAAAACTGGATTTTACAAGAAAGTGCACAGATGGGCCTAAGAAAAGATTCAGGAACCTGACCAGTACAGAATCTTTGCCGAGTGCTTACTTAGAATATGTAATTCTCTGGTTGGACACAATGGCTCACGCCTGTAATCCCAACACTTTGGGAAGCTGAGACAGGAAGATCACTTGAGGCCAGGAGTTCAAAACCAGTCTGGCCAACATGGTGAAACCCCATCTCTACTAAAAATACAAAAAGTTAGCCAAATGTGGTGGCACACACCTATAATCCCAGCTACTCAGGAGATGAGGCAAGAGAATGGCTTGAACCTGGGAGTCGGAGGTTGCAGTGAGCTGAGATCGCACCACTACACTCCAGCCTGGACGACAGAGCGAGACTCTGTCGCAAAAAAAAAAAAAAAAAAGGCCGGGTGCGGTGGCTCACGCCTGTAATCCCAGCACTTTCAGAGGCTGAGGCAGGTAGATCACCTGAGGTCAGGAGTTCGAGACCAGCTGGCCAACATGGTGAAATCCCCGTATCTACTAAAAATACAAAAATTAGCCAGGCGTGGTGGCAAGCGCCTGTAATCCCAGCTACTTGGGAGGCTGAGGCAGGAGAAATCACTTGAACTCGGGAGGTGGAGGTTGCAGTGAGCTGAGATTGCACCACTGCACTCCAGCCTGGGCAACAAGAGCAAAACTCTTTCTCAAAAAAAAAAGTAAGCTGGGCGCCGTGGCTCATGCCTATAATCCCAGCACTTTGGGAGGCCGAGGCAGGTGAATCACCTGAGGTTGGGAGTTCGAGCCCAGCCTGACCAACATGGAGAAACCCTGTCTCTACTAAAAATACAAAATTAGCCAGGTGTGGTGGCACATGCCTGTAATCCCAGCTACTCAAGAGGCTGAGGCAGGAGAATTGCTTGAACCCGGGAAGCGGAGGTTGTGGTGAGCTGAGATCACGCCATTGCACTCCAGCCTGGGCAACCAGAGTGAAACTCTGTCTCAAAAAAAAAAAGTAACTCTGTGGGTTTCATGGATATATACTCTCAAAATTCTTATAGCCTTTATTAAGTGTACTTCTGCTATTTTAATTATTAAATTTCTATTTTATTCTGACATACTGCTTTTAATTTAAAAGAAAACATTGTGGGCCATCAGTCCATTCCGAGCTACCTGAAAACATCCAGTAGTACTGGGAAAAGCAGAGTTTTGCCTGGTGTGTGACAAGGGCCTCCATTTAGAGGCAGCCATCTCACTGGTCAGTTCAGTTTGTATTTGGCTGGTCTCTGTTAAATGCGTCTTAAATAAACAAGTTCCCTTTTTGGCAATGGTGGCAGACATATGGAATGCAGGGTCTGGCAAAAGCTGTGTCAAACCGGGTCCTTAAGTTACTTAGCAGCTAACATCACTGTCACTGTCATGGCAGAGGAAATACCTTCCAACTGGGAAACAAAAGTTATCCTGCTGCCAGGAGACAAATATAGCCATTACTTACTCCACCAGAAGAAAGGGTGGCGCTTATTGCTTTGCTGAGCAAGGAACTCTTGCATCCAGATTATATTAATCACTAAACTGGTCAAAACAAAAGCAAAAAAGATAACCATAGAGGATGTTTAACTATTCTGCTTTGAATACATTATTCATGATGTGTAAATGTATTCTATAGCCCTGCATGATAGCAGACAGCCTAATGATTTTCAAAAGTGTTAAGTGGCTCTATTTTCTCTTAGTAAATGTGAGTGCTGATTGAAGCAAGCTGTTGGGAGGTGAAATATGGCTGATATCCATTTGGTTTCTGGAGATGTTCTGAGTGGTTTTCTGGATTAGAGCTTATAATACTATGAGAATTAAATGCTCTTATTTTATATGATACTAATTAGGTATACAAGTTAGTCCTTTAGTTACTGGTGTGAGTAGTTGGCTCCTTTGGGCTAATGTGACTGTGGGATCAATAAACTTAGTCCCAGGTACTGAGTCCTAAGTGAAAGGTTTTTTAGCATTGATTAAGCATAAGAGGACTGGACTTCTTCAAAATAGCCATCCTTTAGAAAAAGAATCCTTTCATATACTTTAAGTTATCTATGAGGTTTTTGGTTGTCCAGAGTTAAAAAAAAAAAAAACAAAAAAAAACAAACCTCATGGTTAATATATGTATGTTAGGGGCAGGTGTTGAAAGGATCATTGGAAGGAACAGTATACTTTTTT
Organism: Homo sapiens; assembly: GCF_000001405.40. Lineage (NCBI taxonomy): Eukaryota > Metazoa > Chordata > Mammalia > Primates > Hominidae > Homo > Homo sapiens. The sequence goes on along the minus strand of NC_000012.12, from coordinate 95,143,208 downwards.
GGTTGATTTCATTTGCCCGGTAAATCCCTGAAGGGAAAGCAGTTGGAAATAAAGGTAAGGGAAGATAAGGCCTATTAGTCATTTACCCAAACTTTGCTTTCAGATTTTAATTAAAACTGCTGTTTCTAAAAAGGAAAAAATCTTTGTTTTTGAATCCTCAGGACTGTGGAACAGATTTCACTCTGTTTTACTTATATCTTGAGGCCCACCCTTAGGGGACAATGAAATCTAGGCAAATACTTATCTCCTACCCCACCCTTTCCAAGTGCTCTGGAGTAATAGGGTGCGGTGATATTGACCTATATTAAAACATGGTACAGATAGTCTAGAGAACAGTAAATGAAAAATAATAGGTGAAGAGAAAGATTCTTATTTGTGAAAAGTGTAAACCCTGGTGAATTTATTGAGAGGTTGACAAGAGGGAGGGGAGAATTTCAGGTCCAGAGTTAAAATGTTTCATTCTGTGTGCCAACTGCATTGCAAAAAAAGTTTTATGTGCAATATCTAATTAAAGTCTCATAACTAGTATTATACTCATTTAGCAGATGAGGGAAATCAGGCTGGCCCAAGGAAACACAGTAAATAAGGAGCAAAGGCTTGGATCCAGGATTCTGATTATCAAGCATGTGCCTGCCAGGCACGGTGGCTCATGCCTATAATCACAGCACTTTGGGAGGCCCTAGTGGGAGGATTTCTTGAGCTCAGGAGTTCAAGACCAGCCTGGGCAACAAGGTGAAACCTTGTCTCTACAAAAAATAGAAAAATGGGCTGGGTGCAGTGGGTCACACTTGTAATCCCAGCACTTTGGGAGGCTGAGGCGGGCGAATCAGAAGGTCAGGAATTCGAGACCAGCCTGGCCAACATGGTGAAACGCCGTCTCTACTAAAAACATACAAAAAATCAGCTGGGTGTGGTGGTGGGCACCTGTAATCCCAGCTACTCGGGAGGCTGAGGCAGGAGAATAGCTTGAACCCGGGAGGCGGAGGTTGCAGTGAGCCAAGATCGCGCCACTGTACTCTAGCGTGGGTGACAGTGCGAGACTCCATCTCAAAAAAAAAAAAAAAAATACAAAAGTGAGCCTGGCATGGTGGCACGCGCCTGTAGTCCCAGCTACTCGGGAAGTTGCCATGAGCTGAGATTGGGCCACTGCGCTCCATCCTGGATGACAGAGGGAGACCCACAACACGTGCCTCTCTCCACATGCCTCACCTAGGATGCTCCAGTTGTTGGGAAATGATGACTGAAAGTGGACAGTGGGACTCTTAAATCCAGAATAAAATTAGCTAAGATCTCCTGGGAACTTTTAAAATAAATGGATTGTGTTTATATTGATGGTATTGGAATAATTCTAAAGACTATTTAGAATTGCATTACAATTTCCAGACACTCGCTTAGTATAATTGCTAAGTTTAGAGATCAAACTAAAAGGTTTAAGATAAATATCATATAGTATGTTTGAAAATCAAATAATCGTCTCACTATTTTTTATTTTTAATTTCCTATCTAGGTGAGTGGGGTAGGAGGAAGGGGGTACTTTAGATTTGTAATTCTGCATGAGAAATACAGCTGTGCAATCTGTATCATTTTAGGGAGGAGGGGGACTGAGGATAAAAGCTTGTTATCAAGTTACATGTGTGTGTATTGTTTTTCCTGCTCTGGACTGTAATAGGATTTCCGGGATGCAGTAGCTCATGCTTCCAGGCAACTTGGGAAACCAGTGATTGAGGACCGGATTCTAAATCAGATCCTATACTACTTGCCTCAGCTGTATGAGCTCAACCGGGATCTCTTGAAGGAACTGGAGGAAAGAATGTTGCACTGGTAAAAATGGACCGTTTTCAGATTTTCCTAGTGTTTCCAATTTTAGATGAAGCCATAAGGGCCCCACATGTGACAGAGATATATTTTCATTACATTGAGTTGTTTGAATATATTGTCTTTGCAGTTATCCATAGATTGATTTTGTTTTGTTTGTTTTTTGTTTTTGAGATAGATTCTCATTCTGTCGCCCAGGCTGGTGTGCAGTGGCACAATCTCGGCTCACTGCAACCTCTGCCTCCCGGGTTCCAGCGTTTCTTCTGCCTCAGCCTCCCGAGTAGCTGGGATTATAGGCGTGTGCCACCACGCCTTTCTAATTTTTTGTATTTTTAGTAGAGATGAGGTTTCACCGTGTTGGCCAGGCTGGTCTCGAACTCCTGACCTCAGGTGATCTGCCTGCCTCTGCCTAAAGTGCTGGGATTACAGGTGTGAGCCACCATGCCTGACCAGATTGATTATTTTCAATGGCCCAAAATTCACAACCTTGGCACACCAAGCTCAATACTATTATTTTAAACAAATCTTTCGTAATCCTGCCTCAGAAGCAAGATGCAGCCGATTTAAATTTCTATAGGTGAACTTGGGCAATCAAGATTTTTGAGATTCAGTGTAGATAGATGCTATATGCTATATTCACATTAGAATAGTTTCTAAATGTTTTATTTACCTTCTGGAGCTGCAGGTCATGAAACTCCCTTTCCAGTTTTGAAAAAGAGGCCGTTCACTGAAATAATAGGATGGTTGTTTTGGAAAAGCAATTTTTTTTTTCTTTTGAGATGGAGTTTCACTCTTGTTGCCCAGGCTGGAGTGCAATGGCACGATCGCAGCTCACTGCAACCTCTGCCTCCCAGGTTCAAGTGATTCTTCTGTCTCAGCCTCCTGCGTAGCTGGGATTACAGGCGCATGCCACCATGCCTGGCTAATTTTTGTATTTTTAGTAGAGGCGGGGTTTCATCATATTGGTCAGGCTGGTCTCTAACTCCTGACCTCAGGTGATCCGCCTTGGCCTCCCAAAGAAAGGCAAATTTATATATGTATGACATGCTTGTAGAAGCTGTAGATTTAAGAATAGGAAAAGAATACCAAAAGGTTGGTATTGGAAGCTACTTCCACTAGGCTGAAGAAAATAAGTATGCAGAGGCTTGGTGACTTCTGTGGAAATAATGTAGAAAGATGGGTGTAGGAGGATTGAATTTACTGTTGAAAACCATGGGGAACACAACATGATTAGAATAAGAAAATAGTATCACCTACTTTCATGTTCAAAATTTCTCTAAGCTTTCTTTATATATAAACCAGAAAAATACCTCTGCTTGTTTTGGAAATATCTTGCCTCTATATGTTGGGTAAATATGGCAGATAAGCAATTAATACATAGCCGTAGCCTAAGTATAAAATAATACACAATTTAGGACTGAGAAATGACTAAAATGTAGTCTTTAAAGGTCGTGATAGGCCGAGCACGGTGGCTCATGCCTGTAATCCCAGCACTTTGGGAGGCTGCGGCGGGTGGGTCACTTGAGGTCAGGAGCTCGAGACCAGCCTAGCCAACATGGCAAAACCTCGTCTCTAGTAAACTTACAAAAATTAGCCAGACATGATGGCAGATGCCTGTAATCCCAACTACTCGGGAGGCTGAACTGGGAGGCGGAGGCTGCAGTGAGCCGAGATTGTGCCACTGCACTCCATTCTGGGTGACAGAGCGAGACTCCTTTAAAAAAAAAAAAAAAGTCATGATAGAAATAAAATATAACTGGCTGGGCGCTGTGGCTCACACCTTTAATCCCAGTATTTTGGGAGGCCGAGACAGGCAGATAAGCTGAGGTCAGGAGTTTGAGACCAGCCTGGCCAACATGGTGAAACCTTGTCTCTACTAAAAAACAAATCTTTTTTTTTTTCTTAAGTTAAAAAAAAAAAATTGGGGCTTATTTGCTTCCGATTTTTTTTTTTTGAGACAGATTTTCACCTCTTGCCCAGGCCAGAGTTCAGTGGTGTGACCATGGCTCACTGCAGCCTTGACTTCCCTAGGCTTAAGTGATCCTTCCACCTCACCCACCCAAGTAGCTGGGACTGCAGGTGTGCCCCACCACGCCTGGCTAATTTTTTTAATTTTTTGTAGAGACAGGTTGCCCTGTGTTTCCTTGGCTGGTCTTGTGCTCCTGGGCTCAAGTGATCCTCTCGCCTCAGCCTCCCAAAGTGCTAGGATTACAGGCATGAGCCACTGCACCTAGCCTAATTTTCTATTTATTAAAATATTTTTCTCTTAGGGTTCAAGTCAATACATATTCTTTGGTGTTAGTTGACTTTCTGAAATAACATTTTTCCATTGGCTTTTAACAACAATTGATGAAATATTTTATTTTCACATTCAAGAAGGTTTGCATATCTACTATGTGCTAGTCTGTGCTCTTAAGTATGCAGAGGATATCACAGTGCACAAAACAGACATCCTGCTTTCATGGAGCAGACATTTAGTAGGGGAAGGACCAGATAAATAGACAAGAAAACTACCAGAAGCAGTTTCTGAGTTGCAGAGACCTGAAATAGGACGCTGTGGTAGCAAATGAAGCTTGAGTGGTCAGGGAAAGCCCTCTGTGAAGGTGGCATATTTACAGTGATATCTGAAAGGAAAGGAGCAGCCAGCCAGGGTTCTATATTTCCAGGCATGTAGAACCATTAGTGGAAGTCTGCATAGTGGAAATGAATTCCATGTCTCCAAAGAAGATAAAGAAGGCCAGTGTGGTGGGAGAGAAATGGGGAAGAGGAAGAGAAGTGTGACAGGGGTCAGAAAGGGCAGGCCTTTGTATGCCAGGTAAGAAGTTTTTTTTTTTTTTTCTTTTTCTTTTGAGACATTGTCTCACTCTGTCGCCTAGGCTGGAGTGCAGTGGGCACAATCTCGGCTCGCTGCAACCTCTACCTACCGGGTTCAAGCGATTCTCCTGCCTCAGCCTCCCAAGTACCTAGGATTACAGGCGCCTGCCACCATGCCCAGCTAATATTTGTATTTTTAGTAGAGGCAGGGTTTTACCATGTTGGCCAGGCTGGTCTCAAACTCCTGATCAGAAGTAATCTGCCCGTCTCGGCCTCCCAAAATGCTGGGATTACAGGCGTGAGCCATCGTGCCCATCCAAGGAGTGAGTGAGTTATTTATTTATTTATTTATTTATTTATTTATTTATTTATTTTTGAGACAGAATCTTGCTCTGTTGCCCAGACTGGAGTGCAGTGGCACAATCTCGGCTCACTGCAACCTCCCCCTCCCGGGTTCAAACAATTCTCCTGTCTTGGGATTACAGGCATGCACCACCATGCCCGACTAATTTTGTATTTTTGGTAGAGACTGGGTTTCTCCATGTTGGTCAGGCTGGTCTTGAGCTCCTAACCTCTGGTGATCTGCCCACCTCGGCTCCCAAAGTGCTGGGATTACAGGTATGAGCCACTGCACCCAGCCATGGTAAACATTTTTTAAGAGTCTCTCCTTGTGTTGAAGAATGGTTTGGAGAGGGCAAGAATGGAAGCAGGGAGACCAGTTAGAGTCCAGGCAAGATGGGATGGTGGCAGTGGAAATGGTGAAAAGTAGGCATTTTGAGGTATGTCTTACAAGAAGAGAAAAAAAGATAAGTTGGCGGCTTAGATGTGGACTCTGCGTATCATTGCATATGTTCATCAATCTCTCTTTATATTTTTTTGTGTATCTCTTCTCTATCCATAGGACTGAACAACAAAGAATTGCTGATATCTTTGTAAAGAAGGGACCATATCTAAAAATGTATTCCACATACATCAAAGAATTTGATAAGAATATAGCCTTGCTGGATGAACAGTGCAAGAAAAATCCAGGTTTTGCTGCTGTTGTTAGAGAATTTGAGGTATTTGCTACTATCTAATGTTGAACACTTCTCTTTCTTTTTGTTGTTGAAGCTTTAATAACAAGTTGCAGTCATTGAAAACAAAGCTTGCAAACAAAGAAAAAGTTAAAAAGTAATCCCTTCAAAATCAAAGATGGAATTGAACAATTTAAATGGTGAGAACTCAAGAATGTACATGACTTAATTTTGAAAATCTGTTATTGCACATGGGAATATTTTGACTTGGAAAGAATTTTTTTTTTGAGACAGAGTCTTGCTCTGTTGCCCAGGCTGGAGTACATTCGCACGTAGATTGGCTCACTGCAACCTCCGCCTCCCAGGTTCAAGTGATTCTCCTGCCTCAGCTTCCCGAGTAGTTGGGATTACAAGCACGTGCCACCACACCTGGCTAATTTTTTGTATTTTTAGTGGAGATGGGGTTTCACCACATTGGCCAGGCTGGTCTCGAATTCCTGACCTCAGGTGATCCACCCTGCTCGGCCTCCCAAAGTGCTGGGATTACAGGCGTGAGCCACTGTGCCTAGCTGGAAAGAATATTTTGATGGGACTTTTTAAACTGTGGTAAAATACATACAACACAAACTTAGCATTTTAACAGTTTTCAAGTTTATAGTTCAGTAATGTTAAGTACGTTGACATTCTTGTGCAACCAGATCCCCAGAACTCTTTTCAACTTGCAAAACTGAAGCTCTATAGGCATTAAACATTAACTCTATTCTCTCTTCCCTCCCAGCCCTTGGCAACCACCATTCTGCTTTCTGACTCAATGAACTTGATTAAGGAACATGTCTTAACTTTTAATTTAACTTCTTCTTTTATCCTAACAATTAACTTACAATGATGGATGGGAAATAGAATTTATATTTCCCTTTAGATAAATAAATAACATGGTTTTGGTGCCAAAGTTAAGAAAAAGTAATAACCTGTTCAGAGCATGTGTCAGCCAAAGCTTTGACTTTTAACTCAGAGCTGTGAGGGTGGAACCCTGATTTAATTAGAGATAAAATCACAAGTCCCCTCCATCAGTTTGGAGTAAAATTTGCGTACTGTATTTTAGTACTTCTCTGTTTTGAAGCTTAAAAGATCGGTGAATTCCAGTCACACAAAACTAGAAGTGAAAAGGGTTTTTTTTGTTTGTTTGTTTTTGTTTTTGTTTTGTTTTTTGAGATGGAGTCTAGCTCTGTCGCCCAGGCTGGAGTGCAGTGGTGTGATCTCGGCTCACTGCAACCTCTGCCTCCGAGGTTCACGTGATTTTCCTGCCTCAGCCTCCCGAGTAGCTGGGATTTCAGGCATGTGCCACCATGCCCAGCTGATTTTTGTATTTTTAGTAGAGACAGGGTTTCACTGTGTTGGCCAGGCTGGTCTCGAACTCCTGATCTCATGATCCACCCACCTTGGCCTCTCAAAGTGCTGGGATTACAAGAGTGAGCCACCTCACCCAACCAAAATGAAAAGTTTTTAAAATAGTATGGTATTGCTGATTTCTGATTTGTGCAATAGACAAATAATTAAATTTTAAAGTCATCTGTAATTTTTTCTTCTTTTCCTCTCCTCTGTTGTCTTTGTGCTATCAAAAAACAAAGTGCAATGTAATTGTGGCAACTGATGATTGACCCAGGTTTTGGTAAGAGTCCAGTGAGTTGTGTTACCTTGTTAGCAAAAGAAAACGGGGAGCCATAAGGCCAGGAGAATTAGTAATCTGGGTTAATGATGCTTGGATGAAAGATACTTTCTTAACATGCATTATCATTATAATTTCATAATCACTCTGTGTACCAGATAGTGGTGGTACATATTTAGAAAATGATAAAAGTCTGAGCAAATCTAACAAAACTTATCAACCAACTTGCGCTATGTTAGAAGCGTGACTCTTTTTTGTAGTTCTTAGGATGCAGGGACATTTTCACTTGGCCTTTTTGATGCCACCTCACAGTAAACTCTTAGGTTGGAGAATGAGGGTGAGGCTCAGGAATGGGCCGAGATAGATGTCTGTTGTACATACTAAGGAAGAGAGGTTTCAAGGGATAACCAAATGTCTTTGTAGTCAAGCCAAAATGTGGTTCCATAATCAAATGTTCCTATAAATGCTGTGATTTGGGGGCTATCTTTTTATAAGGCCATTCATCTGCAAAAGACTTTTACATTCTTCAGACTTCTTAAAGAAGGGATACTTAGCAAGGCCGCTTTTCAGGTTATCTTTACTTTCTACAGTTCTCCCTGCCACCACCATTATTTTGACTATATTGACCACAAGGCTCTGATTATCATTTGAATCCAATTCCTGGCAGTTGTATTTCCACTGCCTTATTTTAGGGGCCATGCATTTCCTTCTTGGTCCATTGGGATTTGTTTGTATTTATCAATACAAGTGGGAGCTGCTGAGTAGGGTGGGCTCTAACTAGCCTAGGACACAGACTGTGGCTACCACGCTCTTTGAGAGGGTTGTTAACAAGTTTTTCCTAGGAGCAAATGGTTTCAGGGACTGCCTACAGGAAAGGGTGGAGGTTGGTGGTCAGTCTGGCTGGGGTTCACTCTCAGTGTATCTAACAGCTGTACCTTAAAATAAAAGGGAGCCTCTCTACGAATCTCCTTCCAGAGTTGCTTGATGTTTAAAGTTTGGCTTCCTGAGCACTTGAATCTGGGTCCCTTGCTTCTTAGAAAACACTGTGTTAATTTAGATGCCTTCTCCTTTCAGATGAGCCCTCGCTGTGCTAATCTGGCCCTCAAGCACTACCTGCTCAAGCCGGTTCAGAGGATCCCCCAGTACAGGCTGTTGCTGACAGGTGGGCTTCTCCAGCATTTTGCCAACCACCCAGTTGGTTTATCCATCAGCCAACTCTTCTTGCCTTTATGAAACTCGGGTGCCTCTCTTTGTATATCACCCCCGTCACCACGTTGCCTAATACGTGGATTTGTAGATTGCTTATATACTTTACATATACGTTGCCTGAACTGAACGGCTTTCGGTTCTTTGATCATCCATCCATGTGTGCATTTTCACCTCAGGGCATTCATACATGTAGCTGCTTTTTAATTCAGAACATCTTTGACCATCCCAAGCCCATACCCGTGCATCATTTCACCTGGCTAATATTATTAATTCCAAGAAGGTACGTTCCCCAACTACTCGAGAGTGGAGTTTAGAGGGTCACTCCCACATATTTATATAGCATTATCATAGCCCTAGTTACTTGCCTCAGAAGGTTGTTATAAGGTTTGATTAATGAGCTAAATGTGGACAGTGCTTAGAATAGTACCGTAGCTGGGTGCAGTGGACACGCCTGTAGTCCCAGCTACTGGAGAGGCTGAGGCGGGAGGATCTTTGAGCCCAGGAGTTTGAGACTATCCTGGGAAACATAGACCCCTGTCTAAAAAAAACAGGAATAATGCTTTAATTATAACAAGTTCTACATAAGTATTAGCTTTTACTATTATTAGTAATAGTAGTATTCTTATCCTGATAGTTATTTCCTTATGATAATAGTCTATCTTCTACTAGACTGTAAGCTTCAAGATTATAGAGCTATGTCTGTTTAGTAAGGAAAAAAGAAGGAAAGAAAAAAGCAAAAACACTGTGTTTGAGTGAAGGAACTTGCTGTAATCAGGCCTTTATATTCACTGGCTCTTTAAATCCTCACCATAGCCTTGCAAATATCAGTTTTATCTTCACAGATGAGATAACAGGCTTATTGAAATTAAGTGGTTTGGCATCACAAAAAGGCTAGTGTAGTCTCAGTACCAAACATAGTTACCCAACACCTACTACTAGGGTCTCTGGAATATTTGCTGAACTGTATTGGATGTACAGTGACTTAATATGCATATATAATACGCATTAAAATTGTATCAAAATGGACAAGAACGTCAAAATGTGGCCACAACCGTAAAGTCAATGTGTTCTATAAGTAAATTTGGAGGTACTGGGTTTCTGTTACTCTCCTTAAGAAATGGTGTCCATGCTTTTCTTCTTAACTTCACTCTCTTAAGCCAAGAGCTATATTGGAGATAATAGGTGAATCCTGAAAAACCAGGATTTCCTCATTTCTCTTTAGGGAAAAGGCTTCAGCACTTCAAAGCTTGCCTAGTGACAGACTGCTCACGAGGAAGACCTACCTTTTAGCCCCAGGACAGGCTGGAGTGCAGTGGCGCCATCTTGGCTCACTGCAGCCTCCATCTCCCAGGTTCAAGCGATTCTCCTGCCTCAGCCTCCTGTGTAGCTGGGATTACAGGTGTGCACCACCATGCCCGGCTAATTTTTGTATTTTTAGTAGAGGCGGGGTTTCACCATGTTGGCCAGGTTGGTCTCAAACTCCTGACCTCAAGTGATCTGCCGACCTTGGCCTCCCAAAGTGCTGAGATTATAGGCGTGAGCCACCACAACTGGCCCTTAATTTAAATTTCTAAGGATGAATCAGGCACTAGGTTTCTGTCTGGAATGACATAAAGCCAACTGAATAATTTAAGGATATCCTGTCCCTCTGTACTTTCTTACTTCTGCTTTTGGCAGAGATTTAGAATACACAGGACAAAGGGAAGTACTGATACACATGTTGTGTTTTTGCTAGATAAACTCAGTGCTTCTCATAAACCAGCTATTGAATGGCATAGGCTCTTTCCATAGCTGTCAAATGAAGTACTGTTTTTAGTGGCAAAAGACAGCTGTAGTTTCAAATGGGAGGGGAATGGAACAAGAATCTGAAAATTTAGTGCAAAGATTAATTTTTACATATTATTTATTTATTTATTTGTTTATTTATTTATTTATTTATTTGAGACGGAATCTTGCTCAGTTGCCAGGCTGGAGTGCAGTGGTGCAATCTCAGCTCACTGCAAACTCCGCCTCCTGGATTCAAGAGATTCTCCTGCCTCAGCCTCCCGAGTAGCTGGGACTACAGGCGTATGCCACCACGCCCAGCTAATTTTTTGTATTTTTAGTAGAGACGGGGTTTCAACATGTTGGCCAGGATGGTCTTGATCTCTTGACCTTGTGATCCGCCTGCCTTGGCCTCCCAAAGTGCTGGGATTACAAGCATGAGCCACGGTGCCCGGCCATATTATTTATTTTATTTTACACACTACGACTGTTCTAAGTAGTAAAAAGTCTACATATGTTAAATTTAGGTTTCATGCTTAGTTTGTTTTTTATTGAGAAAGTGTGAAATGACAAAAGCAGGTTTTAAAAAACTCTCTTTACTAAAATAGATTTTAACTAGGTGTAGTGGCTTATGCCTATAACCCAGCAACTCAGGAGGCTGAGCCGGGAGGATTGCTTGAGCCCGGGAATTTGAGGCTACAGTGAGCCATGGTCATGCTACTGCACTTCAGCCCGGGTGACAGTGAGAATTCCGTCTCTTAAACAAAAGAAGAAGAATTTTGTTTTATAATACCAACATCATGTGAGCTTGGAGTTATTTTTAGTTTGAGCTACCTCTTACTTAATCTTAGATTGGGAAATCTTTTCTGTTATTTATTTATTTATTTATGAGATGAAATCTTGCCTGTTACCCAGGCTGTAGTGCAGTGGCACAATCTCAGCTCACTGCAACCTCCGCCTACCAGGTTCAAGTTATCCTCCCTCCTCAGCCTCCCAAGTAGCTGGGATTACAGGCACCTGCCACCATACCTGGCTAATTTTTGTATTTTTAGTAGGGATATGGTTTTGCTGTGTTGGCCAGCCTGGTCTCAAACTTCTGACCTCAGATGATCTGCCCACCTCGGCTTTTCCATTCGTTAATTGTTGCACAATACCTTATATATAATAGGCCCTCGATACTGGTGGATTTGGGAAGGGGGAAAAGTGATGAATGGCTTATTCAAGGCCACGAAATCAGGACTAAAATTAAAGAACGTAGTAGACTTTGTATTCTTCATCCTATGCCTTTTCTTCCATTGCTTAAAATTCTTTCCTTCCCCTAAGCCTGACCTGAAGTCAGGTCAGAAGTCCATTCTCTTTGTAGCCATCTCTGATTGCTTCAGTTCTCCAACCTTGAGTTCAGGGAGTGTGTCTTATATCTATAATTTAGTGGCCTCCAAAATATCTGGGTCAGTTTTGGATATGTTGAAGCTGTTCAGGAAGTAATTTAGATTGGTTTTAAGCTAGGTTTAAAACATCTCACCAGGTGTGGTGTCTCACGCCTGTAATCCCAACACTTTGGGAGGCTGAGGCGGGCAGATCACCTGAGGTCAGGAGTTCGAGACCAGCCTGACCAACATGGAGAAACCCCATCTCTACTAAAAATACAAAAATCAGCCAGGCATGGTGGCACATGCCCATAATCCCAGCTACTCAGGAGGCTGAGGCAGAATTGTTTGAACCCGAGAGGCAGAGGTTGTGGTGAGCTGAGATCGCACCATTGCACTCTAGCCTAGCCAGGAAGAGCAACCTCCCTCTCAAAAAAAAAAAAAAAAAAAAACTCTTTAGCCAAAATGTTTTTTGTCCAAAGAATGACATTGAGACAACATTTATATTAGAGATGATATCTTCTCCTAAAAAGAAAGGCACAAGCACAAAGGTGAAATGTCCTCCCAAGGCTACACAGCTTTAATTGAAGCACCTATGTTCCTATAATCCTAAGGACATTCCTATAACCTTGCAGGTCAATACTAAAGATTTGCTTTTTTATTTTTATTTTTGTATTTAAGTGATCCATCCTGTTAACTGATGCTTTTTATTTTTATTTAAAATTCTGATTTTCCAGTACTCATTTTTGTGATGTTCTGATTACTCTTTACTTTGCAAGACATATCTACTGTTGCTGTGAAAGTACTGCTGTCTAGGCACTGAGATTTTTTTTTTTAAATTTTATGTAAAAACAGGGTTTCCCCATGTTGCCCAGGCTGGTCTCGAACTCCTGGGGTCAAGTGATCCTCCTGCCTTGGCCTCCCAAAGTGCTGGCATCACAGGCCTGAGCCACTGGGCCCAGTCTGAGATTTTTTAAAGTTGGATTTTAAGTCTTAAATTTGCATCTTTCAAACATGTTAATTACTTTGGATAATAAAGCTCAAATGATTTAATCCTCCAACAACTTTGTGAGGTTAAGTACTTTTATTTCCATTTTGGAGTTTGGATTGATTCCAAATGCACAAAATATACAAGAGCAGGCAGGAGTGGTACTTCATTCATTTGAGGCAACTCCTGGCAACTTTGCTGTTTTAAGTTTCAGGCTGAGAAGGGGAAGGAGTCCTGCCTGATTCAATGTAAGTAGGTTTGTGCCTCCCACTGAGATATGCATAGATGATAAGATAAGATGGTTTCTTCTGGAATCCTTTTAGAAAAGATCAGCGGAAATCCCCAGATAGAGCAGTCTGTCACTGCTGTTCAAATAACCATGGTATTGTCTTCCAGTGTTTTCTTTTCTGGACTTACTTTGGGTTTCTATAGGGTATTCTATTTGGGCAATCTCTTCCTGCATGGTAGTAAAACACTTACACCTACATTCTTGTTAGTATTTTTTTAAGATCAGTTCAAACCGGATCTAAAAGAATGCATATAGTTGTATAACAAAATCAGTGATTTATATAATTTAAGCCTAAATATTTATAAATTTTGGCTGGGCATGATGGCTCACGCCTGTAATCCCAACACTTTGGGAAGCTGAGGTGGGCAGATTGCTTGAGCTCAGAAGTTCGAGACCAGCCTGGCCGACATGGTGAAACCCTGTCTCTACAAAAAAAAACAAAAATTAGCTGGGCGTGGTAGCATGCGCCTATAATCCCAGCTACTCAGGAGGCTAAGGCAGGAGAATCACTTGAACCTGGGAGGTGGACGTTGCAGTGAGCTGAGATCGTACCACTGCACTCCAGCCTGGGTGACAGAGCAAGACTCTGTCTCAGAAAAAACAAACAAACAAAACTTGTAAATTTTACTCAAGGCCAGTTTATCAGGCTGGATCCTGTTTGAAGTTGGGAAGAATGGGAAGAAAACAGACTTATCTGTTTTCTTAACTTGTAGTTATCAGAGCAGCCTTAACTTTTACTTATCTTCTTCTTTCTCATCTCTTCCGGGTAGAGACCATCTTTATTATCCTATCCCAGTGTCAGGCATAGATCCTGGAACACATCAGAGACTCAGTCAACTGACAGGTGTAATTAGGGAAAGGGAGAGTTGCTCTTTTTTATAAGATTGAGAATCCCCATGCGGTAGCAGCAATGAATGTTGGATGGATGGATGGATGGATGGATGGATGGATGGATGGATGGATGGATGGATGCATGCATGCATGCATGGATGCATGGATGCATAGATGCATGGACGGATGGATTAATAAATGTTTAAAAGCATTCTTTCAGTCATCCAGTCACAAAATTATGGAAAGGACTGAAATCCTTCCCTTTTCTCTTTCCTCCCTGTAGGATCTGCCAGCAAATTTTCCTCCACCTCTAGTTTCTGCTCCTTCTATTTCTCTGTTAGGCTCCAGGCCAGGCCCTTCTAAACTCACGCCATTTTATAGCAATATCTTGCTGGTGGTCATGCTACCTCTTATCACCCCTCCATGTAGCCTAGCACAGTTACTGCCTAATTTCTCTTCCAAGGACACACTTTCATTCTGTTTATTAGAAAAGTTGAAAACCCACTTATTCATAGTATAAAGACCAGTTTATAACCCAGAATTACCTGAACCTTCTTTTCCTTTAGTCTAGCTATAGTAGGTTTCTTGCTGTCTCCTGAAAGCTGTCCTTCAAAACCAGATTCTCTCCTCCATTAATTACTCCACCAACAAATATTTATATAAGTTGGCCCTGAGCTGGACACCCATATACACTGGCAGACAACCCAGTGGTGGCCCCTGCCCTGATGGGGCTTACAGTCTTCCTCTTTGAGGTCATGCCCAATCACTTAGGCCCCCACTGAGCCTTCTCCTTCTCAATTCCTAAAAATTGTATTGATCTTGCCCTTTGTCTTGTGACTAAATCTTTTAGTTGTTTAATTATACCATGGATCTGTGCCTTATCTTCTCCACTAGATTGTAAACCCCTTGAAGTCAGAGGCAGGGCTGGGCATGGTGGCTCGTGCCTGTAATCCCAGCACTGAGTTGGGAGGATCGCTTGAGCCCAGGAGTTTGAAACCTGCCTAGTCAACATAGTGAGACCCTGTCTCTACAAAAGAAAAATTTAAAAATTAGCTGGGTGTGGTGGCACACACCGGTCATCCCAGCTACTGAGGAAGCTGAGGCAGGATGATCACTTGAGCCCAAGAGTTCAAGGCTGCAATCAGCCATGATCGTGCCTGTTGTACTTCACCCTGGGCGACACAGCAGGACCCCCATCTCAAAAAAATAAAGTCAGAGGCAGACTTCAGTGCAAGTAGCAGTCACAAAAGATACTCACTCAGTTTGAGAAAGTATATTCTGGTGATGTGTTATTTTTGTAAGGGCCACTTTTTGTCTTTGAAGGGATCTTTTGTGCATACAAAAATATTTAAGGATTATGAAAAAACTAAGTCTTTTTTCATCTTCTACCATCCAGAGATGGCTATCACATATCCTTTTAGTTTTTTTCCATCTACCTGTGCTATATGTTGTATAATTTGTTTTTCAGAAAAAAGCCTTTCATTTGTGGAAGGTTATTACATTAGTGTTGAAACAAGTTAAATCAGTAAGGATCCTGATAGAGAAAATATAAGATACAGGAATTTTAAAATTCCTCTGATAAGTCTTTTCCACTTATGTAGTTAGAAAAAAATAGTCCTTTGATTAAATGTGGATCAGGTGGTTTCTTTGATCTTGTTCAAAATATTTATGTTATATAAAAGGCTACTTTAACAACATATTATATTACTTTTTCTCGTTGTCTTTGCCTTTAGGATGATATTAACTGCCTCTAGGTTTTAGAAATCTAGGATTTCTCATGTTGGTAGAAAATGAGATATTTAAAACATCTGTTATAGTGTTCTGAAGCTATAAATTTGAGCTATGTACAGGCTAACAAGCGCATATAAAAAAGATCACAATTAAATTAATAGATGACTTTTTTTCTTTTGAGATGGAGTCTAACTCTGTTGCCCAGGCTGGAGTGCAGTGGCACGATCTTGGCTCACTACAACCTCCACCTCCTGGGTTCAAGTGATTCTTCTGCCTCAACCGCCCGAGTAGCTGGGACTACAGGCACGTGCCACCATGCCCAGCTAATTTTTGTATTTTTAGTAGAGACGGGGTTTCACCATATTGGCCAGGCTGGTCTGGAACTCCTGACCTCGTGATCCACTTGCCTCGGCCTCCCTAACTGCTGGGATTACAGGCGTGAGCCACCACGCCCAGCCGCTAATAGATGACTCTTTTTTAAAAACCCTTACGGAAAACTTCTGTTTAGCAAGTATTTATTTTAAAACCTAGGGTTAATTGTATGTATCAAAGTTATTTTAACACTTTCTCTAAGGCAGAACTTGATTTAAAAAAAAAAAAAAGTAGGGCTGTCCTGCACTCCAGACAAGGAATCTAGTTATCTAGTTTCTGACGAGCCCAAAGGTGTCTGATATAAGGTAGTTCCAACCATGTTAAATTAGGAAGATAATGCAACTCAGAATTCAGAATTCATGTTGTAATTTGCTCAGTTCTTGTTCTGTTGCAATTCCTGTTTTTTTATTTTTTATTTTTTTGAGACCAAGTCTCACCCTGTCACCCCAGCTGGAGTGCAGTGGTATGATCTCAGCTCACTGCAACTTCCGACTCCTGGGTTCAAGCAATTCTCCCACCAAAGCCTCTCAAGTAGTTGGGGTTATGGGTGCCCACTACCACGTCTGGCTAATTTTTATTGTTCTGTTTTTTCTTTTTCTTTTTCTTTTTTTTTTTTTTTGAGACTGAGTCTCACTCTGTCGCCCAGGCTGGAGTGCAGTGGTGTGATCTCGGCTCACTACAACCTCCACCTCCCGGGTTCAAGCAGTTCTCTTGCCTCAGCCTCCTGAGTAGCTGGGATTACAGGCATGCACCACCATGCCCAGCTAATTTTTTTGTATTTTTAGTAGAGATAGGGTTTCACCATATTGGCCAGGCTGTTCTCAAACTCCTGACCTCAAGTGATCCACCTGCCTCAGCCTCCCACGGTACTGGGATTACAGGCGTGAGCCACCATGGCTGGCCTTTGTTTTTTGTTTGTTTTTTTTAAAGAACCTTTATTGTTTTTATAGTTGCCTCATATGCTTTCTTGCCAGATGCCTTTGGAGCAGGGGCTTTCTGGGCTGGAGCTTTTTGACCCTTCTGAGCTTTTGGAGGAGGTGCTGCCTTCTGGCCTGTGGCTTTCTGGGCAGGAACCTTCTGGGCTGGAGCCTTCTTGCCCACAGCGGTCATCTTTTTTGCTGGAAATTTAGCAGCAGCTGCAGCAGCACCCTTAGCAACAGGTGCTTTTTTGAGAGAAGCTTTCAGGAGAGCTTCCTTTTGAAGCTTGTTAACTTCATTCTTGATTATTCTGTCCCTCATTTTCTTTGCCTTCATAACTTTAAAATGATCAGAATCTGTCATCTTGGCTTTCCTTTCTCTGGCTTCAATCTTCCTGGCCCATTGTGTGGCTGCCCATTTTGTATTGATGTCTACCTTCTGCCAGGCTTGTGGGACATACTTCTGGTGGGCACTGTATGGAAACTTGAGGATGAAATCAGTGAGCTGCATGTACTTGAAAGGCATGGCCTGTCTCCTCACTTGAGCGCAAGGTCCACCAACCAAAGCCCTGTTCTGATCAATAACATCTATGATCACAATGAATTTTCCAGCATGAGGTCCAAAGGCGACGTAGGTTGCCCAGCCAACCTCCATGAAGTGCCTGAACACCATATTGGCGGCAGTCGGTGAGAAGGAATTCATTTTTAATTGTAGTTGTGAAAAAGGTATTTTGAGAGATAGTATTGAATAAATTGTATCCAGGTATCCACAAAATATAAATATTTATTTATTTATTGAGACATGGTCTTGCTCTGTTTCCCAGGTTAGAGTGTGGTGGCAGGATCATGGCTTACTGCAGCTTCAACCTTCCAGACTCAAGAGATCCTCCCACTTCAGCGTACCAAGTAGCTGTGGCTACAGGCATGCACCACCATACCCGGCTAATTTTTTCTATTTTTTTTGTAGAGATGGGATCTCACTATGTTGCCCAGGCTCATCTTGAATTCCTGGGTTCAGGGGATCCTTCCACCTCAGCCTCCTAAAGTGCTGGAATTATAGGCATGAGCCACTACACCTAGCCATCCATGAAATATTTTAATGCTATGGAAAGTGTTTAGGGTATATGAGGCAAGCACATTTCATCATCGCTTCTCGGCCTTTTGGCTAAGATCAAGGGTAGCACATTTCATCCACCTGTTTTATTAGCTTAGAGCTTTTAAATGTAATCTTAGTTTCTCTGTAGAACAGGAGTTCTTAAATTTTTTTGTGCCTAGATTCTTCTGGCAGTCTGATATAGCCTATGAGCCCTTCTCAGAATAATTTTTTTTAAGTGCTGAATAAACTACATAAGATTAAAGGGAAAACCAACTGGGCTGAAGTACAGTTATTAAAAAAAAATTTTTTTTTGCTATACCACAATCACAGTAATAAAATATTTTTTAATCATGACATAGTAATTAATGCATGCACTTCTTTAGTACTGCATTAAATAAGATCAGGTGGCAGATGTAATAAGTACCACGATTTTGAAGTAGGGGTGAGAGGAGTGCTAAGAGGGATAAGATGTCTGCCACAACTGTAATATGCTATAAAAATATCTGTGGTGATAAAGTCACAGATATCACTGATACTGTTGTGGTTTGCACCTACATTTATGATGGAAGAAAATCCTATTTTACACGTAGAGGTTAGTGAAAATAGGGTGGGTTTGTTTGTGTGCCTCTTTTTGCCCTCCAAGTTTGCAGATACCCCAAATTCTACCCATAGACATTGCTACAAAGCCATTCTTTTTCCAATTCTAAGTGCAGATTTGACCCAGATTTCCTGCAAGTAACCAATTGCCTCTGTTGCTGGGACTTGTCTTGGCAGAGCTATAGCAAGCAGAATCTGTTGCTAAAGTTGCTCTCACAGTTTTAGTCAGAATCATGGGCTCTCATCAGGACCTGTTTCAGTTGGAGAAAACACTGAACTTTAATCAAATTTGAACTGTGGTGCTTACATTTGCTTTATTCTTCGCTTGGCTGTTAGGTAATAAAATGTGCTTATGTCCCTAAACGTAAGTTTGCTTTGTTGATACTCAGGGTGGTACAGACCAAATATGGGTAACAGCTTCTTTTAAGTGTGGCTCGACTGTGCCAAGGCCATTTCCGTACACTTAAGATTCCTGCTTAATAAACTGGCAGCTACTAGAAAATGTATCCACTAAGAAAAGCAGTCTCAGGCCAGGTACGGTGGCTCACGCCTGTAATCCCAGCTCTTTGGGAGGCCGAGGCAGAAGGATCCATTGAGCTCAGGAGTTCAAGACCAGCCTGGGCAACATAGGGAGACCCCACCTCTTTAAAAAAAAAAAATTAGCCATGCATGGTGGCACACACCTGTAGTCTCAGGTACTCAGGAGGCTGAGACAGGAGTATCGCTTGAGTCCAGGAGGTCGAGGTTGGTGGAGGCTGCAGTGAGCTATAGCACTCCAGCCTGGGCAACAGAGGGAAACCCTGTCTCCAAAAAAGAAAAAAAAAAAGGAAGAAAGAAAAGCAGTCTCAGACAAGTCAAGTCAAAATAGTGTGTATATTGGCCGGGCGTGGTGGCTCACGCCTGTAATCCCAGCACTTTGGGAGGCCGAGGCGGGTGGATCACAAGGTCAGGAGATCGAGACCGTCCTGAATAACACGGTGAAACCCCATCTCTACTAAAAATACAAAAAAATTAGCTGGGTGTGGTGGTGGGCGCCTGTAGTCCCAGCTACTTGGGAGGCTGAGGCAGGAGAATGGCATGAACCCAGGAGGCGGAGCTTGCAGTAAGCAGAGATAGCGCCACTGTAGTCCAGCCTGGGGGATAGAGAGAGACCCCATCTCAAAAAAAAAAAAAATGTATATTGACTTTTGCAGTTTGCCTCTTCTTAGAACATTCTGGATATGCCTAGCTAGACTTTCCCACTAAAAAGGGACCTGGGGAGATACCATCTATCATGAGATCTGTGTCAAAATTTTGCCTTAGGATGAGCCTGGAGTTGGGTTTGGTTTGTGAGTTCTGTGGGGATGCCGCCTCAGGACCAGGGTTGTGTCAAAGTCTAGGATAGATCAGGGCTTCCTTACATAATTCTTGGACAAGGATGCCTGCAAGCAGTTCTCCAACCTGAGCCTCCCAAGTAGCTGGAATTACAGACATGAGCCATCATACCCAGCTAATTTTTGTATTTTTAATAGAGACAGGGTTTCACCATGTTGGCCAGGCTTGTCTCAAACTCCTGTCCTCAGGTGATCCTTTCCTTGCCATATTTTGTGCCCTGGTGAGGAGGGGGTGCATTGGCCCAGGAAAGGGACCTTTTCTAATTCACAGAAAGGCAACCTGAGAGCCCAGAAAGATCGCTTTTTTTTTTTTTGACAGAGTCTCACTCTGTCGCTCAGGCTGTGCAACCTCCACTTCCCAGGTTCAAGTGATTCTCCTACCTTAGCCTCCCAAGAAGCTGGGACTGGAGGCATGCACCACCATGCCCAGCTAATTTTTGTATTTTTATTAGGGACGAGGTTTCACCATGTTGGCCAGGCTGGTCTCGAATTCCTGACCTCATGTGATCTGCCCACCTTGGCCTCCCAAAGTGCTGGGATTACAGGCATGAGCCACTGTGCCCCTCCCGAGATGACACTTTCTAACTTAGGCAAGCACCACATCTATAAGAGGTGGTTCTAGGCCACATACAGATTCAAGGACTAGAATTGAATGAGTATTTGAGAAGCAGAAGAATTAGAGCCAAAGGCCAGAGCCTTTTTTTTTTTTTTTTTTTTTTTTGAGACTGAGTCTCGCTCTGTTGCCCAGGCTAGAGTGCAATGGTGCAATCTCAGCTCACTGCAACCTCTGCCTCCTGGATTCAAGCAGTTCTCGCACCTGAGCCTCCCGAGTAGCTGGAATTACAGACATGAGCCACCACGCCCGGCTAATTTTTGTATTTTTAGTAGAGACGGGGTTTCACCATGTTGGCTAGGCTGGTCTCAAACTCCTGTCCTCAGGTGATCCAACTGCCTCAGCCTCCCAAAGTGCTGGGATGACAGGTGCAAGCCACTGTGCCTGGCATAGCAGATCTTCTTCTAGGTGCAGGGGCTACAACAATAATTAAAATCAGGCTTTCTGTCCTCAGGAAGGCCACAGTTTTAGCATTTGTGCATAAAATGATACCTTATATTATAGTACCATTTACTTAGCTTCTAATATATTCATGACATTACATATTCTCATTAAACTTAACTTAGAATTTTGGAGTTTTATTGTTACTTGTCAAAATGATTTTGTGTATAGAAATAAATAGGATATGTACATTGTTAAATAATATTCTGGGAGGCAAATGCCAGTGCATACATATTCTAAGGCATCAACAATTAAAGTTACACAATAGCATTGCAAGAATAGATCTATTAATTTTTTTATAAAAGGAATTATTCCTTATGTAATAAGGAAGTAACTTGAAATGGACTGTTTATAAGAATCTAATGTATGACAAAGTAGGAAACCCAAGACAATAGAAAAAAGATTGTTTATTAAATAACCTATTAATAATTTGAAAAATAACCAGCCTGGCCGACATGGTACAACCTCATTTCTACTAAAAGTACAAAAATTAGCTGGGCGTTGTGACACACATCTGTCGTCCCAGCTACTGGGGAGGCTGAGGCAGGAGAATCCCTTGAACCCAGGAGGCGGAGATTGCAGTGAGCCAAGATCATGCCACTGCATTCCAGCCTGGGCAACAGGAGAGACTCCATCTCAAAAATAATAATAATTTGAAAAACAAATTAAGGTTCCTACATTAATACATATACTACAAATAAAATCAGAGCTAAATATGAAGAATTATAAAACTGGCTATTTATTGAAACTCTAAAATGAGGACAGGATGAAAGATAGTTTTGTAGGCCCAGAAAAATTAATTATAAAGGAATATATATATATATATATATACATATATATATATATATCTTTTTTTTTTTTTGAGACGGAATTTTACTCTTATTACCCAGGCTGGAGTGCAATGATGTGAACTCAGCTCACTGCAACCTCCACCTCCTGGGTTCAAGGGGTTCAAGTGATTCTCCGGCCTCAGCCTCCCTAGTAGCTGGGATTACAGGTGCCTGCCGCCATGCCCGGCTAATTTTTTGTATTTTCAGTAGAGACAGGGTTTCACCATGTTGGCCAGTCTGGTCTCAAACAACTGACCTCAAGTGATCTGCCCGCTTCGGCCTCCCAAAGTGCTGGGATTACAGGGGTGAGCCACAGCAGCCAGCCTGTAAATGAAAATATTGACACTTTTCATTTCATTTTATTTATTTTATTTTTTGAGGCACATTTGCACCATTATAATAACATTAAAATATTATAAAAGTTTAAAATACAGTCAAAGTAAAAAGGCAAACAGCACATCAGAAAATATACCTCTAGGAAATTTTCATTTCAGCACAAATACTAAAAATAGACATCTAGACTAAAAATATGAACAAATATAATAACTTAGAAAAAAAGAGCACATAATAAATATATAGTGGTGTATTGTGTCCTTCGAATGATAACTATCAAATAAAACAGTTACCAATTCTATTAGCAATAAAAAACTGCAGCACACAAAATTGGCATTTACTGAAACTGTTATTCTCATATATTTGTATTAAAAGTTTCACATCCCTTTAGGAAAGGTTTTTTGTGATATGTATCAAGCACCCAAAAATAATTTAATATTTTATTTTATTTCATTTTATTTTTGAGGTGGAGTTTCACTCTGTCACCCAGGCTAGAGTGCAGTGGTGCGATCTCGGCTCACTGCAACCTCTGCCTCCGGAGTTTAAGCAATTCTCCTTGCCTCAGCCTCCCGAGTAGCTGGGACTATAGGCGCACACCACCATGCCCTACTAATTTTGTATTTTTAGTAGAGACAGGGTTTCGCTATGTTGGCCAGGCTGGTCTTGAACTCCTGACCTCAGGTGATCCACCTCCTTCACCCTCCCAAAGTGCTGGGATTACAGACATGAACCACCATGCCCAGCCTAAAATTTTTTTTAACTTTAATTTTTTTCTATATCACAAATCATGAAGCAAAAAAAATAAAAAATAAATAAATAAATAAATAAATTATTCTCCCTGATCCCAAGAAAAGAATCTGAAATATGGAAGAAGGCATGCTTTATTTATTTATTTATTTATTTATTTTTATTTATTTATTTTTGAGACGGACTCACTCTGTCACCCAGGCTGGAGTGCAGTGACGTGATGTCAGCTCACTTCAACCTCCGCCTCTTGGGTTCAAGCAGTTCTTCTGTCTCAGCCTCCTGGGTAGCTGGGACTACAGGAGCATTCCACCACACCCGGCTAACTTTTGTATTTTTGGTAGAGATGGGGTTTCACCATGTTGGTCAGGGAGGTCTCGAACTCCTGACATCGTGATCCTCCCGCCTCAGCCTCCCAAAGTGCTGGGATTACAGGCATGAGCCACTGCACCTGGCCTATTTTTTTATTTTTATTTTTGTTTTTTTGAGATGGAGTCTTGCTCTGTCACCCAGGCTGGAGTGCAGTGGCACAATCTTGGCTCACTGCAACCTCTGCCTCCTGGGTTCAAGCGATCCTCCTGCCTCCACCTCCCGAGTAGCTGGGATTATAGGCGTGTGCCACTACCCCCAGCTAATTAGTAGAGACAGGTTTTTGCCATGTTGGCAAGGCGGGTCTCAAACTCCTGACCTCCGGTGATCTGCCCACTTCGGCCTCCCAAAGTTCTGAGATTACAGGTGTAAGCCACCACACCAGCCGACAGTGCTAATCAGTGTTACTTATAAATCCAAACCCATTAACTTACAAAAGTAAAAGAGGACAGTATTTATAATTATGCCTGGACAGCAGGTATAAGGCAGGACTATATGGGGAGATAAGGTTGTATTGCCATCCTACTTATGTAAATAGCCAAAACAAATTAAATGCACTAAAGAGCTAATAGAACACCTAAGTACTGTATGATATACCCCTAGGATGGTTTTTAAGTCAAATCAAGCATTTATAAAAACAAGGAAATAGTTTAGTAATTGTTTTTCTCAGAGATGTTCATAGTTTAAGTTTTCCTCATTATTTAATTTTTCAAATTTTTCATTTTTTATTTTATTCAACAAAATATGTTTCATGATATTTTGGAATGAGAATCGTTACAGTTTTCATTCTGGTTCAGCCTAGTTATTTTATGCATGAGGATATTAACACACAAAAATGCTATGGGGCATGGCCAAAGTCCCATGCCTCAACTAGATGTGGCTGGACCAGGCAGAGTAAGCATTTCTATCTTTATTATTATTATCATCATCATCATCTAAAGACTTAGAGATGGGTCTCACTATGTGCCCAGGCTGTATCCTCCCACCTCGGCCTCCCATAGTGCTGGGATTACAGGCATGAGCCATCGCACCTGGCCCAGGAATTTCTGTCTTCTAATTCCAGAGCAAGGGCTCTTGACCACTTCGCCAAGCTGCCTTGAAGTGTCAGTATGTTTTGTAAGTTGACACTTGATGCTTGTTTTTGGTATTTAAAATGATCAGTACTTTGTTTCACAAGTCAGGCTAATTTTAGGTTGTTTCTTGCAAAATCTGAAACTTCATAAAACTTTACAAAGTCATATTGACTAGACTTACTTTTCTCTGGATCCCATAATTCTGTATGTGTTGCTGATCCCACTACATATTTATGGAGGAAAGAAGAAATCTGAAAAATACAAAGCAAGACATGTCCTCAAATTCAAAACACTTGACTTTGGAATGTTATCCCTCCTATACACTCATTTCCTCTGTGCTTTGCTGCCAAACATTTCTCAGTGCACGGTCCAGGAATCTGACTGGGTGTTGAATGCAAAAAGTCCCAGATTCCCACAGATGACTAATTTTTATTAATGGTTAACAGGACTTCCGACTAGTTTCTGCTCTAAGTTGGTTATGTATTGATTAGGTAATCAATGAGTGGTGGTAAGGCTCCCTGGGAACCCTTATACAGAAAACTTAGATTTCCAACAAGATATAGTATATATTGGGTCCTCATCCTTTCTCTCTCTCTCTTTCTTTTTTTTTTTTTTGAGACAGAGTCTCGCTCTGTCATCCAGACTAGAGTGTAGAGGTACAATCTCGGTTCACTGCAAACTCCACCTCCTGAGTTAGCAATTCTCCTGCCTCAGTCTCCTGAGTAGCTGGGATTGCAGGTGCCCACTACCATGCCTGGTGAATTTTTATATTTTTAGTAGAGATGGGGTTTCACTATATTGGCCAGGCTAGTCTCAAACTCCTGACCTCAAGTGATCTGCACACCTCAGCCTCCCAAAGTACTGGGATTACAGGCATGAGCCATTATGCCTGGCCGTGGGAATTTGTTATTGTTGTTGTTCTTGAGACAGAGTCTTGCTCTGTCACCCAGGCTGTAGTGCAGTGGCACGATCTCAGCTCACTGCAACCTCTGCCTCCCAGGTTCAAGCGAGTCTCCTGCCTCAGCCTCCTGAGTAGCTGGGATTACAGGCATGCGCCCCCATGCCCAGCTAGTTTTGTATTCTTAGTAGAGACAGGGTTTCACCATGTTGGCCAGGCTGGTCTCGAACTCTTGACCTCATGATCCGCCCACCTCGGCCTCCCAAAGTGCTGGAATTACAGGCATGAGCCACTGCGCCCGGTGGCCTTGGGCATTTTATATGAGAACAAAATTAACTTGTACTGGCACCGTGGCTCACACCTATAATCCCAGCACTTTGGGAGGCCAGGGTGAGAGAATCACTTGAGTTCAGGAGTTCAAGACCAGCCTGGGCAACATAGTGAGACATCGTCTCTACAAAAAATCAAAAACTTAGCCCAACGTGGTAGTACAGGTCTGTTGTCCTAGCTACTTGGGAGGCTGAGGTGTGGGACAGCCACTTGAGCCTGGGAGATTGAAGCTACAATGAGCATTGGTCACACCACTGCACACTCCAGCCTAGGCAACAGAGCGAGACCCTCCAAAAAAAGAAAGAAAAAAAAAAGGCAGCTTGCATATCCCTAGAAGTTGCACATAGTATGTTGTGTTCCAGTTAATTTTTTGCTACTCATGTTGGGTGATGGTGATGGAGTTAATTAACTTTTATTAATCAGTGATGCCACCTGGTGGCCAGAGAGTACATTTTGTAGTGTACCTACATGCTGAACCAACATCTGCTTTTTTTTTCCTTTGATAAAAATAACCTCAGTGGCATTTGAGGCAGTTTTATTAGTGAAGTTTTGAATAATGCTCAATTTGTTTTGGCAGGAGCAGAAAGGTCATAGAATACTACCAGTCTAACATGGCAAACTGAAATGACTGCTCTCCTCGTTGTTATTAGGAAAGCTTCTGCCGAATACCAGGTCCTAAGTGATAGGTAATAGGTGGTTCACTATGACCAATATAGGCGTGTCTGTCTGGTCTCCTTTCCTGGGTTTCACCTGGGTTATAACAGTTACTGGGGCAGCTACTGGTTTCCTGTTCCTCCCATCTGACTCAGGGTGATCAGTCACATTCTTATGCTGCAGTTAAGGCCCCAGGTGATTCTTAACTGTTTAAGGAGATCCAGGCCCTGCTCTCTTTGCCAAGGTAAAAGTTCTCAAAAAGATATACTGCAAGAAGATGCCCTAAAAACATGAATGGATGGATGGATGGGTTGATGGATGGATGGATGGATGGATAAGTTGGAGAGTTGGATTTTGTAGACCATAAAGATATTTTTAAAAATTGGCAAGGAGGGTAAACCTAACTCCGTTACTTCCTTGATTAATAGCATGATGTTGCAACGTGTTAACGGTGGGTTTTCTGCTCAGTGTATTTCAACTGTGTTCATAAAAGTTCATGTTTGAGTACAAGCAAAGAAAATGCAACTTAGAAGTTTATGAGGCTCAGCACAGTGATTCTGAGGTCAGGATTTCCTAATATGGACATCTTCTGGGGAGCCCTTTTGGTTTAGAGAAATGTCTCTGTTTTCATGGATATACTTCTGTATTAAAAAACAGAAATTTAAGACAAACTAGGAAGTCGCCATGAGTCCAATATTTAGGTAAATCTGCATTCCTTCCCACAACAAGATATAGTAACTATCTAACAGCTTAAGGAAAATCACTTGATTAATGAGGTAGCTTAGGGTTTGAGAACATCTAATAGGGAGGGTAGGGTAAGTTTGTCTCCCCAACCCTGTCAACTGTCAGCCATAGAAATGTTAAATGTTTGCACTCACCAGACACGGATTATGTAATATATTGAATGCATTCTGAGTGGGGTCAGAGTGAGAATATTTATTTTCATCTCCAGATGGGGCTAAGTGTAACATATAACTTATGTATTTTGTTAATTTGGGAATTTTTTATTTTTTGTGTGTGCCCACTTCATTTTTCCTTTATATTTTGCGGGGGATGCTCTCTTCATTCAGATTAAGATCTAAATTGCTAGCGATGGTCTCTGGCAAGATAGAACCTATGCCATGGCGCAGGGAAGCTTAATATGTTTATACATAACATCTCACCATGGCTTATTGCCAGTGCTGGATATTTATAAGGTGCACGTCTAGACTCACACAGGCTCTTAGATCACTGTCTCAAAGACTTACGAAGTTTCAGCAATTGGGCGCGTGTTTGTGTCATCTGTTATGTTTGAAGATCTGGCACCAATACCCCTGTTTTCCTTTGTTCCTCTGAGCATGATGTCATAAATCCATGAGATGAAGTTGTATCTATTCCATAATAGTACTAACTAGCAGTTGGGTCTGATAAAGATATATTCAGTCACTGAACACACCTTTCCTCCTTTCATTTCCTCAGTTCCCACTGGCATTAGAATTGGTTTCAGCATTTATTGCCTTTTACCTCAACTAAAATACAATCCTATCTAAAAAATAATATATTCTTGGCCAGGTGCAGTGGCTCACTGCCTGTAATTCCAGCACTTTGGTAGGCTAAGGCAGGAGGATTGCTTGAGGCCAGGAGTTAAAGACCAGCCTGGGCAATAAAGCGAGACCCTGCCTCTGCAAAAAAAAAAAAAAAAGCAGACATGGAGGCACACACCAGTAGTCATAGCTATTTGGGAGGCAGAGGCAGGATGATTGGTTGAGTCCAGGAATTTGAGGCTGTAGTGAGCAATGATTGCAGCACTGTGCTCCAGCCTGGACGACAGGGTGAGACTCTGTCTTGAATGAGTAAGTGAACTGTTTTTATTCAGTAAGCATTTATTGTCCCCTTTGTGCAAAGCCCCTGACTAAGTGCTATGTGAGAGAAAGATGTGTCAGATGACTTGCTCACAAGGAGCTTTGAGTCTAATGAAAAAGAAAATGATAGAAGCATAAAGTGAGACTGCTGTGTCATGTGTTATTCAAAGGCAGAAAACGTTTCTTTCAAATGGAAATTTTGTAAGAGAAGGGGCATTTAAGAAGAGCCTTGAAGAGTGTGAGTAGAATTTGTATAAGCGAGACAGAGGAAGGGATGGAGAAAAAGGGACTATTAGAGACAAAAGGTGTGAAGCCAGGGGGACACATGGGGAGTGTTTAAGGGGTTGCACAGATCAAATTTAGTCAGAACAAAGGGCCCATTTTAGGCAGTAGCAAGAGAGAGAGAAAAATTGATAGGGACCATGTAGCAGGGGGCTTTAAATTCCAGAAAGGAATTTGTATTAATTTAACAGGTAATGGGAGGCCATCCAGCATTTCTCAACAGAGAAGGAAGTATTGCCTTGAAATTCCATGACTTACCTTGGTGTTAAAGATTTATTAAATATAGGTTCTTCTATTACCTCTTTTTCTGTATTACAAGAACTACTATATACCATATTACTTATTTACAGACTATCTTTATCCAAACCAAGGTTTCTCAACTTCAGACCTATTGATATTTGGGGTCAGATAATTTTTTTTTTTGTTGCAGGGCTGCATTATAAGATATTTAGCAGCACGTCTGACGTGTGTGTGTGTGTGTGTGTGTGTGTGTGTGTGTGTGTGTGTGTGTGTGTAGTAGAGATGGGGTTTCCCCATGTTGGCCATGCTGGTCTTGAACTCCTGACTTCAAGTGATCCACCCCCTTTGGCCTCCCAAAGTGCTAGGATTACAGGCATCAGCCACCGAGTCCAGTCTGCATCTCTGACTTCTAACCACTAGCCACCAGTAGCCCCCGCTTTTCCCCAGTTATGACAACCACAACTGTCTCCAGACATTGCCAGATGTACCCTAGGGGGCAAATTTGTCCCCATTTGAAAACCACCTGTTTAAATACATATATTGAGTTCCCTTGGTGTCCTGAGCATTGTTAGACTCTTAGATTAACAAATCCAGGAGACTTTTAGGGATTGGATTAATGCCTTAGAATTTTATACTAGACGTGTGTCTGATCTCAAGATTAAAGTACTTCCTATGTGTTGGGATAAAAGCTGAATTGGGCATTAGGAGACCTGAATTCTCATGCTGGCTCTGCCAACTAGAGGTTGTGTGAGTTGGGTGAGATCCTTTGCTCAGTAATCTGATTCCTCATCTCTAAAATAACCAATGTTTCCTCCAAGGCTTTTTCTAGCTCTGACTCTATGTCTTGATTTCAAATTGATCTCAGGGCTTTATTTTTTCACATTTTTAGAAAGTTAGCACAAGTTGGACTAGCATGTATATTAACCAGCAAGACTAATGAAGTATTGAAAAAGAAAGATATGTGTTTGGGGCTCACTGGTTTATTGTACTTAAATACTTTTTTTTCTTCTTTTCTAGATTATTTGAAGAATCTCATAGAAGATGCTGGAGATTACAGAGACACTCAAGGTAAATAACTTCTGTGGTTGCAGAAGTTTTTATATTATGTTTATTTAGGTAGGGCTAGAAAGTAAAAATATATTGATAACAAAATCCATTACAAACTCTCTTCATACGACTTGAAGGGCAGGTGCGGTGGCTCACACCTGTAATCCCAGCAGTTTGGGAGGCCGAGGCGGGTAGATCACCTGAGGTCAAGAGTTTGAGACCAGCCTGGCCTACATGGTGAAACCCCTTCTCTACTAAAAAAAATACAAAAACTAGCCAGGTGTGATGGTGCACGTCTGTAATCCCAGCTTCTTGGGAGGCTGAGGCAGGAGAATTGCTTGAACCCGGAAGGCGGAGGTTGCAGTGAGCCGAGATAGCGCCACTGCACTCCAGCCTGGGCGACAGAGCGAGACTCCTTCTCAAAAAAAAAAAAAAAAAAAGACTTGAGGCCTTCCTGGAAACTCCATTTTGAGCAGATTAACATAGAACCAGTTAAGTAGTAAAGCAGTGCTGGGGATAGGTGAGATGATATGGGCAGGGGAGACCCATGGCCAGCCCTGCATGGGAACCAGCCTCTTGCGACTGTGAAGCCAGCGTGGTGGCTGAGGTCAGGAATCTTTGCCCTCCTGTGCTCAGTCACTCTGTGCCCGTGCCATATTCAGTTTCCCTAGAGGTCCATTTCTTTGTCTTTCAAAAACAGGGATTGAACCAGATCTGCAAGGTCCTCAAGCTTCAAAATCATGAGTCCATGAAGTGACTAAACTACAAAGCAGGGATGAGTCTAAAAAAGCATATTATTCTGGCACTGTCTAACAATAGGATATTAGCCTTCCCTCAGCCCTAGTAGTACTTAAGGGAAACAATCCATTACAACATGAGGGACTCATAGCTAGTGGGATAATTGGAGTTCCTGTGTCTGTGTGCCTGTGTCTCTCTCCCTCACAATCTCTCTCCCTCCCTCTCTCGCAGATACACACACATACACACAGATTAATTCTGTTTGGGTGTTTCTGTTTATTCCCAACAACCTCTTTCAAATGTCACAGGTATACCCCTTGTTCTTTTTTTGTTTGAGACAGAGTCTCACTCTGTCACCCAGGCTGGAGTGCAGTGGCACGATATCGGCTCACTGCAACCTCTGCCTCCTGGGTTCAAGCAATTATCCTGCCTCAGCCCCCCAAGTAGCTGGGACTACAGGCATGTACCACCATGCCCGGCTGATTTTTGTATTTTTAGTAGAGATGGGGTTTCACCATATTGGCCAGGCTGGTCTCGAACTCCTGACCTCAAGTGATCTGCCCACCTTGGCTTCCCAAAGTGCTGGGATTACAGATGTGAGCCACCATGCCCAGCAACGCCTGGGTCTAACTGCAGAAACATGTTAAGCAAGTCCATTAATTTTATGAATTTTGATCACATTTTTTTTTTTTAATTTTTTGAGACAGAGTCTTACTTTGTCACCCAGGCTGGAGTGCAGTGGCATGAACACGGCTCACTGCAGCCTCAACCTCCTGGGCTCAAGTAATTCTCTTGCCTCAGCCCTCCAAGTAGTTGGGATTACAGGCACATACCATCACACCCTGCTAATTTTTATATTTTTTGTAGAGACAGGGTTTCACTATCTTGCCCAGGCTGGTCTCGAACTCCTGAGCTCAAGCGATCCACCTGCCTCAGTCTCCCAAAGTGCTGGGATTACAGGCATGAGCCACCACACCTGGCCTGATCACATTCTTGTATATCCTTTACATTTGCAGAGTAAAAAGTGAACATTTTTAACCCTTTTTGTAGAGATTCTTATATATTCTTTTAATCATTTTACTTCTCTTAACATCTTCTGTTTGTGTACATTATGCTTTTAAAGGCGGTTTTTTTTAAAGGAAAAGCTTGTGGTTGGGGATCTGACAAGTTTCCTGTCTTCAGTGATCATATCTAGTTGATGAAGAAGTTTATAATATCCATCAAATAAAGAACAAAGCAAATGACTTCAAAGTAAGGGTGCACCGAGCAGGACAGAATTATTTGGATGACAGAGAAAAGTGTGAAGGTTAAAGAGGCAGGGAAGCTTTGCAGGAAAAAGTAGGACTGGAGATGAGTGGGAGAGTGGGTGAGAGGAAAAATGAGCATTCCCGACGGCAGCCCCTCTCGTGAGGATACAAATTATACATGGAACTTATAGAATAGAAAGAAAACATCTGTCCTGGGTCCTGGGCTTCTGCCTTCAATGAAAGTGAGTTATTAGCTCCATTTTACACATAAAACAAATTCAGGGTCAGAGATTAAGGAGCTTATTTAAAGGAAATTACATGTGACAGCAAAGACATAGATGAGAAAACCAGTGAACAGTGAGGCCCACTGTATGGCCAGAGGCACAGCAATCATATGGTGAGCAGTGGCCGGGCGTGGTGGCTCATGCCTATAATCCCAGCAATTTGGGAGGCCGAGGCAGGTGGGTCACTTGAGGCCAGGAATTCAAGACCAGCCTGGGCAACATGGCAAAACCCTTTGCTACTAAAAATACAAAGATTAGTGGGGCATGGGGGTGCATGCCTGTAATACCAGGTACTCAGTAGCTGAGGCATGAGAATCGCTTGAACCTGGGAGATGGAGGTTGTAGTAAGCCGAGATCCCGCGACTGCACTGTAGCCTGGGCGACAGAGCAAGACTCTGTCTCAGGAAAAAAAGAGTGGTGAGCAGTGTGGATGAGACTTCAAGGGTGAGGGAAGGTGAGGCAAGAATAACTTTGAAAGGTAGGCAGAAGAGTTAAAGGAATAGAGGCATCAGGGCCTCTTAACGGGATGACGTGGGGAAAGTAGAATCACAGCATGGAGTAGGGAAGGTAGAGCTTGGGAGACCAGGTGACCAAGTAGCAGCAGCAGCTTTGTCATCCATTAAATCTTAAGGCATCTCTCCCCTGTCCACCGGGAATTCCAGCAGGCCAGAAAGCAGGAAATGTGTCCACGGTAACCTCTTGAACCTGCTGTGAAAAGGGTACCAGGCACCGTAAATTCTGATACATGGCTGAGTACCGTGGCTCACACCTGTAATCCCAGCACTTTGGGAGGCTGCGGCGGGTGGATCACCTGAGGTCAGGAGTTTGAGACCAGCCCTGCCAACATGGCGAAACCCCGTCTCTACTAAAAATACAAAAATTAGCTGGGCATACTGGTGTGCACCTGTAATGTCAGCTATGCAGGAGACTGAGGCAGGAGAATTGCTTGAATCTGGGAGGCGGAGGTTGAGTAAGCCAAGATCATGCCACTGCACTTCAGCCTGGGAGACAGAGCAAGACTGTCTCAAAAAAAAAAAAAAATTCTGATATATAGTCAGGGTCTCTATATAAGGAAAAACCTGCTTTCCTTTAATAATAGTGATGATGATACATGTGGAAAGAATACAGGCCGGGTGTGGTGGCTCACACCTGTAATCCCAGCACTTTGGGAGGCTGAGGCGGGCGGATCACGAGGTCAGGAGATCAAGACCATCCTGGCTAACACGGTGAAACCCCGTCTCTACTAAAAATACAAAAAATTAGCTGGACGTGGTGGCAGGTGCCTGTAGTCCCAGCTACTTGGGAGGCTGAGGCAGGAGAATGGTGTGAACCCGGGAGGTGGAGCTTGCAGTGAGCCAAGATCGCGCCACTGCACTCCAACCTGGGTGACAGAGCAAGAAAAAAAAAAAGAATACAGAAGCCTCCACGGCTGGTACCAGGAAGACAGTCCTTTGATAGATTACAATAACTGGACCAAAACACCTCAACCCCTTTTCAGAAATTGATTTACTGTTGTTGTTTTTGTTTCGTTTTGTTTTGTTGAGACAGGGCCTCATTCTGTCACCTAGGCTGGAATGCAGTGGTGTGATCTGGGCTCACTGCAGCCTTGACCTCCTGGGCTCAAATGATCCTCCCACCTGAGCGCCCCAAATTGCTGGACTGCAGACATGAGCCACGACACCCAGCTAATTTTTGGATTTTTTGTGGAAACAAGGTTTTACCTTATTGCTGAGGCTGGTCTCGATCTCCTGAGCTCAAATGATCCGCCCACCTCAGCCTTCCAAAGTGTTCGGATTACAGGCGTGAGCCACCGCGCCCAGCCACTCTTTTTTTTAATAGTCCTTTTTTTGATGACCACTGTCACTGCCACAGCAGCCTCAGGAGGAGATGCTTCCCTCTCTAACACTCTACCAGTTTTTCTCAGTGGGAATGCTACTGTCATATTGTTCTGAATAATCTTTGTGTGGGTTTCTAAGGAGTATTGCATGGAGTTTGGCATCCCTGCCTCCTACCCACCAAAGGCCAGTGGATCTTCCTGGTCATTGTGACAAGCAAAAATTGTCTTTACACAGGTTCACATGTCCCTAAGGGAGCACTATGGCCTTGGGTTGAGAATAACTGCAGCCCCAAAGCTGAGAAAATGCAGACTTTTTCCTTTAGACCTAGTTATAAAGATGACAAGGCTGGAGTATGGAAAAACACTTTGCTAAAGGCAAAGGGTTAATAAAAAGAATAAAACACAGATAGGCCCATGAAGCTAATAACCCAGCTCACAAAATGACACTTGCAAATTCCTAAGATCTGGGATGCTTCCATGTGGCATTTCCCCCATTTCTAATTCATGCCTCTTGGAATCAGACTAAGAGACTGAGACCTGATCTTAGTCATTTCTTGTAGTTTTTATTTCCTATAACAAGATCCTTTTTCCTCACGATCCTTTTCTCCCAAGACAGTTTATACTGGGCTGGTCCTTATCTTCCAGGTGAAATCCCATCCTTATCTTTGTAAACTTGAATAGGATAATCAAATCACAGCACAAAACAACCCTGACATTCATACTGTTAGTAAACATGGTCTACAGTGTCTCTTTAGAGTCTTCTTTTGGCTCATTGTTTCCCTATATATTGTTTTGGCCAGGTTTTTGGTGGTGGTGGTGTTGTTTGGTTTGGTTTGGTTTTGCCTTCATTGAACCTTATATTTCTGCCTACTCACAGTCAATAAGCTCCTCCAGAGGTTGGTTGCTATAAACTAGCTATCTTGTCCCCTGGAATTGCTTAATGTTGCAAACTATTTGTTTCCATTGTAATTACTAAATGCACGTTTTGTTCCTGCCTATTTCAGATGCCCTTGCTGTTGTTATAGAGGTAGCCAACCACGCCAATGACACCATGAAGCAAGGAGTAAGTGTCTTGTTGTCAGTGGCTGGTGTGGTCTTGAACCTGAAAGCCCAGGCCTTCATATGCTTTCCATTGTCTTTCTGTAGGACAACTTTCAGAAACTTATGCAAATTCAGTACAGCTTAAATGGACACCATGAAATTGTGCAGCCTGGTCGGGTAAGCATTTTACATTGCTTTTCGCAAACTTAATACGATGCATTTAGGTACCATCTGTATCTGTTTATCATTTTATAAAAATAGGTTGTTTTTGTTACTCTTCATTGATTCAATTTTGATCACTTTATCCGTTCAAAACATTCATGATGTAAGTCACTGTGACAATTCAATTAGGAATAAGCCCATTTATGAAGTAAGTCCAGTTCAATTAGGGGAGCGGCAAGGGACCCCACAGAGTATCTGATTTAATGGGATCGTTTTCTTGTGTGATGCCAGCGACCTCACACAGTTTTGAAGACAATTTCATTTAACATCTTTAATGTAAGAGAGGATTATGAAGGGAGGGGGGAGATTGGTATTTTGATCCTCCTCATATAGCACAAAAGTGGCCTAGGGAATTAATTCGGGAAAATTACAAAATGCGGTTGTCAGGATGTTGGGTATGCTTCAGGATCAAGTACACGCTCAGTCAATTACATGTGCCTCCATACAGTATCCCAGGGGCCAATATTGGAATTATCCAACCCTGCTTGCTTGTCCGATTCCTAAATGATTTAAGGGTTTAAAATTAACTATGACTGTAAAAAATCTCAAGGAAACTGTGGCTCCCCAGTCTGTCATGAAAAAAATTCTCAGGGAAGAAAGTTGAAAAGGAAATTATATTGTCGTTGTGTTGTGATGGTAGGACTAAATGGGTGTTTGTTTGGGTGAATCAGGTTTTTCTCAAAGAAGGAATTCTGATGAAGCTGTCTCGGAAAGTGATGCAACCTCGAATGTTTTTCCTGGTAAGAGGACTTGTGTAGTTCTGATGTGGCCGAGGTAGGGATAGTTGCTTAAGGAAAGGAGACGTTTATACATGGTAGATAAGCTTAGCACCTTCAAATATCAGCCTCACCAGCTTCTTGAACTGGCCGTACCACTTAATTGCATTTCAAGTATGGGAAATAACGTCTGTTATGATGTATAACCAGAAGATTATTTCTTTTTGGAATTTATTCCATTTCTAACTTGGAAAATTGTTCTAATCATTTGTTTAGGCAGACTAATACCTTTGTGGGATTTAGAATTCAAAAAACATTAAATCTGTTACAGAACTTGGAAATAAAGCACGTTTTCCAGAAAGTGCCTTTTAAATTATATTCTAATAAACATTCTGGGTAGTTCTAGTGTATATAGCAGAATATAAGTATTTTATTCAGAGAGCTATTAGCAAAGAGGTATTATTTATCCTTTAATCTTGTATCTTGTCAAAATCTTTGTGGCAGTAATGTGTTTCTTTACTTTCTCCCCTGAAATGTTTCTACTTTCAGTTTAATGATGCCCTGCTGTATACAACACCAGTGCAGTCTGGGATGTATAAACTGAACAACATGCTCTCACTGGCTGGAATGAAGGTGTGTGCATCTGTTAGATGTTTTGTTTTTTGTTTTGTTTTGTTTTGTTTTGTTTTGTTTGAGACGGGGTCTCATTCTGTCACCCAGGCTGGAGTGCAGTGGTACAATCTTGGCTGACTGCAACCTCCACCTCCTGGGTTCAAGTGATTCTTCTGCCTCAGCCTCCTGAGTAGCTGGGACTACAGGCACCCACCACCACGCCTGGCTAATTTTTGTATTTTCGGTAGAGACGGGTTTCACCATGTTGGCAGGCTGGTCTCGAACTCCTGACCTCAGGTGATCAGCCTGCCTTGGCCTCCCAAAGTGCTGGGGTTACATAGGTGTGAGACATGATGCCCACCCAGGTGATTTGTTTTTAAACCCAAATAAGGTCAGTGTGGTGGCTCACATGCCTATAATCCTAGCACTTTGGGAGGCTGAGGCCGGTGGATCACAAGGTCAGGAGTTTGAGATCAGCCTGACCAACATAGTGAAACTCCATCTCTACTAAAAATACAAAAAAAAAACAAACAAAAATTAGCCAGGCGTGGTGGCGCACACCTGTAATCCCAGCTACTCAGGAGGCTGAGGCAGGAGAATCGCTTGAACCTGGGAGGCGGAGGTGTCAGTGAGCTGAGCTCGCGCGACTACACTCCAGCTGGAGCAACAGAGTGAGACTCCTTCTCAAAAAAAAAAAAAAAAGCCCAAATAAAGGCTGGGCGTAGTGGCTCACACCTGTAGTCCCAGCACTTTGGGAGGCTGAGGCAGGATAATAACTTGAGCTCAAGAGTTAGAGACCAGCCTGGGCAACACAGTGAAACCCCCATCTCTATTAAAAATAATAACAACAACAAATATATATTTTAGAGAAAATTCCCTAAGATAAACATCTTTCTTATATCCTTTACTTTTCTGTCTATATATGTTACTGTTTATGCATTTGTTTTGTTTTGTTTTGTTTTTTTGTGACAGAGTCTCACTCTGTTACCCAGGCTAGAGTGCAGTGGTGCGATCTCAGCTCACTGCAACCTCTGCCTCCCGAGTTTGAGAGATTCTCCTGACTCAGCCTCTTGAGTAGATGGGACTACAGGCTCAGCTAATTTTTGTATTTTTCACAGAGACGGGGTTTCACTATGTCGGCCAGGCTGGTCTCAAAGTCCTGACCTCAAGTGATCCACCCACCGTCGCATCCCAAAGTGCTGAGATTACAGGCGTGAGCCACTGCGCCCTGCCTGTTTATGCATTTGATTATTCATTCATGTAGTCATTTGTTCACTCATGCATTAATGTATTCATAGGATATTTATTGAGAACTACTATAAACAAAACAGTAATGGGTTTGGTGGAAGATATGAAGATAAGTTGAAGCATGATTCTTATTGTCTTTCCTCCCCCAGGGACTTAGCAACTAGTTGGGAAGACAGTACACTACACGTAAATACCTATAAAGTAGACAGTAATAAATATCACTATAAAGGCACAATTACAGTTTTGGGAATTCAGAAAATAAAGAACTTGCAGTGTTTGATGGTCATGGTGGGGACTGGCCTGTAGCTTTTGAGAGCAGCTAGGAAAGAAGGAGAAAGAGGAGGAAGAGCCAGTGGACCTTAAAGTATAGGTCACATTTGGCCATGCTGAGATGTAAGGGAAAGGCATTCCAGGTGGAGGGCATACTGTGAGCAAAGTCCTGGAGGTGGGAAAGGTGGGCTGGTGTGTGGGCTTTTCAATTCATCTGAAGCATAGAGTAGATGAAGGAGAACAGCAGTAGAGAAAGCTGGATAGGAAGATTGGTTGTGGATGTAAGCAGCCAGGGCCATTGGACAACTTCAGCTCATTGATATGGTTTTCAGTAGGATGAGTCGGCTCAAATTGTTGTGCTTTCTTCCAGGTCAGAAAACCTACCCAAGAAGCCTATCAGAATGAATTAAAGATTGAAAGTGTAGAACGTTCCTTCATTCTCTCAGCCAGGTAAATTTTTTCTTCTTCTTTTTTTTTTTTTTTTTCTCATTCTGAGTCTGCTTGCTAGGGAATGTCAGGAAAATTTTGGTTTTTGGTTTTTTTTGAGACAGCATCTCACTCTGTCACCCAGGCTGGAATGCAGTGGCACAATCACGGCTCACTGCAGCCTCCACCTCCATGGCCCAAGCAGTTCTCCCACCTCAGCCTCTTGAGTAGCTGGGACCACAGGCATGCACTACCATACCCGGCTAACTTTAAAAATATTTTTTTGTATGCCAGGTGTGGTAGCTCACCCCTGTAATACCAGGACTTCGGGAGGCTGAGCTGGGCAGATCACTTGAGGTCAGGAGTTTGAGACCAGCCTAGCTAACATGAACATGATTAAACCCCATCTCTACTAACAATACAAAAATTAGCCAAGTATGGTGGCAGGCACCTGTAGTCCCAGCTACTCAGGAGGCTGAGGCAGGAGAATTGCTTGAACCCAGGAGGCGGAGGTTGCAGTGAGCGAAGATCCCACCACTGCACTCCAGCCTAGGTGACAGAGAGAGATTCTGTCTCAAAAAAAAAAATTTTTTTTTTAGAGATGGGGTCTCCATATGTTCCCCAGGCTGATCTTGAACTCCTGAGCTCATGCAATCTTCCCACCTTAGCTTCCCAAAGTGCTGAGATTACAGGTGTGAGTCACTGTGCCGGCCTATTTTTAAGAATACATAAACATAGATTTTTGTGAGTATAACAGGGAAAGATATTGCCAACACTTTTTGCACTTAGGTTAGCTACTGACTTTTTGTTCTTCTTTTTCTTCTTTCCCAATACCGTGCAGTTTTACTCTTGATTTACCATGCAAGGAAGTGGCTGAGAGCAGAGGCAACAGTATGCTAGAAGCACAGAGATTAAAATGTTCTTCTGAATAGAATAACAATGGTGAAAGTGCTTTGCTGATCATTTTTTAAGTGGCTATTTCAAATTGTTTTTAAGAACAACTAGTGCTTTATAGGTTATTAGGAAATTTGTAGGTGTCACTTAAAGGTTCTAACAAACCTATGAGGTAGGTGTAATCTCCTTCTAAAAATTAGGAAACTAAATTACAGAAAAATGGAGTTGCTGTCTTACGGATACATATTTGACACAGCCAGGATGCAAATCGAAGTCTTTTGCTTTTAAGTCCATTGTTATGGGCTGGGTGCAGTAGCTTACGCCTGTAATCAAGCACTTTGGGAGGCCAAGGCGGGTGGATCACCTGAGGTCAGGAGTTTGAGACCAGCCTGGCCAACATGGTGAAACCCCATCTCTACTAAAAATACAAAAAAATTAGCCAGACATGGTGGCATGTGCCTATGATCCCAGCTACTTGGGAGGCTGAGGCAGGAGAATCACTTGAACCTGGGTGGTGGAGGTTGCAGTGAACCGAGATCACTCCACTGCACTCCAGCCTGGGTGATAGAGCAAGACTCCATCTCAGAAAGAATGGAGGGAGGGCGGGAAAAGAAATCCATTATTATTTATGATACCACCTTGCCCCAGACCGGAACCTGCAGTGACTTAATATGTTGCCATAATGTAATTCAAGTGCTGAGGAAACCTGAAACTCTATGACTCATAAAAATACATTACTGAGTTACTGACTGAGTGGCGGAAGTGGGTATTTGGGAAGGTTTGACTGGTGAAGGGAGAGATGCCAATAGTCATAGCATGCTCCACTGCACAATCTAAATAATGAGACACTGTCTTCTCAGACCTAACCTTTGATCTAATAAAAATAGAAGCAAACGCTTTTGTAACACTTACTGTATGCCAGGCACCATCATAAAGACTTTATGTGTAGTACTTCGTTTCATCTTCACAGCAACCTGTAAGGCAAGTTGTCGTTATTATACCCATTCTATGCTGAGAAAAGCCACTCAGCTATACTAGCAGAGCCAGGATTTGAAACCAGGCAGTCTGTTTCCAATTGTCCATACCACTGAAATCAACTAGGATCTTAGGAGCAGGTGGAGTAGTGGCCAGAATCATTTATTACTCTGCATCAGTCACAGTGCTCATGTTTCGTTTTATATTTATTTTCTCTTTTAAGTTCTATGATAACTTTGTGGGGTGGATATTATCTTGATCTTCCAGATTAGAAAAATGGAGGCTCAGAGAGGTTCAATAACACATCTAAGGTTACACGAGTAGTAAGCAGTGGAGCTGTGATTTGAACCTAGGTGTTTCTGACAACCTTTATAATTTTGCTTACGTCCATGAATGTCAAGGACTCAAACCAAATGTCTGACTTCCCAAAATCAGAGGACCACAAGAGTCATCCTGGGGTGTGCTACTCCTCTGAAATGCAATGGCTACTGCTGCCTGACATACAGGATGACAGGAGAAGACAAATACCTGTGTCTAGGGTTTGTCAAATGCTTCGCAGCTAGCAGTCAGAACAAGCAAATTTCTTGGGGGTACCTGAAGCATCCACCAGATACCAATATTTAGAGAGTGCAGGTAAACTCTCAATCACTTAGCATTGTGACTTTTTCTTTTCTTTTCCTTTATTGTTGTTGTGTTTTTTTTTTTTTTTTTTTTTTTTGAGAAAGGGTCTCGCTCTGTCACCCAGGCTGGAGTGCAGTGGCACGATCTCGGCTGACTGCAGCCCCCGCCTCCCGGCTTCAAGCGATCCTTGTGCCTCAGCCTCCCAAGAAGCTGGGACTACAGGCATGCGCCACCATGCCCAGCTAAGTTTTTAATTTTTAGTAGAGACAGGGTTTCACCATGTTGCCCAGGCTGGTCTTAAACTCCTGACCTCAAGTGATCCACCCACCTCACCCTCCCAAAGTGCTGGGATTACAGGCGTGAGTCACCACGTCTGGCCATCTTTTTTAATTTTAAGATAGAGATGACCTTTCACCATATTGGCCAGGCTGGTCTTGAACTCCTGACCTCAGGTGATCCACCCCCACTCAGCCTCCCAAAGTGCTACAGGCAGGATTGTGTTCAGCCCTTTTTTCGTTTTTGAGGGATAGAGGAGTTTGAACAAAAGTTCAGAGAACAAGGCCGGTGCTAAGTGGCTCATGCCTGTAATCCCAGCACTTTGGGAGGCCGAGGCGGGTGGATCACAAAATCAGGAGATCGAGACCATCCTGGCCAACGTGGGGAAACCCCGTCTCTACTAAAAATACAAAAATTAGCCGGGTGTGGTGGCGCTTATCTGTAGTCCCAGCTACTCGGGAGACTGAGGCAGGAGAATTGCTTGAACCCAGGAAGTGGAGGTTGCAGTGAGCCGAGATCGCACCACTGCACTCCAACCTGGCAACAGAGTGAGGCTCCATCTCAAAAAAAAAAAAAAAAAAAAGAAAGTTCAAAGAACATTAAGACCATGTATATCATGTTCCCAGTGAGTGCTTGAGCTTGGTTCTTAAAATCAAGAGGTTATTTTCAAAATTCCAAGGCAGAAATGCCTATAGAAAAGTCAAGTTTTAATTGCACTTCTATTTCCCAAGTAAAAATGAGCCTTGGTGAAAAACAGTAATCTATTTTATTAAGATTAAATCATTCAAGAAATTATAGTGAATGTTTCTTTCCTTGGTTGTTAGGTGAATATCTGGATGTTCATGATTTCCAGATCAGTACCAGACAGGTGTAATGAACAGCTCTGATCAAGATTTATATTTCTGTGACTTTTTTCTTTTTTGTGACAGAGTCTCGCTCTGTTGCCCAGGAGTGCAGTGACGCGATCTTGGCTCACTGCAACCTCCACCTCCCGGGTTCGAGCAATTCTTCTGCCCTAGCCTTCCGAGTCACTGGGACTACAGGGGTGCGCCGCCATGCCCGGCTAATTTTTTTTTTTTTTTTGTATTTTTAGTAGAGATGGGGTTTCACCATGTTGGCCAGGCTGGTCTTGAACTCCTGACCTCAAGTGATCCACTCACCTTGGCCTCCCAAAGTGCTGGGATTACAGCCGTGAGCCACCATGCCCAGCAACATAACTATTTCCATTCTTCTTATCAATCAAGGTGGCAACCTCTCTTCCGCTGTCAGCTGGAGAGAGATAACTACCCCGTGAATCTCATCCAAGTTCCTGCCAGTGGTAGCTGGGTAGACAGCTTCAGTTTCTTGTCAGGAGCAAAAATAAACACCATAAGCTCTGACACCCATTCCCTTTTCTTCCAACTCAGGAGGATCCAGCATGCCCAACAAGACGGCAAGGTCCTGATCCTTACCATCAATGTTGGGAAAAGGGCATTTTTCTGTTCGCTCATCACTATTGTAAGCATTGATATCCTTGCTCCAGGCAAGATGGTCCTCAGCACTGTCTGTTGCAAGGGCAGTCAACTTCACATTGCTCTTGGTGAATTCTGGTGCCAGCTTTGCAGCTCTGCCAAGCTCCATAGTGCACACTGGTTTAGAGTCCCAAGGGTGGGAAAAAAGAATGCCACAGGAGTCTCCTAGAAAGTCGTGGGAACAGATACAGCCAACAGTGCGATTAGCCTCCGAGTTGGGAGCCTTGTGGATGGCAGCAGTAGTGACATGGTGGGCGAGACAGTGTAGCCACGGCAGCAAGCAGCCAGCTGGTCTGGGCAGTCCTGTTTGTGCTTTTGTTAGTAGTCTGGGGCTTAGTGATAAGCAGTGATAACTGAGAGCAATCATTGCTGAGTCAAACTAACTTTAGTGATGAGAGAAAGTCATTGTTTGGAGACTGGCATATGGAGAGCTATGAGGGAAGGCGATTGTCTGCTATCAACCATTAACAAATGTTTACTGGGCATCACCTACCCTGTCCAGGAGCTGGGGGTGTGCAATCCCTGTCCTTA
Source organism: Homo sapiens (assembly GCF_000001405.40). Taxonomy (NCBI): domain Eukaryota; kingdom Metazoa; phylum Chordata; class Mammalia; order Primates; family Hominidae; genus Homo; species Homo sapiens. The sequence goes on along the minus strand of NC_000012.12, from coordinate 95,100,222 downwards.
AGGATAAGCTTTTATTCTAAAGTGGGAGATACATAATAATCAGGTTTATTTATATCTATGCACATAGAAATAATTTGGAGTATTCAATGTTATAAAGAAGAATAAAGTAGGCTGAGCAGATAGAAAGTGATGAGGTCAAGAACTTATATGGGGTGGGGGGGGGGGGGATCAGAAAAGTTATCTCTGAGGAGCATCAGAGACCAGAAGCAAATCCCAGATGGAAGGAACAGCAGGAACAAAAGACATACCAGGGAGGCAGGAAAGGGTATAGTATGTTAAAGAAACAGCAAGAATTCCAATATAGGTAGAGCCTAGTACTCCGGGGAGAGCCTAGTACTCCCCTAGTACCAGGGGAGATTAAATGTGAGTTACAGTTTAGGGGCAAGAGTTAGGGGCCACCCATAGTAAGGTCATTGAATTTTTAAGAGTTTTCAGCTAAGTGATAATATCTAATTTATGTTTGTGAAAGATCACACCGGCTTCTTTGTAGAAGACAGACCATCAGGAGACTACAGTAGAAGTTGGGCAGCCAGGTAGTGAGTGCCCAGCAGATGATGGTGTGTCTTGGGTTAAAGTGATGAACAATGGTATGAATCAGAAAAAAACCCAATAGGATTACTAATGGGCTGAATGTGGGCTCTGCAGGGGAAATCATTGAACTGAAAAGTTCTTGATAAAGGAAAAATAAATTTCCAAGGGAGGATCAAGCTGGCATGAGGGAAAGAGAGCTAAGGCATATTGAATGTCATCGGTATGCCATGCTCTCCTTCCAGATTCCTCCAACCAGTTAGGCAGGTACTGCATCCCATATTAAAGTGGGTAAGGAGTCTCTCCATCTCTTCCCACCAACACACTGCATGCTCCATCAGCACGGATCTGCGTGTGACTCCATGCATGCCAGACAACTCCACAGCCATCTGCCTTCCACAGGTGTTACCTCCACCTGCAGTTCATCCCTTCGTTCAGTAAGGAATATGGAGCCTCTACCTTGGGCCAGGCATTGTGCTGCGCATCGGGACACAGTGGATTAAAAATTAAAAGGGTCAAGTCAGGTGCAGTGGCTCACGCCTATAATCCCAACACTTTCAGAGGCCAAGGCAGGCGGACCACTTAAGGTCAGGAGTTCAAGACCAGCCTGGCCAACATGGTGAAACCCCGTTTAATATTTTACATTAAAATATAAAAATTAGCTGGGCATAGTGGCACACGCCTGTAATCCCAGCTACTCTGGAGGCTGAGGCAGGAGAATTGCTTGAACTTGGGAGGCAGAAGTTACAGTGAGCCGAGATCGCACCACTACACTCCAACCTAGGCAACAGAGCGAGACTCCGTCTCAAAAAAAAAAAAAAAAAAAATTAAAAGGGCCCTTCCTTCACTGAGCTGACATTCCATGGAGGAGGACACGCACTTAGCAAATATTAACACAATTAAGTATTGTGGTGATTAAATGGTGCACAGAAAAAGTACCAGGGGCTAGGAGGCTGTAAAGCAAAGGACCTTAAACTGCAATGGGGGAGAGAGGGCAGCCTCTTTCCTACAAACCCTGCTGTTTATATTGACTTAGGAAAGATAAGTAGGAGTCAGAGGGGCAAAGAGGAAAAAGGAAGAGCCTCCTGGTCATTAGGAGCACTGTGTACAAAGGTCCTTAGGTGAGAAGGGGCATGACATATTCAGAGAATTGGAAGGTCAGTGTGGCACGAGCTCAAGAATGAGGAAGAGAATGACCCAGGATAAGCCTGGAGGGACAGGTGACTTAGATGGTGCAGAACCATCTTGTGGGATTTGGTCTTTAGCCTAAGAGCCACAGGAAACCGCTGAAAGGCTTATACAAGGGAATGATGTGATCAGATTGGCATTTTTTAAAGAGTATCCGGCTGCTGCATGGAATCTGGTTTGGGAGGTGGCCTAAAGGAGGGGACTGATTGGACACAGGGTATAAGAGGAGTTCTTCAGAGGAGACTCCAGCATATACTATGAATTGGGAGATGGTGCCATGCACTGTGACAGGGAGCACTGGGAGAGGAACAGCTTTAGGGGAGAAATTGGGAGTTGAGTTTCAGGTGTGCATATGGAATGTGAGGTGCATATGCAACATCCAAATGCAGCCATCAAGGGGCAGTTTCTGTAAGGATCTGGATTTCAGAGGGAAGTAGGGGCCAGAGACATATATTTGGGCACCATTAGCTTAGAGATGACCACGGCTGGCAGACTGAATGAGGGTACACAGAGAGTTCCCTGCCAAACTCCTGTAACTCTTTAAGTCCTAACTTTGTCATCACCTTTGCAGAGCCATCCCTGCTACTTACATAAGGTAATTTACTACTTCTATGTTATTTATCTACATTTGTCATATCATATGTTAATACATGTTTCACCTCAATTCAGTGTGCATCCTTACAAGTGAGGTATATTTTGTGTGCCCAGTTCTTGGCTTAGGTCCTGGCTTAGTAGGCTCCCAGTGAATGTTACTCACAGCGTTACTCACAAATCAAAGTGATGTGGCCTTTGAACCTCAGAGAAGCATCCTGCAGTTAGTCCATGTAGTAAATGGTGTGGCATGGTCTTTTTTTTTTTTTTTTTTTTTTTTTGAGACAGAGTCTCACTTGTTGCCCAGGCTGGAGTGCAGTGGCACAATCTCAGCTCACTGCAACCACCACCTCCCAGGTTCAGGTGATTCTCCTGCCTCAGCCTCCTGAGTAGCAATGACTACAGGTGCGCACCGCCATGCCTGGCTAATTTTTGTATTTTTAGTAGAGACAGGGTTTTCACATGTTGGCCAGGCTGGTCTCGAACTCCTGACGTCAGGTGATCCACCCTCCTCGGCCTCCCAAAGTGCTGGGATTACGGGCATGAGCCACCACGCCCGGCCAGGTTTTTAACCCTTGGCAATTCATCCCAGTCATTGGGAAAGTGGTACTTACTTGACACAAATTTGCTTTCTTGTACTATACACATTCTATAAAGAAAATAATACTTGACTTAACAGTTTTTCAGTTTGAAGAAGATGCTGATTCTTCTGCTAATCATGTTACAAAAGGAGACTAGAATATCTCCACTGGATGCTGCGGGCAAATGTGTGTGGTCTGTGAGAAATGTGTTATCAAGAGCTGGTAAACATTGTCTTGGCAGAACCCCACACAGGAGAGAGCCAGGAATGATTAAATGAAAGAACAGCATATGTGACATGATTTACACAGTTGAATCACATTCCACATGCTCCCCGGGCTCCAGAAGAATCCAACAGCAATTCTCAAATTTACCATCTGCCTCTCTGCTTTCTGTTACTCTTCTGGTGAGGAGCCGGGGAGGGAGGGAGAGATGGTAATGTTTTATGAATGTTTGCTTGGAACCCTGAGCATGTATTCTCATCATGTAGTTCTGCAGAGAACATGAGCAGAGGCTAGCAATGACCTGGTGGTGAGAGGTCCAGTCCTTAACTACACTTGGGTTTAATAACAGCTCATCACTTAGTCTGTTGTCTATAAAGCAAATTATCAAACATTACTAATTCTCAGTTTCCTTACCTGTAAATGGTGAAGGTGGGTGATGATGTTGTAGTTGGGGGCAAGGGGTGTAAGATCCAATGTGTATTCCATGGGGAAGCTCTGAGGGTGAGACATGGTGACATTTGCTAAGCATTTAGCAGAGTTGGCTGACGTAGTAACTGTTAAATGGCATCTTGTTTTGGCAGTAATGCTAGAATAGTAGCGGTAAATAAGGCAGGGTTTTGTTTGGTTTAGAGAGAAAGAGATTATTTCTTTTTTGCTGTTCTTTGTATGTAATGAAAATTTGAGAAATTAATTTGATTTAAAATTTTATTTGTAAAGTGGATCTCTACCTTTTTTAATCCACATGAATGAACATTCTAAATGGCACTCAAGCCATGGATTAGGGAGGCGCTTTCTGAGAATGATGATTGTAGGGAAGGTGAGTGGTTTCTATTCTTGATCTGACCTGGGTTCTCTAAAATACAGCAACATATGTCTATATGTACCATTATTAATGGTGGAATTTTTTATTTTAGAAACACTCTTTAAGAGTTCAAATATACTTAAAGTTAGGGCAAATAATACCAGAAACTGTATATTCAGGCACCCAAACTAAAAATAATCATCAAGATTTTGCCACTGATTTTCCTGTTTCATAATTTTCTATTTTAAAACAAATTGCAGATATCAGGTCATTTTACTTCTGCTTTTTTTTTTTTTGGAGACAGTGTGTTGCTCTGTCACCCAGGCTGGAGTGCAGTGGCACTGTCTCGGCTCACTACAACCTCCACCTCCTTGGTTCAAGCAATTCTCCTGCCTCAGCCCCCTGAGTAGCTGGGATTACAGGCATGCACCACCACACCCGGCTAACTTTTGTATTTTTAGTAGAGACAGGGTTTCACCATGTTGGCCATGCTGGTCTCGAACTCCTGAGCTCAAATGATCCACCCGCCTTAGCCTCCCAAAGTGTTGGGATTACAGGCGTGAGCCACCACGCCTGGCCGATTTTACTTCTGTATACCTCAAAATGCCTCTGTAAATTAAACTACAGACTTTTTTTTTTAACACAGTCACAATCCCATTCTGATGAATTTTGTTTTATTATGATGGAGTTTTAATTATTTATTAAAGTCTTTCTTTCTCTCATTCCCTCTCCCTTCCTCTTTTCTGCTCTTTCTGTACTGTGTATGTATAGATTTATATATTTATTTTTATTTATAATACCTAACATGTGCCTCTCAGTTTTAAATATACAAAACAAAATTTAAACAGTGGTTTCATAAGTATGCTGATACCAGTAATGATTTGGAGTTAACATGGTTTTGGGAAAAAGGCATGGTTGGAAAAACAGAAAAAAAAAATACCCTTGTCTGACCAAGTTTGCCCCTATTTGGCCCATTCCCATCTAGCGCTGAATTAAAGATACCTCCTGATGAGCTGGGTAGGGACAGAGAACTTGGTGGGTGAAATAGGTAGAGAAGCCCTAACAAAAACTGCAGCCTTTACCGTGTGAACCTCATTGTCAACATCTGCTTTCTAATACAAAAAAATATGTTCCCTTCACCCCAGTGCCCTTCCTAGAAAATTTTAGTAATCCTTAGTAATCTAAAGATATTTAGTATTCTATGCTATAAATTGGAATTTGAAACTTGACTTATTGGAATGTTTTTAAATTCTAGGATGATGTCTTAAGAAACTCCCTGGCTATATAAATAATCATAATTATTAATTGTACAATTATCCTTTAAACCAAACCAAAAATATTTTCAAGTTTAGGAGAGTTCAAAAGCTATTTAATATAAAGCAGAACTTTTGGAAAGAAAAAATAAGCATTGTATTTGCTAAAATGCCATCACGGGTTCTCTGTTGTCTGTTCTGATGATCTGTTCACTAAACCTGCCTCAACTCTGAGGAGTTGCTACTTTTTTGACTGGTATTGTTGGAGGGTGGTGGGATCTGTTGCCATGGGAGAAAGAAAAGAAGAAAAAGGAAAAGAACAAAAACTGACATCTGGTTGATGAAACCTTTTGCCCCCAACAGTTCTGCCACAGAAAGGGATGAATGGCTAGAAGCGATTTCCAGGGCAATAGAAGAGTATGCCAAGAAAAGAATCACCTTCTGTCCTAGTAGGAGTCTTGATGAGGTATTGTTTTCTCCTTTTTTTTTTTTTTCCAGTGCATTTCAAAGTTTTTACCTTAAACATTTCACAGGGGTTTAAGAAAGCAACATGTGTTTCAGAAAATGATTGGACTGGACATCAGAGAGTTACTCTACAGATTAATGTCTCATTTCAGCGCTAAAAGTTTATCCTCCTATTGTTGTCTCACTGCAAGTCTGTGATAGCATATAGCATATTCATGTTTCTTCCCAGCTATAAAACTTCATTGTAGGAAATTTAGAAAATACGAAACAGTTTAAGGCAGAAACTAATCAGCTGCCATCCCACTACCACAGGCGTCTTTTTAAGTTAATTTTGTATTAGAAAATTTTTAGATTGTAGCTAAACTTAGTATTCCGAGCACGTGAAAAATATAATAGCCCATATTTCTTTTCTTTTTCTTTCTTTTTTTTTTTTGAGACAGAATTTCACTCTTATTGCCCAGGCTGGAGTGCAATGGCGCAAACTCAGCTCACTGCAACCTCTGCCTCCTGGGTTCAAGTGGTTCTCCTGCCTCAGCCTCCCTAGCAGCTGGGATTACAGGCATGCACCACCACGCCCAGCTAATTTTGTATTTTTAGTACAGATGGGGTTTCACCATGTTGGCCAAGCAGGTCTCAAACTCCTGACCTCTGGTTTTCCGCCTGCCTCGGCCTTCCAAAGTGCTGAGATTACAGGCATGAGCCACTGTGCCTGGCCAATAGCCCATATTTCTTTTTTTTTTTTGTTGAGATGGAGTATTGCTCTGTCGCCAGGCTGGAGTGCAGTGGTGCAATCTCGGCTCACTGCAACCTCTGCCTCCCAGATTTAAGTGATTCTCCTGCCTCAGCCTCCCAAGTAGCTGGGACTACAGGCACGTGCCACCATGACCAGCTAATTTTTGTATTTTTTTTTTTTTTTGAGACAGAGTTTTGCTCTTATTGCCCAGGCTAGAGTGCAATGGCACAATCTCGGCTCACCACAACCTCCGCCTCCCAGGTTCAAGCAATTCTCCTGCTTCAGTCTCCTGAGTAGCTGGGATTACAGGCATGCGCCACCATGCTAATTGTCGTTATTTTTAGTAGAGACAGGGTTTCTCCATGTTGGTCAGGCTGGTCTTGAACTCCCAATCTTAGGTGATCCACCCGCCTCGGCCTCCCAAAGTGCTGGTATTACAGGCGTGAGCCACCGCGCCTGGCAATTTTTGTATTTTTAGTAGAGACAGGTTTTCACCATGTTGACCAGGATGGTCTTCATCTCCTGACCTTGTGATCTGCCCACCTTGGCCTCTCAAAGTGCTGGGACTACAGGCGTGAGCCACCATGCCCAGCCAATGGCCCATATTTTATCCCCATCTTTTTTGTTTGTTTGTTTTTTGAGACGGAGTCCCACTCTGTTGCCCAGGCTGGAGTGCAGTGGGACAATCTCAGCTCATTGCAACCTCCACCTCCCAGGTTCAAGTAATTCTCCTGCCTCAGCCTCCTGAGTAGCTGGGATCACAGGCACCCGCCACCACACCCGGCTAATTTTTGTATTTTTAGTAGAAACAGGGTTTCACTGTGTTGGCCAGGCTGGTCGCAAACTCCGTACCTCATGTGATCCACTCGACTCGGCCTCCCAAAATGCTGGGATTACAGGCGTGAGCTGCTGTGCCTGACCCTCATCCCCATCTTGGTAGTGTGAGATGCCACTGCCGAATAAAAAGGCAGGCAGTGTGCATGGAGATAATCAGAAGTTGTTCTTCTTCCACAGGCAGACTCAGAAAATAAAGAAGAAGTTAGTCCTCTTGGATCGAAGGCTCCCATCTGGATTCCTGATACCAGAGCCACAATGTGTATGATCTGCACAAGCGAATTCACTCTCACCTGGAGACGACACCACTGCCGGGCCTGTGGAAAGGTTGGCGATGATAACACCCATCTCCATTGTGGTCTTTACTGTCTCCAGGCTGTACATAGTGAGGAAGCATATTTCCCCTCATAAACCATTATAGTTCAAGAATAACAATAACTATTATTATTATTATGTTAATGGTAGCAAACATGAATGGTGTTTTCTCTAAATATTTAGGGGGCAGGGGCAATCTTCTTAGTGAACTTCCACCCTCCTACTTCAGAGTTACATTAGAACATCAGTAATAACTGATTCAAAAACAAAATCTAACAAATCCACAATTAAACAGGCCCTCACATTTACAGCTATTATTTAAACTGCATCTCTCTAGTACTAAGTATCCATAGTATTCAGTACGGGGAATGTTCAGTGTTGAAGTTATCTCTAGTGATGTTTCTAAGCCTTCATGATCTCATTAGTAAAATGGGTGTAGAAACAGTGACATCAGAGAGTCACTCTAAAAATTAAATGAGGTTGTATTTAGAGAGCATTTAGTATGGAGCCCAAAAACTTGGTAGAGTTGCAGAGACGTGGTCGTTGCTGCAGCAGTGATTATGATGATGACAGTGCTGGTGATCAGTATACCTCACAGGCCTTTTTGCATGCCAGGTACGGTTCTAAGCATTTTGCATATATTAACTGCTTTACTTTATTATTTTATGTAGTCAGCCCTCTGTAAGTAATCATCTGTGGCCCCTTCATCTTTCAAGTGTGGTACTATGCATTAGTTCACTATATGCCTGAACTCCAGAGTTATTATTGAGACGAAGTGAGACTCAGTGACTCTGAAACTGTTTTGAAAAGTGGATAGCACTGTAAATTGTAACATACTTTATGGTGTAGAAACACAAGTTATTCTAATGAAATTAATGACATAATTCCAATGTGTTTTCAGATTGTATGCCAAGCTTGTTCGTCTAATAAGTATGGCTTAGATTACCTGAAAAATCAACCAGCAAGAGTATGTGAACATTGTTTCCAAGAACTGCAGAAATTAGGTAATATATAAGTAAGGATTTAACCAAAAATTCCTTTATTCCCCAGATGCTTTCAAACAACCTTCTGAGAGAAACACCTTCGGTACATTAGCAATATGATTGTTGATACTTATCTCCAAATTTGTAGTAAGCTTTCTTAATTCATATTTTGTTGTAATTCTGGGAGAGGTTGGGCTGAAATTTGGTTTCAGTCTGTGTAAAAGGTTTTGCTAAGAAAACTGTAGAAATGTAATTACAGGGTAAAACACTTAAAACAGTAAAAGGGAACTTTAACTTTCAAGTAATTTTGAAGTCTATAGTTTCACATGATAGTGTGCTCATTACAAATCATTTTATCTATATGTAAAGTAATTCTCTTTACTTAGGTGGCACTTCGTTAGCTTAATTCTAGTCAGTTAATCTGATTTAGTGAGATGTTAATGTACATCTGAATGTGCAGCTTTTTGACCGAACACAAAAATGATACTTCCTATTTCCCTGCTCATTATTTGCAGGTATCCTCCAGTAAAATGAATGCAGCTTAGCAGGACTGCTCAGGTCTATGTTTTGGGAAGAGATTTTTAGTTAAATTCCTGAAACCTGTAGGATCTAAATTTTATTTATATATATTTTTTGAGATGGGGTCTTGCACTGTTGCCCAAGCTGGAGTGCAGTGACACAATATGCAACCTCTGCCTCTCGGGTTCAAGCGATTCTCGTACCTCAGCCTCCTGAGTAGCTGGGATTACGGGCACGCGTGACCACGCCAGGCTAATTTTTGTATTTTAGTAGAGACGCGGGGCGGTCTCACCATGTTGGCCAAGCTGGTCTCGAACCCCTGACCTCAAATGATCCACCCGCCTCAGCCTCCCAAAGTGCTGGGATTACAGGCATAAGGCACCACGCCTGGCCAGGATCTAAATTTTTGAAAGTCTGTTCTTCATTTCCCTGAAGGATAGCTTTTCATTAGCAAGGAGGAATTTCTAAGTGGATGACATGGTATTTCAGAGTCCACATATTTCTAGATGAATAATTTATTATTATTTGTGTACATTTTCCAAGAAGACCCATCCATCTCTTCCTTTATGTTCCTCTCTTTAGTCTGGGTATATGGTATAAGCTGCAAACATTCAAAATTCGTCTTTGAATTCTCCTTCCTCATCACCTATACCCATTTGGTCAGTAACTCTTGTCAATTTTATCATCAAAAATCTTTGTCTTGATTTCTCCATCCCAGCCCTAATAAGGCCTTCGTTATCTCTCATCTAGACAACTATAATAATTTCCTAACAAGTTTTCTTGCTGTTAGTCCTTTCTCCTTAGTACTGCCAGATATAATCTATTTTTCCAAATTTAATCTGCTCATGTCACTCCCCAGCCTAAAACATATAAACAACAGTCCAGTTTGCTTCAAACCAGCCCCTTTTTTTTAATCTGGCCTCATTATTCTCCAGATAGATGATTTAATTTCATACCTCTCTGCCTTTGCTCATGCTGACCTCTTAGCGCACAGTGTTCCTCCTGCTTGTTTTAACCTGGCAAATTCCTACTTACTCCATCATGGCCAGCTTTTATCTTATTATCTTCTCAGCTTTCCCTGAACCCTCTGCAATCAGAATTCATTACTTCTTCATCCGTGTCCGATAGCCCCCTTTTTTAAGCTGCTTTGTTCATTGTAGCTGGTCTAGTATCTAGACACTTAACAATACCAGGGTTCTTTGGGGTTTACGGCAGTAGGGAAGGTTTTTTGGATTTTTTTTAAGTTGGTAGTATAGTCACGTGTTTCATAATTCTAAAGGCACACAAGAGTAATCCTTTCACATAAAGTTCAAAAAGTATAAAACCATAGATAGTAGAAAGTCTTCCTGCCACTCAACTCCCAGCCATCCATTGTCCTTTTCCAGGAGTTATCAATGTTGTTTCTTAGTGTCCTTCCATGGATATTTTATGCAACAGTGTTTATGGATTTGAATGAAATTGAATTGCAAAATGCTGAGCATTGCCTACATAAGCATGCCTGATTTGTTCTAGATCACCAGCACTCCCCTAGGATTGGATCTCCTGGAAATCACAAATCTCCTTCAAGTGCCTTATCATCAGTCTTACATAGCATTCCATCAGGGAGGAAACAGAAAAAAATCCCAGCTGCTCTCAAAGAAGTAAGTGTTTCCATTAAATTTGCAATGTGATAGAGGCTGAATTATTCATATGCATATAATACACCGTTTTTCTTTCATAAAGGAAGATGTCATTTCCCACAACTATTAAGTCATGAATTTTAATACTGATGATGGATGTGGCTGATGCCTCACAATCTTGCTTGGTCTCCCGTCTGACCTAAGTCATTTAGAAAATGGCTATTGAAAGGTTTAGAGAACATTTAATAGCAGTGATAGAAAGTAAAGATAAGTTGGACACACATGAATTTTTTAAAATGACTTTGAGCAAGATCCTTGCCAGAGGGAAGAAGTCCACAGGATATTTTGGGCATTTTGTTAGCATTTAGTGATCTGCACGGTTTATTTGTAGGCATTGGTTGGTTATGCACAGCTGATATCACTGATAGTAGGTTGTCTTTCCTTTAAACTTCCTTTAAAAGAAAACTTTAAATAGTGATAATAGCCTGTATGCTTAGACCTGCTAATGGTGTAATCCACAGACTTTGTTGATATCCTATCCCATTTCCTCAAATTTAGATGTCAAAGAACAAACAGCATTGCCATTTTGGCTACTCCGTTATGATCAGTTTATTAGTGAGGTCCGCCTGTGCTAGTTTTGTGGCCAGCAGAGTAGTTTTTAATTTGGTTCTCTTGCTTTTTTACTGAGGAGGTGTTCTAGCATACATAGTGGAAGGAAAGAACTCTAAAAATTTGATCAAGATCATGTTTCTTATGTAAAGTTACGAGTATATTCCCAGTTGAAACACAGTGTTTTAGAGGTTCATGGAAATTACAGCACGTATCCATACTTCGTTTCTTGTTATGTCTGAATAATATTTCATTGTTTGTGTATACCACAGTTTATCCACCCATCTCTTGTTGAATATTGGGTTGTTTCCACCTTTTGGCTATTACGAATTATGCTGACAGAAATATTCATGTGCAAATTTCTGTGTGGACATATGTTTTCATTTATCTTGGGTTTATACCCAGAAGTAGAATTGCTTGCTCATATGGTAATTCTATGTTTAACTTTTTGAGGAACTGGGAAGTTGTGTTCTTATTCTAGTAATGTTTAAAATATTTTTAGAAACTCCTCTTTTTAGAATTACATTTAGAGCCTCAGTACTCTCAGTAATGGCAGACTACAGCTTTTGAGTTGGAGTTGGATTATTTTTTTTTAATTTTCATTGCTTCTGGGGTACCTGTGGGTTTTGGTTACATGGATGAGTTGTATAATGGTAAAGTCTAAGATTTTAGTGCACCCATCACCTGAGCAGTATACAGTGTACCCAAAATGTAGTTTTATAGTCCCTCACCCCCACAACCCTGATTTATTTTGTAAATAATCAAATCATTGGAAGACATGTTTTGTGGATCAGTTAGGTGATTAAGTTGGTGAACACCAGTTTTATCTTTGAAAATATAGGTCTAGTCATGGCTATTCAGTATTATGGTTGATCTTCTTGTGTGGCTACTAAACTGGTCCTAAATTGGTATAAAGGAGAAATGTAATATATTTTGAGCAACATTAATAACAACTTAGATAAGAATATAGTAGGATTCCAATGTAACTATATTTTAAGCAAAATCTCATTTGAATGTTAAACATTCTAGTTGGATTTTTTTCCTCTTTTTTTTCACTGAGATAGGAAACAATTCTAGTTTTTTAAAAAATTACTTGGTAGTCTTTATAAGGATGTATTTATATAAACCTACTGTTGCTTAACAAATATTTCTAATTTAATGTTAGATCTTAAATTTCCCACTAAACAATATATAATTATTTTCATGAAATTTATAAGAAATTAATATAATTAAAGATACACTTTAAAAATTCACAGAGCGCATGTGTATTAGTTTTCCATTTCTGCATAATAAATTACCACAAACTTAGCAGCTTAAAACAACATACATTTATTATCTCCAGAGTCCAGGCATGGGTTAGCTGGGACTCTGCAGGGCTATAATCAAAGTTTTGGCAAGTACTGAGTTCTCATCTAGAGGCTCATCTGGGAATTCATTTCCTTGTACTTGCAAGACTGGGGGCCTTGCCTTCTTACTAGCTTTTGGCTGGAGGTCCTCAGCTCCTTGCCATGTGGACCTCTCAACATTGCTACTTTGTTCAAAGCCAGCAAGGAAGAAAGTTTCTAGAGTGTCTCCTAACAAGACAGGGCCATATATAAGGTAGCTTGATCATGGGAGTGACATCCTATCACCCTCACCAAATTCTTAGTTAGAAGCAAGTCGTAGGTCCTGTCCACACTCAGGGGGAGGAGAATGTACAGCAGTGTGACTCTCTACAGCAAGGGTCATGGGAAGCCACCTTAAGCGTGTGCCTGCCATACCATTACTAAGGTAGATCCTAAACATTTTGTTATTTATCTACTCCTACATTTTTAAGAACACAGCTTTTAATAACCATTATTAGAGTCAATAGGCCAGGCACGATAGCTCATACCTGTAATCCCAGCACTTTGGGAGGCCAAGGCAGGCAAATCAACACCAACCTGGCCAACATGGCGAAACCCTGTCTCGACTAAAAATACAAAAATTAGCTGGACATGGTGGTGCACGCCTGTAATCCCAGCTACTCGGGAGGCTGGGGCACGAGAAGTGCTTGGACCCAAGAGGCAGAGGTTGCAGCGAGCTGAGATTGTGCCACTGCACTCCAGCCTGGGTGACAGAGTGAGACTGTCTTAAAAAAAAAAAAAAAAAAAAAAAGGCCGGTGTGGTGGCTCACGCCTGTAATCCCAGCACTTTGGGAGGCCAAGGCGGGTGGATCACAAGGTCGGGAGATGGAGACCATCCTGGCTAACATGATGAAACCCCATCTCTACTAAAAATATACAAAAAAAAAAAATAGCCGGACGTGGTGGCAGGCGCCTGTAGTCCCAGCTACTCGGGAGGCTGAGGCAGGAGAATGGCGTGAACCTGGGAGGTGGAGCTTGCAGTGAGCTGAGATCGGGCCACTGCACTCCAGCCTGGGTGACAGAGCAAGACTCAGTCTCAAAAAAAAAAAAAAAAAAAAAGAAAAAAAAAATCAATCAGTAAAAGCTTACTGTCTTTTTGCATAGAGATGAAAACATTTTCAACTTTTTATGAAGTAAAAATTAGCCTCTTTTCTTTCTTACTATAATTTGGGAAGCAAAGATTGATTCTTAAAATGAGCTTCCTTAATAGTAGAATTTTCTGTTTATTATTCTGTTTGTATGGTTTTTAGAAGTCCAAAAAGTTTTTTAGGAACAGAATTAAAGGTTCAAATAATTTTCCCTGATGCCCCAAAATAAGAGCAATAAAAAACAAATCCCCAAGTCCCCAAATCCAGCTTTTAGAAAAGCATTTTAGTCTTCTGGAACTATTTTTCTTCACCTGCCAACCCAGAAAACACAGATGAACCCACCAAGAAACATACGCAAACACGTGCAGGCACAGTTAAACCAAGTAAAATTCTATAATTGCCTCTAACATGGTTGTCTTCTTTTTTGTGCTCATGTTAATAGCAGAGTTCAATTTGTATAGTAGCACTTTGAAAATATATTTCATTCTGAAACATTCTATCATTACAGTTATTGCTTTCAGCACCTATTGGTTGCAAATAATTTTGCTGTTATAATTTGTCTGAAAACCATTAAACTTTGTATGGGGTTTCTTATCTAGGTATCAGCAAACACAGAGGATTCTTCTATGAGTGGCTACTTGTACAGATCAAAGGGCAATAAAAAACCCTGGAAACACTTTTGGTTTGTCATAAAAAATAAAGTACTATATACATATGCTGCAAGTGAGGTAAGATCTGAAATCTAAAGATGAGTAATTTGGGGTTTTGTAATGCCAACTGCAAGTAATTACAATATTTTAAAAATCCATTTATTTTACATAAGATTTTTTGCTTTGCTTTTGGATGGGGGAGGTGTTGTTGCTGTTATTTTTAATGTGAACAGTGTTCTTGCTTTGTACCTGGAGAGCTCTTTCTCAAATGTGTTAGGAATTTTCCATATTATTAAAATGCAATTTTTGTGTGTGTCGTGTGACTACTAATTACTTTACTAAAGGCAGAGCTGCCCCCAGGTGCACTGGCTCACACCTGTAATCCCAGCACTTTGGGAGGCTGAGTGGGGGTGGATCACCTGAGGTCAGGAGTTCGAGACTAGCCTGGCCAACATGGCGAAACCCCGTCTCTACTAAGAATACAAATATTAGTGGAGTGCCTGTAATCCCAGACACTTGGGAGGGTGAAGCAGGAGAATTGCTTGAACCCGGGAGGCAGAGGTTGCAGTGAGCTGAGATCGTGCCACTGCACTCCAGCCTGGGCAACAGAGAGACTCTGTCTCAAAAAAAAAAAAAAAAAAAAAGGCAGAGCTGTGTTTCTTTCTGCCAAGCTCTCTTGAGTGATACTCCCTTTACTGTCATCGTTAGATTGCATTGATCTGACAGCAGCATAGATAAGATAGGCTTTTTTGGATTATAAACAATTCTAGCAGTTTACTCTAATTCTGTCCTTTTCTCCTACCTGATCACCCTGTGTTCCACCATCCTATGAAAACACTGCTGTAGGGTCCACACTTTTCCTTAGTGAGATCCAGGTGAATAGCTTACCTTTCTGAGCTGTTTTCTGCATCCATAAAATGAAAGTAATATAATCACGTGCCTTCCTTGGTTTAGTGAGGATGTTGTGAAATTCAGTAGATGTGAACATGCCAGAAATTGTGTGCCACAGTGCCTGGCATATAGGGTACCTAGGGAGGGAGTGGCTCAATGAATATTATTGAATAAATGAGAAGTGAGTAAGTTGTTAGAATTATCATTACCTTATATGTGAATAATTGAAATTAAATTAGAGCTATGTAGATCAAGAGTTTTCAAATCTGAATTTTGTCTCAATCTAAAAACTTTTCTCCATTTGTATGTTTTTAAATTAGGACGTGGCCGCTTTGGAGAGTCAGCCTTTATTAGGATTCACTGTTATTCAAGTTAAAGATGAGAATTCCGAGTCTAAAGTATTTCAGTTACTGCACAAAAACATGTTATTTTATGTATTCAAAGCAGAGGATGCTCATTCGGCTCAGAAGTAAGTAATCTGGCCATATTTTTCTTTTATTCATGAGATTTCAGTTTTTTAATGGTTGCTTGTAAAATGACCTACTTTAAGGCATGGGGACAACTCAAAATTTACATCAGAGATTTTAATTAGAAAGATTTAACGTATTATTTAAACTCTTCAGAATTGTTTTAAAGACAAGGCAGGGGTATCTGGAATATTTTCAGGAGGCAGAGGGGAAAAGAAAATAGGTAGTCCTATACAAAGTATTTTATCTACACGTGATCTCAGAGGAAGCAGCGTGATGCTGCTCTGCTGAAAGGAAGGAAAGCTAAGGCATTTGACCTCTCCTTCTATGAGGGTAAGAATCTTCCCTTGAAACATTCCAGGACTTTGGCAATCCAGCGATTCATTTGTGCCATGGAACAGCAGGAGTTTAAACAGCTGCTCGCTAACTTCTTTGGGGAAAAGGTCAAACACATTAAGAGACTCCCATGCTGTTCCAGTGACTGAGTAGAAGGAAATGGCTATCAGTTTAGATGGCAAAGGCTGAAACAGTCTCCTCAGAATTCCAGCAAGAATCTTTACTTAGATGTTATCAGTTTGCTTAACATAGAGATGCGTATCTACCTCTGTGAAATTAGGTCTCTTTTGAACAAAATAGTTCATCATCTCTCATTTGATTTTTACCTTGGCTTCACAAAAGAATACATTTTTGTTTTCAGGAAGAGGTGTTCATGTGTTCTCCACAAGCTTAAAAGTGCATGAAAATAAAAAAGAATGCTTTGAGTGAGCAAAGCTTTTAGTTTCTTAAGACAGTTAAGATTAATGTACCAGAATTGCACACATCCCTGAATACCAGCCAGGCACAATGTTACACACACTCTGTAAGACTCTTTTTTCAGTCTATTTTAGGATATCCAACAGTATATAGCTATTCTTCCAAATATTTTCCTTTGGCTACTGGAGAATATTTTTAAATTATGTCACTTAACCATCTTTTCTATAAAAATTATTTAGACAAAATAGTAATTGCCCTAATATTGTCAGATATTAGCTTTCTTACAATTTTCATCAAACTGAAAAAAAGTACTGCTTTTCAATATATGTCATCTTTTGCTTATATCATTGAGTTGACAAGATAGAAATGCCACCAAGACAGAATTACATGTAGTTAGGTAAAGGAAGTCAGTTTACTTATAATTTAGAATTGACCCAGGCTAAATTATAAATTTCTCTTTATTAATATCATATGGATTGCTTTTTGAAGTACATGACAGAATATTAAAATGTATTAATTTTAGTGGGAAAAAAGCCTTGCTATGGCAGTATAACATGCTATTTATGTTCAATATTAAATTTTTGAAAATTCCTTAAAATTTGAACTGAATCTGTTATAGGTTGCTTTTACAAAATAATTAAACTGAGTGATTTCAAGTGTTCATAGTTCTCTGGACTCTCTTCTGTGTGTGTGTGTGTGTGTGTGTATGTGTGTGTATATATATATATATATATTTTTTTTTTTTTTTTTTTTTTTTTTTTTAATGGAGACAGAGTCTAGCAATGTTGCCCAGGCTGGTCTGAAACTCCTGGGCTCAAGCAGTCCACCTATCTCAGCCTCTCAAAGTGCTGGAATTACAGGTGTGAGCCACCATGCCCAGCCTACATAAAATAATACCGTAAGAAATGATATTTCCATAAGAAAGAAGAAAAAGTTCAGAAGCAATTACATTAGTAGGGAGGAAAAAGACTACTCTCAAGTATCTTCTGAATAATTGCAGCTGTGTATATTGTCAGATAAAACTTTGAGACTAAAGAATTTTGGAAAGATGTCTGTGAAACTTTGAGAAGCTCTTTTTTTTTTTTTTTTTTTGAGACAGTCTCGCTCTGTTGCCCAGGCTGGAGTTCAGTGGCGCAGTCTCAGCTCACTGCAACCTCTGCCTCCTGGGTTCAAGCAATTCTCCTGCCTCAGCCTCCCAAGTAGCTGGGATTACAGGCGCACACCACCACGCCCAGCTAATTTTTGTATTTTAGTAGAGACAGGGTTTCACCATATTGGCCAGGCTGGTCTCGAACTTCTGACCTCAGGTGATCTGCCCAACTCAGCCTCCCAAAGTACTGGGATTACAGGCATGAGCCACGGCGCCCAGCCGAGAAGCTCTCATACAGCATGCAAACTTTTGATCAACACTAGATGCCAGATTCCTTTTAATTGCAAATCTTGAAACAGGTCTGGATTAGGGGATATACAAGGAAACTCTGATAGCTAGAGTTAAGGTAGGAGGAGACAGGGAACTAGTGTTCCTAAAAGCACTGAGTCCAAATTCCAGATAAAAAAGAAGTTGTAATAAAGCCTTCACTGAAATATCAACTTCCAAAATAAATTAATTGGTAGCATCAAGACTTCATAGAACCTTTATACATGAAATGGTCCCTTCCTTATGCCTATCAGAAATGAGAGGCACACTTTCCAGGCTAAATTTTGGACCAAATTACCAAATAAAGGGTAGTTCCATGTATGCAGAAGGCCAATTTGCTGCAAGAAAAGATCTTACTGGCCGGTCACGGTGGCTCACGCCTGTAATCCCAACACTTTGGGAGGCCGAGGCAGGCCGATCACATGAGGTCGGGAGTCCAAGACCAGCCTGACCAACATGGAAAAACCCCGTCTCTACTAAAAATACAAAATTAGCCAGGTGTGGTGGCACATGCCTGTAATTCGAGCTACTTGGGAGGAATCGCTTGAACCCAGGAAGCAGAGATTGTGGTGAGCCGAGATAGCACTATTGCACTCCAGCCTGAGCAACGAGAGCAAAACTCTGTCTCAAAAAAAAAAAAAAAATACATATATATATATATCTTACCTATGTTGTTATGGTAATGAGGACCACAGGCCCAGCTGTCATCTATATGGTGTTCACACGTCAGATGATTAGGTTTTACAAATCTAACCGATTTCTCTTATCAATAGGTGGATAGAAGCATTTCAGGAAGGCACAATATTGTAGCAGTATTGGTTTCATCTCTTCTGTGATTCCAAAGAGGTGGAATTTCATCAGAATGGAGTAAATGCAATTCAAAAATTGTATAAAAATGAACACTGCCAAGATAAAGCCAACCAGACCCTTCATCAAAGAAATTGTTTTGTTAGGTATAAGCAATTTTTAAAAGGTGTTTGTTTTTTCATTTATGTTATTTATTAAAATTTTGATGTTTACTTAATGGTCAGAATTATTTCTGAGACACACTGAATTCTAAAGTACCATTTCTTTAGAGACCAGAAAAACTATCTTAATACTGTATACTGTATTAACTATTCGTGACATAGTTCACACTGTTTTCTTACCTTACATTGTAACAATCTTACTGGTGGAAAGTCTTTGTAAGGAAAAAACACATAGCAAGGAGCAAATTTCCACAAAGTGCTTGGTTTAGGAATTGTGATTATTATAAAACTGCTGATGAAAAAAATGCATGTCTTTGAATCAATAAACTTGGGTGAATATTTGTATCTTTTAGTGGAAAAACATGGCCAGCTTCTACCTCAGTAACTGTGAACTGAAATTTCAGTAAATTATCTAAAGTATTTCTGTTGTTAGGTACCTCTTTGGCAGGAGTTAATATTACATCATCAAAGAATTATAGCAAAGAGATAGAATCTGAATTTTTTAAAACTGTGAGTAGGAATGAAGATGTTTTTATTTGCAGAATACCACAAATAACCAACTCTTCCGGCTTTTAAGTCCAATCTTTTAAAAAATCTACCACTTCGAAACAAACATAAATGTATCATTTTTTAAAATAGCAAAATATAGCAAGCATTATGTCACATAATATTCCCTGCTATTATAAGAGTTCTGAGCCCAAGTCAATGATGATATTTGTATCTATAAGTAATGTTACATTTCCAAAAATATTGTGCATTACAAATGGAACTGGAATTACTATATCAGAAAAGCATAATTATAAGCCAGTAATAACTGAAATTCTATAGTATTCATTTTCAAAAGGTCTTTTTCTGCCAGTTTGTGATATCCTCCCTCCTAATTAAAAAAAAAAACAACAAATCCTTTCTCTATAAGCAGCTATCAGCACACCTCCTTAGGAAAGATTTAGATTCATAATTCTGGTGCACTTACTGTTTAACATATGAACTACCTTGCACATACAATTGTTGATTAGCAGAAGAAAATGAAATAACACTGTGATAAAAGCCATCCCTGATGTTCACAATACACAATTTATTAACTAAGTTTAAACTATAAATTATCTTAACTGCCATGAGCGGTGGCTCACACCTACAATCTCAGCATTTTGGGAGGCCGAGGCCGTTGGACCACCTGAGGTCAGGAGATCGAGACCAGCCTGGCCAATATGGTGAAACCCCATCTCTATTAAAAATACAAGAATTAGCCGGTCGTGGTGGTACATGGCTGTAGTCCTAGCTATTCAGCAGGCTGAGGCAGGAGCATCGCTTGAACCCAGGAGGCAGAGGTTGCAGTGAGCCGAGATGGTGCCACTGCACTCCAGCCTGGGATGACAGAGCGAGACTCCATCTCAAAAAAAAAAAAAAAAAAAAAATTGAACAGCAAGGTTATCCATATAATATTTCTTTAAAGGGTACAAGAATTTTCCTTTCTGCCTCTAAATAAAGGATTTCCTAATTCAGTGTGATCCTTAACAGCAACCATGAGGATTACTGAGTGCCTTTCTGGGGCCTTTTGAATGCTGTTTGGTACAGCACCAGAGTCCCTACTAGATCTAGAGTTGGCTGCTATAGTTTTTTGTGGCGATTTTTTGCCATGGAGTCATTTGAACCTCATACACAATCCTAACATGCCATCCCCTTTCTGTCATAGCAGGTACACTAAAATTTCTTTGTAGCTCAATTTTATATAATCAAGATCACATAAATAAGGCTTCCATGTTAGAATCGTTGCAGTTTTTAGTGTATTCCTTTTTGGAGGCTAAAGTTGTACCTTATAAACTGTTTCTGCGTCTGGCATTTAGCAAGACAAGTTATTTGGGTTTTCTTTCCCTCCTCTTGAGCTCTCAGCCTTCTGACTACAAGGTTTGGCTTAAGCCTTATAATCTAAAAAATATCAGCCAGGCTATTCTATCTTCTAAGACCTGGCTGAATCATGAGCCAGTTCTAAATCTAAAGAGAGTGAGAGAGGGAAGAAATCTGGCACAAACTTACAGTCTCTTTAATTACATGTAAAATGCATGTGACTGTATTACCTATTGGCTTAGCCCCATGGAGGGTTTAGAAAAATGTGTAGTCTTTGTGGAAGCTATCCAATTATCCTTCTCCCAAAAAGATGTTTTAAATGTGGAATAGTATTACATTCCCCTGCCCCTTTATGAGTCCTTCATAACTTACTAAAGCTGACCAATTGTTATTTATGTAACCTGGCTCATTCATTGTCAACTAAGAACCTAATTATATGCAATTTATTGTAAAAAAAGCTATAAAAATATATTTTGCTAGTATTTTAGAGGAAAAATGATATTGGGCACAGTCTATAAATGGGGAGAAAAGTTAAGTAGTATCTAGATTCCAAGGATACTATATTTATTATACAGATATGTGTGCCTGTGCTTCCATCAAACCCTTTTTCAGGTATCTCCTTTTAATTCATAAGGAGGAAAGAGTAGGGCATTTATAAAGCTAAGCTAAAAATGATGCTAAGCATAACGTAGATGAGACGCCAGGCTGAACCAGGGGAAGGCTGGCATTGTTAGTGTCCCCAACTAGCAGTCCACCTTTATCTGTGGCAGCTATAAATGTACAGGACCCATCAGAGTCCTAAGAAAATGAGAGTAATTATCTCTGGCATCATCCACATTTCCGACTCTTTCCAATCTCTTTTCCCTTTTTCTGTAATGTACCCAGCATCCCCCTATTGTATTTTGGTTGCCCAAGATTCTTGATTCTTTGAGTGTGTAGTAGCATTTCTTAAAATGAGATCATCAGACCAACCCTTGATTCACATGAAAGCTGTAATGACACAACAAAGAGAAGGCGACAGTTTTAAAGTATAATTGTCAGCCAAATGTGTATTTTATATTTGGTTCATAGAATATATCTAGATGTGGGGAAAGTCTCCTATTTGGTAATTTAGTTAAAATGTAAATGTTATATCACAGCATATGTTGGTATGTTTTGGAGTGTGCTTCCATTGTGCTCAGCTTTTGAAAAGTTTGAAATCCACTTTAGTCAAATGTAGTCAATGGGATTTCCAGAGATACATATTGTTTTTCTTAGTGTACCACACACTCCTTGAAGGCAGATACTGTACTTAATATATCACTGTCTTCCATAATACTGCCCTAGGTCTTTTTAGTTTTTAAGAGACCGGGTCTCGCTATGTTTCCCATGCTGAACTCAAATGCCTGGGCTTAAGCAATCCTCCCACCTCAGCCTCTGGAGTAGCTGGGACTACAGGGGCATGCACCACCAGGCCTGGCTTCCTAGGAGGGTCTTTAAAGAGAAAATATTTGTTCAATTGAAAACAGGATTCTTGTCATCTACAACTCCAACACAGCCTGAAAATATCCACATTATAACCTGGACCTTAGACCTACTTTCTCCACTATCCTGCAAAGCTACATCTGTAACTACCTATTGGCTATCTATATGAGTCCTCAAGCATCTCAGACTTTACATGAATAAAACTCAACTTCCTTCCCATTCAAATCTGTTTATTTTCTTCTGTAAGAGAAAGATACCATTTGAGACTCCAGAATCTGCCTCTAACTCTCAACAAGACTCTGCAATTACTCAAGTATCCTTTCCATCCTCATTGCCCTGCTGTTATTACATAGGCCCTGGTTCAAGTCCTTGTTACTTGTTCCCATTATTGCAATAACTTCTAATTCCAATGCCGTTGTGTGATCCCATTTTAAACACGGCCAGAGCAGTCTTCCAACAACATAGCTCTAATCTAGTTTCATCCCCACTTTTACATGCCTCAGTGGCTTTCCCAGTGACTTGGCATGGAACACGTCCTCAGTTGCCATACATTCCAGCTAACTCTTACCCAACCTTTCTTTGTTCACACAGTTTCCTTTTCCTTCCTCATTGACCCATCCGCATCTCTGTTTATCCAAGACTTCTCTGTGATAGCTGACCCTTAGTCTTTCTCTCCCCTATTCCTCCAGACTAGATCCTGTCTCCTTCCTGCAGCCCCGACACAGCCTTCAGTTCATATCTTTTGCATGATGCTTAGCACCTTCTATCCCTAAGGACAACTTACTCATTTGAGATTTCTGGCAGGGTACCTTGCATGCAGTGGACACTCAGTATTTGCTGAATTAAATTCCTTCCTATGGATCCCTTCTGATTTTTTTTAAGTGCCTCTAATACACATATCATTCTAGGGCTCATGCCACTTTTAATGTCATTTTCTAAAGGAAAATCTTATCTATGATATTTTCCCTTATAAGAGATAGTTGTTTTGAGTAGGGTTTTTTAAAAGATAAAGGTAGTAGGAAATTTTTTAAAGCCTAAATATCAAATTCCTTTCCCTTTGGAGTTGGGGGAAGGAATGAAGGGGGAGCAACTTGCTCTTTCATATGAGTTGGTCATAGCATGTAAGAACCAATCTTGAAATATCGTTTTTTTTTTAATGGCTTATAATGTATTTCTAGAAATACTTTGTACTTAAAATGATAACAGTTTGTATCTTTTTGTCCATATATACTTTATAAATAAAAAAATTAGCATTGTAAATAATGTTAATATGTATTTATACAAAATAAATTTACTATAATATATTTTGTTGGTGTGATTTTTTTCCCCCTCAAGACAGAGTCTTGCTCTGTCGCCCAGGCTGGAGTGCAGTGGCGCGATCTCGGCTCATTGCAATCTTCACTTCCTGGGTTCAAGCAATTCTCCTGCCTCAGCCTCCTGAGGAGCTGGGATGACAGGTGCGCACCACCATGCCCGGCTAATTTTTTGTATTTTTAGTAGAGACGGGATTTCACCATGTTGGCCAGGCTGGTCTCAAACTCTGACCTCAGGTGATCCACCCGCCTCAACCTCCCCAAGTGCTAGGATTACAGGCGTGAGCTACTGAGCCTGGCCAGCATCATAGATTTAAAGATGAACTTCGGCTAGAGTCACACATTTAAAGATGAACTTCGGCTGGGCACGGTGGCTCATGCCTGTAATCCCAGCACTTTGGGGAGGCCAAGGCGAGCGGATCACTTGAGGTGAGGAGTTCGAGACCAGCCTGGCCAACATGGTGAAACCCTGTCTCTACTAAAAATACAAAAAGCTTAGCCAGACATTGTGGTGTGCGCCTGTAATCCCAGCTACTCGGGAGGCTGAGGCACAAGAACCTCTTGAACCCAGGTGGCGGAGGTTGCAGTGAGCTGAGATCAAGCCACTGCACTCCAGCCTGGGCAACAGAGTGAGACTCTGTCTCAAAAATAAATAAACTTCATTTACCTCTTTTCCTGAAGCATAATTAATGGAAACGCTTCTTCACCTACAAATGATGTTCCTAAAATGGCTTCTACTTCCAAGTTTTAACAAGTCAACTTATTGTGACTTAAGTGAATTAATTGGGTGATAAGGGGTAACCACAAGCATCACTATAGGCATACATATTCTCCACCAAGAATAGTGAAGAGGTCTCAGATTGCCTGTATCCATTAGGCCTATAGTGCAGTCATGCACTGCATAACAATATTTCAGTCAAGGACAGACCACATATACAATAATGGTTGCATAAGATTATAATCCCCTATTTTTACTGCACTTTTTTTTTAAAAGGACTTAGTTTACTTTTTCTATGTTTATATATATTTAGATACACAAATACCTACCATTATGTTACAACTGCCTACAGTATTCAGTAACATGCTGTACGGGTTTGTCCTAGGTTTGTGACTTAAGAGCAACAGACTACAACATACAGCCTAGGTGTGTCTAGGCTAGACCATCTAGGTTTGTATAAGTACGCTCTATGATGAGAGTAAAATGAAATTGCCTAAGGACTCATTTCTCAGAACATATCCCTGACGTGACTATACTTTCATAATTTTCACCTTTGGGACCAGCTTATGGTATTGGCAGGGGTCTCCCTTAAAACCAAACCAAATACACAACAAATAATGCTAAAAGGTAGAGGTTGGAAAAAAAAAAAAGTTTCACTCTCGCCCAGGCTGGAATGCAATGGTGCCAACACTGGACCAGACTCCTGGGCTTAAGCAATCCTCCCACCTCAGCCTCCTCAGTAACTAGGAATACAGGCCTGCACCACCATGCCTTTTTTTTTTCTTTTTTTTTTAAGAGATGGAGTCTCACTATGTTGCCCAGGCTGGTCTCAAACTCCTGGCATCAAGCAAGCCTCCTACCTCAGCCTCCCAAGGCTCTGGGGGCAGAAGCCACTGTGCTCAGCAGAGGTGGATTTTTAATGAGGGATAAAGCATATTTTTACTTGTTAGGGATTGTTTCATGCCTTGATCTCTGTCCGTCTGCCTAGTTCCAGAGAGAAATAACAGAGATGTTCTCATTCCCAGCAAACGTTTGTTTTTCCTTCCTTGGATTTCTGCCCTGAGTTTGTGGCTGCTTTCCTACAGTGCCGACCTAAGCTAGATAAAATAGAAATTTCATGACAAAACAAAGGAGATTTAAAAAAAAACTAGAAATTTCAAGAATGCTTCAAAATCTAAAGCGCAGAGTACTTTGCACACAGGGCAGTTATTCCTGCCACACCTTGCCACTACAGGTGGCCACTGTCAGAATGCGATGTTCCACCAATGTCTCTTCATTTCACAATTTGAAAAATTTTTTTTGTGGAGGCAGGGTTTTGTTATCTTGCCCAAGCCGGTCTCCAACTGCTGGCCCCAAGTGATCTTTCCTTGGCCTCCCAGCAGCCACTTGCCTGGCTTTCATTTCATACATCATTATTGAATAGCAGGCATTGTCCTATGTGCTTGGTAATACATCACTGAGCAAAACAGACAAAAAACGGCCATTGAGGATAATCCTCAATATATAATAATATATATATTATAGAGAGGATGTGGAATATACATATATATGTGTGTGTGTATATATAGAGAGAGAGAGAAAGACTCATTGTGTCACCCAGGCTGGAGTGCGGTGGTGTGATCTTGGCTCACTGCCGTCTTGACTCAGGTGATCCTCCCACCTCAGCCTCCAAGTAATTGGGACGACAGGCACGCGCCACCAGGACTGGCTAATTTTTTTGTAGAGACGGGTTTTCGCCATGTTGGCCAGGCTGGCCTCAAACAACCGGGCTCAAGTGATCCGTCCGCCTCGGCCTCCCAACTTGCTGGGATTACAGGCGTGAGCTACCGTGCCCAGTCTCTAGTGATTATATTCTTGCCCTGTTTAGCCATTATGTCTCTTTACTCACAACAGTTTATAAGTGAAACTTTGCCTTACCATTTGCATGAGTCGGCCTCAGCTTGTCATTATATATAAAGCTTACTAATGTAAATGACGAGTTAATGGGTGCAGCACACCAACATGGCACATGTATACATATGTAACGAACCTGCACGTTGTGTACATGTACTCTAGAACTTAAAGTGTAATACAAAAAAAAAAAAGTTTAAATATGATTGGACTCTACCCCAGAGCCCAGTTTTCCAGAAATTAGAAACAGATATGCCTAAGACCCAGAGGGTTATTTATTACTCAAATCTAAAACGTTGACTCAAAACCTCCCCTAATGCCCACCTTTGGCAAACGATGCTTAAACCTTTGCACGTGGCTTCAAAAATTACCTGGCTGGGAACGCGTAGCTCTGGCGGGGCACTCTGCCTCCAAGCCAAAAGGGGGCAGTGGACTCACAGAGCCGCTGCTCGGCCCTCCGATCCCTCCACCCCACCCTGGGAACGTCACGACCTCCTCTCGCCGCTTCTCCCCGTTGCTAATGCGCAGGCGCTGGCGGGATAGCGCGCCGCCGAGCCGAGAAAGAGGTCACGAACTCTGACCCCCCAGAAATACCCAAACACAGAAAGCTCTCTCCGCCGTGAATCTCGATCCCACATCCCGTCGGCTTTCTTCAACCTCTCTTCCCGGAGCGCCCCCCAATCCACGAGTGGCAGCCGCGGGACTGTCGCGTCGGCGCCCGACGCCGGAGTCAGCAGGGCGCAAAAGCGCCGGTAAGAAACGCTGGGTGGGGACACCAGCGACCGCGTCGGGGGCGGGGGCCAGGGGGTGCCCTTCACCCCAACCGCCAACGGACGCGGTCCCAGCGCATCCCCCGGCCGGCGTCCTGCGGCCAGCGGAGCCGTTCAGTTTGGGAGCGCCGCTTGGGGCTGCTCGACTTCGGCTGGGAGCGCGGAGCTGCGGCGCCAAATGCGCGGGGCCCCGGGAGAGGCGGGGGCGACAGGGGCGGCGGGACGCGGGGCCGGACGGCGAGCGGCTTGGAGCACACAACCCCCTTTCCAGCTGCGCTTACCGCAGCGCCTCTGACCTTTAACCTGCAGGGAAAGCTTCCGCGGCGCTGCAGCTTTCCCCGCCCGGGAGAGCCGCGCGCAGCGCCGGGGCTTCCAGGGCGCACGGCTAACGCCGGCACGAGTGAGACGTGGGAGAGGCCGACCCTCGGCTAGTGGCCGCAAGTCCCGGCCTGCATCCCGTCACTAACTCCCGTGCTTTCACGGGACGGACAGAATGACTCCCCCCACTTTCACTTTTCTCTCACGGCAAATCTGGCCAGGGTCGTCGCTGCCTGTGGGCCTGGATCTTTTCAGAAGAAATGGAACGGCCCCAGGGTTCTCACTGCAGGGGGCATGTCCAAGCTTCCGATAGATAGCTCTTTTGTTAAGAAATAATTCTTCCAACTCGGGCAGATACCATTTTTGTGCAGTACGAATGTTGCCAGGTTGTCCCATAATCTTCAGTAAGTAGGTCAGCCTTTAAAAAAGTAACCGGAAAGCAAAAGCAGAAAGACCTAAAATTACGGCCTTTAGGGTTTAGTACCGCTAGAATTTGTAAATGGACCTTCGATTTTGAGCTTTTTTGAACCATTTCTGCTGTGTGGTTGGTGATACTCGATTTTTTTTTCTTTTTTTTTTTTTTTTTTTGAGAGGGAGAGGGAGTCTCACTGTCGCCAAGCTGGAGTGCGGTGGCGCGATCTCGGCTCACTGCAACCTCCGCCTCCAGGTTCAAGCGATTCTCCTGTCTCAGCCTCCCGAGTAGCTGGGATTACAGACACGAGCCACCACACCCAGCTAGTTTTTTTGTTTTTGTTTTTGTTTTTGTTTTTTGTATTTTTAGTAGAGGTGGGGTTTCACTATGTTGGCCAGGATGGTCTTGATACTCTGACCTCGTGATGTACCCGCCTCTGATCCACCCGCCTCGGCCTCCCAAAGTACTGGGATTACAGGCGTGAGCCACCGCGCCCGGCCGATGATTGTTTTTAAACTTTGCTTTAAGTCCAGTTAGTATATCTGAAAAAGCGATGTGTATTTCTATCATTAAAAGTGGGTCGCGGCTGGGCGCGGTGGCTCACACCTGTAATCCCAGCACTTTGGGAGGCTGAGGTGGGCGGATCATCTGAAGTCGGGAGTTCGAGACCAGCCTGACCAACATGGAGAAACCCCGTTTCTACTAAAAATACAAAATTAGTCGGGCGTGGTGGCGCACACCTGTAATCCCAGCAACTCCGGAGGCCGAGGCAGGAGAATTGCTTGAACCCGGGAGGCGGAGGTTGCAGTGAGCTGAGATCGCGCCATTGCACTCCAGCCTGGGCAAGAAGAGCGAAACTCCGTCTCAAAAAAAAAAAAAAAAGTGGGTTTTATGAAATGTTGCTAATCTTAGTTTTTCAAGGGGCATGTTAGTTTCTTCTAGGAAAGGTTTTTTTGTTTTGTTTTATAGAAATGGTGGGGGGCCTCATTTTGTTATCCAGACAGATCTCTGGCCTCAAGCTATCCTCCTGCCTCAGCCTGTTGAGTAGCTGGAATTACAGGCACCGCATCTTAAGGAAGGATTTTGAGGGAGCAAACATCCCCAAACACACACCGTCTGTGTGTCTGCCACACAATGTATAATCCCTACTCTTGGGGAATAAAAACAAAACAGCATACAATAAATAATAGTATAAATATAATTCGTTGCCGTTTTTCAGTGACAAGACCATCTACAGCCTCTTGAAGTCTTTTATGAACTTGTCTAGAAAAATGCACCTTTAGATAAAATTTTACAGACAGTATTAGGAGTTAACAGAAATCTATTTCTGAATCCTAGCTAACAACCTTAGTCTACAAAATAATTGTTCGACCCTTCAAGAAAGACTGGGTAAAAAACTATTTGAATCAAAATTTTTTTTTTTTTTTTTTGAGACGGAGTTTTGCCCTTGTTTCCCAAGCTGGAGTGCAATGGCACGATCTCGGCTCACTGCAGCCTCCACCTCCCAGGTTCAAGCGATTCTCTTGCCTCAGCCTCCTGCATAGCTGGGATCACAGGCGCCGTCCACCACACCCGGCTAAATTTTTGTATTTTTCGTAGAGATGGGGTTTCACCATGTTGGCCAGGCTGGTCTTGGACTCTTGACCTCAGGTGATCCACGTGCCTTGGCCTCCCAAAGTGCTGGGATTACAGGCGTGAGCCATCGCCCCTGGCTTGAACCAAATCTTAAAAGTCAGGTGGAATTTAAATGAGGGAGAAAGTAGGAATATGTTGGGGGAATAAAGAACATCGTAGTTTGACCTGAACAGAGGCCCCTCTTGGGAGTGATAGGAAATGAGAATAGGGGGAAGTCGGATTATAAAAGAACTCTCCATTGTGGTGTTCACAGTGCCAGGCACCTTGTGAATGCATAATAAATATTGAATGAATACCAAGGGAAGGGGTTAAAACTTTGTTCCCTTGCCATTAAAGCAGCACTGATGGTCTGAAGCTGGAGAATAAGGATAAGTCGTTCTGTGAATGCCTGGCCCCTAGTAAGCATTCAACAAGTGATTTGTTGAATGGAAGAAAATTGAATAAATTTTTGAGCCAGTCAATATGAACATTTTTAAGGCTCTTGGTATACATTGGCAAATTACTTTTCTAGGAAGGTTAAAACAGTCTAACCTTCCACCAACAGTGTATAAAGAATGTGTGTGTTGGCTAGGTGTGGTGGCTCATACCTGTAATCCCCACACTTTGTGAGGCTGAGGTGGGCGGATCACTTGAGATCAAGAATTCGAGACCAGCCTGGCCAACATGGTGAAACCCTTTCTCTACTAAAAATACAAAAAGTACCTGGGCATGGTGGTGCATGCCTGTAATCCCAGCTACTCGGGAGGCTGAGGCAGGAGAATTGCTTGAACCTGGGAGGCAGAGGTTGTAGTGAGCCGAGATTGCACCACTGCACTCCAGCCTAGGTGACAGAGCAAGATTCTGTCTCAAAAAAACAAAAAACAAAAAACAAAAAAAACTTGTAAATTTTACTTTTGTATTGGCTACTCAAGGCCAGTTTATCAGGCTGGATCCTATTTGAAGTTGGGAAGAATGGGAAGAAAACAGACACTGCTATCAGAGCAGCCTTAACTTACACCATTACTTACCTACTTCTTTCTCATCTCTTCAGGGTAGAGACCATCTTTATTATCCTATCCCAGGGTCAGGCATAGATCCTGGAAGACATCAGGGACTCAATCAACTGAAAGGTGTAGTTAGGGAAAGGGAGAGTTGCTTTTTTTTTATAAGGTTGAGAATCCCCATGCAGTAGCAGCAGTGAGTGTTGGATGGATGGATGGATGCATGCATGGATGCATAGATGCATGGATGGATGGATTAATGTTTAAAAGCATTTTTTTTCAGTCATCCAGTCACAAAATTATGGGGGAAAAAAAGGAATGTGTGTGTTGCCTTATCTTCGGAGTTAAATTTAGTCTTGGAAAATATAGTCATATGTTATGGGGATGTGTTCTGAGAAAAGCATCCCTAAGTGATTTTATCACAGATGAACATCATAGAGCATACTTACACAAAACTAAATGGTATAACTTACCATACACATAGGCTATACAGCATAGCCTGTTGCTCTTAATTTACAAACCCACACAGCATGTTACTTTAGTGAGTACTGTAGGCAGTTTTAACACAGTAGTATTTATGTAAGTAACAAATCTAAACGTGGAAGAGGTGTAGTAAAAATACAGTGTTATGGGTGTAAACTTGTGGTACCGCTATTGTATATGCAGTCTCATTCATTGACTAAAACATTGTGCAGTACATGACTATATATTGATCTAATGAGTCCCTGGAATTCATTCAGATAAACAAATAGTTTATCTCCCTAAGTTTTCATTAGGAGGTGACTTCTTTGAGTCTAATGCACCAATACACTGGTGTTGATTTTAGGATTTCTGGAAGAGATTTCTTATTTGTTTATTACTTTAATTTTTGTGGTAATCCTTGTATTTAAGCAAAATTTAAAAGCATCAAACACTTATTCAATGAAAAATAAGTCTCCCTTCCATTCCTGTTTCCAAACTTGCAGTTTCTTTCCTTGGAGGTACTTATTGGATCCATTTTCTTTCTTATGTGTCCTTTTAAGATGTAGTTTTTCTTTTTCTTTTTTTTTCTTTTGAGACAGAGTCTCTCTCTGTCACCCAGGCTGGAGTGCAGTGGCACGATCTTGGCTCACCACAGCCTCTGCCTTCCAAGTTTATGGGATTCTTCTGCCTCAGTCTCCTGAGTAGCTGGGATTACGGGCACCCGCCACCATGCCTGGCTAATTTTTTTTTTTTTTTTTATGAGACAGAATTTCACTCTTGTGGCCCAGACTGGAGTGCAATGGTGCAATCTCGGCTCACCGCAACCTCCGCCTCCCAGGTTCAAGTAATTCTACTGCCTCAGCCTCCTGAGTAGCTGGGATTACAGGCATGTACCACCACACCTGGCTAATTTTGTATTTTTAGTAGAGATGGCGTTTCACCATGTTGGCCAGGCTAGTCTCAAACTCCTGATCTCCGGTAATCAGCCCACCTTGGCCTCCCATAGTGCTAGGAATACAGATGTGAGCCACCGGGGCCGGTCCAAGTGTAGATTTTCTTGTCTTTAGGCAGCATTTTAAAGTTTTATTTGCCTACCTAGATCTTGCATGTTCCTTATTGGGTTTATGCCTGAGTGTTATGGGCTGAATTCGGTTCTCCCACAAAATCATATGAATCCCAAATTCCTATGGTGATGTCCTGACCACCAGTACCTCAGAATTGAGTATATTGGAGATAAGGCCTTAAAAGAGATAATTGAGTTAAAATTAGTTCATTAGAGTGTACCGTAATCCAAAATAACTGATGTCCTTCTATGAAGAGGACACAGACACTCAGAGGGAAGACCGTATAAACATATAAAGATACATGGAGGGCTGGGGCCGGGTGCAGTGGCTCACGCCTGTAATCCCAGCACTTTGGGAGGCCGAGGCAGGCAGATCACGAGGTCAGGAGATCAAGGCCATCCTGGCTAACACAGTGAAACCCTGTCTCTACTAAAAATACAAAAAAATTAGCTGGCGTGGTGGCAGGTGCCTAGTCCCAGCTACTTGGGAGGCTGAGGCAGGAGAATGGCATGAACCCAGGAAGTGGAGCTTGCAGTGAGCCAAGATCATGCCACTGCACTCCAACCTGGGTGACAGAGCAAGACTCCATCTCAAAAAAAAAAAAAAAAAAAAGATACATGGAGGGGTGGGCATGGTGGCTTATGCTGATAATTCCAATACCAACACTTGGGAGGTCGAGACAGGAAGATTGCTTGAGCCCAGGAGTTTGAGGCCAGCCTGGGCAACACAGTGAGACCCCATCTGTACAAAAAATAAAAAATTAGCCAGGTGTGGTGGTGTATACCTGTAGTTCCAGCTACTCAGGAGGCTGAGGTGGGAGGATCACTTGAGCCCAGGAGGTTGAGACTGCAGTGAGCCGTGATGGTGCCCCCTACACTCCAGCCTGGGTGGGCCTTGTTTTAAAAAAAAAAAAAATAAAAAAGACACATGGAAAAGGCAACCCATGAATGGAAAAAAGAAACTTCAGAAAAAGCCAACCCTCCCACCTTAACTAGATTATTTTGAAGCAAATCTTAAATATCATATAGTTTTATTTGTAAATTATTTAATAAGAGTGTTTTGTGAGTTTAATTATAAAACATCTTTTTATTTTTGGCAGGTAGATCATGGCAACCATAGAAGAAATTGCACATCAAATTATTGAACAACAGATGGGAGAGGTATGTCTAGTTTACGGTTGATGCACTGGCCCACCAAACTTTTCTAATTCCTACTAAATGCATATACCAGGTTCTGGAGTTCCAGAAATAAAAGATATTCCCTAACTTAAGATAGCTTTTCAAGCTACTGAGAGATAGTTGAATAATCAGACAATTCATAGTAGAATGTGGTAAGTTCTGTGACAGGTCATTGTATCAGGTGCAATGGGAGCACAGAAGAAAATTGAAAGGAATGAAGGGAAGGAAGGAAGGAAAGAAATTAAAGAGCTGTAGAGTGAGTAGGAATGCTTTTGAGGGAATTCTTTTTAGAGGGTACAATCTGAGCCTAGTTTTGGTGGGATCAGTAGGAGTTCAGCATCAATACTGACATCTTCATTTTTTTAAATGGTTGTGTCCTATTACTTAGTAAGAGATACCACATAATTTGGAAGTTCTCAAAGTATTATCTGGGGACACTTCAGAGAATCAACCAGGTGAAGACCATTTTTATAATAATACTGAAATGTTATTTGCCTTTTCAGTATTGTTCTCTCCCAGGTATACAATGGAATTTTCTACAGACTGTGTGACATGTGATGATACTATATGATGAAATGTGTCAGCATTTATAAGGTGTACATAACTCAATGAATCATTGCTTTCCGGATGACCAGTGTATAATGTTACAAAATTATGCATGAGTGAAGGATCCATTTAAATTGCAGGATAGACCAACAGATTTTAATATAGTTTATGACTCTACATTGCTGCTAACCTTTGAAAAGCTGCCACTTGTTGAGTTGATGTAGTGTCGAACAACTTTCACAGTTTGAAAAGGGTATTAAAATATCCTTCCCCTTTTCAACCAATAAATACGAAGCTGAATTTTCTTTAACATATATACATATATGTATGTATGTATATGTATATATAT
Source organism: Homo sapiens (assembly GCF_000001405.40). NCBI lineage: Eukaryota > Metazoa > Chordata > Mammalia > Primates > Hominidae > Homo > Homo sapiens. The sequence goes on along the minus strand of NC_000012.12, from coordinate 95,066,417 downwards.
GGTGAAGAAATAGGTTTCCGGCTGATTTTTTGTGGCCATTTTTTGTGCTCACGTGCCTGGCTGATGTTTTATATATTTTGTAGCAACAGGGTTTTGTCATGTTGCCCAGGCTGGTCTGGAGCTCCTGGGCTCAAGCAGTTCACTGGCCTTGGCCTTCCAAAGCGCTGGGATTACAGGCGTGAGGTGCTGTGCCCAGCCTTGTTATAACCAAAACAACATAGTCTAACAGATTAAATAAAGAAACAGATATGAGATTCCAACTTCTGTTAAACTAGATATTAAAGCAATTTGTAGAAATGTAAAACAAAGCCACTCTCTGCACTACATTTTTGTTTGTTTGGAAAATAAACTTTTTAGTCATTAAGAAATAGGTTATAATGGGTACAAAAAAATAGGATGAATGAATTAGACCTAGTATTTGATAGCACAACAGAGGGACTATAGTCAATAATTTTTTTTTTTTTTTTTGAGACAAAGTCTCGCTCTGTTGTCCAGGCTGGAGTGTAGTGGCGCTGTCTTGGCTCACTGCAACCTCCGCCTCCCTGGTTCAATGGATTCTCCTGCCTCAGCCTCCTGAGTAGCTGGGATTACAGGTGCCTGCCACCACGCCCAGCTAAATTTTGTATTTTTAATAGAGATGGGGTTTCAGCTTGTTGCTCAGGCTGGTCTCAAACTCCTGACCTCATGATCCGCCCACCTCAGCCTCCCAAAGTGCTGGGATTACAGGTGTGAGCCCCTGCGCCCAGTCAATAATAATTTAATTATGCATTTTAAAATAACTAAAAGAGTATAATTGGATTGTTTATAGCATACAGGATAAATGCTTGAGGGGATGGATGCCCTGTTTTCCATGTGATTATTATGTATTGCCTGCCTGTATCAAAACATCTCACGTACCCCAAAGATAATACACACCTATGTACCCACGAAAATTAAAAATAAATTTAAAAAAATTATGTTAACATTTAATGGGTTGTTAATTTTTAAATGAATCAACTATTTTTAAAATTTCTCTTTGAATTTCTAACTCACATGCAGAAAACCCCATCTCTACTAAAATACAAAAAATTAGACAGGTGGGGTGGCGGGCGCCTGTAATCCCAGCTACTCAGGAGGCTGAGGCAGGAGAATCGCTTGAACCTGGGAGGCAGAGGTTGCAGTGAGCCGAGATCGCACCACTGCACTCCAGCCTGGGCAACAAGAGTAAAACTCCATCTCAAAAAAAAAGCTCTTTGGAACCCTCAGTAATATTTTAGAATATAAAGAGTCCTAAAAGCTAAGAACTGTTTACATAATTTACTACTCTTCTCTATTGAAGGCTCTTTGGATTGCCCAAATATTCAATTATTACAATTATTATGCTGCAGTAATGTCCTTTTACTCATTTAAGCAGAATGTTTCAACCCAGGAGCAGTTGGACCATGAATGCGCCAAATGCTCTTCTCTAAGAAGTCAGTATGAACTATTAGTCTTTTATCCAAACAATTTGCTTTAGACATAAACTGATTAGTGAATCAGAACTTTGTTTTAAATTTTGCATAGAAAAGAATCTTGAAATAATTTCAGGAAAATAAAAATAGAAAAAATTTGGTACAGAAGGAACAGGATTGGAATTTTGGAAAATTAGAAACAAACGGACTTTGCCATTTTAAAATTGAATCAAGGAATTTAATTGGCTTAATGATGTTTAATCTGGGATATATTTGCTGAATAACAGAAACTCTCAATGCTGAAATAGTTCTGTGTATTCATGAACTTGTTCCTCCCCCCCAGATGGCAGATGGCAGTTCTGTCCTCCCAATTGCTCAAGCCAAAATTTTATAATCATCCTTGACTCTTCTTTCTTCATATTCCCCTTCAGTCTATCAGCATTATTTTGTTACTTCTCTCTTCTTAAAATAAATAAATAATATATAAATAAGTAAGTAAATCCCAATTTAATTGTTTTTCACCCCCAGCATGGCTGCTACCCTGTTCCTGGTCAGTATTTCTGCCCATATGTCATAACCAGATATTGATGGTACCTGCAGTAGTGTCCTTTCTGATCTCCCTTAATTTTACTTCTGAACTTTTTTTTTTTTTTTTTTTTGAGACAGACTCTCACTGTGTCACCCAGGCTGGAGTGCATTGGCGCGATCTCAGCTCACTGCAACCTCCGCCTCCCTGGTTCAAGTGATTCTCCTGCCTCAGCCTCCCACATAGCTCGGATTACAGGCACATGCCACCATGCCCAGCTAATTTTTTGTATTTTTAGTAGAGACGGGATTTCACTGTGTTAGCTAGGTTGGTCTCAATCTCCTGACCTCATGAGTTGCCCGCCTCGGCCTCCCAAAGTGCTGGGGTTATAGGCATGAGCCACTGTGTCCATCCCCTTTTTTTTTTTTTTTTTTTTGAGGCAGAGTCCTCTGTCGCCCAGGCTGGAGTGTAGTGGTGTAATCCCAGCTCACTGCAACCTCCGCCTCCAGGGTTCAAGCGATTCTCCTGTCTCAGCCTCCCCAGTTGCTGGGATTACAGGCACCCGCCACCATGCCCAGCTAATTTTTATATTTTAGTAGAGACAGGGTTTCGTCATTTTGGCCAGGCTGGGCTTGAACTCCTGACCTCAAGGGATCCACCTGCCTCAGCCTCCCAAAGTGCTGGGATTATGGGCGTGAGCCACTGCACCCGGCCTACTCTTGAACATTTGCAGTCTGTTCTTCACACTAAATTTAGAATGCTTTTTTTATACTTCTTTTTTTTTTTTGAGACAGGGTCTCACTGTGTTGCCCAGTCTGGTCTCGAACTCCTGGCCTCAAGTGATTCTCCTGCCTCAGCCTCCCAAGTAGCTGGGATTATAGATAATGTCACTGTGCCTGTCTGATTCCTTTTTAAAAAATAAAATCCTGTCACTCCTCTGCTCCAAACCCTTTGGTGGCTCTCCATTTCACACATTAGGAAATCTAGACTTTTGTTTGGCCTACAAAGCCCTCTGAGTCCCAGCTGTCACTCAGATCCCATATTCTACTGTAATCCCTGTCTTCCCTTCTGTCTTACTCATCATATATCTCTATTGCTGTGCCTTGTGCCTCACATGTGTCAAACACCTCCCTCCTGCCCTGGGACCTACTTATATGCTCTGTTTCCTCTACCTGGAATGTTCTTCCCCTAGGTAGTCCTAAGCCTTGGTCTGTTTCTTCACTCAGGCCTTTGCAAAAATGACACCTCCTTAGCGTGAGCTTCCCTCATTGCCCTCATTCTGTTACTGTCTCACCTTGCCTTGTTTTTCTTCATAGCATTTAGTACCGCATGACAATATTATTATTTGCTTATTTATTATCTGTCTTTCCCCACTAAAATAAAAGCTTCATGAAGGCAAAAGTTTTGTTTTATTCACTGCTACATCCCAGTATGCAGAACAGCTAATATAAATCACCCAATATATGTTTGTCTAAATGGAACATGGGAGGGAAGGGGAAGGAGGGAATCAAAATAGTGAGGTCAAAATGTTCTTACTATTGTACCTTTGTTTGCACATTTGTTTATTTCTGTAGGATAGAATTTTGTGGCAATAGAATCGGTAGTTTAAAAGGTACGTGTGTGTTATATTGAATATATATGTAATGTGCTTTTCTAAGAAGATAATTGTGTCATTAAAGAAAAATTATTGAGTTTCATTGATTATTTTTCATGATTTTGTTAGATTGTTACAGAGCAGCAAACTGGGCAGAAAATCCAGATTGTGACAGCACTTGATCATAATACCCAAGGCAAGCAGTTCATTCTGACAAATCACGACGGCTCTACTCCAAGCAAAGTCATTCTGGCCAGGCAAGATTCCACTCCGGGAAAAGTTTTCCTTACAACTCCAGATGCAGCAGGTGTCAACCAGTTATTTTTTACCACTCCTGATCTGTCTGCACAACACCTGCAGGTAAATAACTATAGAAGTGTCTTTTCCTCTTACATATATAAAAAAAAAATTTTAATCATAAGCCCTGCCATGAAGACTTTAGATCTATGTATATTCAGTAGGAAAAAAATGCATAAAATTATGTGTAACACAGTATCTACAGTGACAGCCCTCTCCTATGGGCCACTGTACTTTCCTCACACTCATATATTTTGGGGATTCTTTGTTGCATACAGTAAGATCCACTCTGGCTATTGTAGCCAGGACAACAGCCTTTAATAAAGGATACAGAGAGCTTGCAGAATTGTTAGGAAGGTTGAAGAAACAGTTCTAGGCCAGGTTTTCAAGATCGACTATTGGAGCATGCTGCAAAACTGGCTTCTAAGAGACCTCCTACTTCATAATTAGGAAATTGTCAAATCAGGAGCAGCTTTTGTAGCTGTATTTTCCAGAACCAAGCTGCCTGTGCTACAAACAGGAAGCTGCCAAATCAAGAAGTTTGGACTATAGCTGCTGGCTTCAACATTGTGCCTCCTTTGTTGTCATGCACATCTTCATGAAATAGCAAGCAGTGCAGTCATGGGCTCCTGCTTTACTCTGGAATGAAGTAGTATATGTTAACATTACATCATTTTAGTTTTCGCTAGAATAGAAAATTACACATTATTCTTCAAAGACTCAAAAACTTTTATACACCACATGCCTGTGGTTATGTCGATGTTTTCACTGCTGGTTGCTATGATTGAATACAAATATAATGTACTCTGAAGTTTGCCTTCAGAAACTTTTTGAAGGGGGTCTACTTAAAATTGGGTTCTATCTTTTATGATGAAAAACTCACGAAAGAAAATTCCTCTTTGGATTGAAAAACTCTGAATTCATAAAACACGAAATTTTGTCTGTATATCCTGATATCATCTATTCATCCAATGATATTTGTATTAGTTTTGGAAATAAAGGTAGAAAGTGGATACAGTCACAGATTTATAAGAAGTTGTTTTATCAACAAGACAAAAGTCACAAAAAAATGTATAACATTATATGTACCTTAATTTTTCTTTAAGTAGTAGACTTGATATTTTAGAATAGTTTTAGATTTGCAGAAAAACTGAGCATATAGAACAGAGTTCCCATATTACTCCCCCGTAAATACACACAGTTCCCCTATTATTAACATTTTACATTCATGATATAATTAATGAGCAATACTGATACATTGTTAACTGAAGTTTATAGGTGTTTAGACTTTCCTTAGTTTTTGCCTAATGGCTTTGTTTGTCCCAGGATCCCATCCAGGATACCTTATTGCATTGAGTTGACATGTCTCCTGAGGCTTCTCTTGGCTAGGACAGTTTCTCAGACTTTCCTTGTTTTTGATGACCTTGACAATTACGTGAGGAGTACTGGCCAGGTATATTGTAGGATGTGCCACTATTGGACTTGGTCTGATGTTTTTCTCATGAATGTGGGTAAATCCCTTAATCTCTCAATATCTCCTTCCAGACTTAGGAATAATAGATAAAAGATTAGCACCATTTGCAACAGGTAGGCTATTAAAGAGTAATACTTGCCATAGATGCTTTCATAGGACATCTAGTACCAGAAGCTTAAGTACTTACTGAAGACTGATTTTTGTGGTGATATAAGAAGAAATGATGCTATATATTACATAGTAAGGGGCAGTCATTTTAAGAACCATTTAAAGTTCATAAAATCAGAAGTATTCCTGGAGGAATTCAAATGCCATTCCATTTTCTTTAATTGAATTTATTTGTTCACATTTCAAGATTGAAAGAAAATGATGAAAAGGTTGAAAGATAAACCTAAAGGAAGAAACTAGTTTGCTGTTTTTTGTTTTGTTTTGTTTTGTTTTTGAGATGGAGTCTCGTTCTGTCTCCCAGGCCAAAGTGCAGTGGTGCAGTCTCGGCTCACTGCAACCTCTGCCGCCTGGGTTCAAGCGATTCTCCTGCCTCAGCCTCCCAAGTAGCTGGGATTACAGGCACTCTCCACCACACCCAGCTAATTTTTTGTATTTTTAGTACAGACAGGGTTTCACCACGTAGGCCAGGCTGGTCTTGAACTTCTGACCTCAGGTGATCTGCCCGCCTCAGCCTCCCAAAGTGCTGGGATTACAGGCGTGAGCCACCGCACCCAGCCTTTTTTTGTTTTTTAAAGAAGAAACTAGTTTCCTTTGCCAGTATCTTATTAGCTGTGCCTAGTGATGAGCTTTTTAAGTCCATACCTTTGTATAGCGAGCACATCTGCATGATTATAATTACCTCAAGGAAATTTATTTATAGCCCCTTTTCTATTTAAAAGGTTTAGAGTTATCTCTTTATGCCATTATAAGCTTATTTTTGTCGTCATTACATGTGGAAAGGTTCTGAGCTCTTCATAGAGTACAAAGTTTAAAAATAACTTGTGAAAAAGAAAGCAACAAAGCAAGACCAACTGAATGTTCTTTAATTTTTTTAATAGAATGAGTGCTGTTGAGTAACAACAGGTTTTCGTTTTTGTTTTCTTTTTTTTTTTTTTTTTTTTTAGCTCCTAACAGATAATTCTCCAGACCAAGGACCAAATAAGGTTTTTGATCTTTGCGTAGTATGTGGAGACAAAGCATCAGGTAACATTAAGAATAACCTCCTAAAAACAGAAAAAAAAAATAACCTCCTATATGTGTCGTGTTGTTGAAATAACTACCACACTACCATGTTTCTTCTACTAAAAGTAAGAAGAGAAATAAAGGAGTATGTCGTTTTTATGGTTCATATTTGTAGCCTATAACATTTAACTAATTTTTTCCCAGAGTTCTTTGTTTGTGATATAGAGTCTCACTGTTGCTCCGGCTGGAATGCAGTGGCGTGATCTCAGCTCACTGCAGCCTCTACCTCCTGGATTCAAGAAATTCTCCTGCCTCGGCCTCCCAAGGAGCTGGGGCTAAGGTGCATGCCAGCACGCATGGCTAATTTTTGTATTTTTATTGGAAATGGAGTTTCACCATGTTGGCCAGGCTGGTCTCAAACTCGTGACCTCAGGTGATCCACCCTCCCCTCCTTGGCCTCCCAAAGTGCTGGGATTACAGGTGTAAGCCCCCATGCCCGGTCCCAAAGTTCTTTATTCACTTATATTTTTTAACTTCAGTGCAATTTAATATGATTTGTAATGAAATAAAATGCATATTTCACTTTTGAAAGTGAACATGTAAAAAAAAAATTTTTTTTTTTTTTGAGATGGAGTCTTGCGCTGTCACCCTGACTGTAGTGCAGTGGTGCAATCTCGGCTCACTGCAACCTCTGCCTCCTGGGTTCAAGCAATTCTCCTGCCTCGGCCTTCTGAGTAGCTGGGACTACAGGCGTGTGCCACCATGCCCTGCTAATTTTTGTATTTTCAGTAGAGACGGGCTTTTGCCATGTTGGCCATGCTGGTCTTGAACTCCTGACCTCAAGTGATCCACCTGCCTTGGCCTCCCAAAGTGCTAGGATTACAGGCGTGAGTTACCACGCCCAGCTGTAGAAACATTTTTTAATGTGAAAACTAGAAATTTTGGCAAAGGAATCATTTAAAAATAATGACTTCTGATCTTTAATAATATATTACATTAGGCCAGGTGAGATGGCTCATGCCTGTAATCCCAGCACTTTGGGAGTGGAGGCAGGAGGATCGCTTGAGGCCAGGAGTTCAAGACCAGCCTGGGCAAAATGGCAAGACTGCCTCTACAAAAAAAAATAATAATAAAACTGGTCGGGTGTGGTGGCGCAAGCCTGTAGTCCCAGCTAGTTGGGGATATCCCTTGAGTCCAGTAGTTCGAGACTGCAGTGAACTGTGATCGCACCATTACACTTCAGCCTGGGCCACAGAGCGAGATCCCGTCTCTAAAAAAGTTATGATAAATAAAAATAACTTCTAAAAATGTTTTTCATGTCAGAAGCTCAAAAATCAGTTTCATCTTATATGTTGTTTAAAGGGAAGAAATTGGCTTATGTCATTTCTGTTCTGAAATAATGTGACTTTTATATTTTCTTAAACATTTTCTCTCTAGGACGTCATTATGGAGCAGTAACTTGTGAAGGCTGCAAAGGATTTTTTAAAAGAAGCATCCGAAAAAATTTAGTATATTCATGTCGAGGATCAAAGGATTGTATTATTAATAAGCACCACCGAAACCGCTGTCAATACTGCAGGTTACAGAGATGTATTGCGTTTGGAATGAAGCAAGACTGTATGTATTAGCTTTTAAGGAGAAAATACTTTTTAAAGATTCCAGCAAACTACAAGAGTATTGAAATTAACAAAATATGTCAAATATGTATACTTTTTAGTTTACAGTTTTCCAACTAAAAATATAAGAATACAGACCTACGTATGTACTTTTTTATTTATTCAACTAATATTTATTGAATACCTGTGTAAAAAGCACGTATTTGTAGTTTGTGTTTGGCAAAAAGAATGAGAGATGCAAATTGGTTTGTTTTACTAATCTAAAGCAACTTTGTTGAACTTGCACATAATTTCTAAAGATTGATGGTTATCTTTGGAGTTTAGTATGGTAGCCATGTCTCCTATTAGCAGCATTAAGCTTACCTACAGCTTACATTTCTAATTGTCTGTAAATCCTATATTGTGATATAATAGTTTAACACATTTTTGTAGCTGTCCAATGTGAAAGAAAACCCATTGAAGTATCACGAGAAAAATCTTCCAACTGTGCCGCTTCAACAGAAAAAATCTATATCCGAAAGGACCTTCGTAGCCCATTAACTGCAACTCCAACTTTTGTAACAGATAGTGAAAGTACAAGGTAAAGTAAAACAGACACTGAGTAGCTGGTCATTTTGTTTTTCTTCCCAATGAAACTCAGGCCAAAATTTGTGCTGATTTGTTACAGGTCAACAGGACTGTTAGATTCAGGAATGTTCATGAATATTCATCCATCTGGAGTAAAAACTGAGTCAGCTGTGCTGATGACATCAGATAAGGTGTGTTTAGTACAATTTAAAGCTTAGATAATTTTAAGCATTTTAAAATGTTTTCTAATCACTTCCTTTGCTTTGGTAAATTGCTTTGTTCTTAAATATTCCATATTACAAGTTGCCTTTTTTTTTTTAATATAAATTAGAAATGTTCGGCTGGGCACAGTGGCTCACATCTGTAATCCCAGCACTTTGGGAGGCCGAGGCACATGGATCGCTTGAGGTCAGAAGTTCAAGACCAGCCTGACCAACATGGAGAAACCCCGTCTCCAGTAAAAATGGAAAAATTAACTGGGCGTGGTGGCGCATGCCTGTAATCCCAGCTACTCGGGAGGCTGAGGCAGGAGAATCGCTTGAACCCGGTAGGTGGAGGTTGCAGTGAGCCGAGATAGTGCCATTGCACTCCCGCCTGGGCAACAAGAGCGAAACTCTGTCTCAAAAAAAAAAAAAAAAAAAAAAATCAGAAATGTTCATAATTTCACTAGGATGATTATCCCTTCAACATGAAAGCAACAAACACGTACTCTTCCCTCATCTTGAAATACGAGTCCTCAGTAAGACATTTATTATAGGTGTAAAAGTCTTTTTTTTTTTTTTTTTGAGATGGAGTCTCACTCTGTTGCCGAGGCTAGAGTGCAGTGGCACAGTCTCGGCTCACTGCAAGCTCCGCTTCCCGGGTTCCCGCCATTCTCCTGCCTCAGCCTCCTGAATAGCTGGGACTACAGGCACCTGCCACCACACCCAGCTAATTTTTTTGTATTTTTAGTAGAGACGGGGTTTCACCTTGTTAGCCAGGATGGTCTCGATCGCCTGACCTCGTGATCCACCCGCCTTGGCCTCCCAAAGTGCTGGGATTACAGGCGTGAGCCAGCACGCCCAGCCGTACAATTCTTAATATTTCTTTTATGCTCCCTTACAGATTTGTTAGTGCCAAAATACTTTTTTTATTTTTTAGTGCCAAAATACTTAAAATATTTCAGGTAAAAGGAAATTCTTAGCTCACCTCCATCAAAATATTTACTTGAGTCAAGAGTAGGAATAGGACTGCAAGAGCTCTCCTTTTATGTATCCAAGTCATCCAGTTCTCTTAGAGATTGGAGCAGCTCTATGTTAGACCAAGGGTCTAAAGGAAAAACAGTTTGTTTATTTAAATTGAACATGAAGAGTTTCTGTACTTGTCAGAAGCCCTTTGGGAGAACAAGAAGCAAAAATTTCTCCTGAAAACTCATATCTGAAAACAGATTTTAGGAAGCCTATGATCAGGGTTTCTCTCAACCATGTTTGTTTTTTAAACAGGGTCCCCTCTTGTCACCCAAGCTGGGGGTACGGTGGTGGCACAGTAATGGCTTGCTGCAGCCTCGTCCTCTCAGGCTCCAGGGATCCTCTCACCTCAGCCTCCCAAGAAGCTAGGGCTGCAGGCACGTGACACTGTGCCTGGCTAATTTTTCCTATTTTTGTAGAGACCGAGTTTCATTGTGTTACCCAGCTGGTCTCGAACTCCTGGGCTCAAGTGACCCTCCCACCTCAGCCTTCCAGATTGCTGGGGTTATGTGCATGAGCCTCCCTACCTAGCTGGGATCTGATTTTTTTTTTTTTTTTTTTTTTTGAGACGGAGTCTTGCTCTGTTACCCCGTCTGGAGTGCAGTGTCCCGATCTCGGCTCACTGCAGCCTCCGCCTCCTGGGTTCACGCCATTCTCCTGCCTCAGCCTCCCAAGTAGCTGGGATTACAGGCGCCCGCCACCACGCCCGGCTAATTTTTTGTATTTTTAGTAGAGACAGGGTTTCACCATGTTAGCCAGGATGGTCTCAATCGCCTGACCTCATGATCCGCCTGCCTCAGCCTCCCAGAGTGCTGGGATTACAGGCGTGAGCCACTGCGCCCGGCCGGGATCTGATTTTATATAACCTATAAGATTATTTGTCCTGTTTATGCAAGATTTGTTATATATTTGTCACTTGATGCTTTAAGGCGCTCTAAATACTTAGGCTCGGAAATCAAATTTCATCTACCACTTACTAGCTATATAACATTAGGCAAGTTATTTGACCTCTTAGTGCCTTACTTTCTCATCTGTAAAATAAGAGTAATAAAAGTATCTTACAGTTTGGGCTTTAGCATGTAATTGCTAGGTGAGGCAGTGGCCTCTTGCCATATATTTTGGAAAACTTCACTTAGCCCTGTCTGCATGATTCAAGGTTAGAATGATAATTGGTTTTACTGACATATTAACTCCTTTAAGAAAGGAAGGGAACTAGGTTTCCTTGACAAACTACTCTGCCCAGACACTGTGCTCTCTTGTATATCTTTGTATTAAATTGTTATGACAACCGTATGGTAAGCTTCTCTGATAAATTGCCCCAAAACTCTGAAGTCACAAGATGAAAGTTTTCTATGTTGGCTAAGAGCCTTTAGGGGCAAAAACTTAAGAATCTAGTTAGAAAGAAAAATTCTTCTGCCTTGGGATCCTGTTGATCGGTGACCTTACCCCCAACCCTGTGCTCTCTGAAACATGTGCTGTGTCCACTCAGGGTTAAATGGATTAAGGGCGGTGCAAGATGTGCTTTGTTAAACAGATGCTTGAAGGCAGCATGCTCGTTAAGAATCATCACCACTCCCTAATCTCAAGTACCCAGGGACACAAACACTGTGGAACGCTGCAGGGTCCTCTGCCTAGGAAAACTAGAGACCTTTGTTCACTTGTTTATCTGCTGACCGTCCCTCCACTATTGTCCTATGACCCTGCCAAATCCCCCTCTGCGAGAAACACCTAAGAATGATCAATAAAAAAATAAAATAAAATAAAAAAGAATCTAGTTAGATATGTTGCTAGGTAGAAGAGACTATATAAGCTTCTAAGTTTTAGGTGAATATTAAAGCATTTAAAATTGTAACTAATGTACTTTTTATTCAAATATAAGAAAATTTCTTGGGGCAGTGCTTAACATTATGGGCTTTTCTGGGCACAGTGGCTCAAGCCTGTATCCCAGCAGCTCAGGAGGCTGAAGTTGAAGAGTTCCTTGAGGCTAGGAATTTGAGACCAACCTGGGAAACATAGCGAGACTCTGTCTCTAAAAATAAAAAAATTACCCAGGCATGGTGGTACATGCCTGTAGTCCCAGCTGTTTGGGAGGCTGAGGCAGAGGATTACTTGAGCCTAGGAGTTCAAAGCTGCAGTGAGCTATGATCCTGGCACTGCACTCCAGTCTAGGCGATAGGAGTGTCTCTAAAAAACACTGTCTCTTAAAAAAAAAAAAAAGCATAGACTTTGGCAGTCAGCCAGTCCCACCTCTACTATTTGGGTCATTTTTCTGGTTAGCAATAGAGGAATGATGATTTCTATTTCAGAGTTGTTATGGGAGTTAAATAAAATGCATATATAGGTATTAATTATGTAAGAACATGATAACTGGTAGGGTTTTCAGTAAATGATTTTTGGACCATTGATTAATTTGGAGAAGGCACAAAAATTATTTTATTCTACTGATTCACCAAAATCTCACAGAAACTGATTGTTATAATAAATGAAACATCATGGGAACATATGTGTTATTTTAGTATTAAGAACACCAAAAAGGGCCAGGCACAGTGGCTCACGCCTGTAATCCCAGCACTTTGGGAGGCCAAGGCGGGCAGATCACGAGGTCAGGAGATCGAGACTGTCCTGGCTAACACAGTGAAACCCTGTCTCTACCAAAAATACAAAAAATTAGCTGGGCATGGTGGCGGGCGCCTGTAGTCCCAGCTCCTCAGGAGGCTGAGGCAGGAGAATGGCGTGAACCCAGGAGGTGGAGCTTGCAGCGAGCCGAGATCGCACCACTGCACTCCAGCCTGGCGACAGAGTAAGACTCTGTCTCAAAAAAAAAAAAAAAAAAAAACACCAAAAAGAAAAAACCATGAAGAAAGTATTAATAAGAAGATACCATTAAGGGGTTGGCCCAGTAGGCCATAGAAGGCAACTTAAAAGGCTTCTCATTAGGTTAGGATGGGAAAGGATTTACAAAAGAATTTAATAAATTTAAATCAAATATATGAAAATCTATGAATTAAAAATTATACTCAGAAAAACTCATGTATCATAATTAGAAATTGCTAGGATATCAGCTTCTTGCTCTGAAAATTGATAACAAAGTAAAAGAAAAATAAAGCACTTACCTGCCTTTCCCGTACAAATTATATTTCTGAGTTGTCAAAAGAGTTGAGAGAAAATTCTTTTTTATAAAAGAATTGTAGCTAATGCACAAGTAATATACACATTTTCAACAAACATTAAAAAAATGAAGACAAGCCGGGCACGGTGGCTCATGTCTGTAATCCCAGCACTTTGGGAAACTGTGGCAGGTAGATCACTTGAGCCCAGGAGTTTGAGACCAGCCTGGGCAACATGATGAAACCCCATCTCTACAAAAAATTAAAAAATTAGCTGGACATGGTGGTATGCGCCCGTAGTCAGGAGGCTGAGGTGGGAAGATCACTTGAACCCAGGAGTTGGAGGTTGCAGTGAGCTGAGATCACACCACTGCACTCCAGCCTGGGTGACAGAGTGAGACTCTGTCTCAAAAAAAAAAAGACAAATAGATCAGTATCTTACCTATATAAAGAGAGTTTTCAACTCCAGTGACAAAAAAGTGAAGAGAATAATGGGTAACTGATCTATTTCTTTTAATGTTTGTGTTTAACACAGTGCCTTTTAACACATTTAATTAACACAATGTTTGGCAAAAGTTGGCATCCTAGGAAGTCTGTTCAACAATTCATTTGCCATTTTTTCCCCCGCTCTTCACTAGTATTCTTCATATTCCATACAAGTTTATAGTTTGTATAGTAAGTTTTAGAAATTGTACTCAGGAGGCTGAGGCAGGGAGGATCACTTGATACCAGGAGTTCAAGACCAGCCTGGGCAACACAGCAAGACCCCATTTCTAAAAATGAAAAAACAACCCAGGCATAGCAGTGCACACCTGTAGGATCAGCTGCTCAGGAGGCTGAGGTAGGAGGATCAGTGAGCCCAGAAATTTAAGGATGCAGTGATCTGTGGTCGTGCCACTGTACTCCAGTCTGGGTGACAAAGGGAGACCTTGTCTCTTAAAAAAAAGTAACATATACGGCCGGGCGCGATGGCCCACGCCTGTAATCCCAACACTTTGGGAGGCCGAGGCAGGCAGATCATGAGGTCAGGAGATCAAGACCATCTTAGCCAACATGGTGAAACCCTGTCTCAGCTAAAATACAAAAAATTAGTTGGGCATGGTAGCATGTGCCTGTAATCCCAGCTACTTGGGAGGCTGAGGCAGGGGAATCGCTTGAACCTGGCAGGCAGAGGTTGCGGTGAGCTGAGATCATGCCACGGCACTCCAGCCTAGTGACAGAGTGAGACTCCATCTCCCAAAAAAAAAAAAAACAAAGTAACATATAAACATTTCTTAAGAAATACACTTGATGTTTTTAAACTTGTATTTTCCTCAGTAAATTTCTGAAAGCTCAGCCCTTTAACTTTCCAGGTTTCATTTATCATACTGTTCTTTTGTTGGCATATCATAATCTATAATTGGATATTTCAGATTGAAAAAAATAGTGATACCAATTCACAGAATTTTAATACCCTTTTTTTTAAAGGCTGAATCATGTCAGGGAGATTTAAGTACATTGGCCAATGTGGTTACATCATTAGCGAATCTTGGAAAAACTAAAGATCTTTCTCAAAATAGTAATGAAATGTCTATGATTGAAAGCTTAAGCAATGATGATACCTCTTTGTGTGAATTTCAAGAAATGCAGACCAACGGTGATGTTTCAAGGTAAGGTATCTTTTGATTATCAATGTCCTTTTGTTTACATGTCTTTCAGTATTTCTTAAAACATTTTTATGTTAAATGCTATTTATAAAAGTTTCAGAAAACAAATACAGGTTGATTATCTAAATACAGGTTGATTATCTCTTATCCGAAATGCTTTGTTCAGACCAGAAACACTTCAGATTTCAGATTTTGGAATGTTTGCATTACTCTGGGTACCATGCAGGCCTTTCTGACCTTTTCAAAAATATCTTTACACCACAAAGAAGAGAATATGCAAAAATCCACAGTGAGTAATACACATAGGTCTTGGCTCCTCATGGGGAATCGGGGGAACTTGCCATTGGCATGTCTGGCCTGTACATGTGCCATTTTATCATCCTTAGTGGGCGTGCTTACTTGGGGGAGTCTGGGCGTATACAGAAAAGATTTATCTCAGCTGGGAGGATCTTTTTTCCCTTGGGGACAGGGAATAAACACTGAATAAACTGTAATACACCTGCTTTTTGACTGCAACCCATCATGAGAGGTCAGGTGTGAAATTTCCACTTGTGGCATCATGTTGGTGCTCAAAAAGTTTCTGATTTTAGAGCATTTTGGATTTTAGTATTAGGAATGCTTAACCTACATTTCTATTTTCACTTAGAAAATTTAAGGCATAGTAAGTTTTCACTGAAAACCTGCATTCATTATGAAAGGTTATATTCTAAATGACAAAATCAGTAAGTGAATATTAGAAGATTAGAAATGTGGTCTTAAAACCTAGGAATTTTTTCTTCTAAAGATGAAGATGTGTATGGAGAGCGAAACACTTGTCTTTCTAGGCAATCATATTGATCCTGCTCCTCAATTTCTAGTGATGAAAATTAATGTAAAAGGTTTAGTTTAATCAACTACAGTTTTAAGTTACAGTTGAAGAAAGTAGTATCAGAATTCTGTTTTTTATTCTGTAAATATTAATGCTTAGGATATAGAAACAGTTTATTCAGGGTTTTCCTACACTGCGTTTATCATTTAAAATATTGAATAAGCTGAACACATTAGTGTATAGGAGGCTGAGGCGGGAAGATCACTTCAGCCTGGGATTTTGAGTCAACCGGCAACTAGACCCCATCTCTAAAGGAAAAAAAAAGATATGATAAAAATACGCTGAATTGGCCGGGCACGGTGGCGTATGCCTGTAATCCTACCACTTTAGGAGGCCGAGAGGGGTGGATCACCTGAGGTCAGGAGTTTGAGACCAGCCTGGCCAACATGGTGAAACCCCATCTCTACTAAAAATGAAAAAATTAGCTGGGTGTGGTGGCGCATGCCTGTAATCCCAGCTACTTGGTAGGCTGAGGCAGGAGAACCGCTTGAACCCCAGAGATGGAGGTTGCAGTGAGCCGAGGTCACGCCACTGTACTCTAGCCTGGGCGACAAAACGAGAGTCTGTCTCAAACAACAACAAAACATAATATATATACTGAATAAACTACATTTAAGAGTCACAATAAGTAATACTTTGTTGAACATGAGATTTTAAGAAACTCTAGGAGGCTTATTGAAAAATATGGGGAACTATTTTGAGTAATTATTTGCTAACATTAGTTTGTTATTATTCTAATATCAAATTGTTACAGTTTAGATTTAGCTATGTGACCACACATTTTAAAATACTCTCTGCCCGGGTGCAGTAGCTCATGCCTGTAATCTCAGCACTTTGGGAGGCCAAGGTGGCAGGATTGCTTGAGTCCAGGAGTTGGGAGACCAGCCTTAGCAACATAGTGAGGCCCAGTTTCTACAGATAATTTAAAAATTAGCTGAGCATGGTGGTGCGCACATGTAGTCCCAGCTGCTCGGGAGGTTGAGGTGGGAGGATCGCTTGCTTGAACCCAGGAGTTCAGGATTACAGTGAGCCATGATCATGCCACTGCACTCCAGCCTTGCTGACACAGGGAGAATGTGTTTCAAAAATAAACATGAGTAAAATGTTTTCTGAATTTTTAAATAAAATTTAAGACCTATTGTACTGTGTATAATAAAGTTGACATAAGTTCTTACCCTTGTTCTAAGTAACTTTTGTATACAAAATAAATAGGCTGATAGTCTTGTAGTATCATATATATATATATCATACATATAATGTTCTTAAAAAATAATTAATTGAAAAGAATTTCGTTTAATTGAGACAGGGTCTTGCTGTGTCACCCAGGCTGGAGTACAGTGGTGTGATCATAGCTCACTGCAGCCCTGCCCTCCTGGACTCAAGCGATAAAATATATAACTTTTAAAAACATATTATTATATGAAAATATGAAGATGCTTCTCCCCCTTAATTATGCAAGATTTTAAAAAGAGACTTTAGGCCAGGCATGTGGCTTATACCTGTAATCCCAGCACTTTGGAAGGCTGAGGCGGGCATATCACTTGAGTTCTAGACCAGCCTGGCCAGTTTTTTAGGCTTAAATCTTAATTCCAGAATCCTATGTAGAATTGTTATTTTATTGCGGTGTTTGGTCAAGCTCATAGCTTCTGATGTCTTCATACAGGGCATTTGACACTCTTGCAAAAGCATTGAATCCTGGAGAGAGCACAGCCTGCCAGAGCTCAGTAGCGGGCATGGAAGGAAGTGTACACCTAATCACTGGAGATTCAAGCATAAATTACACCGAAAAAGAGGGGCCACTTCTCAGCGATTCACATGTAGCTTTCAGGGTATTTCTATATGTTTTTTTTAACTTGTATGTTGTGTTGCTTGATTTTGATCTACCTTTCAAAAATCAAAGTATGTTTGTTGTGCTTTTAAAGTCAGAAATATCCCTGATAGAATTTCAGAACAGCAGCTAAAACACTCATCTGGGCCAGGCACAGTGGCTTATGCCTGTAATCCTGGCATTTTGGGAGGCCAAGGTGGGCAGATCACCTGAGGTCAGGAGTTCGAGACCAGCCTGACCAACATGGAGAAACCCTGTCTCTACTAAAAATACAAAATCAGCCAGGTGTGATGGTGCATGCCTGTAATCCCAGCTACTCGGGAGGCTGAGGCAGGACAATCGATTGAACTCGGGAGGCGGAGGTTATGGTGAACCGAGATCACGCCATTGCACTCCAGCCTGGGCAACAAGAGCAAAACTCTGTCTCAAAAAAAAAAAAAAAAAAACTCATCTGCATATAGAAACAAAATGTCTTTAGGCTTTTCTCTTCTGTTTATCAAGATACTGAATAAGCTGGGCATGTTAGTGTGCATCTATGCAGGAGGCTAAAGCCTTATGTAGATAAGATAATGGCGTAATAAAGCATCCTGTTAAGTCAGTTATAATAGCAGTTATTGCGTTTAAAAGTTAGCTTTTATAACTTTTCAGCACATTTTGTTAAACTTTAAGTATTGGCATTCATGATGTGTTGAATGGACTGCTTTTGTTCAATGCCTAGCTACTACTATATCGTAATCAATAAGACCCAGATAGTTTGCTCTTACCATAGTAACTACAAAGAGCTCCATTTGTTATGTATCATCTTAATTAGCTGGCTTCCAGCATTATTATAAGATACAAATTGGCCAGGTGCAGCTGCTCCCACCTGTCATCGCAGTACTTTGGGAGGCTGAGGCCAGAGGATTGCATGAGTCCAGGAGTTGGAGACCAGCCTGGGCAACATGCCGAGACCTCATCTCTATTATAAATTAAAATTACATAATAAAATTTAAAAAGATACAAATTATTTAATATATTTTAACTTTTAGTTTTTAACTTACACTTTTTAGCCATTTTGGAGAAGGTACATTTATAATTTATTTTGTTCCCATAAATAATTGTGGGTTTTGCCATTACTTTTAAGGCTGCAATTACTTTTTCACCAACCTAATTTATTTATGACAGAAACAATACATGCAGAATACTAGAAATAATACATGTAGAAGACTAGAAAATCACTTTCTACTATTTGTCATTCAAATAATGCTTGGACAGAGTTATAGCCATGCTCACTGTGGAGACCTTACATTACGATCCTGTTGTTTTGACTCTTCCATTTTAACCACTCAGCTGTGGATACTCTTAGCAAGATGTATGCAAAGGGATTGAATGCATATAGATTTCACTTAGCAATATATAGCAGTCTTGGAATACCTGAGGGTGACTGCTCATACTTTTACTATAGATTATAAAATTCCATGGATTTTTTTAGGAGAATATGTACAGCTATCAAATAAATATGTATACCAGTAGAAGTTATGAGTGCAAAGTAATATTTGTATCTATAAAATTTGACTTGGTAGAAATAGCCACAGAGAAAACTCAGTGGCTTAAAATAGTGTAATTTGATGTAGTCAATAAAATATATCAGTGAAGCCAATTTTTATGTAAAATTTTACCAAAGATAATTTACATGGAAAAAATTAGAAATTTTTTTTCTACACTCTACAGGAAAATTTTTTATGAGTGCTATAAGAAAAAGTAATTGGAATAATCAGTATCATTCTAAAAAATTATGGTAAGATTTATGGACAAGGGTGGAGCAAGGCAAAACTTGATTTTTCCCATTGTTCTTTCGTATTCTAAATAAAAGATACTCTTTTGTTTTCTTAGGTTTATGTTCTGCTTTGGATTTAAATGGGAGGAAGGATGAAATGAGACAGATGTAGGAACAGGACCCATTGTGAGGGAAAAGGACCAGAGTGCTCTTTAGAAAGTAGGGGTAGTTTACCTGTTTATTGTTAATGTTGGTCCTCAAAGTTTTTGATTGCTTGAAATGTTTTGGACAGAAGAATTTGGCAAATTACAACTTTTTTTTCTTCTTAGGATTGGCTTTTGTCATTCCCATCTTTGTCTTCCTAAGTATCCTCACAGTCAGCACTATAAAGTTTCTTACTCTCCTGAAAAGGACCACTTCATCTTTCTCGGAGTCTTACAGCCTTGTGAAGTCAAATGTTTGACTTTTCAGTGATTTCCCTGCTTAGCTCCTAGAGTCTGGTAATTTCATGGTTCTCACATTGAAGTTTTCTGATCATGGGTTTCAAGACCTTACATCTGTAATCAAACAACTCAGTCCTTTCTTACTTGCTGAGCTGAATAGCATTTTGTTCCTCTGTTGCATTTCTATGTACACTGTAGTTTGCAGCATATTTTCACATACACTGTTTCCTTTGGGCCTCACCACATAAGCTGAGGTTAGAATTTTTAATTTTTTTTTTCTTTGTGAGATAGGGTCTCACTCTCACCCAGGCTGGAGCGCAGTGGCATAATCACAGCTCACTGCAGCCTCGACCTCCTGGGCTCAAGGGATTCTCCTGCTTCAGTCTTTCATGTTGCTGAGACCACAGGCATGTGCCACCACACCCAGCTAATTTAAAAAATTTTTGTGTAGAGATGGGATCTCACTTTGTTGTCCAGGCTTATCTTATACTCCTGGCCTCAAGTGATCCTCTCACTTCGGCCTCCCGAAGTGCTGGGATTACAAGTGTAACCCACCATACCTGGTAGGGTTAGAATTTTTATTCTCATTTGGTGGATGAAGAAAGAGATGTAGAGATGTTTAGTGTCTTGTTCAAAGCAATCTTGGTAGTAGGGAGAAATAGTCTAATAATGAAACTTGAAGTTTGATTTTGAAAAATCAAGGGCAGTAGTAATATTTAAGATTTTTATTGGCCGGGTGTGGTGGCTCACACCTGTAATCCTAGCACTTTGGGAGGCCTACGCAGGCAGATCACCTGAGGTCAGGAGTTCGAGACCAGCCTGGCCAACATGACGAAATCCCGTGTTTACTAAAAATACAAAAATTAGCCAGGCGTAGTGGTGCATGCCTATAACCCCAGCTACTCAGGAGGCTGAGGCAGAAGAATTGCTTGAACCCGGGGAGGCGGAGGTTGCCGTGAGCCAAGATTGCATCACTGCCTTCCAGCCTAAGTGACAGAGCGATACTCCATCTTTCAAAAAAAAAGAAAAAGATTTTTATTAAACTTCATAATTTTTGGTATGATTTCATGTACTTTATTTTACTTGATTCTTAAAATCTCCTTAGAAGATTTTAAGAATATGGTAGATCATATTCCCATTTTAGAAATTATATACATGCAACAGAAGTGAGGTGGTTTTGGAAATTGCATATACTTATTTCTAAAATTTTATTATTTTCACATTAGAGTCAGTCTTTCTGGTCGCCCATGTTTGCAACTTTAGAGGCAGTTACTCTCCCTAAGCCTCACTCTTCTCATTCCATAACTGAATTTTAACCATTCCATTGCTTGAATTTCTCCCTTCCTCTTCATTTCCTTCACCATATTTTAGGCCTTTTAAAATTCCTTTCTTGATTTGTTACCCTAATATCTTCGCTTCCAGTCTTTCTTTTCCATCTTGTCCTGTGTGCTGGTACCAGCGTTATATTTGTTAAAAATCAAATTATGTCACTCTGCCCAGCCTTCAGTAGCTTCCCATTGCCCATATGTTATGAAATTAAGTCCGGTCTCTATAACTTGACCTTTTAGGGCCCTCCACATTCTGACCCAGCTGCTCATGGTTTCTCACACATGCCATTAGCTTTCTTAGCCCTTTTCTATAGCTCATTCAGTTTTTATTTTATTCTTCCACTGAGACAATAGCACTTACTGGTTCCCAGTGAACTCTAAGTAAATAGTTACTGAATGAATATGTAATCTAGGGTCATACTGGTAATTAGGCGAAGTGATTAACAAAAAGTTGGAAGCAGAATCCAGATCTCCTAACTCAAATGATTTTTTTCTATTTGTGTGGAGATGAGGTTTCACTATGTTGCCCAGGCTGGTCTCAAACTCCTGGCCACAAGCAATGATCTTCCCACCTCGACCTCCCAAAAGTGCTGAGATTATAGGCCTGAGCCACTGTGCTTGTGCTCAGCCTCCAAGGATTTTGTTTTTGTTTTTGTTTTTTTGAGACAGACTGGCTCTATAGCCCAGGCTGGAGTGCAGTGGCATGATCGCGACTCACTGCAACCTCTGCCTCCCAGACTCAAGCCATCCTCCCACCTCAGCCTCCTGAGTAGCTGGGACTACAGGCATGCACCACCACTCCCAGCTGATTTTTGTATTTTTTTAAATACAGACGAGGTTTCATCATGTTGCCCATGCTAACTCATGAGCTCCAATGATCCGCCCACCTCGGCCCCCCCAAAGTGCTGGGATTATAAGCGTGAGCCATCACACCCGGCCATCCAGTGATTTTTTAAAAGCTATATCGGCTGGGCAGGGTGGCTCGCACCTGTAATCTCAGCACTTTGGGAGGCTGAGGTGGGTGGATCACGAGGTCAGGAGTTCAAGACCAGACTGACCAACGTGGTGAAACCCCGTCTCTACTAAAAATACAAAAAAAAAAAAAAATTAGCCGGGTGTGGTGGCGGGCACCTGTAATCCCAGCTACTCAGGAGGCTCAGGCAGGAGAATTGCTTGAACCCGGGAGGCGGAGGTTGCAGTGAGCCAAGATGGCACCACTGCACTGCAGCCTGGGCGACAGAGCAAGACTGCATCTCAAAAAAAAAAAAAGCTATATCACGCAGGCTGTTATAAGATTTCAATACAGAAACTGCTAGAAAGATAATTGTAGAAGCAACTAATAACTTCTAAAACAGATTGGTCAGGTTTAGTTCTTGTCAATGCTCTTTAAAAATTCACTCAATATGTTGAACTTTTCTAATTTGAAAAATGTGTATAATTCAATTTATAAACCTAAAGATATACAGGCATTTTGGGGAAGCTCACTCTTTATATAGGAATAAATCTTTGTCTTTTCAGTCTCAAAGACTTGTGAAATGGACTATTGTTTCTTCAGCCAACATTAGCTTTCTGATTCAGAATACTAGAGTTTTATTGAGCATGTAGAACAGATTATGAAACATTTTCTCTCTTTATAAGTTAACATGGTGTAGTAATATTTTAAATAACGAGTCCCTTTAGTGTGTGTTGTAAACTATTTCCATTTTATGATTAAACCAGCAGAAAGTTTTCAGAGTTACCACCACTGTTGTGTAAAGCAAAACCATTATATCCAGTGTTTACACATTACAAGTATTAATATTTTATTTAAATGCAATTTTAAACTATTTTGCAAAGGATTTTTTTTTTTTTTGAGACAGAGTCTTGCTCTGTCTCCCAGGCTGGAGTACAGTGGCACAATCTTGGCTCACTGCAGCCTCTACCCGCTGGGTTCCAGCTGTTCTTGGCACCTCAGCCTCCCGAGTAGCTGGGATTACAGGCACACACCGCCATGCCCGGCTAATTTTTTGTATTTTTAGTAGAGACCTGGTTTTACCTCATTGGCAGGCTGGTCTTGAACTCCTGACCTCAAGTGATCTGCCTGCCCTGGCCTCCCAGAGTGCTGGGATTACAGGCCTGAGCCACCACGCCTAGCCTTACAAAGGACTTTTTTGTTGTTGTTTTGCATCTTACTTGCCCCTTCCCCCAAAACTAGTAATTTTTGGTAATTCCCTTAGTTTTTCAGACTTCCTTTTTACTCACCTTGGGTAATTCTGAAAAGATATGATATATTTTGTTTTTTAAGATGTGGTCTTGCTCTGTCACCCAGGCTGGAGTTCAGTGGCACAATCCTGGCTCACTGCAACCTCTACCTCCTGGGCTAAAGGGATCCTTCTGCCTCAGTCTGCTAAGTAACTGGGATTATAGGTGCACACCACCATGTCCAGCTAATTTTTTTATTTTTAGAGATGAGGTCTTACTGTGTTTCCCAGGTTGGTCTCAAAATTCCTAGGTTCAAGCAGCTCTTCCACCTCAGCCTCCCGAGTTGCTGGGATACAGGTGTGAGCCATCACTCCTGGCTAAATTTTTAATTTTTTGTTTTGTGTGTCGGTTTTTTTTTTTTTTTTTTTGTAGAAATGGGTCTCGTTATGTTGCCCAGGCCGGTCTTGAACTACTGGCTTCAAGCAGTCCTCTCACCTTGGCCTCCCAAAGTGCTGGAATTACAGGCACGAGCCACTGCGCTCAGCCAAGAATTGTCTTAAATAATTGTATTTTAACTTACTGCTGTAGTAAACCTTTCTCAAACATTCTTAAATATGTAAAAAATTTTCTTCTCACTTACAGAATTTCAACTATTAATTGCCCTTTTGTTTTATTACTTGGTACAATTTATAAATAGGTAAACCATTCTTGGCTAATAATGAACAAAGGCAGGGGTTGTTTTTTACATTTTTATGTAACTTTTCTTTGTTTCAAACCTCAAGCCTTTTAGATAGAAGATACCTTTGAGGGGCCAGGTGCGGTATTTTAGATAGCAGATACCTTTGACAGGCCAGGTGCGGTGGCTCATGCCTGTAATCCTAGCACTTTAGGAGGCCCAGGCGGGCGGATCACCTGAGGTCAGGAGTTTGAGACGAGCCTGGCCAACGTGGTACAACCCCGTCTCTACTAAAAATACAAAAAAAATTAGCGGGGCCTGGTGGCACACGCCTGTAGTCCCAGCTACTGGGGAGGCTGAGGAAGGACATTCATTTGAACCTGGGCAGAGAGCTGAGATCACGCCACTGCACTCCAGCCTGGGTGACAGAGCGAGACCCCATCTCAAAAAAAAAAAAAAAAAAAAGATACCTTTGAGAATCTGATGAAAGCTATAATAGTCATTCCCCAGAAAAATACATATGGACACATCTACCTACCCCACCCAGAGGTAGCCACTGTTAACTGTGTGGCGTGTTTCCTTCTGTACTTTTTAGGTATACATATATATGTACTCTTTAACATAAATTGGGTCATCTATTTAATACATACTGTTTTACAGTTTTTTCCACTTGGATGTCTGTGAGATTTTTTGTATACCATTACATCTCAGTTTATCTTTCCAATTTTAATGCCCACATATATTCTATAGCATGGATTATTCTTTTCTCTAGTGATAGAAATTTGGGTTGTTGCCAGCATTTAATTTCATTGTTAGATGTAGAGCTGCAATGGACATCCTTACACATGCTTTTTTTGTGCATGTATGCAAGTATTTTGCTGGAACAGAGATTTAGAAGTGGTATTATTGCATGTACTTACTTTCAAAATTTTGGTAGATGGTAGACTAATTCTTCTCCAGACTACCCCACCCTTGGTAGTGTGTACTTGGTTTTCTGTATCCTCACTATACTTGATACTATTGGTCATTTCAGTAATTACAAAGTAGAAAAAAGTTTCAACAGTGGTCAGACATTTTAAAGAACTAGATCAGCAATATAAACTGACCACTTACTAGTAGTATGTCCACAGGCATACCTGTAATTTTTAAAACATTTTTTTTTTATTTAGTGCCAGTTTGGGTTTTTTTGTTTTGTTTTGTTTTGAGATGGAGTCTCACTCTGTTGCCCAGGCTGGAGTGCAGTGGCTCAATCTTGGCTCACTGCAACCTCCACTTCCCAGGTTCAAGCAATTCCCCTGCCTCAGCCTCCCGGGTAGCTGGGACTGCTCACCACACACGGCTCAATTTTTTTTTGGTATTTTAGTAAAGATGAGGTTTAACCATGTTGACCGGGATGGTCTCGATCTCTCGACATCGTGATCCACCTGTCTCCACCTCCCAAAGTGCTGGGATTATAGGCACGAGCCACCACACCCGGCCTGCCAGTTTTTTTAAATAGGGAGGTTTCACACAGAATGTGCTCTTTGAAAAACTGAAAGAGCTGGCAGTGCTCAGCCCACAATTCCATATGTTTTCACTGCACTGAATTCAATTCACAGCTGTGTCCTTTATCTGGGAATAAATATGCTCTTCCCAGTTGGTACCAGCAAGCCTGTTGCACTCCTTACTCTCCTGGCTTTGTAAGCATTTGAATTTGTTAACCCCTTAGCCTAAATGAAAGAAACATTTAGCGGACAGAATTTCTCCTTAAACTGAATTTGTTGTATGCTATCATTAATGGAGAGAAGGAAGGAAAAGAAACATATTGTTAGACCAAGACAGGAAGTAACATAACCAGATAATATCATCGTTGATATTTGTTGAGGTTCTGCTTGTCTAAATATTGGCTTGTTAGAAACTATGGGCTACTTATTTATTCTAAGCCCTGTTAGCTGTAAATTCTAGTGACTTGGATTATTTCAAGATTAGCTTTTTTTGTGAATATATTAGCTCTCATTTGATGTGTTACGTTTAAACTTTTTCAAAGAAATGATAATTTAGAACTTTTCAGTCATAAGATAATTTACCTAAATCCCTGTTCATACTAGCTCACCATGCCTTCTCCTATGCCTGAGTACCTGAATGTGCACTACATTGGGGAGTCTGCCTCCAGACTGCTGTTCTTATCAATGCACTGGGCACTTTCGATTCCTTCTTTCCAGGCTCTAGGGTGAGTGTTTTGAAATCTTGAATATAAATGTGATTTTGTAGTGCAAATGTACATTAAACAAAACTTTTTATTTTGGGAAGATTTGCATTAAAGGAAAAAACAGTATAACATTATAGCTTTAAGTTGTGTCATTCAAATGACAAATCATGGCAGCTAACTAGTATTTTCTCTGTATTTATGTGGAAGAGTATCCATATTTTGTAGTTTGACTAAGTTAAGAATTTGGATGGAATATGATCAGTAGAATTGATAAGACTATGGCTAGCATTTGTAACAGGCCTCATCTTTCATTGGCTCAAAGATAGAGAGACTGTAAGACTGCCCTAGGTTCTTGTTTCTCTCTCATCACTACTGTTTCAGTGTTCATCCCAGGCATGTTACTAAAGAGCTGAATTTTGCCTACAGTGGTTATGTTAAAAGTAGAGATAATTGTTTTCCAATCATGTGGTTCAAAAAAAAAAAAAGAAAATGTAAAACCTCATAGTACCACTACAATGACTTAGAGGGTTAGTCTTACCACTCAAGAGTACATCTGAGGTTGGGCATGGTAACTAACGCCTGTAATCCCAGCATTTTGGGAGGTCAGGGCAGGAGGATGGCTTGAGGCCAGGAGTTTAAGACCAGCCTGGGCAACAGAGTGAAACCCTGTCTCTACAAAAAGAAAAAAAATGTTTTAATTAGCTGGGCATGGTGATGCACACTAGTAGTTCCAGCTACTCTAGAGGCTAAGGGGGGCCAATCACTTTAGCCCAGAAGTTCGAGGCTGAAATAAGCCATGATCACATTGCTTACTGCACTCCGGCCTGGGACGGAGCTAGACCCTGTCTCTTAAAAAAGAGTATATCTACATTCTGTTCTGAAGAAATCAGATGAGATAGAAAATGGCCTACTATAAGAAACTCAAGCTTTACCTAAAGTTTGCCAAATGTATTTAAATTGTTTTAAAATAACTGGTGTGTCTAAAGGCAAAGCAATGGAAAAAGTTAAGCCCATAGTTAGAAAGTTTTTATTCAAAGTTAGAAAGTTTTTATTCAACTCCTAGGACCCTATTCACCAGTATGATTTTGTAAACAATTCAGTTTCACATCCTGTATACCTGTTCTTCCATTTGCCAAATGGGAATAATAATTGCCCACCTGTTATCCTCAAAGACTATTTTGAATATAACAAAGAAATATGTGAACATGATTGTAAAAGGCATACAGAGAATTGAATAAAGGCATATTTAACATTATAATTTGGTTTATTAATCAGCATTATACTATGCATTAAATCATGTGCTCAGATATTATAGTTACATAGACTAAAAGCCTGATTTAGGATGGTTAACCTTTAAAATGATTGTTAGTCCTTTTTTAACATTCAATTTTCAGCATTTCTCTAGTTTTCTGGGGTTTTTTTTGTTTAAGAGATGAGTTCTTCCTCTGTCATTGAGACTGATCTGGAACTCCTGGGCTCAAGCAATCCTCCTATATGGATGCCTCCCATACAGGCATGCACCACCTCGCCCAACGTCCAGTGTGTGTGTTTGTAGAAAAAAATAAAATGTAAATTTGCATATTGGCAATTGATTTTTTTTTAGTTAGTTGGGTTAGAGTCTTTTTTCTACTTTGTAATTACTGAAATGATCAATAGTATCAAATATAGTGAGGATACAGAAAACCAAGTACACACTACTGAGGGGTGGGGTAATCTGGAGAACAATTAGTCTATTATCGACCAAAATTTTTAAAATAAGTACTTATACTGGATTGCAGTAGCGTGATCTCGGCTCACTGCAATCTCCACCTCTCAGTTTCAAGCAATTCTTATGCCTCAGCCTCCTGAGTAGCTGGGACTACAGGTGTGCACCACCAAGCCCAGCTAATTTTTGTATTTTTAGTAGAGATGGGATTTCGCCATGTTGGCCAGGCAGTTCTCAAACTGCTGGCCTCAAGTGATCTGCTCACTTCAGCCTCCCAAAGTGCTGGTGTTATAGGCGTGAGCCTCTGTGCCTAGCCAGCAATTGACTAATTTTAAAATATTAAGTGTAGTTCACTCATCTTGTAACTCACATTCACATGTCTAAAAAGTAACGTGGTGATATTTTTCATGATAGGCTATCAGTTATTATAATAAAACAACAAAAGGGAGGAATTTTGGGGAGTGGTTTGAACTCCTTGAATTATTTACACCACCATTGATCTTAAGTACTTCTATTAAATTGAGTATAATTATCCTATGGAAATAACGCAGATGTTGAGAAACCAAAAATAAGGCCTCAGGAGGTTTCTGTTTATAAAATAAGTCATTTTTATAGTGGTAGCCACATTTTCCTGTGATCTGTATTGAGAATCAGTTTCAATGTAACAACCACAAGATTCTTTGTAATTAGAATAACTTGATCTAGCAGTCAAGGCCATTATGTAAACTCTTATTTTTTATCCCTATCTAGATGATTCATAGATCTTATTTATGTGTTTACTTAATCATACGGATAAGGACAAAGTGCTCATGATGGAAAAATTCTATTATATGGAAATAAAAGCTATTCTAAAAGTAGAAACTGGCATTAGGTTCCTTTTTTTTTTTTTTTTTTTTTGAGATGGAGGCTCGCTCTGTCGCCCAGACTGGAGTGCAGTGGCACGATCTCCGCTCAGTGCAAGCTCCGCCTCCCGGGTTCAGGCCATTCTCCTGCCTCAGCCTCCCAAGTAGCTGGGACTACAGGCACCTGCAACCACACCCGGCTAATTTTTTGTATTTTTAGTAGAGACAGGGTTTCATCGTGTTAGCCAGGCCGATCTCGATCTCCTCACCTCGTGATCCGCCTGCCTGGGCCTCCCAAAGTGCTGGGATTACAGGCGTGAGCCACCGTGCCCGGCCAAGATTGCATTTTTATCTAAAAATATAAAAGTTGGTGACAAAGTCCTAATTTTACAGAGAGAAACAGATAAGCAACATTAATCATTTTCTGAAATCAAGATTGTTTTGATCACTTTAATTGAAGGGAACAGTAACTTAAATAATTTTACTAAACAGTGCATGGTTAGTACCTTTGTATTTTACAAGGCTTCTATATTTTACAAAGGTGTTGATTGTCAGTATACAGTTAATACTACTAATATTTTACAAGGCTTCTGTATTTTACAAAGGTATTGATTTTCTGTTTTAAGATTTGTAGTTTCAGTACTTAGAGTAATTCAGTTGTTGGTTTTAAGTTCTCCCTGCAAAATTTAGGTTAAGTGACTATATGAATAGTGGTAGATTCCATTGCGGGGTAGTGGAGAATACTTGTCATGATTTGCCTGGAGTAAGTATGGCAGCAGTCATCTCTACCTAGATTCTTAAAATATAACCAAAAGCTCCAAGCCACCACCGTTTACCACAGGAGACTTTATTTATTGAATAATGTAATCAATAGCCTTCCATTAAATGCCAAGCCAGACAGCTGAATCTTTTAAATTACCACTGAAGCATAATGTAATGTTTCCTGTAACTTTGTAGTTTTGAAACCTGTAACTTTTTAGGTTCATTTTGACTATCACTGATACTTTTCCCTGAGGACTGGTGCCTTCAGTATTACCAGATATGAGGGGCTCAAAAGTTATATTCCTTTATGAAAATAAATAGTATAAACAATTATATAACCTCTAATTGTGAGTCCTATAATGAATGTTAACAATATAGGCCAGGCCTGGTGGCTCATGCCTGTAATCTCAGCACTTTGGGAGGCCAAAGCAGGCGGATCACTTGAGGCCAGGAGTTCAAGACCAGCCTGGGCAACATGGCAAAACCCTGTCTCTACTAAAAATTCAAAAGTTAGCCAGGCATGGTGGCAGCTGCCTGTAATCCCAGCTACGCAGGAGGCTGAGGCAGGAGAATCACTTGAATCCAGGAGACGGAGGTTGTAGTGAGCTGAGATCATGCCACTGTACTCCAGCCTGGGTGACAGAGTGAGACTCTCCTTCAAAAAAAAAAAAAAAAGTAAACCCACAATATAGTGTAGTAGTTAGAGAAAAATACCTGTACCTATTTGTAAAAGAAATTAACATATTTACTAATTTTACAAGTTAATGCTTTTTTAAAAACTAGAGATGGAGGTCTCACTGTTGTCCAGGCTGATCTTGAACTCCTTGCCTCAAGCAATTCTCCCAGCCGAGCCTCCCAAAGTACTGGGATTACAGGCATGAGCCATCATATCCGGCCTTTTTTTTTTTTTTTTTTAATCTCAACATTCGTGTTGCTTTTTAGATGCCTTAGTGATAACCTTAACTACAGTCTCTACTCAGCTCTTTTTGCTTCTTAAAGATGTTTTGAACATAAACTACAATAGTCATTTATTTTCCTAACAGGAAAAACTGGTAGCAAACATGCCCTTACCATCCCAAAATATTAACCTTAAATGGAGGAGTCTCTACTGAGAAATTTACTGACTTTAGCATTTCACTTGCTAAATTGTGTAATGAGGTTTAAAGGAGCATAAAGGTTCAAATTCTGTTTTTATACATCTGCTGGCTTTTGTGTCTTTGGACCACGTAACTTAAATGAGGCCCAGTGTCTGTAAATTGGGAGCAGAAACACTTCATTATGAACTACATCACATAGGTGAGATAATGAATGTAAATGCATCTAAGCCATTGCCTGCTGCAAAGTAGATAATAAAAGGTCATTCTTCGTCATTCTCTTAAAGACCATCTTTTTAGAGTAGCCTTGCTGTTTTTCTTTCCTAACATAATTGAACTTTTAAAAACATAGCTAGCTATACCATCAGGGTTTTTGGTTTGGGGTTTAGATAAATGTAAATAGATACCTTTCTGTAGTTGGTTTCTACAGTCCTTTTCCCTTTTCTTTTGGAAACACAATAATCTGGTAGGTTATTTCTCATCTGCCACTGGTGTCTTTTTTCCTTAGTAATAATTTTGGTATTCTTATCCTTTGCACTTATACTCCTTTTTTTCTGAGCTTCTCCAGCAATGCCAAGGTACTTTCTTACTACAAGATGCATAGCACAAGCCAGCTCTGATTTTTTTCCATTTATTTTTCCTTTCCTGTGTTTACTAGCAAACTACTTTGGTTAGCTGTTTCCTCCTTAAAACTTCAGAATCAGAGGTTAAAAGTGAAACTGAGTTTACTCTAACTTCCTTCATGTTAGCTTTTAATTTTTTTTAATGTTTAAAGTAATATTGAAGTATAGGATTATAAAGTAAAACCTCACTCACCAGAGGTAACTAACCCCACTGTTAACAGTTTGGTGTCCTACTAGAATGTTTCTGTGAGATACTTATTAGACAATTAAATACATACACATATTTACACATCCTATTCTTTGCCTTGCTTTTTACACTCATAGACTTCTTCCTATGTTAGTACATGTAAATTTACCCCATTTGTCCTCATGGCTTCTATTATAGTATTCCATTTTATGCACTTATTCATTCCTTATTAGTAGACATTTGGGTTGTTGCCAGTTTTCTTTGTTATTATATCCAGTGCTACAATGTGCATTTTGTGGCATTGTGTATGTATTTTCGCCCACTTTTTTTAGTATGGTCATGTTAGTATAGGCATGTGTTGCCCATTTAATGATGGCTATGTAATCTGAGAAATGCATCATTAGGCAGTTTTGTCATTGTGAACATCATAGAGTGTACTTACACAAACCTACTACACATCAAGGCTATATGCTACAGCCTAGTGCTCCTAGGCTACAAACCTAGGACAAACCTGTATAGCATGTTACTGTACTGAATACCATAGGCAGTTGTAACACAATAGTAAATGTTTGTGTATCTAAACATAGAGAAGTGTCCATAAAAATATGGTATTACAATCTTAAGGGACCACCATTGTATATGTGGTACATTGTTGACTAAAACATTGTGCTATGCATGACTGTACTTCTATAACATAGTTTCTTAGAGGTGAAATTGCTGGGTCTAAGAAAGTGCACATTTCAACTTTCGATGGGTACTACCAAACTGTTCTCTGAAAAGATGTTGATCCAGTTTATGTTCACGTCAGCAGTGTATGAGAATGAATACTTATTTCCTCACCTCTTCCTCAATTCTGGATTTTATCCATCTTTAATGAAAATAGTATCCTTTATTTTTATCTCCTTTGATTTTGTTTAAGATTGATATTTTTAAGCATTTTCTATAGGAATATTATAAAATACCGGTTTTCTTTGCATTTAAACTTTACTTTCAAATGACAGGCAGTTTCTTGTGGCCAGTGATCCTTCTTGGATACTGAATGGAAAAGAGATCAGCCTGAAGTTAAAATTTCACATTAATAATTCTCAGAAAAAAAAACTTGCTGTGACTGAGTTGACAGTATTAGCATTTGTTGCAAGTATGTTCGATTATTTAATAAAATGTAATGTCATAAGGCTGTGATTCTTAACGAATGATTTCTGTTAAACATACTGATTATCCTAATTTTAAAGCTTTATTAAGAAGAAAAATATATAAGTACCATTCATTAAGTTGGACATATTTCCTATCAGGACGTTCTTACCAACTTATATCTCTCCAGAGATTTAAGGAAAGAAATCTTATAGTTGCATCATCTTATTTATAATAAAGTCTGTAGGTTTGGTTTAAAGATTAATTGTAAAAGGGCCCACAGCTCTTTTCATCAAAGTTCTCACATCTGCCTGTTCTGTACTCGCTAAGATCAGAAATCATTTGCAGAATTCTTTCTGTGTACCATGTACTGCATTGGTCTCTGAGATACAGAAATGCGCAAGGGAGTCTCTGCCTTCAGTGAGGATACGTGTGTGCGTGACACTGAAGGGGGAATGAATATGTTGAGAGAGGAATAATGTTCCTTCTAGAAAGTGAACTCTGAGCTATATTTTAAGGGATCAGTAGGTATTAGCCAGGAAAACAAGGCTACGAAAGGACCTTCCAAGACAATAGGATAGCATTTAGTAATTCACTTAACAATTTTTATTGAATATCTATTGTTTTATTGAATATGCTTGTTCTCACCTTAGCACATTTGCCCTTGTTCTCCCTGGGATACTATTCCCCTAGATCTGATTTTTGGTTTTTGTGTTTGTTTGTTTTAATTCTCTGCCATCTTTCTCCAGTCAAATGTCACCACCTCAGAAATGCCTTCTCTAACCACCTTATCTGAACCTTCCCATTTTCTAATATACATCCTTTATACTAATGTAGAATTTTTATTACCTAAAATTATGTATAATCATATATGTATATTTATATAAAATACTTGAAATTATATATTTGTTATTTCCCCTTTTTTTCATGAAGGCAAACTTAATCTCTTAATTGCTATTTCTCCAGTACCTGGCATATACTTTCTCAATTTTTTTTTTTTTTTTGAGACAGGGTCTTCCTGTGCCAGGTTAGAGGCTGGAGTGCAGTGTCTCTTCACAGATGCAATCATGGTGTGCTACCCCTTCAAACTCCTGGCCTCAAGCAGTCCTCCCACCTCAACCCTCCTGAGTAGCTGGGACTATAGGCATGTGCCACAGCACCCAGTTAATTCTCTCTCTTTTTTTTGAGACAGGGTCTCACTCTGTCACCCAAGCTGGAGTGCAGTGGTGTGATCACAGCTCACCGAAGCCTCAACTTCCCCAGGCTTAGGTGATCCTCCCACCTCAGCCTGCGAGTAGCTGAGACTATAGGTGTGCACCTCCACACCCAGCTAATTTTTGTATTTTTTGTAGAGATAGAGTTTCGCCATGTTGCCCAGGCTGGTTTGCAACTCCTGGGCTCAAGTGATGCGTCTGCCTCAGCCTCCCGAAGTGCTGGGATTACAGACGTGAGCTACTGCGCCCAGCCCCAGCTAATTCTTACCTTTCACCTCTTAATAACTCTGAGCAAGATATAGGACGTATAGTGTCTCTGCATTTTGTATCATTAGACAACCTGAGACCTGGGAAGTTTGCCTAATTTCAAATGGATAAATAGGTTTAAGTAGCTGGGACGGCAGGCACATGCCACTATGCTCGGCTAATGTTTTCATTTTTTGTAGAGATGGGGGTCTTTTTTTTTTTCCTTTTTTTTTTTGAGACGGAGTCTCGCTGTGTCACCCAGGCTGGAGTGCAGTGGTGCGACCTCTGCTCACTGCAAGCTCTGCCTCCCAGGTTCACACCATTCTCCTGCCTCAGCCTCCTTGTGCTGCTGAGATCAGTTACTTAGAAATTCAGGAGAGAACTTTTGACCTTTCTAATCTCTTGTTATTCATAGTAAAATCCTGGGTATCTTATTTATAGGGATACTAATATCTCCTCTGAAACATACAATGAACCATTTTTCTCCTAAAATTGGTTGCTTGCCTACTATAAAATAATTCTAGAGGCTGGGAGCAGTGGCTCACGCCTGTAATCCCAACACTTTGGGAGGCCAAGGCAGGCGGATCAGCTGAGGTCAGGAGTTCAAGACCAGCCTGGTCAAGACGGCAAAACCTTGTCTCTACTAAAAATACAAAAATTAGCCACATGTGGTGGTGCATGCCTGTAATCCCAGCTACTGAGGAGGCTGAGGCAGGAGAATAGCTTTAACCCAGGAGGTGGAGGTTGCAGTGAGCAGAGATCACGCCATTGCACTCCAGCCTGGGCAACAGAGCAAGACTCTGTCTCAAAACAATAAAATAATTTGAATTGCTCTTTCTTTTAAAAGGTATTTACCTATATTCAAAGCAAAAGTTTTTTTTTAATATATGCTTTTGCTTTTAAGAACAATCTTTATTCCATTTCTATGAAATGTGAAGTTAAAGCCCCAACTTTTTTAGTTTGAATATTACTTGCAATTGTTCTTATAAACTGGCTGATTGATGAGCTAGCTACTATTTAAATGCCTAAGCATTCCTCATTTCTCATTTTGTTATCAGCTATACAAAACACAGACTTGCTCAAATCTTTCTAGAATAATTTTAGTTTAGTAATATGCTGTTTTTAAGTATTTGGACTAGCTGTAAGGTTTATAAAACTTATTTTAATAATATCTGATTTGTGCTTTTATTACTGTTTTTAATAGGCAAGAAAACAGCATATCACTGGTGAAAGCTTACTGGAATGAACTTTTTACTCTTGGTCTTGCCCAGTGCTGGCAAGTGATGAATGTAGCAACTATATTAGCAACATTTGTCAATTGTCTTCACAATAGTCTTCAACAAGGTAAAAAGCACCTTCCTTACCTTTTCCAGGTTGTAGGAGGAGGCATGAGTTTCATTAAATGTTATGACTAAAGTTAGATATCTAATAATTATTATATTAGTGTTTTAGGTACCAATGCTCTTCTTACTTTAGATAATTTTTACAATTTTATAAATTTACTAATCCTCTAAAAATATTTTTTAAATAGAGTGCAACAAAATTGAAAACAGTATACTTAAGTCTGGCAGGCTATTTCTGACCAGGCCTTGTGAATTTTTGTGCAACTATCAAAGAATCCAGGGTGAGCTTATGTAGAGGTGGTCAAATATTTTAAAACATATACTACTCAGCAATTTTTAAATGACCTTTCTTTATTATAGCCCTTTGAATCCTAAGATAGGTTGATTTTGTATCAATTCATCAGAGTGTATTCTCTCACCTAAATAGTTCTGAAGAGTCAGGAACAATCCTTTTTATTCTGTTTTTCCTTTCCTAGATGCCAAGGTAATTGCAGCCCTCATTCATTTCACAAGACGAGCAATCACTGATTTATAAATGCTTAACTATAGAATGGCTTATGACTACCCAAAACAGTGCCCCATCAACAAATGGGGAAAATTGCCTTTTGAGCTCAGGAATAATTTATAAATTGGGGACTACCTTTTAGTTCTTTAGCATATTCTATTTCTTATTGTTTTATATAATTTTTAAATCATTTGCTTCCTCCTTATGTTTAACAGCAGAGGGGTAATCACCTTAAAATGTCATCAAAAATAGATCTACTAGAAGGCAGCATCACATTCCCATCTTACTTATGGACTCCTACCCCTGGTTCATGTCTTATATGCCTGTAATGGTTATAAAGCCTACCTTCAGGAAAGCTATGGTTGACTAATTACTAATGGATGGGTTTTAAACATGTCCCTCTACAATAAATTAAAATCTTTATTGTAAAACTTTATTCTGCTTCAGTTTTTTTCTTCTTAACAGTGTTTTTACTAAATATCTGTTTTTATTATAGTAGTCTTGGTAGTGAAACATGTAGATGGTTTTGCTCATTTTTTCCCAACCAATATAAGCTTAAATAAAATCCTATTACCAAAATTTGAGTCTTATGTACTTTTAGTTGTCTAGTGTTTCAGATGGTTATCTTTACATCCTATCTTCTCAAAGGTATATCTTGAAAGCAAACATTTCAGCCAGGTGGGGTGGTTCACACCTGTAATTCCAGCCCTTTGGGAGGCTGAGGTGAGACTGCTTGAGCCTAGGAGTTCGAGACTAGCCTGGACAACATTGTGGTACCCCACCTCTACAGAAATTTTTTAAAAATTAGCTGGCCATGGTAGCGCATGCCTATAGTCATAGTCCCAGCTACTTAGGAATCTGAGGCAGAGGATTACTTGAGCCCAGGAATTTGAGGTTGCAGTGAGCTATGATGGCACCACTACACCCTAGCTTGGACAACAGAGTGAGAACCATTTCTTTAAAAAAATAAAAAGGGTGGGGAGGGGGGTGTTGGGCGCGGTAGCTCACGCCTGTAATCCCAGCACTTTGAGATGCCTAGGCGGGTGGATCATGAGGTCAGGAGTTCAAGACCAGCCCGGCAAACATGGTGAAACTCCGTCTCTACTAAAAATACAAAAAAATTAGCCAGGCGTGGTGGCAAGCGCCTGTAATCCCAGCTACTCAGGAGGCTGAGGCAGAGAATTGCTTGAACCCAGGAAGCAGAGGTTGCAGTGAGCCGAGATCGTGCCACTGCACTCCAGCCTGGGCGACAGAGCGAGACTCCATCTCAAAAAAAAAAAAAAAAGGAACCATTACATTTAGAGTTTTCTTTTTTTGTTTGTTTGGTTTGTTGTTTTTTTTAACAAGCCAAGTGCCATAAACATCCAAATCCATTTTTTATATATAGTTTTTTCCCCAAAAGCAATTACCATGAGAAAATAATTCATTTTTTAAAAGTACTTTTACAACATCAAAAGAATTAAGATGAAATATAAACCTGGCTGGGCACAGTGGCTCACACTTTGGGAGGCTGAGGCAGGCAGATCACTTGAGGTCAGGGGTTCAAGACCAGCCTGGCCAACATGGTGAAACCCCATCTCTACTAAAATACAAAATTTAGCCATTCATGGTGGCGCTTACCTGTAGTCCCAACTACTCAGGAGGCTGAGGTGGGAGGATTGCTTGAACCCAGGAGGCAGAGTTGCAGTGAGTTGAGATCGCACCACTGCACTCCAGCCTTGGGCAACAGAGCGAGACCCTGTCTCAAGAAAAATAAATATAAACCTTTCTACTTACGATTTTTATACAGATTATACTAACAGCTTGTTCTTGAATGAATAATATCTTAAGATTAGTTTTAGCTATAATTGCAGAAATACTTAATTTTAAACATTTCTAGATTGGTTATACTCAAAGCTTGAAATTCATGAGAGGAAGGCCAGGCACAGTGGCTCACACCTGTAATCCCAAGACTTTGGGAGGCACAGGTGGGCTAATCACTTGAGCCCAGGAGTTCAAGAACAGCCTGGGCAACATAGTGAAACCCCATCCTACAAAAAATACAAAAATTAGCTGGGCGCGGTGGCATGCGCCTCTAGTCCCAGCTACTTGGGAGGCTGAGGCAGGAGAACTGCTTGAGTCCAGGAGGCAGAGGTTGCAGTGAGCCAAGATCACCGCACTGCACTGCACTGCCACCTGGGCGACAGGAGTAAAACCCTGTCTCAAAAAAAATTTAAGAATTAAAAAATTTTTCAAAATTCCTGAGAGGGAAATATATTGGATGAAAGTAGTTGTTCATTTTAGACAAACACTAGAAGCATTTGTTTATTTTTAATTAAAGATAAAATGTCAACAGAAAGAAGAAAATTATTGATGGAGCACATCTTCAAACTACAGGAGTTTTGTAACAGCATGGTTAAACTCTGCATTGATGGATACGAATATGCCTACCTGAAGGCAATAGTACTCTTCAGTCCAGGTATATAAACATTTACTTTTTATTCAAAATAAAATGTTTCACGATGTGGAGAAATAGAAGCCCTCATATGTTGCAAGTGGGGATGTAAAATGGTGCAGTTACCTGGGAAAAGAGTTCAGTAGTTCTTCAAAAGGTTAAACATGGAGTTATCATATGACTCAGCAGCTTCACTCTTGTCAGCCCAAGAGAAATGAAAAATATATATCTATGCAAGAATGTGTATATAAATAGTCATAGCAGCATTATTTATAATAGTCAAAAAGTGGAGACAACCCAAATGTCGGTCAACAGATGAAGAAATAAATTTAATATATACATATGATGGAATATCATTCAGCCATAAAAGGAAGGAAATTCTAACACATACTGCAACACAGATGAACCTTTAAAAGTTCTGCTAAATGAAAGAAGCCAGTCATATTGTTTGATTTCATTTATATAAAATACGCAAAATAGGTAAACCTGTATAGACATAAAATAGGTAAGTGGTTGCCAGGGTCTAAGGAGAAGGAAGAAATGGGAAGTGACTGCTAATGGGTAGAGTGTTTTTTTTGGAGTGACAAAAATGTTCCAAAATTAGATTGTAGTGATAGTTGTACAATTATCAGTATATTCATACTAAAAACTATTGAATTGTATACTTTTTTTTTTTAGACTGAGTCTCACTCTGTCGCCCAGGCTGGAGTGTAGTGGTGCAATCTCAGTTCACTGCAACCTCCGCCTCCTGTGTTCAAACGATTCTCCTGCCTCAGCCTCCCCAGTAGCTGGGATTACAGGCATGTACCACCACACCCAGTTCATTTTTGTATTTTTAGTAGAGACAAGTTTCACTATGTTGGCCATGCTGGTGTTGAACTCCTGACCTAAGGTGATCTACCCGCCTCGGCCTCCCAAAGTGCTGGGATTACAGGAGTGAACCACCCGCCTGGCCTGAATTGTATACTTTAAATTGGTGAATTTTAAGGATGTTAGACATTTATATGGGTATGAAAAGGGAGGTTGAGAAGTCAGTGAAATAATATGATAGACCTTGGCAGGGCGCAGTAGCTCATGCCTGTAATCCTCACATTTTGGGAGGCTGAGATGGGAGGACTGGTCAGGAGTTTGAGACCAGCCTGGGCAACATAATGAGACCTCTTCTCTACAAAAATCAAAACAGAAAAAATTAGCTGGATGTGCTGGTGTGCACCTGTAGTTTCAGCTACTTGGGAGGCTTAGGTGGGAGGATCACTTCAGCCCGAGAATTTGAGGCTGCAGTGAGCTCTAATCATGCTGCTGCATTCTAGCCTGGGTGACAGAGGGAGACCCTGTCTCAAAAATAAATGAAAATGTAAAAAATGTTATAGACCTTTATTTCTGTTGTCACGTCAACATTTGAATTCTTAGGTGTATTTTTTTAGGCATTACTAAATGGCAGAATGAGAGATGACTATTTGCTATGTTGATGGGCTAGATTTCCAAACATCTTATATGAGTTACCAACAAATTTAAAAAACTGGTTTCTTGTTTTCCTGCCAGTTTACAGTTTTCACAGATGGTAAAATGACGGTAAGCTCTCAGTGATCAATTTCTGAATAAGAGAAATTGACTGTTCTCTTAGGTTCTGTATTTTTCATTCTGATATGTTTCTGTTCTTGTGCATCATAATAAAATTATCTGAGGAAACCTGCTTCTTTCTGTCAGTAATACCAGTAAGAACATGAAAGCTTGTACTATTTCTTCTAATGTTTCTTATGAGTTAGTAACGTATGTCTCTATTCTTAGCACAATTTGTCACCTTTATTTTCCTTAGGTGAAAATTGAAGGAACATAGATTTGAAGTTTAAATTCTAATGTAATTTTATTTTACTAAGTATTTTTAGGTTTTTCCATTTAGTACTTTTTAAAATTTTCATCCATGAGAACAGAGCTTTCCATATTCAACATTTCTTAAGCTATGCATAATTTTTATGAAGTTCTTTTAATATTTCTGTTTTTGTGTAATGTTATAGTGACCATTGAAATGCTTATATAGATTTTTTCATGTTTCTGTTATTTTTCTGATAGAGATAATATTTGTGGTTTCATAATTTCTTATATACCTTTTTACCTAAAAATAGAATTTTTGACTTAGAAAAATATGGCATAGAATATAATCTGCAAATATTTCATGGATTTAAAATGCCTTTTTTTTTTTTTTGGAGACGGAGTCTCACTCTGTTGCCCAGGCTGGAGTGCAGTAGCACAATCTCGGCTCACCACAACCTCCGCCTCCTGGTTTCAAGCGATTCTCCTGCCTCAGCCTCCCAAGTAGCTGGGATTACAGGTGCCTGCCACCACACCCAGCTAATTTTTTGTATTTTTAGTAGAGACGGGGTTTCACCATGTTGGCCAGGCTGGTCTTGAACCCCTGACCTTGTGATCCCCCCCACCTCGGCCTCCCAAAGTGCTGGGACTACAGGCATGAGCCACCACACCCAGCCTTAAGATGTCTTTTTAAGCTGAGTCATTTACCTTTTGCTCCTATTAAAGGCAAAGTTATCAAATGCATTCTTACTACTTTTGGAATGGAGAGAAAGCTGTTTGTTTTGGTAACACCCGCTTATTTTTTATTAGTTGTTAGCATATGTATACGAGATAAAAAATAATTTTAAATATGTAAAATATAGTGCTTGGTATATAGTAGGTGGCCTCAATCAATATTTGTGGAATGAATGAGCCACACTTTTTTTTTTTTTTTTTTTTTTTTAAGACAGAGTTTCACTCTTGTTGCCCAGGCTGGAGTGCAATGGCGCTGTCTCGGCTCACAGCAACCTCTGCCTCCCAGGTTTAAGTGATTCTCCTGCCTCAGTCTCCTGAGTAGCTTGGATTACAGGCATGCGCCACCATGCCTGGCTAATTTTGTATTTTTAGTAGAGATGGGGCTTCTCCATGTTGGTCAGGCTGGTCTTGAACTCCTGACCTCAGATGATTCACCCTCCTCAGCCTCCCAAAGTGCTAGGATTACAGGCGTGAGCCACCATGCCCGGCCTGAGCCACACATTTTATGATGGGGCTTCTATTTTGACTATTCTTTCTGTCTCTTTTCATATCCACTCTGTCTTAAATGAACATTCAGAACTAGGGTACCAATGTTTTCTTTAATGTTTCAGATCATCCAAGCCTAGAAAACATGGAACAGATAGAGAAATTTCAGGAAAAGGCTTATGTGGAATTCCAAGATTATATAACCAAAACATATCCAGATGACACCTACAGGTATCTAGAGTTAAATTCTATATAATTAAAATAATTGAAAAACCTTTTGTGGATCTGTTATCTCATTATTACTACTCTCACAATAATTAAATGTTTTAGGCAACCTTAACTTTGAAATACTAATGCTATAAAAAGCAGTATTGCATTGTTGCAAGTACGTTACATAAAATATTTCATCCAGTTCTTATATTTTTTATAAGAGGAGACTTCAGCACAGAGAGGTTAACTTTGCTTAAGGTCACACAGTAAATGATAGCACCTGACTGTGACCCAAGTAGTCTGACTCTAAAATCCAAACTCTTTTTCTTTGGATAAAATAATGAATTTTGTTAGCAAAAGGAGGATAAAAAATAATCAAGAGACCAGCCTGGACAACATGGTGAAACCCTGTTTCTACAAAAAAATACAAAAATTAGCCCGGCTTGGTGGCGCATGCCTGAAGTCCCAGCTACTCAGAAAGCTGAGGTGAGACTGCAATGAGCTGTGATCATACTCCTACGCTCCAATCTGGGTGACAGAGTGAGACCCTGTCTAAAAAATATTAAAAAATAAAAACAAATACCATTAGATTGTTTTATAATTAATTTTGAAACATGGTTTATGAAATTCACTCCAAGCTATTTCTCACCAATATTCTTTGAGAAAAATTCTTTTTTTATAAGAGCCACTTTCTTTAAAGAGGGATATTATAGCCGAGGGGTTAATCACCTGGTTATAGAGCCAGAGTACCTGGATTTGAATTCTGACTCCTGCACTTGCTAGCTTCATAACCTTGGGCATGTTTCCTCACCTATAAATGGAGATAATACTAATACCCACTTTTTACAATTATTTTAAGGATTAAATCAGTTAATATATGTACAGTGCTTAGGACTGTGCCTGTCATACAGTAAGGGCTATATAAGTGTGTTTGTTTATAATAAATAAAACATTTTATTAGTTTGGCATACTTCAAACTAGTAAGATAACATTTTTACATATAATAATTTTTTTACATATATTAAATAATGTAGATTTATAAGCCAGTCTCATCTTAAATATCAGCCTTACTTTAACTCGTTTTCCTATTCTGCTTTCTACCAGTTCTGTAAAAGCTGAGTAATTTGATGTGGATGCTAAGTAATTTGAGGAGTAGAGCACACAGCTCCAGGAAGATAATCCTGGGGGCTGCTGGTCTAATTTGGTCTGAGGTGTTAGAGTGCAAGGCGTTAGGACAGAAGGATAAACCCACCACAGTCTTTTTGAAAAGGTGGTTTTGTTGTGGTTGTTTTTCAGCATCTTTAAGTTTTAAAAGTTACTCTATGCCTCATTATACAAATAAATACAGTATTTAAATTTTTTTCCTTTGTGACTGCAGCTTTCTCAGTTTTTTACATTGTTGGTTACTTAAAAATAATACATTATCCTTGGATAGTAGTTTTCAACTTATAAGGCACTTTGACACAAGATAGGGTCTTACCCTAAGAAACCTCACTACCTGGCACAGAAATTGGCAGGGATCATTTCATTCATCCTCACAACAGCACTGTGAGAGACAGTAAGTGGCAAGCACACATTTATATAAGTAGTGGGCAGTTCAATCAAGATTTGAACCCAGCGGTCTTGATTCCACATTCTGTGCTTTTCCCAGTAATAGCAACTATTGCCTACTTCCAGTAGTTTTTTGCAGAGCAAAACCAAGAAAATGTCTTATGTCCTGATAACACAAAACATTGCCATTTTTAAAACCTGAAATGAGTTGCTAAGCCATTCTTTTTCTTTTTCTTGAGATAGAATATTGGTCTGTCACCCAGGCTGGAGTGCAGTGGCATGATCTCGGCTCACTGCAACCTCTGCCTCCTAGGTTCAAGCAATTCTCATGATTCTCTTGCCTCAGCCTCCCAAGTGGCTGGGGTTATAGGCACATGCCACCATGCCTGGCTAATTATTTTTTGTATTTTTAGTAGAGACAAGGTTTCACCATGTTGGCCAGGCTGGTCATGCCCGGCTGATTTTATTTTATTTTATTATTATTTTTTTTAGTAGAGATGAGGTTTCACCATGTTGGCCAGGCTGGTCTCGAACTCCTGACCTCAAGTGATCTGCCCACCTCAGCCTCCTAGAGGTGAGCCACTGGCACCCAGCCGCCATTCTTAAATGTATAACTTGGCCCGGCACAATGGCTCACGCTTATAATCTCAGTACTTTGGGAAGCCAAGGCAGGAGGATTGCTTGAGCCCAAGAGTGTGAGACCAGCCTGGGTAATATAGTGAGACCCTGTCTCTACAAAAAAAAAAAAACAAACACAATTAGCCAGGTATAGTGGCACACTCCTGTAGCCACAGCTACTTGGGAGGCTGAGGCGGGAAGGATCACTTGAGTCCAAGGAATTGAGGCTGCAGTGAGCTCACACCACTGCACTCCAGTTTGTGCAGCAGAGCGAGGCCCTCTCTCAAAAAAAAAAAAAAAATTGTATAACTTGATGCATGGTTTAACAACTCAGTTCCACAGTCCTTACAGCCAAGTGGAGGCAGTACAGTGTAGCATTAAGAGCAGGGCTTTCCCCTGTGGAGTCTGTCAGACTGCATTAATAGCCAGGTAATTGCCATATGTTCTAAGGCTTGAGAATACTAAAGTTTTGATTTTAACTTTTGAAAATGCTATCTTTATTAAATTAGGCCACATGCAGAAATTACTCATATTTTTCTACTAAATTTCTTTCTGGTTTACAACCTTGTTCCTCTCCCTTTTTTCTTTCTTTTTTTAGGTTATCCAGACTACTACTCAGATTGCCAGCTTTAAGACTGATGAATGCTACCATCACTGAAGAATTGTTTTTCAAAGGTCTCATTGGCAATATACGAATTGACAGTGTTATCCCACATATTTTGAAAATGGAGCCTGCAGATTATAACTCTCAAATAATTGGTCACAGCATTTGAAAACTGTGACTGCAGTGCTGTAAACTTAACTGTTCTTTGCCAGAACACAAGACACCAAATTGAACTCACTGCTTTTGAGGCATCTGGAAATTTTTACTTTAAAAAGTAACCAGAATCCAAGGTATTTTTATTTTAGCTTCCCTTAAGAATTTTTGAAGTGACTGGGCAGGCAGCAGAAATTAAATGAATTTTTCTTCCTGATTCCTTTAAATGAATATGAAACACTACAAATTTATTCTTGGTGAAGATGATACCTGAAGCTGTCACCTCTTGATTATCTAAACTAAGCGCTCATTCTATTTTATAAAACAAATAAATTAGTCTCTTTTTTCTGAATTGTGTTCTAGTCATATTTAACTTCATTATGAACTAGTAAAAATACTTAATGGTCAGAAATCCCTAAGGAGTTAGTTCCTTGCATTTTACTCTGCCATAATAATTTTTGTTTAATTACCATATCAA
Organism: Homo sapiens; assembly: GCF_000001405.40. NCBI lineage: Eukaryota > Metazoa > Chordata > Mammalia > Primates > Hominidae > Homo > Homo sapiens. The sequence goes on along the minus strand of NC_000012.12, from coordinate 95,021,766 downwards.
AATAAGATTATTTTATGCTTACTGGTATAATGACAGTATTAGAACTATAGGAAATAATTGAATACATATTTTTTGTCTTCTCTAAATATCATGGTGTCCCTTAGCATATACTACTCTCATTGCTGGCAGTGAGACAGGCCATTCATGATCTTAAGAGTTGCCATTTTTAATGTATATTATTAGTTACAAGCACTTTATATAGCAGAAAATTGTTTTTGAGAATAAGCTAGTGTTGATATTTTAATATTTTTAGCTTACTGCTCGTGTTTTTGTTTTTGTTTTCGTTTATAGAGGTGGGTTTCACTGTTGCCCAGGCTGGTCTCAAACTCCTGGGCTCAAGTGATCCTGCCTCAGCCTCCCAAAGTACTGGGATTACAGGCGCGTGCCACCGTGCCTGGCCTACTGCTGTCTTTGAAAATAATAGAGACTAGCCAGGTGTAGTGGCTCATGCCTATAATCCCAGCACTTTGGGAGGCTGAGGCAGGCAGATTGCTTGAGCTCAGGAGTTCGAGACCAGCCTGGGCAATATAGCAAGACCTCGTCTCTGTAAAAAGAAAGAAAGTAATAAAGACTAATTGAGCCCAAAATGTTTCACTATTTCAAAAAAGATATTTAAATTGTTGCTCTTTCATTCCATAAAAAGGATCTGATCTCTCTCCCACTTTTCTGACCTGAGTTAGAGCTTCCCAAACCTGTCATGTATGGGTTTTAGCCAATTTCTTTTAGATCACTAAAAAAACTCACCCAATATGTCAAATAATGGATTTATCATAGCCAGTACATGTTCTCAAGGCAAGTTTAAACATTATTTTGAAGCTATTGATAATTTTTTAAAATAAAGAAATATTCACTGATTTTTTTCACTGTAAAGCACGGGAGGGCTGCTTTAACAACAGTATAAGAATCAGCCTGAAGCCTTGTTACTGCTACAACAAATTCATTTTAGACTCCTCGGATGTCTTCCACAGTAATTTATTCTTTTAGCAAACCTGATACTGATAACTGTTTCTTTGCTTTGATTTCTTGATGAATTATTTTGGTATGTTTGTTGATTTTTAAAGCAAACACGGATAATGCACTCAGAGTACATTTTTTGTAAAGATTTTTGCAATAGAAGAAAAGTGAAGTTTTTGTGGGGATGTGGATTTTATTGCTTACTACTTTATAGTAATCAAAAGTTTGAAAATATCAACTTACAGTCTTTACCAGTTTACTAAGGGAAACTTTTTTCCCTATTTAAAACATGATCTTAGTCAACAATTTTATTTATAATTATCAGCTAAATTACATTTAGTATAATACTCAAATGGAAAAATCAGTAGTTTATACCTTTATAAATACAGTTTAGTAAGCCAAGGAATCAGGGAAATAATCCTTTAAAATAATGTACTAATAGTTAAGATGTTTCAGGTGTTTTTTCTGATTAAATTTGCTACTATATTTGGAAGACTTTAAAACTATATTAAAATGTGACTTGCATTACAAATTTCTGTGTCTTACCAGTATATTTGTAAATATATTATTCATTTTCCTTTTCAGTGATTGCTTATCCTTCGTTTGTTCCATTGTGCTTTCATCTATAGCAAGTATAGATCTGCTATATTAAGAAAGCTCTAATAAGAATCGCCACTGATATAATAGGTGACTCTTAGGTGGGGTGATTTTAATTAAATCATGATTTTCTCTCTCCAGGAAGAGAAAAACATGGAAACATTTCTATGTCCTATATTTTAGGGTTATTTACAATTCAATTTGAAGACTCCCAGCTAAATACTGCAGATTAGCTTTTGTTTTCGTTCCCGAAATCTCAGTAAAATGTCCATAAAATATAATAACTACACGAGGACAAATGGAACAGGAGAGAAGAAATCAAAGGATAGAGTAAAGTAAATTTTTGGAAAACAAAATGCAGGTAGAGAAAGAATGACTGATTTAGTAGAACCAGAACTAAAGAAGCTTTAACTGAGTGACTGCAAAAGGCAATGCAATGAGAAAGAAGCCATACCAAACAAGATGCTCAGTACCCTGAAGGAAACAGTGCTCAGAAGAAGAGATGATGCTTGAGACATAAAAAAAAATAGATTGGTGGCAAGTCTGGATACAGAATAATTCGACTGTCTTTCCCCAGCCCTACTTAAGTTGGGTGGAGGCCAGGCACCGTGGCTCATGCCTGTAGTCCCAGCACTTTGGGAGGCCGAGCGAGGCAGATTGCTTGAGTCCAGGAGTTCGAGACTACCCGGTGTAATGTAGTGAAACCTCATCTCTACAAAAAAAAAAAAAAATTAGCCAGGTGTGGTAGTGTGCACCTGTAATCCCAACTACTTAGGAAGCTGAGGTGGGAGGACGGCTTGAGCCCAGGAGACCAAGGTTGCAGTGAGCTAAAATCATGCCACTGCACTCTATCCTGGGCAACAGAGCCAGATCCTGTCTCAGAAAAAAAAAAAAAAAAAAAAAAAAAGGTGGCCACTTTCTCTTCTCCCTTTTCAAGCAGGAGGAGGCCAGAGATAATTCTTCTGAGAAACTGAACTGGAAGAGCATAGGACTTAACAGGATACCAGGGATAACAAATGGTGTGAATAAGATACAGGGTTGAAAATGTGGAGGAAGTGAAAATCCGCATTTGGAGGCCGGGAGCGTTGGCTCACGCCTGTAATCCCAGCACTTTGGGAGGCCAAGGTGGGTGGATCACGAGGTCACGAGTTCAAGACCAGCCTGACCAACATGGTGAAACCCCGTCTCTACTAAAAATACAAAAACTAGCCGGGCATGGTGGCACACGCCTGTAATCCCAGCTACTCAGGAGGCTGAGGCAGGAGAATTGCTTGAACCCAGGAGGCAGAGGTTGCAGTGAGCTGAGATTGTGCCACTGCACTCCAGCCTGGGCAACAACAGAGCGAGACTCTGTTTCAAAAAAAAAAAAAAGTCTGCATTTGGTTGATATGTAGGCTTGCTACCCTTTTCCCAGGATACTGGCAATCAAGTACAGTTTTCTCTGCCAGGTTTTTTTTCTTTGGAGAAGCTAAATGGCCCCAGAGAAAAGATCTCCATTTTGGTTATCCCTTAATGATAAAAAAATAAATAAATAAAGCCTGTTTGCCACCTTATCACTCTTCAATGAAGCCCTCCAATTACCAAGTCATGTGTGTATGTATTGGGTTTCCATTCAGTTCTTTAGTGCCCTATTATTAAATGTGAACTTACAGCCCAGGATAGCCAGATATTTAAGGAAAATCTCTATACATGAGAGACCAGACATGAGGGGTGGGGAGCAGATACAAAACGCAAAGATCAGAAAAATATTCCCCAAATATAATTAGTATCTTGAGAGAAACCAGATGTATCCATAAAAGGAGAACAGAATTTTCCCAAAAAAAATGTGGAGCAAGGAATTGCCCCTAGAAATTAAAAATGATAGTCAAGGCAATTCATTAGAAGGATTGAGAGATAAAATTGAAGAATTCACCCTGAAAGTAAACCCAAAAGACAAAGGAATAGAAAATAGGATAGAAATGATAAAATCAGAGAATCAAACAAGGTCTTTTTTTTTTGGCAGGGGAAAGGGGGGTTGAGTCTCACTCTGTTGCCTAGGCTGGAGTGCAGTGGTGCGATCTCAGCTCACTGCAGCCTCCACCTCCCAGGTTCAAGCAATTCTGCCTCAGCCTCCCCAGTAGCTGGGATTACAGGCACACGCCACCACACCCGGCTAATTTCTTATTGTTTTTAGTAGAGACAGGACTTCACCATATTGGCCAGGCTGGTCTCAAACTCCTGACCTCAAATGATCTGCCCACCTCGGCCTCCCAAAGTGCTGGGATTATAGGCATGAGCCACCGCACCCGGCCAAGGTCTAACACTTTCAATACTAAGAGTTTAAGAAAGGGAAAATAGGAAAGATTTCAGAAAAGGAAATTATTAAATAATGTAAGAAAAGTTCCACAAAAGGACACATGTCTGTGGGTGGAAATGATCCACCATTATAAATTTTAAAAGATATGGCATCTTGAAATCATCATATAGTCAAAGAAGACAACTGCTATTTTTAGCAGCATAGAGGAACAGATACTCTGAAGGCCTTTGATCTATTAGCTGAGTTCACCAAATTGAGATGACTTCCTAAAGAAGGCTAAGGTTGTTTCAGGTCAGTAGTACCCCCTGTGTCCTGGCAGAAGCAAGTGTAAATCTTCTCTGGAGAAAATATTCATAATTGAGAACAGAAGTTGAGAAAGGAAATATTTTTGGCTTCATAGGCCATGCAGTGTCTGTTAAAACGACTCAAAAAGTGCTAAAGTAACTATACACAACATAAATGAGTGGGCATACCTGTGGTCCAATAAAGCGTATACAAAAACAGGCAGTGGACTGGATTTGGCTCTTGGAGTATAGTTTACCAACCCTTAATTTAAAATCTTGATATTCTCACAGATTAGGCTCAACCAAATATGAGTACACAAAATTATCAAACTCACAAGGAAATAAGCAATACATAAAGACCCTCAAAGACAGTATTAGATATTAAAATTGTCACATGCAGAATGCAACTATATGATATGTTTTAAGGAGAAAAAAATTGAATCTAAAAGTAAACAAGAAACAGCAGCAAAAATAACCAAGTAGATTTGAAAAGCCAAAAAACATTTAGAAAAAATTTACTGAAATTAAAAAATTAATGCCTGGTGAAAGATGCCTTGAATGCATACATTTAACCCTAAGTTCCTTCTAAAACTGCATTAAAACAGCTAAAGGTTTGTGGGTTGTTTTTATTTTTTTTAGACACCAAGTGTCAATGTGTTGGCCAGGGTGGAACTCCTGGGCTCAAGCTATGTTCCCACCTCAGCCTCCTGATTAGTCTCCCAGCCTCCTGATTAGCTGGGCTACAGGTGTGAACTGCCACACCTGGTTTGCTTTATGGTTTTCGTTTGTTTTTTAATGCATCTTACAAAGACAAAAAAATGGGACAGAAATAAATGATAACCACAACTTTTTGAAAGCTAAAAATAGATTAGTAGTGATGATCCTAGCAAACCTGAGAAGGACTTTTTATCCTGCAGTGTGGAAAACTGTGAAGCAATCTGATTTGTACCACAGATCCTCCAAAATGCTCTTGTACTATGACATCTCTGGAGGGGAAGATGAAGGATTTGCTGAAAGTCTATTTTGGAAGTAAATACACACCCACCAGAATGATAAAATTTTAGTCTGGCGAAACCAAACGTAGAGTATGTGGAGTAAAAATATGTGTGTTGATGGAGGGAGTGTCGGTACAATAAATTCGGGAAAGATTTTGCATTAAATAGAAAGTTGAACATGCATGAAGTTATCCTAGAGAAACTCACACATGTACCAGGGGGCATACAAAAATATTCATGTCAGCATTGTAAGAGCAAAAAAGGAAAACTGTTCAAATATCCATTGACAGGAGAATGGAGAAGTTAATTGTGGTATAATCACCCAATGGAATACTATGCAACACTAAAAAAGGAATAAACTATAAACATGGGTGAATCCCCAAAATACAATGTTGTATGAAAAAAGCCCAAAAGTATACAAAACCATAATTTAACTGGTTTACTGAAAACAGGCAGATACATTGTTGAGAGGTATTTATGTGGGAAAGCTAATTTTGTGAAAGCAAAGGAAATAATACTAAATTAGAATACTAGTTACTTCTGAAGGGGTGGGAAGAGGATAAAAACAGAATACAAGGGGCTTGAAAAGTATTGACAGAGTTCTAACTATTTGCTTTTAAACAAGCCATCCCAAAACGTAACGGTTTAAAACAACATGTACTGTGTTCATGAATATGCAACATGGACAGAGCTTGGGAGAGACAGCTTGTCTCTGCTCCTTTCAGCCACAGCTAGGTGAGCTCAAATAGTGAGGTTGGAATGTATGTAATCATTCACTCATATGTCTGGAAGTTGATAGTGACTGTTTGCTGGGACTTCAGGTGGAGCTGAAGCCAGAACACATACCTAGTCCTGTTTCCCTTCCTCACAACCTAGAGGCTAGGTTCCAAGAACAAGGGTTGAGAAGGCCACGTGGGAGCTCTGTTACCATTTCTTGCCTGGCATTAGAATTCATCCAGTGTTAGGCAGGGGATACAGGCTCACACCTGTAATTCCAGCACTTTGGCCAAGGCGGGCAGATTGCCTGAGTTCAAGAGTTCAAGATCAGACTGGACAACATGGCAAAACCCCATCTCTACATAAAAAAAAAAAAAAAAAAAAAAAGCCAGGCCTGCTGGCATGTGCCTGCAGTCCCAGCTACTCGGGAGGCTGAGGTGGTAGAATCGCTTGAGCCTGGGAAGCGGAGGTTGCAGTAAGCCAAGATTGCACCACTGCACGCCAGCTTGGGTGACAGAGCAAGACTCCATCTCAAAAAAAAAAAAATGAAAAAAACACTAATTCAGTGTCTTCTGCTGCATTCTACTCATCGAAGAAGTCACAAAGGTCTGTGCTGATGGAAAAGGAGGGGAAATAGACTCCACCTCCTGATGATGAAGTGGCAAGCTTCTGGAAGAGCATATGGAACCAGAAATACTAGAAATGTTTCCCTCATTTGGGGGAAAAAATATTCCATCTCAGCAGCCTCACTTGGAAACCCAGGTAGACAAGGCTTACCTGGACAAGATTGGGGCCTGGGAGGTTGGGGGTGGTTTTCATCTTATGGAATTGTTTACAAATTGATACATAAGAAATCATAAGAAGTTTAAAGGATTGTAACATCTTAAGCTGGGCATGGTGGTGCATGGCTGCCCTAGCTAGTCTGGAGGCTGAGATGGAAAGATGGCTTGAGCCCAGGAGCTGGTGGATGCAGTGAGCTATGATGATGCCACTGCAGTCCAGCCTGGGTGACAGAGTGAGACCCTGTCTCTAAAATTTGAAAAAAAAAAAAAAAATGGCAGGAGGGTATCATCTTGGACCTTCAAACTTGTATGGGCAGGAGATGGCTAAGAAAACTACTCAGCTACAGACTGGACTCCATTTTGTGGGAAATGAAGGGTAATTTCCATGTGGCTGCTGGAGGAAGTGTTGAGAGAGGAAGTGCCAGGGAAAAGCCAGATGGTTTTTTCTAACCTACCCTCAGAAACCAAGCAACATTGCTTTCCATGTCATTTTATTTATTGATGCAAAGACCCACCCACATTCAAGGGAAGATAAACTATGCCCTTTGACAGGAAAGTGGGAAGATTCTGGAAGAGTTTAGGGAATCAAAGCTGTTTTTTCAGCCATGTTTTTTGAAAACTTGAATCTCTGATACTATTCTACTTATTAAGCTGACTGTAGATTCTTAAGATCAAATAGGCACTTTTGTATATTTCCCAATATTTGATAGAAAAATAAATCCTTATGTGGAAAAAATGAGGTGCTGTTAGATCTCCAGATCTCCTCCACAATTCCCTGTATCCAAGGGAGGGGAGTAAGCCCTTGAGAAGTTGTAAACACTAAATTGTCCTTACATGGATATGTAACAGAAAATTTAGTAAACCGTATATGAAAAATGGAGCAGGAAGTTGGAGGGGGAGCTAGGTGTGAGGAGGGGAGTGTGTGAAAGCCCTAAAAGTCCTCACCTATGTTGAGAAGTCAACAAGTAATGCCTAAAGTTGGAAAAACTCTAGAAATACTATAAGCATGTAATTTAGAAATATGGTAGGGAATAACTAAGCTAAAAGGGTTGGAAGTAGTTGTTGCTAGGAGTGGGAAATCAGTTCAGAAAATGGAACTATATGATTTCTTCAGTGAGGTACGTATGTTCAATGTACCAAATTTAAGAGGGAAAATGATCAAAATGGATGAGCTAAATTGAAGCTAAGATCATTGAAGAAAGAATTAAGGCTTCTGGCAATGTTTGTTCACATGAACATGTCGGTATTATCCAACTGAATTCTGTGTGTCTCTTTAACTTTAGTTGTTCTATAATAATGTTGATACCAAGTTAATGACAAAAAAAATCAGAACAGGATACTATGAAAAAGAAGAGAGACTGGCCAGGCACAATGGCTCACACCTGTAATCCTAACACTTTGGGAGGCTGAGGCAGGCGGATCACGAGGTCAGGAGTTCAAGACCAGCCTGACCAACATGGTGAAACCCTGTCTCTATTAAAAATACAAAAACTAGCTGAGTGTGGTGGCGCACGCCTGTAGTCCTAGCTACTTGGGAGGCTGAGGCAGGAGAATCGCTTGAACCTGGGAGGTGGAGTTGCAGCGAGCCGAGATCACGCCACTGCACTCCAGCCTGGGCAACAGAGTGAGACTCTGTCTCAAAAAAAAAAAAGGAAGAGAGATTAAAGAAAGAGTTCTTTCTTTCTTTCTTTTTTAAGCATTCTTTAAACTAAAAATCATGTTGAAAAAATCTATCAGGACTGATGGACTGGACCTAGACAAGGAACAAATTAGTGAACTGGTACATAAATGCAAAGAAATGGTTCAGAATGTAAAGCACAAAGATGAAAATGGAAAATATGCAGAAAAAACAAAATATTCAGGTAACGTTAAAAAGATAATAGGGGATCAATCCAGAAGGGTCAATGTTCACCTAATACCCAGATTTCGGAAAGAAGTAACAGAAAATGTAGGGGAAAAATTATTTAAAACAATTTCTACTGCTAAAAATGTCACATCTCCAAATTCAAAGATGATGCTGAATTCCAACAAACATCAACTACAAAAGCCCTAGATAAATCTTCATGAAATTTCAGAACTTTAAAGACAAATAGAAAAATCTGAAAAACTTCAAAAGATTGAAAAACAGGTTTTTAACAAATGAATTTGTATCAGATTGGCAGCAGGATTCTCATCAACTATGTTAGAGGTTTTGGGGTTTTGTTTGAGACAGGGTCTCACTCTGACACCCAGGCTGGAGTGCAGTGGCCACGATCATAGCTCACTGCAGCCTCTAACTCCTGGGCTGTAGCAATCCTCCTGCCTCAGCCTCCCAAGTGGCTGGGACTATGGGCATGCACCACCACACCCAGCTAAATGTTAGATATTAGAGGGCAATGGAGGAATGCTTTCAGAGTTCTGTGAGGAAACTATTTTGAACCTAGGGTTTTATGACCAAGTAAAGGATCAATCGAGGGAAATGTTATCTCCTACATGCATTTTTGAAAAAAGTCTCAAAAATGTGCTCTACCAAAACAAACAAAAAAAACAAGCAACCCTAAATGAGAGAATTCTAAGAAAGAAAAATATGCAGGATCCAAGATAAAATAAGACTCATTTATTCAGAAACACAATGAAAAGAAATCCCAGAATGATCATCCATTCATGAATGAGGCCTAAAGACAACTGATCAAAATTAGAACAGGAAGTCAGAATGTTCTGTGAAAAATCTGCTCAAGAAGACATATGTCTCTATTGTTATTTAGAAGTAATTTATCAAACTAACCTTTATTGAGTACTTATGATACACCAGGCACTGTGTTTTTTATGTACCTTATTTAATGCCTACAGTGATCTCATGAGATGGGTAATATTATTAACCCCATTTTACAAATGAGTAAACTAAGGTGTAAGCAACTTGCTCAATATAGCTAATTAGTGATTGATAGGGTTTGGCTGTGTCCCCACCCAAATCTCATCTTGAATTGTAATCCTATAATCCCCACATGTTGTGGAAAGGATGCTTTAATTATGGGAGCAATTACCCTCATGTTGTTCTCATGATAGTGGGTGAGTTATCATGAGATCTGATGGTTTTATAAGGGGCTTTTCTCCCTTTCCCTCTGCACTTCTCGTTTCTGCCACCATGAGAAGAGGGATGTTTTTGCTTCCCCTTCTACCCTGATTGTAAGTTTCCTGAGGCCTCCCCAGCCATGCTGAACTGTGAGTCAATTAAACCTCTTGCTTTTATAAATTACCCAGTATCAGGTATGCCTTTATTAGCAGTGTGAGAGGGTACTAATACAGTGATAGAGTTGAGATTTAAGCAACCATAAGCCCTGGAGTAGAGCTCCCCAGAAGAAAGGCTGATTGCAGGTCCGGGTAGGAAATATGTAAGATGAGCTGGGAACATCTTGTCACACCAAAAATAAAATAATGATAATAAAACTATCAAAGATGACTAGATTGTGTCTCAGAAACTCAGGAACCAACCTGAAGAGGTCTCTACTAACCAAAGATAAAACAATTTGGTAATTGATTAGAATAATAACTGCAATGGGTTGAAACATATCAAACATTTAAATCTATAAGTACATATTGTACTTTAAAAATGCTAGAGACACCAGGTGCAGTGGCATGTGCCTATAATCCCAGCTACTTGGGAGGCTAGGATGGGAGGATCACTTGAGCCCAGGAGCATGTGACCAGCCTGGGCAACATATTAAAACCCCGCCTCAGTTTGAAAAAAAAAAAAAAAAAAAAAAACCTAGGGACAACATAACCATAAAGAAAATACCTATAAAAGATACACAAAAGAAAATGAAAAAGGAATGGCAAATTGCTACCAAAAAACCAATGAAACACAGGGAAGGTGGCAAGAGAGGAGAGAGAGACACAACAGCAAAAAATACAGAAAACAATTAACAAAATGCCAGTAGTAAATCCTTCCCTATCAGTAATTACTTTAAATGTACAAGAATTAAACTCCCCAGTCAAAAGACAGGGTAGCTAAATGGACCAAAAAAAAAAAAAAAAAAAAAACCCACCAGAATCTTAACTATATGCTCTCTATAAGAGATTTACATAGGGTAAATGTAAGGACACACATAGGTTGAAAGTGAAAAGACAGAAAAAGGATTTTTAATGCAAATGGTAACAAAAAAAGAGGAGTGGCCGTACTTATATCAAACAAAATAGACTTTTAGGTGAAAAACTGTCACAAGAGACAAAGGGATTACAAAATGATAAAAGGGTTAATCCACTAGGAAGATATAACAATTCAATATGCACCTAACATCAGAACACTCAAATATAGGAAGCAAACACTGACAGAATTGAGGAGAAATAGAAATAGTAACACAACAAAAGTAGTTTTCAAAACCCCACCTTCAATAATGGATATAACACCCAGACAGAATATCGAAAAGGAAACAGAGGACTTGAACAATGCTCTAGAGCAATTGGACCTAACAGACATACAGAGAACATTCCACCTAACAATGACAATACACATTCTTGTCAAGCATACATGCAACATTGTCTGTGATAGATTACATATTAGGTCACAAAACAAGGTTTAACAAATTTTAAGAAGATTGATATCATACCAAGTATCTTTTCTGACTACAGTGGAATAAAGCTAGAAATCAAAAGCAAAGGGCTGGGCACAGCGGCTCATGCCTGTAATGTAATCCCAGCACTTTGGGAGGCCGAGGTGGGCTGATCACAAGGTCAGCAGTTCGAGACCAGCCTGGCCAACACAGTAAAACCCCATCCCTACTAAAAATATAAAAATTAGCCAGGTGTGGTGGTGTGTGCTTGTAGTTCCAGCTACTTGGGAGGCCGAGGCAGGAGAATCGCTTGAACCAGGGAGGCGGAGGTTGCAGTGAGCCGAGATCATGCCACTGCACTCCAGCCTGGGCAACAGAGCGAGACACCGTCTCAAAAAAAAAAAAAAAAGAAAAGAAAAAGAAGTAAAAAACAAAACGAAAACTGGAAAATCCACAAATGTGGAAATGAAACAACACATTTTTTTTTAATACCAACCAACCAAGCAGCAGTGATAAACAAAACAGTCTTGAGTAACCAATGCCTCAAAGAAGAAATTAAAAGGAAAATACTTTGACAAATAGAAAACACAGGGCAGGCATGGTGGTTCACACCTGTAATCCAAGCACTTTGGGAGGCCAAGGTGGGAGGATTGCTTGAGGCCAGGAGTTTGAGGCTTCAGTGAGCTATGACTGAATGACTGCACTCCAGCCTGGGCAACAGAGTGAGATCCCATCTATAAAAATAAAGAAAAAGAGACCAGGCACGGTGGCTCACACTTGTAATCCCAGCACTTCGGGAGGCCGAGGAGGGTGGATCACAAGGTCAAGAGATCGAGACAATCCTGGCCAACATGGTGAAAACCCGTCTCTACTAAAAATATAAAAATTAGCTGGGCATGGTGGCACATGACTGTAGCCCCAGCTACTCGGGAGGCTGAGGCAGGAGAATCACTTGAACCCAGGAGGCGGAGATTGCAGTGAGCCGAGATCACACCACTGCACTCCAGCCTGGCAACAGAGTGAGACTGTCTCAAAACAAACAAACAAAAATTTTAAATAAAGAAAAAGAAGAAAACATCTGAACAGATTCATAACTAGTAAGGAGATTAAATCAGTAATCAGAAAACTCCCAACAAAGAAAAGCCAAGGAACAGATACTTCACAGGAGAATTCTAGCAAACATTTGAATTAATTGAAAAGTTAATACCAATCCTTCTCAAATTATTCCAAAAAATTAAAGAGAAGGTAACACTTGGCTGGGCACAGTGGCTCATATCTGTAATCCCAGCACTTTGGGAGGCTGAGGTGGGAAGATCACTTAAGCCCAGGAGTTTGAGACCAGCCTGGACAACATAGTGAGACCCCATCTCATTAGAAAAGAAAAAAAAAAGAAGAAAGAGAGAAGGTAACACTTTTTTTTTTTTTTGAGATGGAGTTTCACTCTTGTTGCCCAGGCTGGAGTGTAATAGTGCAATCAGCTCACTGCAACCTCCACCTCCCATGTACAAGCGATTCTCCTGCCTCAGCCTCCTGAGTAGCTGGGGTTACAGGAGCACACCACCACACCTGGCTAAATTTTTGTATTTTTAGTAGAGATAGGGTTTCACCATGTTGGCCAGGCTGGTCTCGAACTCTAGACTTCAGGTGATCTACCCGCCTTGGCCTCCCAAAATGCTGCGTGGGATTACAGGCATGAGCCACTGCACCTGGCCAAGGTAACTCTTTTAAACTCTTTTTTTTTTTTGAGACAGAGTTTCCCCTCTGTCACCCAGGCCACAGTGTGATGGTGGAATCTCAGCTCACTGCAACCTCTGCCTCCCAGGCTCAAGCAGTTCTCATGTCTCAGCCTCCTGAGTAGCTGGGATTATAGGCATGCACCACCAGGCCCAGCTAATTTTTGTATTTTTAGTATAGACACAGTTTCGTCACATTGGCCAGGCTGGTTTTAAACTCCTGGACTCAAGTGATCTGCCCGCCTCAGCCTCCTAAAGTGTTAGAATTAGAGGTGTGAGCCACCACGCCCAGCCTAAACTCATTTTATGAGGCCAGCAATACCCTGATACCAAAACCACAACAGATACTACAAGAAAACTATAGATATCCTTGATGGATATTCATGTAAAAATCCTGAACAAAAATACTCACAAACTGAATTCAACAGCACATTAAAAGGATTATACAGCCGGGTATGGTAGCTCACTCCTGTAATCCCAGCACTTTGGGAGGCTGAGACGGGTGGATCACCTGAGGTCAGGAGTTCAAGACCAGCCTGGCCAACATGGCAAAACCCTGTCTCTACTAAAAATACAAAAATTAGCCAATCATAGTGGCAAGCGCCTGTAATCCCAGCTACCTGGGAGGCTGAGGCAGGAGAATCGCTTGAATCCAGGAGGCGGAGGTTGCAATAAGCTGAGATCGCACCACTACACTCCAGCCTGGGCAACAGAGTGAGACTCTGTCTCAAAAAAAAAAAAAAAAATGGATTATACACCATGGCCAAGTGGGACTTGACTTATTCCTGGAATGCAAGGATGGTTCAACATACAAATATCAATCAGTGTAATGGACTACAAATGGTTTGCAACTGATCATGACCTGACTTACAATTTTTTTGTTTTATGATGGGTTTATTGGTGTTTACAATGCATTTTTTTTGTGGTGTTTTGTTTTGTTTTGTTTTTGAGACAGGGTCTTACTCTGTCACCCAGGCTGGAATGCAGTGGCATGACCTTGGCTCACTGAAACCTTTGCTCCCCAGGTTCAAGCAATTCTCCAGCCTCAGCTTCACAGGTGCATGCTACCATGCCCAGCCATTTTTTTTTTTTTAATTTTTTGTAGAGATGGGGTTTCACTATGTTGCCCAGGCTGGTCTTGAACTTCTAAGCTCAAAGCGATCTGCCTGACTCAGCCTCCCAAAGTGCTGGGATTACAGGTGTGAGCCACCCCACACCTGGCCTCGGTACATTTTTTATTTAGATATTTTTTATTTACAATGGGCATGTCAGAATGTAATGCCATTTTAAGTTGAGAGGCACATTAACAGAATGAAGAACAGAAACCATATTATCATCTCAATTGATATAGAAAAAGCACTTGGCAAAAACACTCAACAAACTACGAATGAAAGGAAATTATCTCAACCTAATAAAGGCCATGTTTGAAAAGCCCACAGCTAACATCATATTCAATAGTGAAAAACTGAAAGCTTTTCTTCTAAGATCAGGAACAAGGCAAGTACGTACATTCTTGCTACTTCTATTCAACATATTACTAAAAGCCCTTGCCAGAGCACTTAGGCAAAAAATAAATAAATAAAAGCTGAAAATTGGAAAAGAAGGGCCAGGCACGGTGGCTCATCCTGTAATCCCAACACTTTGGGAGGCTGAGACGGGAAGATTGCTTGCTTGAGGCCAGAATTTCAAGATTAGTCTGGGCAACACAGCAAGACCCTATCTCTACAAAAAACTTTTTAAAAATTAGCCAGGCATGATGTTGCATGCTTGTAGTCCCAGCTGTGCATGAGGCTAAGGCAGGGGGATCACTTGAGCCCCAGCTTTGGTGATAAGGGTGAAACCTTGCCTTAAAAAAAAAAAAGGAAAAGAAGTAAAATTATCTTCATTAACAAATGATGTGGTATTATATGTGGAAAACCCTAAGGATTCCACCAAAAAATGGTTAGAACTAATAAATAAATTCAACAAAGTTGCAAGGTACAAAATCAACACACAAAAATCAGTTGCCTTCTAAACACTAACAATGAACAACTCAAAAAGGAAATTAAGAAAACAATCACATTTAAAATAGCATCAAAAAGAATAAAATATTTAGGAATAACTTAATCAAGTAGGCAAAAGACTTATATACTGAAAACTACAAAACAGTGCTGAAAGAAATTAGATGCAAATAAATGGAAAGACATTCGTGTTTGTGGATTGGAAGACTTAATATTGTTAAAATCCCATACTACCCAAAGTAAGCTACAGATTCATTGCAATACCTATCAAAATCCCAGGGCCATTTTTCTTTGCAGATTTTTAAAAAGTCCTAAAATTCATACGGAATCTCAAAAGACCCTGAATAGACAAAATAATCTTCAGAAAAATAAAGCCGGAGGCCTTCCACTTCCTGACTTCAAACATTGTACAAAGATGCAGTAATCAAAACAGAGTGGTACTGGCATAAGAACAGACATATAGACCAACGGAGTAGAATAGAGAACCCACTTCCTGACTTCAAAACATTGTGCAAAGATGCAGTAATCAAAACAGAGTGGTATTGGCATAAGAACAGACATATAGACCAACGGAACAGAATAGAGAACCTAGAGTTAAACTCTCAAGTATCTGGTCAAGTGATCTTTGACAAGGGTACCAAAGCTACATAGTGGGGAGAGAATAGTGTTGGGAAAACCGGATATCCGCAAGCAAAAGAATGACGTTCAACCTTTACCCTACACCATATACCAAAATTAACTCAAAATGGACTAAAGACCTAAATGTAAGACCTGAAACTATAAAACTCCTAGAAGACAACGGGGGAAGCTTCATGACATTGGATTTAGCAGTGATTTCTCAGATATGATACCAAAAGCACAGACAAAGTAAAAATAGACAATTGGGGCTACATCAAACATAAACTTCTGCATAGCAAAGGACACAATCAACGGAATGAAAAGATGACCTAGGGAACGGGAGAAAATATCCACGATACATAAAGAATGCCTACAACTCAACAACAACAACAAAAAACCCGATTCAAAAATGGGCAAAGGACTTGAATAAACATTTCTCCAAAGAAGATATACAAATGGCCAACAAGCATATGAAAACATGGTTAACATCAGTAATCAGGTAAATGCAAATCAAAACCACAATGAGGTATCACCTCATCATCCATTAGGATGCCCACTGTAAAAAACAAATGAACACAGGTTGGGCGTGGTGGTTCACGCCTGTAATCCCAGCACTTTGGGAGGCCAAGGCGGGTGGATCACCTGAGGTCAGGAGTTCAAGACCAGCTTGGCCAACATGGTGAAACCTCGTCTCTACTAAAAATACAAAAATTAGCCGGGGGTGGTGGTGGGCGCCTGTAATCCCAGCTACTCGGGAAGCTGAGGCAGGAGAATCGCTTGAACTTGGGAAGGGGAGGTTGCAGTGAGCCGAGATCGCACCGCTGCACGCCAGCCTGGGCAACAGAGTTAGACTCCGTCTCAGAACAAACAAACAAACATACAAACAAACACAGAAAATATGTAGTGTTGGTGAGGAGGTGGAGAAATTGGAACCTTTGTGCATTGTTGTTAGTAATGTAAAATGGTGATGCTGCCATGGAAAACAGTATGGGGATTCCTATAAAAATAAAAAATAAAATTTCCATATGATCTAGCAATCCACTTCTGGGTATATATCCAAAAGAACTGAAAACAGGATCTTAGAGATATCTGCACACCCGTGTTCACTGCAGCATTATTCACAATAGCCAAGAGGCGGAATCAGCAGAAATGTTTATGGACAGGTAACTGGGTGGCATATACATACAGTGGAATATTATTCAACATTTATAAAAAGAAGAAAATCCTGTCATATACTACACTATGGATGAGCCTTGTGGATATCATGCTAAGTGAAATAAGCCAGGTCCTAAAAGACAAACACCTCATGATTCTACTTATATGAAGTATCTAAAGTAGTTAAACTCTTAGAAACAGAAGTAGAATGGTGGTTGGCAGGGGATGGAGAAAGAGGAAAAAGTTGTTCCATGGATATAAAGTTTCTGTTTTGCAAGAAGAATAAGTTCTAGAGATCTGTTGCGCAACAATGTGCATGTGGTTAACACTACTGTACACTTAAAAATGGTTAAAATGGTAAATTTTATATTTTGTGTTTTTAACCACCACTACCAAAAAAAAAAAAAAAAAGCTAGGGAACTAAATTGTTATTTTGAAAACACACATAAGGGAAAGAATCGGCTGGGTGTGGTGGCTTACACCTGTAATCCCAGCATTTTGAGAGGCTGAGGCAGGAGGATCACTTGAGGCCAGAGTTCAAAACCAACCTGGGCAACATAACAAGATGCCCATCTCTAAAAAAAAAAAAATTAGCCAGGGGTGGTGGCACTTACTTAAATGGGAGGACTGCTTGAGCACAGGAGTTTGAGGCTGCAGTGAGCTATGATCACACCACTGTATTTCAGCCTGGGTGACAGAGAGCCTGTCTCTAAAATTAAAAAACAAAAAAAAAGTAAGAGAATCAAGCACCCATACTGCCTTTCCTACATTAATTGTATCTCAGGAGCCAAATAGTTGAAGGGAGGTTTCTCTTTGTAGAAGAATTGTGGTTAACAAATGAAGTAATATTGAAATTTTTTAGGCTCAAGCGATGCTCCCATCTAAGCCTCAGCCTACCGAGTAGCTGGGACTACGGGCACGCGCCACCACATCCAGCTAATTTTTAATTTTTTTTTTTTTTTTGTAGAGACAGAATTCTCGCTGTGTTGGCGAGGCTGGTCTCGAACTCCTGGGCTCAAACGATCCTCCCTACCCGGCCTCCCAAAGTGCTGGGATTACAACAGTGAGCCACCGCGCCCACCAGAGCCAATTATTTTTAGATGAGGAAACTGAAATTCCCAAAGGGGGAATCCCCGTGTGAGAAAGCCTCGTGTAGGTGAGCTTTCCAGCATATGCCCGCCTTCTAGATTTAACCTCTGAAAACTAAATTTTAAGGTACCTTTGCTTCCAGGGGAAACCAATTCTGCCTACTTGGGAAGCCAGAACATGACCGCGTAGGCAAGACCTAGCTCTGCGCACGCGCAGAGCCACCACGTCTGGCGTTCGCGTGAGAACCTTCTGGGCGTGGGCTTCCTGCGGCTGAGTGGCAGCTTCCATCCGGTGGGTTTTGCTCGGCGCACCCGGGAGGCGGGGCCAGCGAGGCAAGATGGAGTTAGTGCAGGTCCTGAAACGCGGGCTGCAGCAGATCACCGGCCACGGCGGTCTCCGAGGCTATCTACGGGTTTTTTTCAGGTAGGCGGCCAGAGCCATGCTCTTGGCCTCTGGGGCTGGACTTTCGCTGGCTGATTTCTTGGAAGGGGTCCCAGGCTCGGGTCACCTTGGAGAATCCACAGCTCTTGTCAAGGACAACCGCCCCAATCTCTGCCTTGCCACCCCCAGGCTGGTCTCTGTCCCATATATCCCCGATACAAGACCGAAGCTATCTGTAGAGTCAGAGCTGTGACTCGGAGGCAAGGGCATCTGGGCTCCCCTCTTTTCCCACGCCCTGGAGAGTAATGAGGATTACAAGACATTAACTCAGTGACCCTGGTAAAGTTTTTTTCCCTGCACTGCCGTACAGTTCCTTGTCTGTAAGGCGTTGAAGGTAATAATGATGGTCCCTTCTCTTCCTGACATTCACTGATCCCACGAGCAGCATAGTTTCGCAGAAACCTAAATGGAGACCCAGAGTGGAATGAAAGAGCCTGGAGACCTTCGTATCATTGTAAGAAGATGAAATACTTTGGCTTTTTGATTTCCTAAAGGTTTTGCTAATTCCAGTGCCTCCTGGCTGAGGGATAGTAGATACAAGTAGTCCTGTAATCTGAAGAGACTACATTTATATTTTTAGTGTAATTTGAGCACATCAGTTGTCAATTCATCTTTTCCCATCCCCAGCACTTCTTCATTTTGCTAGTTGATGCAGCAGCCCTTGTGTCTGAAAGTTGTTACTCTCACTTTATTTCCGTTTATGTTTTGAACTAAGAATCATTCTAAAATGTCTGTTTTCTTTTGGGTATTCACAGGACAAATGATGCGAAGGTTGGTACATTAGTGGGGGAAGACAAATATGGAAACAAATACTATGAAGACAACAAGCAATTTTTTGGTGAGTGCAGTATTTTTTAGTATGAATAATTGGATTGGGATTGGGATTTGATTTGAGTCTATTTTCCATATTATGCAATGAGCTTTTACAAAACACCTGGAAAAGGATGAAAAACTCAATAGAAAATGAAAAAAGATAATTTACAGAAAAAAGAAAAGTAAACAGCCAATGAAGGTATGGAAAAATGCTCATTCTCACTTGTAACAACAGAAATGCAACTTTAAAAACAGTGTTATATATTTTTCACCTATCAAATTTTGAAGTGTTTTTGTTCTTTTTTTTTTTTTTTTTTTTTTTTTTTGAGATGGAGTCTCTGTCGGCCAGGCTGGAGTGCAGTAGCGCGATCTCGGCTCACTGCAACCTCCACCTCCTGGGTTCCAGCGATTCTCCTGCCTCAGCCTGCCTGAGTAGTTGGGACCACAGGCGGGCGCCACCATGGCCGGCTAATTTTTGTATTTTTTAGTAGAGATGGGGTTTCACCATATTGGCCAGGCTGGTCTTGAACTCCTGACCTCGTGATCCACCCGCCTTGGCCCCCCAAAGTGCTGGGATTACAGGCGTGAGCCACTGCGTCCAGCCTTGAGTATTTTTCAAGCTGATAAATCCCAATGTGGGCAAAACCATATAAATATGTAGGTTAATGCAGTCTTTTTGGAGGGATAATTTGGTAACATTTGTAAAAATTTACATTGCACATATCCTTTGTCTCAGCACTTCCACTTTTAACAATTAATTCGGCTGGGCGCGGTGGCTCACGCCTGTAATCCCAGCACTTTGGGAGGCGGAGGCGGGCGGATCACGAGGTCAGGAGATCGAGAGCATCCTGCCCAACGTGGTGAAACCCAGTCGCTACTAAAAATACAAAAATTAGCTGGATGTGGTGGCGTGTGCCTGTAATCCCAGCTACCTGAGAGGCTGAAGCAGGAGAATCGCTTGAACCAGGGAGTCGGAAGTTGCAGTGAGCCCAGATCCCGCCACTCTACTCCAGTCTGGCAACAGAGCGAGACTCTTATCTCAAAAAAGAATTAATTCTACAAATATTCTTGCAAACCAACATACATCACAGCATTGTTTTATTATATTTTAAAAATTTATTTATTTATTTAATGTTGAGACAGGGTCTCGCTCTGTCACCCAGTCTAGAGTGCAGTGACTCGATCATGGCTCACTACAGCCTCAACTTTCTGGGCTCAAGCTGTCCTCCTACCTCAGCCACCCAAGTAGCTGGGATTACAGGCATGTGTCACCATGCCTGGCTAATTGTTTAAAAAAATTTTTTTTTGGAGAGACGAGGTCTTGCTATGTTTCTTAGGCTGGTCTTGAATTCCTGGGCTCAGGTGATCCTCCCACCTCAGCCTCCCAAAGTGCTGGAATTACAGATGTGAGTCACTGTGCCTGGCCACAGCATTTTTGTTTGTTTTTGTTGTTGTTATTTTGAGACAGGGTCTCACTGTCGCCTAGGCTGGAGGCAGTGGTGTGATCTTGACTCCCTGCAGCCGTGACCTCCTGGGTTCTAGCCTTCCTCCTGCCTCAGCCTCCTATGTAGCTGGGACCACAGTCATGCACCACCACACCTGGTTAATTTTTTAATTTTTTTAAAGAGATGGGGTCTCACTTTGTTCCCCAGGCTGGTCTTGAACTCCTGGGCTTAAGCCATCCTCTTGTCTCAGCCTCCCAAAGTGCTGGGATCACGGGCATGAGCCACCGTGCTAGTAAATTTTAAAAGCAACATTAGTGTGCGTAAGTTGGATACTGATGAATTAAACATTTTTTAGAATAGTTTGTTGTTGTTTTTTTATTTTAAGTTCTAGGGTACATGTGCACAACGTGCAGGTTTGTTACATATGTATACGTGTTTTGGAATACGTTGTTGTTAAGAATGATATAAACCTATAAATTTAATATAGAGAGATGTCAAAGATGTGTGTAATATAAAAAAATTCCAGTAGCAGAACAATGTTTGGTATCCTTAAAAGGAGAAAATACATGCTTTTTGTGTGCATGTTAAATTTTGGAAGGAAACTCAATAAACTCATAGAATCAGATGATAGAGATTCAACATTCTGCCCCTCCACTTTATAACTTTGTGACCTGGTTAACTTAATTAACTTCCCTAACCCTCAGTTTTCTCATCTGTAAAGTAGAATAATAATAATATGTGCCTCCTAAAGCTGTATTAAAAGATGAAAAGTGAATGGGAGGAACTTACTGTGATTAGGGTTTCTCAGCCTCAGCAGTGTTAACACTATGGGGCAGATAATTCTATTCATTTTTTGTTTTTTTATTTCAATAGTTTTTGGAGTACAGGTGGTTTTTGGTTACATGGATAAGTTTTTTAGTGGTGAGTTCTGAGATTTTGGTATATCTGTCACCCGAGCAGTGTTACACTGTATCCAGTATGTAGTCTTTTATCCCCTTGAGTCCCCAAAGTCCTTTATATCATTCTTATACCTTGGCATCCTCATAGCTTAGTTCCCACTTGTAAGTGAGAACATACGATATTTGGTTTATCATTCCTGAGTTACTTCACTTAGAATAATGGCCTCCAGCTCCATCCAAGTTGCTGCAAAGGCCATTATTGCTTTCTGTTTTACGGCTGAGTAGTATTCCATGGTGTATATATACCACATTTTCTTTATCCACTCGTTCACTGATGGGCATTTAGGTTGGTTCCTTATTTTTGCAATTACAAATTGTGCTGCTATAAACATGTGTATGCATGTGTCTTTTTCATGTAATGACTTCTTTTTCTTTGGGTACATACCCAGTAGTGGGATTGCTGGATCGAATGGTAGTTCTGCCTTCAGTTCTTTAAGGAATCTCCTTACTGTTTTCCATAGTTGTTGTACTAGTTCACATTCCCAACAGCAGTGTAAAAGTGTTGTGTTTTCACCACATCCACACTACCATCTATTATTTTTTGAATTTTTAATTATGGCCATTCTTGCAGGAGTAAGGTGCTATCTCATTGTGGTTTTAATTTGCATTTTCCTGATAATCAGTGATGTTGAGCATTTTTTTCATAGGTTTGTTGACTGTTTGTATATCTTCTTTTGAGAATTGTCTGTTCATGTCCTTTGCCCACGTTTTGATGGGATTGTTTTTTTCTTACTGATTTGTGTGAGTTCCTTGTAGTTTCTGGATATTAGTCCTTTGTCTAATGCATAGTTTGCAAATATTTTCTCCCACTTTGTGGGTTGTCTGTTTACTCTGCTGATTATTTCTTTTGCTGAACAGAAGCTTTTTAGTTTAATTAGGTACCATTTATTTATTTTTGTTTTTGTTACATTTGGGTTCTTAGTTATGACTTCTTGCCTAAGCCAATGTCTGGAAGAGATTTTCTGATGTGATGTTCTAGAATTTTTATGTTTTCAGGTCTTAGATTTAACTCTTTGATCCATCTTGAGTTGATTTTTGTATAAGGCAAGAGATGAAGATCCACTTCCATTCTTCTACATGTGGCTTGCTAGTTTTTCCAACACCATTTGTTGAATAGGGTGTCCTTTCCCCACTTTATGTTTTTGTTTGCTTTGTTGAAGATCAGTTGGCTGTGAGTATTTGGCTTTATTTCTGGGCTCTCTGTTCTGTTCCATTGGTCTACCTAGCTACTTTTATACCGGTAGCATAGTGTTTTGGTAACTGTAGCCTCGTAGTATAATTTGAAGTTGGGTAATGTGAAGTCTCTAGATTTGTTCTTTTTGCTTAGTATTGCTTTGGCTGTGTGGGCTCATTTTTGGTTCCATATGAATTTTAGAATTGTTTTTTCTAGTTCTGTGAAGAATGATGATGGTATTTTGATGGAAATTACATTGAATCTGTAGATTGCTTTGGGCCATATAGTCGTTTTCACAATATTGATTATGTGCATCCATGAGCATGGGATATGTTTCCATTTGTTTGTGTCATCTATGATTTCTTTCAGCAGTGTTTTTTAGTTTTCCTTGTAGAGATCTTTCACTTCCATGGTTAAGTATATTCCTAAGTATTTTATTTTATTTTTTGCAGCTGGTGTAAAAGGGATGGAGTTCTTGATTTGATTCTCAGCATGGTCATTGTTGGTGTATAGCTGTGCTACTGATTTGTATACATTGATTTAGTATCCTGAAACTTTGCTGGATTTATTTATCAGGTCTAGGAGCTTTTTGGATGGTCTTTAAGTTTTTCTAGATATATAATCCTATCATCAACAAACAGCGACAGTTTGACTTCCTCTTTTTAAATTTGGATGCACTTTATTTCTTTCCTTTATCCAATTGCTCTGGCTACGACTTCCAGTACTGTGTTGAATAGAAGTGGTGAATGTGGGCATCCTTGTCTCGTTCCAGTTCTCAGGGAGAATGCTTTCAGCCTTTCCCCATTCGGTATGATGTTTGCTGTGGGTTTGTCATATATGGCTTTTTTTACTTTGAGGTATGTTCCTTCTGTGCCAATTTTGTTGAGGGTTTTTATCATACAGGAATGTTGGATTTTATCGAATGCTTTTTCTGCATCTGGTGAGATGATCATATGATTTTTATTTTTAATTCTATTTATGTGATATATCACATTGACTTGGGTATGTTAAACCATCCCTGCATCCCTAGTATTCAACCCACTTGATCATGATATATTATTATCTTTTTGATATGCTGTTGGATTTGGTTAGCTAATATTTTGTTGAGGATTTTTGCATCTGTGTTCATCAGGGATATTGGTTTGTAGTTTTCTTTTTTTGAGACAGCTAATTCTTTGTTGTGAGGGGCTGTCCTGTGCATCATAGAATGACCAGCAGCAGCAGCACTGACTGACAAACCAAAAATGTCTCCAGACATTGCCAAATGTCCCCTTGGGGGCAAAATTTCCATCTGTTAAGAACCATTGGCCTAATGCTTGGCACATAATAAGTGCTCAATAAATATTAGCACTGTGACTGCTGTTATTATTTTTACAGTTTGAGTATCCCTTACCCAAAATGCTTGGGACCACAAGTATTTCAGATTTTAGGTTTTTTTGGATTTTGGAATATTTGCATTATACGTCCCAGTTTAGCATCTCTAATCTGAAATCTGAAATGCTCTAATGAGCATTTCTTTTGAGTGTCATAACAGCACACAAAAAAAGTTTCCAATTTTGGAGCTTTTGGAATTGGAGATACCCAACCTGTACCTTCTTGAATTGTTGAATTTTCTCCCATGTGCATTTGTTACTTTTATAATAATAAAAAAATACTCTCTTGATTGAGATGAAAAGTATCAAAGAGGAAAAAGCAATTAGTCTTCATCCAGGGGAACAATGTATAACGTGAAAAAATAATTGCCTGGCATTTATTGAGTGATTACCATGTGCTAGGTGCTGTGCTAAACAAAAACATACGTTATCTACCTTAATCTTCAACATCTCCTTGAGATAAGCACTTCTGTGCTCCTCCGCCCCCATTTCACAGATGAAGAAGGTAAGTCATTGAATAGTTAGGAATATTTCTCAGGAATGTGGTTGCTTTGGATGCATGTTGGTCTATAAGAAGTAAACATCTTATGTACTCTATGTGTGTGCGTGTGTGTGCGTGTGTGTGTGTATGTGTGAGTGTGATGAGGTCTCACTATTTTACCTGGGCTGGTCTTGAACTCCTGAGCTCAAGCAATCCTCCCGCCTTAGCCTCCTGAGGAGCTGGAATTACAGGCACATACTGTCACACCTAGTTATGATATTTTTAATACATAAATCACAGAATTTTAGACCTAGAATAGATTTTAAGAGATTGTCTAAAAACTATTGTTTTATAGATGAAGAAACTGAGGCCCAAGGAAGTATCTTTACCAAAGAGACTTAATCATGTAATTAATGGCAGAACCTGGGGTAATTATTCTTTCTACTTCTCACTGTATTGTTACAAACTATAATATTACATTCTTTCCTTTCTTTAATTTTTTTTTTTTTTTTGAGACAGAGTTTTGCTCTTGTTGCCCAGGCTGGAGTGCCATGGCACGATCTTGGCTCGCTGCAACCTCCACCTCCCAGGTTCAAGTGATTCTCCTGCCTCAGCCTCCTGAGTAGCTGGGATTACAGGCATGCGCCATCATGCCCAGCTAATTTTTTGTATTTTTAGTAGAGATGGGGTTTCTCTATGTTGGTCAGGCTGGTCTTGAACTCCTGACCTCGTGATCCACCCGCCTCAGCCTCCCAAAGTGCTGGGATTACAGGTGTGAGCCACTGCAGCCAGCCTCCTTTCTTCTGTTCTCCCTTGCATTGGAAATATTCTTATTTTTGCTAATTAAAAAAAAATTAGGGCCTGGCATGGTGGCTCATGCCTGTAATCCCAATGCTTTGGGAGGCTAAGGTGGGAGGATCAGTTGAGGCCAGCAGTTCAAGACCAGCCTGGGCAACATAGAGACCCCCATCTCGTGTGTGTGTGTGTGTGTGTGTGTGTGTGTGTGTACCTATATATGTATGTATTTATATATATTTGGTGTATGAAAGCTCCCTCCCCTTATAATTTTGCAACTCTTTCAATAGTTTAGTCTTTATGTATATTTAAAATTCTTTTCTTTTATTTCGAGACAGGGTCTCTCTGTTGCCCCACCTGAAATGCAGTGGTGTGATCTCGGCTCACTGCAACCTCTGCCTCCCGTGCTCAAGTGATCCTCTCACCTCAGCCTTGAGAGTAGCTGGGACTACAGGCATGTGCCACCATGCCCAGCTAATTTTTGTATTTTTTGTAGGGACAAGGTTTCACTATGTTGCCCAGGATGGTCTCGAACTCCTGAGCTCAAGTGATCCCCCTGCCTCAGCCTTCCAGAGTCCTGGGATTAAGAAGTGAGCCACCGTGCCCAGCCAGTTGTGTTTATTAAAAAAAAAAAATGCACAGCATTTTTAAAAATAGCAACACAACATTCCAGTGTATGGAAGAACCATTATTTCTTCAATCCTGTTACTATCGATAGACACATAGATTGCTTTTGACTTTTTGCTATTAGGAATGATGCTACTGTAAACCTGCTTGTAACTACATTCATGTGTTTAAATAAATTTCTGGCCTGATCTCTACTAAAAATACAAAAATTAGCCAGGCATGGTGGCACATGCCTATGGTCCCAGCTACTCGGGAGGCTGAGGCAGGAGAATCGCTTGAACCCAGGAAGGGGAGGTTGCAGGCAGTGAGCCGAGGCCGCGCCATTGCACTCCAGCCTAGGCGACAGAGCGAGACTCCGTCTCCAATAAATAAATAAATAAATAAATAAAGTTGAATTTCTGAGTCTGAGAATAGGCATTTAACATTTCAAGAAATACAGAGAGAGAGACAGACAGAGAGAGAGAGAGATTGTTAGGGCCCACTTCCATCATTATAGCCTAACTGTATTGTCAGGGCTTGACTTATGAAACCTTTCCCAAGGTCTCCTCCATCTGCCTGCACATTCCCCTGCCTCACTGGATTATAGTTTACTTTTAGTTAGCTATTCTTAAGATTTATTTCTCTAAATGAAGCAGTAAATGTTGATTGAAATCTGTATTTTTAAAAAGAGATGAGGTCATGTTTAAGTACCGTTAGTCAATTTTTGTTGATTATATGTTTACCTGGGAAAACCCTGTAAATGAAATGCAGATTACCTTTTACTTATTGGTTTAAAGTCCATCATAGGAATGAATGGATTCAGTGTTCCCTATTGGCAGGTAAGAGCAGTAAGGAAGGGGTAGAAGGAATTAATACTTATTATGTGCTTATATGGCTGATGCTGAACTAGGTGAATGTATGTGATGTTTAATTTTCACAGCAACTCTAAGATGTAGGTATAGTCATCCACTTTTACTAGATAAAGAAACTGAGGCTCATAAAATTTGCCTAATAACCACTGATAATAAGTGACAAAGCCCAAGTCTTTGCTCAGTTTAAGGACCCAATTGTGTAAATAAGTAGTGGTTAGGCCCCTCAACTAGTGCACAGAAATTTCCTAAATGAGGAGTGCAGCCATATTATTTTGATGACATGAGCTGTCCTATGTACCTAACCATCATTTCTAATGTTTGCTTATTGTATATAATTCACAAATTTCCAAAAGGATCTAGGGTGGTTTTAAAAAAATACTTATGTGGAGACATAGAATTCAAGTATGATTGCTACAAATGTGTTTTTTCCCCAGTCTCAAGAGGAACACCTTCTTTTCTGAATACCCTGTACATCTGGGAACACACTTTCCTATCCTGTCTGCTACTCCCTCTGTGGGGAGCTGGCAGGGAAGCAAGGATTCTCCCCTGTGGGAAAGGCCTGAGCCCCACCCACAGCAGTGAATCATCTCAGTCCTTGCTGCGGGTTGCTGCTTAAAGTTTGCCACACACCTCCTGGAGCTTACCTTCACGAATTCACCCAGGGTGTTATTCCTCCAATAGCTCTCTTATATAAGATCACAAAAAGTCTTTTCTTAATAAAAAGGTTGTCTTCTTTGATATTATGCATCTATGCTTTAAAAAAAAAAGTTTTTCTTTTTAAATGTTCATCTTCCCACCCAGGCCGTCACCGATGGGTTGTATATACTACTGAAATGAATGGCAAAAACACATTCTGGGATGTGGATGGAAGCATGGTGCCTCCTGAATGGTAAGCTAAGACAACATTTTATTTGTCTTTCTTTTTTTTCTTTTTTGAGACAGGGTCTCACTCTGTCACCCAGGCTGGAGTGCAGTGACATGATCATGACTCATGTCAGCTTTGACCTCCCAGGCTCAAGTGATCCTCCCACATCAGCCTCCCTAGTAGCTGGGACTACAGGCCCATGCCATCTCACCCGGATAATTTTTGTTTTGTTTTTAAATTTGTTTGTTTGTTTCTTTTTTGAGACAGAGTCTCATTCTGTCGCCCAGGCTGGAGTGCAGTGGTACAAACTTGGCTCACTGCAACCTCCACCTCCTAGGTTCAAGCGATTCTCCTGTCTTAGCCTCCCGAGTAGCTGGGACTACAGGTGTGAGCCACCACGCCTGGCTAATTTTGTATTTTTAGTACAGACAGGTTTTCACTGTGTTGGCCAGGCTGGTCTCGAACTCCTGACCTCAGGTGATCCATCCACCTCGGCCTCCCAAAGTGCTGGGATTACAGGCATGAGCCACCGTGCCTGGCTTTTTTTTTTTTTTTTTTTTTTTTTTTTTGAGACAGAGTCTCACTCTGTTGCCCAAGCTAGAGTGCAGTGGCATGATCTTGGCTCACTGCAACCTCTGACTGCCAGGTTCAAGCAGTTCTCCTGCCTCAGCCTCCCGAGTAGCTGGGACTACAGGCTCATGCTACCACGCCTGGCTAATTTTTGTATTGTTAGTAGAGATGG
Organism: Homo sapiens; assembly: GCF_000001405.40. Lineage (NCBI taxonomy): Eukaryota > Metazoa > Chordata > Mammalia > Primates > Hominidae > Homo > Homo sapiens. The sequence goes on along the minus strand of NC_000012.12, from coordinate 94,993,451 downwards.
GGTTTCACCGTTTTGGCCAGGCTGGTCTTGAACTCCTGACCTCAGGTGATCCACCCGCCTCGGCCTCTCAAAGTGCTGGGATTACAGGCATGAGCCACTGCACTCGGCCTAATTTTTGTATTTTTTATAGAAATGCGATTTCGCCATGTTGCCCAGGCTGGCCTCAAACTCCTAGGCTCAAGTGATCCACCCACCTCGGCCTCTCAAAGTGCTGGGATTATAGGCATGAGCCACCATGCCCAGCTTTTATTTATTTTTTTAGTTGAAATGGGATCTTGCTATGTTGCCCAGGCTGGAACTCCTGGGCTCAAGCAATCCTCTCACCTCACCCTTCCAAGTAGCTGAGATTATAAGCACGAGCCACCATGCCTGGTTCATTTTATTTTATTTAACTTGGCAATATTTATTTCATTACAAAAATATTTATTGAATATCTCTCTATAAAGCAGTCAGTGGTGTTCTTCTGAAAGTATCTGTCCTATTTACATTGAGTGCATAATAAGTTACCCTTAAATTTAGTGGCTTAAAACAACAACTGTTTCTCTCTCCATAGTTTTTTTTTGGGTCAGGAGTTCAGACAAGATAAAACGAGGGTGGCTAGTCTCTGCTCCTAGATGTCTGATGTCTGGAGCCTCAGCTGGAAGACTCCAAGTCTGGACACTGGAATCATCTGAAAACTTGTTCACTTAGTATCTGGCATTTATTGCTGGCTGTCAGCTGGGGGTATAGTTGGGCCTGTGGGTTGGAACACCTTCCTGTTGCCTGGGCTGACACAGGCAAGTGCTCTGAGAGAGTGAGCTAGGCAGGAACCATATTGCCTTATCTAACTTAGTCTTGCAAATTGTCCAGTGTCACTTTCATATTCCATTGATTGAGGCAATTAGAAAGCTCCACCCAAGTTCTACATGAGAAAACATGAACCTATCTCTTGATGGAGGCATGTCAACATCACAGTATATATTGGGATGTGTAATGGTGTGGCTGTCTTGGAAAAACAATATGCCATAGTATCACCTGTCTGGGTGAAGCGAAAGGTGAAAAGAACTTTGGCTGTAATCTTATCTGGCAGTTTGACTTTAAGCAAGTTCCTTAACCTCTCTGGGGGTTAGTCTCATTGTCTATAAAATGAGAGCCCTAAAATTCCTTAGGTCTCTAAAATTTGTATGACTTTATAATACGCATATTTTGAAATGAAATTCTAAATGCTCACTTGAATTACCAAATTTTGCATGACGTATTTCAAAGCAAAGTACTTATATCTGTTTCATAGATTGCTGAAATAATACCATACAGTTGATATACAATTAAACTCTGGAGCTCCTTTCCAGTGGTCTAGAAAATTTCACCCAAAAACTAGAAATAAGTATATCTGGTGGGCTGTGACATTTTATTTTAATTGAATTTGATCATCAGAGCTAGTTTTGGGCTGTCTTCAGTAGAAAGTGGGATAATCTCAGTGTATTTGCCTCTGTTCTAAAGAGTCACTTGGAAACCCAGATATGTGACATAAGTGAGTGAAGTGCAGCTATGAAACAATAGGACGTAGTGGAGACTGCAGTGAACTGAAAAGTACAGACTTGTCAAAGAGGGCAGCAGGCTTATTCAGCAACCTGCAGTTCCATCAGGTGAGAATTCTGCGAAGGGTTTCTGGATGATTTTTCAAAGGTGGACATCTGTATTTATTTGTGAGACTTCTTGTTTTTTCTTGCTTTTTTTTTTTTTTTTGAGATAGCGTCTCACTCTGTCGCCCAGGCTGGAGTGCAGTGGCACCATCTTGGCTCACTGCAACTTCCGCCTCCCAGGTTCAAGCAATTCTCCCGCCTCAGCCTCTCAAGTAGCTGGGACTACAGGTGCCTGCCACCGTACCTGGCTAATTTTTGTACTTTTACTACAGACAGGTTTCACCATGTTGGCCAGGTTGGTCTTGAACTCCTGGCCCCGAGTGATCCACCCACTTTGGCCTCGCAAAGTGTAGGGATTACAGGCATGAGCCACTGCACCGGGTCAGTTCTTTTTTTTTTCAATTAATTTTTAAAAATATTTGACATTTTAAATACAGCATTATCTAGCAGAACTTTTCACAATGACGGAAGTGTTCTTTATCTGCCCTGTCCAATAGGGTAACCACTTGCCACGTGTGGCCCAGAACATTTTATTATTATTAATATTATTATTATTTTGAGACGGGGACACTCTGTTGCCCAGGCTGGAGAGCAATGGCACAATCAGTCTCGACTTCCTGGGCTCAAGTGATCCTCCTGCCTCAGCCCCCTGAGTAGCTGGGACTACAGGCATGTGGCACCATGCCCAGCTAATTTTTTTGTATTTTTAGTACAGATGAGGTTTCGCCATGTTGCCCAGGCTGGTCTCAAACTCCTGGACTCAAATGATTCGCCAACCTCTGCCTCCCAAAATACTGGGATTAGAGGCATGAGCCACCACACCTGGCCTTTCTAGAGCACTTTAAAATGTGGATAATGCAACTGAGGACATTTTAAAATTTTTATTTAAGATAAGTAGGCTACTCGATTGGACAGAATAGTTTGTTTGTTTTTCAAATACTGTGAGCTAAGCAAAACATATTTGTACTGTACATTTTTGCTGAGCTATAACCAGATTTCAACCCCTGTTCTACTACTTGGACTAATTGTGAGCACTGACTGTGTCAGTGATGTAATTTGAAGAATATGATAATGGATAATATCTTTAAAAGCTCACTGGGGCTTGGTGTGGTGGCTCATACCTGTAGTCCCAGCACTTTGGAAGGCTGAGGCATGAGGCTCGCTTGAGGCCAGAAGTTTGAGACCAGCCTGGGCAACATAACAAGGCCTCATCTCTATAAATAAAAAAAGTTTTAGAAAATTAGCCAGGCATGGTTGTACATGCCTGTAGTTCCAGCTACTTGGGAGGCTGAGGTGGGAGGATCCCTTCAGCCCAGGGGTTTGAGGTTGCAAGGAGGTATGATTGCACCACTGTACTCCAGCGTGGGTGACAGAGTGAAACCCTGTCTCTGAATAAAAAAAGCTCTTTGGTTCTTACCGTGAGAAAGCAGCACTGATTAGGAGCTTTCTCATGCTACATCATTTGGGGATTGCTGTTGCACTCTTTTTAGTGGGAAATAACAACCTGTGGTTCCGTTAAGGTCTGAGGAGCTGTGGGGTTTTTTTGTTTTTTTTTTTTCCACATTCTATGTCTCTTTATTTTTTTCCTTCAACTTTTATTCTAAGCTCCAGGGTACATGTGCAGGATGTGCAGGTTGACATAGGTAAACATGTGCCATGATGGTTTGCTGCACAGATCATCCTATCACCTAGGTATTAAGCCCAGCATGCATTGAGCTTTGGTTTTAGGTTTAGAACCATCAACCTTCTCCAAAGGGGCATTCTATATGTTAGGAGGACTATTTGAGACCAAGGTGTCAACATGGAATTCAGGCTTTAGGAGCTGAGGTGTCCTGGTTTTTGTTTAACTGAGAGATTGTTTCTTGGGTGGAATTGGTCCTGGGAGGCTATAGAAGGCATGTGAGCTGTCTTATTCAGATTGACATCTACCTGCTTCAAAATGTTCATCTAACATTGGTGCTCAGGGGCCACATTTTGGGAGATGAGGGGTAGGGGTGTGATTTCAATTATGTGCGATTAATTATGTTTAAAATTATAAAATAGTAAAAACCTGAAAAGCTAAAAGTTCTATTCAGTGGAGCAAGTCCTTTTATTTGATCTGAGACCACATGAAAATGAAGCTAAGAGCTGTAGAAGATCACTCCAGCAGGTGCCTAAGGGCAAGTGAGGATTCAAAGCTGCATTTCTTTGTGGAGAGGAGCCTCCTAAGGTCTGAGTACCTTTGATGACCCTTATTTGTATGGGAAGCTTCACGGCTTGTGATGAATCTTTTTAGGGAGAAATGGTGTTGAACAAGCTTAGCTGTTTGTTTCTCAAACCCCTCTTTGTTGACCGTGACACACTGTGGAATTCTAAATCTGTGGATTCTTACCTTTGATTCATGAATAAATTTGATGTTGGGTTGATATATCTCTAATTAGAGAGCTAGGTATTATCACGTGTAGAGAGTAATTGTACAGATACAATTTATCATCCCTATTCAAATAACTATTTAGTACCTACCAGGTGCCAAGAACCTGGGGTAAAGCAGTGAATAAAACAAGGTCCTTGTTTTCATAGGGGAAGGCAGAAAAACATCCTTTATATAATTGTGGTAATGAAAAATGCAAGGAAGATAATATGAAGCTGGGCCTCATGGGAATCAAGAGCAATGGAAGGGTCAGGTGGCTGTTTTATACAGCAGTTAGAGAAAGCTTCTTTGAGAAAGTGACATTTGAGGAAAGACGTAGAAGCGGGGAGAAAGCGTTCCAGGCAGAGGGAACCACAGGTGCAAAGCCTGTATGTTTGAGATGTATTGCTTGGTCTGTTCAAAGAACAGCAGTATGGCCAGTTTGGCTGGAATGGAATGAGTGAGGGGAAGATGTTAAGAAACGAGGTAGGAGAAATAGCTAGGGCCCAAATCATGTAGATGTTGTAAGATGAAAGGTTCTTGTATCGGCTCGAACCCTGAGAGTGCATCAGCAGACAACATGGCAGTGTGGAGCAACACACTGTTTTAATGAGCGCCTGGGTGCAGGTGGGCTGATGCCTAAAATGGCGTTAGCACCAAATGAGGATGGGGCAGGGGTTTTATAGTCTCCTGTAAACAGGAAGTGTCTCAGTCTGATGTAACTGCTACATAGTACCTGGACGGCCTGCCCCTCAATCTTCAAGGGGGTATGTGTCTTTCGGCCAGCTCTCTTCCTGCTTCTGCTGTCTTGCTGACCCACGCTGCTGGCCCAAGCTTGGGACTGGGCCTGAGAAGGGAGGAGTTATTCATCTCTTCAAGCTTTCAGGCCTCAGGGAGAATCTTTCAGTAAGCCATGGTACATACTTCGGCTTTTTGTCTGAATTTATTTGGAAGTCACTGGAAGGTAAGATAGGGTGTGATCTGATTTACAGTTTTTTAACATTTGGAATAATCCCGAACTTTCAGAATCATTACTAATATTTTAATAAAAGTAAGTTGCCAAATTGATGCCCCATCACTCCTGAATACTTTAGTGTGTACGTCTTGCAAACAAGAACATTGTCCTACATAACCACAATATGACCATAAATATCAGGAAAGTAACAAAGATACACTATGAAAGGGAGGCAAAATTTTACCCTTATCCTCTTAGGGCTTTTTGGTTGGGCTTGAGAATTAAAGACATGTTAACAGGAGAAAAGCATACAAATTTATTTAATATAAGAGTTCCGTGATGTGGAGCCCTCATAAGGGATGAAGACCCAAAGATGCAGTTCATGTTGAACACTTAGATACTGAATTGGACAAGGAGTAGAACACTGAAAATGAGAAGACAAAGGGACTTGGGCTTGAGTAGGTTAATTGGGTGGAGAAGTGACTAAGAAGATAAAAGTTAATTTAACAACGTTTGTGCAGATTTCCCTTGACCTCAATTTCCTGTCCTTGATGTAGAATGATAGTTTCCTTCTGGTATAGGGAGGATATCTTTGATGTGGGAATTTTTTCTCCTGCTTTCAGAAAGAAAAAGGCCATATTATTCTTGTGCCTGCTGTTTTTCTTTACCTTTTTTTTTTTTTTTTTTTTTTTTTGAGACAATGTCCTGCCCTGTCACCCAGGCTGGAGTGCAGTGGTACAGTCTGCAGCCTCGACCTCCTGGGCTCAAATGATCCTCCTATCTCAGCCTCCCAAGTAGGTGGGATTACAGGCATGTGCCACTACACCTGGCGAATTTTTGTATTTTAAGTAGAGACGGGGTTTCATCATGTTGGCCAGGCTGGTCTTGAACTCCTGGCCTCAAGTGATCTGCCTACCTTGGCCTCCCAAAGTGCTGAGATTACAGGCATGAGCCACCACACCCAGCCGTGCCTGCTGTTGTTCAAGTGCCTTTAACTCAGCATAGTCCATATGCCAGAGCTGCATATTTTGGAGCAGCGTGTTCTGAACTTCAGCCACTCAGGTTTCGTCAGTTGTCCCAACAGTGTCCTTTATAGAGAGATCCAATCACACATTTCATATGGATCTCAAGTTCTTTAGTCTCCTTCACACTTGATTGGTTCCTCAACTTTTCTGTGATTTTCATGACCTTGACGCTTTTGAAAATTACTTGACAGTTATATTGTTGAAGGTCCCTCAGTGAGTTTGTTGAATGTTTCCTCATGACTAGGTTCAGGCTATGCTTCTGTGACATTCCTGTCACTGAAGCCATGTTTTTCTTGTTGCACTCTATTAAGTAGCAGCTGATTTGTTTTTGTCCTATTATTAATGAAAACCTCTATCACGTGATTAAGGGGTCTGCCGGTTTTCTCCATTCTAAAGTTACTAATTTTCCCTTTGAAATTAATTAGCATTTTGTGGGGAGACACTTTGAGGTTATGTAAGTATCCCCTTACTCATCAAAGCTTTAATTCATTATTTGTATCTGTATCAACTCCTATTTTAATCAATGGGTTATAATCCATTGCTTTAAATGGTTCTTTTATTGTTCAAATTGGGCTCAATTTGACTAGTTGGAACCCATTCAAGCTGCATTTGGAGTTCTTTGGAGGTTTTTAGAGGGGAGGGGTTCTCAGTTTTTAAAAATATTTTATTTGAGATAGGGTCTCACTCTGTCGCCCAGGCTGAGTGCACTGGTGCTTTCACAGCTCACTCCAGCCTCAACCTCCTGGGCTTAAGCCATCCTCCTGCCTCAGCCTCCCAAGTAGCTGGGACTACAGGGGTGCATCACCACAACCTGCTGGTTTTTTTTTAGGAGATAGGGGTCTCACAGTGTTGCCCAGGCTAAAATTTTATTTTTAATTGACAAATAATAATTGTATATATTTGTGGGGTACAATATGATGTTTTGATACATGTTTACATTGTGGAATGATTAAATCAAGCCAATTAGTAAATCAATTACCTCACATACTTATCATTTTTTTGTGGTAAAAACACTTAAAATTATTTTAGCAATTTCCAAATATACAGTGAATTATTATTTATTACAGTCACCATTCTGTGCAGTAGAGCACTAAAGCTTAGTCCTCCTAACTGAAATTTTGTACTCTTTTATCAACATCTCCTCTTTCTTATACTCTCCACTCCTCCTGCCCGTGGTAACCACCATTCTACTCTGCTTGTTTTTCTTTTTTTTTCTTTTGAAGACAGGGTCTTGTTCTGTCTCCCAGGCTGGAGTTCAGTGGCACATTAATAGCCCACTACAGCTTCAATATGCTGTGCTCAAGCGATCTTCCCAACTCAGCCTCCTGAGTAGCTGAGACTAGCTTATTTATTTATTTATTTATTTATTTATTTAGAGACAGAGTTATGCTCTTGTCGCCCAGACTGGGATGCAGTGACGTGATCCCAGCTCACCGCAACCTCTGCCTCCCGGGTTCAAGCGATTCTCCTGCCTCAGCCTCCTGAGTAGCTAGGATTACAGGTGCACACCACCATGCCCAGCTAACTTTTGTATTTTTAGTAGAGACGGGGTTTCACCATATTGGCCAGGCTGGTCTCAAATTCCTGACCTCAGGTGATCTGTCCACCTCGGCCTCCCAGAGTGCTGGGATTACAGGTGTGAGCCACTGTGCCTGGCCTATTTTTATTTTTAGTAGAAGTGAGCTCTTGCTATGTTGCACAGTCTGATCTGGTTTCCCTGATGATTAGTGACAATGAGCATTTTTTTCATATAGCTGTTGACCATTTGTATGTCTTCTGAGAAATGTCTGGGTACTTTGTCCCTGCCAACCGCTTTTTTTTTTTTTTTTTTTTTGAGATGGAGTCTTGTTCTGTCTCCCAGGCTGGAGTGCAGTGGCGTGATCTCAGCTCACTGCAAGCTCCACCTCCCAGGTTCACGTCATTCTCCTGCCTCAGCCTCCTGAGTAGCTGGGACTACAGGCGCTGACCACCATGCCCAGCTAAATTTTTTGTATTTTTTTAGTAGAGACGAGGTTTCACCATGTTAGCCAGGATTGTGTTGATCTCCTGACCTCGTGATCCACCCACCTCGGCCTCCCAACGTGCTGGGATTACAGGCGTGAGCCACTGCGCCCGGCCTACCAACCACTTTTTTTAAAGATAGGGTCTCGCTATGTTGCCCAGGCAAAAGTACAGTGGTGTGACCATGGCTTACTGCAGCCCTGACCTCCTGGGCTCAAGCAATCCTTCCACCTCAGCCTCCTAAGTAGCTGGAACTGCAGCCATGTGCCACCATGCCCGACTAATTTAAAAATTTTTTTTATAAAAACACAGTCTCCCTATGTTACCCAGGCAGGTCTGTAACTCCTGGCCTCAAATAATCCTCCCACCTTGGCCTATCAAAATGCTGGGATTACAGGCATGAGCCATCATGCCCAGCCACTTTGCTTTTATTTTATTTTATTTTATCTTATTTTATGTTATGTTATGTTAATTTTAATTTTTGAGATAGAGTCTCGCTCTGTTGCCAGGCTGGAGTGCAGTGGTGCGATCTTGACTCACTGCAACCTCTGCTTCCCAGGTTCAAGCAATTCTCCTGCCTCAGCCGCCCGAGTAGCTGGGATTACAGGCGTGCGCTGCCACGCCCAGCTAATTTTTGTATTTTTAATAGAGATGGGGTTTCACCATGTTGGCCAGGATGGTGAGTTTTTTTAATTCCATATATATATATTATATATATATGGGTTTTTTGTTGTTTTTTTTTTTTGGCTATTAGCATTAGAGGGGGTCATTTTGAAAAGTCTTCATCATTCTTGGAGCACCTTCTTACTTTCTGACATGAGGTGTTCCAGGTTCATCTTAGAGTTTCTCTGTTCCAGCCTTGGAGACAGCCATTTCTCTGAGGAGCCCTGTGTTTGTTTGCTTTTTTTTGTTGCTTTTTTGTTTCTTTGGAGACGGAGTTTCACTCTTACTGCCCAGGCTGGAGTGCAATGGCGCAATCTCAGCTCAACCGCAACCTCCGCCTCTGGGTTCAAGCGATTCTCCTGCGTCAGCTGGTCTTGAACTCCCAACCTCAGGTGATTCACCCACCTTGGCCTCCCAAAGTGCTGGGATTACAGGCATGAGCCACCACACCCGGCCGTTTGCTTGTTTTTTAGTGGAGAGTGGTATTAGAAACTAAGATATGAATGTCAGATGTGCTCATCATTATTGGAATGTCAGTGCTTCCAGGCCTTCTCAGTGGACAAGCTAGGAAACATGGGTAATGATTGTGTGTCCCCACCAGTACCACTGACGGCAGTCCAGCACTACAGTTTACACTCCAGTTTTCTCCCTTTCCACATTTATAGCTGGTTTCTTCTTAATATAGTTATTTGATCAATTCCACTGTGTGTAACTAAGTTCCCATTGCTGCCCTCTCATCCCCCCTCCCCCACTGGACTTCCTCCTTACCCTATTTTGCCTCCAGCACCCCAAACCAGCTTGCCACCCTCCCTTCTCCTTGTGTGGACAGGCTCTTCTCCCCACAAAGGCTCTGACACATCTTGCTGGGCTACCGCAACACCCTCCCTCACATACCAAGTGCTACATTCCTCGGGCCCACTTAATGACTTTTGCACTCTGATTTACATTTTTAAAGCATCTCTGTGGTTGCTGTGAAGAATAAAGGAAGGAGGCAAGGCAAGTGTGGAAGCAGGCTACTCACTTAAGAAGCTGTTGTAAGTCATGGCCTAGGCTGTTGATGGGGTTGGACTAGGGTGCTAGTGATGCAGGTTGTGAGATTTGGGATCGTATTAGTTGTCTATACTGTGGAACAAGTTATCCTAAACTTAGCTTAAGACAGTAAATGTTATCTCACAGCAATTTGAGTGTAGCTTAGCTGGGTGCCCCAGGCTCAGGGTCTCACAAGGTTACAGCTGAGATCTTCTCTGAGGCTGCTGTGCTCTCAAGGTTTGACTTGGGAAGGACCCACTGCCACACTTACTCATGTGGCTGTAGACAGACCTCAGAAGATTTGCTTCCCAGCTCATTCAGTAGACCTCTGCACAGGCCACCTCTTGACATGGCGTCTGGCTTCCCCAGACCAAGGTGGAAGGAACAGTCTTTTTAAACCTCATCTAGGAAGTGATATCCCATACTTCAGTTGTCTATTTATTAGAAGCAAGTCAATCAGTCCAGCCACACTTAAAATGAGGGTATTATACAAGGGTGTGAATACCAGGAGGCAGTGATCGTTGGAGGCCCTCTTAGAGGGTGCCAAGTAAGATGGGGTCAGCAGGAGTTGCTGATTGATTGGCTTTTGAGAGAAAAACCAGTCAAGGATGACTTCAATATTTTTGGCCTGAACTACTAGAGGTACAGTTACTGAGATAGGGAAGAGTGGAGTAGGGGGAGCAGGTTTAGAAGAGGTAGTCTACGTTAAGTATGAGAAGCTTGATAGACGACCACGTGAGAAGGTGAGTAGACAGTTGAAAACTAGCCTGTTGGTTAGGCTAGAGATTGATGCTGGAGATAGGATTTTGGTTTGATTTTATCTAGTGTAGTATTCAACTTAACTTTATAAATTAAGGGTTAGGAGAATATGACCTTCAGTTAAATGCCTAGCTCTGTTATCCTGGAAACCAGATAAAATTGTTTTAACAGTATTGCAATATAAAATCGACCTCTGATTGGGAAATTGCCTCTGGATTGAGAGGAATTAGAAATGCCTGGTGAGTGCTGCTGCTCTTAGAACTGGCATGACCCTGTGGGAAAGGGAATCCTGAAGCTATGCCTTTGGAGTTACTAGAGACGTTGGCTCTGGTGGAGCGTAAAGCTTTGAAGTTAGGGCAGCTCCTGCACCTGTCTCATGATGCTCTCATCTCCCTTGAGCCTGAGCTGTGTCATCTAGGGAGTTAAAGAAAATAGCTTCTGGGCCGGGCGTGGTGGCTCACACACAGCACCTTGGGAGGCCAAAGCAGGCAGATCATGAGGTCAGGTGATCGAGACCATCTTGGCTAACACAGTGAAACCCCGTCTCCACTTAAACTACAAAAAAAAATTAGCCGGGCCTAGTGGCGGTCGCCTGTAGTCCCAGCTACTTGGGAGGCTGAGGCAGGAGACTGGCATGAACCTGGGAAGCGGAGCTTGCAGTGAGCCGAGATCACACCACTGCACTCCAGCCTGGGCAACAGAGAGACTCTGTCTCAAAAAAAAAAAAAAAAAAGAAAAGAAAAAGAAAATAGCTTCTGGACGGCTGGGTGAGCTGTCACTTGCATGAACAACTGCACAGACTCCCAGGGAGAGGAACATCTGATGCTGCCCAGCTGGCAAGCTGTGATTCCTGTCCTCTGTCCTGAGTTCTCAGATGCCAAGTGTGGCCTATGATAGTCTTATGAGTCTGTTCAGTAGCTGCATAATCTCACCTAGGGAAAGATTTCCCTTAGAGACATTAGCGTTTTGGATAGAATTTTAGTCAGCTTCTCTGTTTCATTTAATGTTCTCTAATCTTATGGGAAACATTAGAAATCTTGTGGAAAAATGAGCTCATTTTATCTCTCTGGTCTAAAGGCCTTCACTTCTTTGAATCTACCAGCCACCAGTAAAGGCTGCTAAGTCCACCAGTACAAAAACAAAAGATGGTGGTGCAAACTTCTTGGATGGGCAGTTGAGCTACACGTGCCTTGAAAATAAGAAACGGATTGCCTAGAACCTAACACAGTCTGCTTACAAACTTGATTCATTCAACAAATATATATTGAGCACCCCCCTATATGTCAGGCCTTGATGGGTTTATATATTCACAGTGGTGAGTGAAATATGTATGGTCTTTGTTCTCTTGTAGTTTATAGGCACTTAATGAATACTAGTACTAATACTGTGTTCTAATTTAGTGTCTTTTTTTACAGTACCTTCATTTTCCTATATGTTTTATTCTCTTATGGGATCAGCAACAAGATATTAATTTCTTCTTCAGGAATTTATATTTAATTTGATTGAGTAGAATACCCTGAAAGTATTTAAGTAGATAACAAATAACATTTTATTTTATTTTGAGGCAGTGTCTCGCTCTATCACCCAGGCTGGAGTTCAGTGGTGCGATCTTGGCTTACTGCAGCCTCGACCTCCTGGGCTCAAGCCATCCTCCTGCCTCAGCACCCGGAGTAGCTGGGGCTACAGGCACGGGCCACCATGCCCGGCTACTGTTTGTATGTATGTATGTATGTATGTATTTAGTAGAGACAGTGTTTTGCCATGTTGCCCAGGCTGGTCTCAAACTCCTGGGCTCAAGCTATCCACCTGCCTTGGCCTCCCAAAGTGTTGACATTACAGGTGTGAACTACCGTGCCCAGCTCAAGTACTATTCTATACTACTTTTTCTTTCTTTTTTTTTCTCTTGTTCTTGTCTTTATTTTGTTCAATGCCAATTTTATTGCCTTCAGTTTTATTCTGAAGTTATCTAATTGCCACCGTCTACACAGTAACACACAGAAGTCTTCATTTTCATTGTTATGGTAGTTAGCATTTATATAGAATTAGTGTAGAAAAGTAGAAAGTTTGGGCTATTTCATGCACGGCTGTATAAAATTATTGTTTTCACTTGTATCAGAAGAAATAAAGATGTGCTTTTTGTGGTTTGAAGTATTGGAACCTTGAAGTCCTTTGAACCAAGTTAAAAAAAAAAACAAAGCAAGACATGGCTTGGTTAGATTTTTCTCTATTGCACGTATACCGTTTTCCCACTTGGTGGCACTTTCTGTTCATTTCTTAGTAACATGTCTTTCTCTCTCAGCATAGTTACACCAGTCTCTCCTCGTACATTGATTTTTCTTATTAAAATTAATTTACTGAAGTAATACATAAATACATCATTTAAAAAATAATAGTGTATGGTAAAGGGTTTCTTTTTTTTTTTAACAGAAAATAATTTTGTCCCTGAAAATTTTTCTGTGCCCAGGGAAAAATTAATAAATGGTTTTGCCCTTGAAAGGCCAATTTGTTTAAGATGCTTAACATCGTGGTGGTCAGCTGTTTTTCATTTGGCGTGATGTGTTCTAGAAGCCTTTGTAGAGAAACAGGGTGGCAGGTGAGGGCCATTACATGGAGGCGATAGAGAAGAATCAAGGATGATTCATAGGTTTGGGGCCTGAGTGGTTGGTACCATAATGCTGGGACCATTCACTGAGATGAGAAGACTTGTAGAAGGGCGGGTTGGTAGGGGTGGAGAATTAGAATCAGAAGCCTCTTTTTGGACATAGTAAGTGTGTGATACCTGTTGTGAAATCTACATGATTAGATATATATCAAGTAAACAGCTGAATATACAAATCGAGCTTAGGACAATGGTCAAACCTGCCAAACCAGCAAAGAACAAGGTAAGTAGCTAGCAAGGTAGGAGGAAAGGGAAGAAAGAGGAGTATTTCAGCCAGGGAAGCCTCGTTGTATTGATTGTTGCCAAGAGGTTGAGGAAGATGATGACAGAAAAATGTCCGTGTGATTTGGCAATATGAAATTCATTGAATCTACATAGAATCTGTTCTTGAAAGAAATGAGGAGAGATCAGAAAAGTTTGAACATTCTAGCAAAGGAGAGTGATCCACATAGCCCCTAGTAGACATGCACTGTCAATATTGGACATAGTTCCATTAATCCTTTTTTTTTTTTTTGAGACAGGGTCTTGCTCTTGTCACCCAGGCTGGAGTGCAGTGGCATGATCTCAGCTCACTGCATCCTCCACCTCCCAGGTTCAAGCAATTCTTGTGCCTCTGCCACCTGGGTAGCTGGGATTACAGGTCCCATGACCACACCCAGCTAATTTTTGTATTTTTTTTTTTATAGGGGTGGGGTTTCTCCATGTTAGCCAGGCTGGTCTCAAACTCCTGGCCTCATGTGATCCGCCTGCCTCAGCCTTCCAAAGTGCTGGGATTACAGGTGTAAGCCACCTCACCCCGTCCCTTTTTAATCCTTTCTGTGTAGTTGTGTTCATAACCATACTCCATTTTACTTGCTTTTTTCCATCAATATTATAAGCAATTTTTCATGTTATTAAAACAATCCTTATAATCACCATTAAAAGATTTTTTCTGATTATAAGAATATACAATTGCTATAGAAAATTTGGAAATCTGGAGAATTATTAATATGAGGTAGAAACAATTCTTTGGCCCAGAAGCAATACTGTTAATATTTTATTCACTGATTCAACAACTATTTGAGGGTCTGCTTTTGGGTAGAGAAAGAATGTTTTGGGGGTGTTTGTTTTAGAGGTGGGGTCTTGCTCTGTTGCCGAGGATGGAGTACAGGAGCTATTCACAGGTGCAATCATAGCACACTACAGCCTTGAACTCCTGGGCTCAAGCATCCCCCCTGCCTCAGCCTCCCATGTAGCTGGGACTCCACAGAGGAATGTTTTTTAAAGACCACAGTGTGAAAAACTGATTGTAGTTTATTGGTCACACCTTCTTTAGAAGAAAGCTTATTATTATAAATAACATATACCTACACATTTCTCATATAATGTATACAACATTTTCTGACTTGCTTCTCCCTCCCCTCACTTAATATGTCACAGACATTTTTCCTGTCTCACTAAATACTGTGTCAGTTCGAGTGTTTTAGTTTCTGTGGGGCTTTTGTATTTAGAAAGGATTGTTGGGCAATTTGGATTTAAAATTAATATACTATTTATTATAGTTGCAAATTTAAAAACCTAATTGTTTTTCATTCTTGAGGTTCAATTTATAAATAGGATAAAAAGATTAGTAAATTGAATTACTTTTTGCATAAAAATAAGGAACAATCATTTTCTCTTGTTCTTTGATGAATGTTCGGTAAACTCTAATGGAAAGGATTACATTGTCCTAAACAGTAATACCCATTTGCAAATTTAGTTAATACATCTCTTTAAGCAGTTTAGTCACATTTATAAATTGAACATATTTGATATTTGAGTTTTTTCAATTCTTCAAATCCCCAGTGCATAGGCAGATTAACCTATCAAGCAAAATGTTCCTAAGCACTTAAATGACTCTTGTTTACTCAAGCCCAAAACTTCAGTGTCATCCCCCAGTCTAATTCTCTAATGTCCAGTCTGTTAGCAAGTTCATCCTGCTTTCGTTTCTCCATATATCCCACATCTCATCACTGCCTCTATGACTGTTACCCTAGTCCAAGGCACAATTATCTCTTGCCTGGACATCTACAGTCACCTCCCAACTGGTTTGATAACATTCTTGCAGTGCACTAGCGTTCCCAACATGCTAAGTGATGAGAGTGCATATTTTTAAATGTAAATCAGACACATCAAGTCTCTGCTCAGAATGACCCAGTGGCTTCCCATCACAGTGAGAGTAAAAACCCCAACTCCTTCCATGCTCTGCGAGGCGTTATGTGATCACAGTCTGCATGCACTGTCCTAGTCACAGCCCTGTTGACTCTGACTTGGCCACATTGGCCTTCTTGCTTTTCCTTGAACAGTGAACATACTCCCAACTCAGTCTCTGCACTAGCTGTTTCCCCAGATTTGGCATGGCTCACACACCTTCACTTTATTCAAGTGCCCATCTGGTGGCTCTTCAGGTGGTCTAGTCTATAAGAGCCCTGTTCCCTCTCATACTCCATACTCTTCCCCTGCTCTGGTTTTTTCCTTGATGGCACTTAACTACCTCTGCTTAACATTTTTTTTATATTATTTAATTTATTGTATGTTTCCCCAAATACCATGTTGGAACAGTGCCTACCACATAGTATTTCTGCAATAGATTTTTGTTGAATGAATGGATGTACATATACATTTTACTTGAAACAAACATTATTTTTTGGGTATGATAATCAGTTTTCTTCACTTTAGCTGATCCAAAAATGGCATCTTCTGCTACTCCTTTATAGCTTTCTAATGAATTTGAAACTAGATTTACCTCTGAATTACATTGCAATTTCAACCTGTCCTTTTTAGTACTTTGACCCACTGAATCATTTGTTACAGTTTTGTGGGGTTTTTGGGGCAGGGGCGGAGGGGTGTTTTTTTTTTTTGACACAAGGTCTTGCTCTGTCACCTAGGCCAAGTGTAGTGCCGTGATCATAACTCACTGCAACCTCAAAATCCTGGGCTCAAGCTATCCTTCTGCCTCAGCTTCCTGAGTAGCTGGGAGTATAGGTGCATGCCACCACACCCAGCTAATGTTTTTGTTTTTGAGAGAGAAGGTGTCAAACTCCTGGCCTCAAGTGATCCTCCAACCTTGGCCTCCCAAAGCACTGGGATTATATGTGACAGCCACTGTGCCTAGCCTGTTACAGTCTTCTAAAATATTATTTCTCTAAATAAATTGCTAGCTGTCAATGGCAGATAATATTTTCTTCAAAGTAAGTCCTTCCTAATGTTTATTTTCTGCTCCAGAAAAATCAGAATATTAGGAGACTGTGTTCTAAGAAACTACAAACTGCATTAATTGGGTAGTTTCTCTTATGTTACAGAATGTTACTTTTCTTTATACCCTTTCTCTGTTAAAATGTGTTCATTATAAGCAGAAGACAAGATTGTTTTGATTTTTAAAACTCAGCTTTTATTTAACACATTTCACTGAGTATTCATTGCTTCATTTAATATTGATTCTAACATTTTACAAAGATGCCTTGTTGGAAAATTCCATATGTGGAATGTGGAAATAAACTATGTATTACTCTTGGTGAATGAGGAACTGCTCAGCATGTTCATTATAGAAAATTCAAAAAATAACAAAAGAAATAAGAATAGCCTGTTATCCCACCACTTGTAGAAACCACTGCTATTAATATTTTGATACACATTTGACCTTCAGTATCTGTGGGTTCTGCATCCATGGATTAAACCAACATTAGATGGAAATTATATCAGAAAAAAGTTCACAAAGTTCCAAAAAGCAAAACTTGGATTTGCTGTGTGCCGAGTATTATGTTGAATCCACATGAATGAAGTCATATGCAGACATCATATTAGGCATTATAAGTAACCTGGAGATGATTTAAAGTATACAGGAGGTTGTGCATAAATTATATGCAAATGCTACATTTGCATATCCACAAATGATCATTTGTGGATTTTGGCATCCACAGGGTGTCCTGGAATCAATCCCCCATAGACACTAGGGACAACTGTTTATTCTTATCTCCTCGATTTCTATGCATATATATTCTTTTGTTTTTGTTATTAATGTAATTGAGCTTTTTGAAGAAGTAGCCTGGGTTTGCAAGTTATTTTAACTTTTGGCAGCCTGGTTTTCTCACTTACTATATTTGGATAATAATATTTATCACGAGTTGTTATAAGGATCAAATAGGTTAATATTTGTAAAGTGTATAGATTAGTGCCCATGACTTATAAATGCTATCTATAAGTATTAAATAAATTAGGCAAATAACCCGCTTTTAAAACATATATGGTGAACATTTTCTCAAGTCATAAAATATTCTCTGTCTCTCTCTCTCTTCTCTTTTTTTAGAAATGGGATCCCCCGCTGTCCAGGCACGATCATGGCTTTCTGCAGCCTTGAACTCCTGGGCTCATGTGATCCCTGCCTCAGCCTCCCAAGTAGCTAGGACTACAGGTGCCTGCCACCATGCCTGGCTAATTTTTGCATTTTTTGTAGACATGGGGTCTCATGTTGCCCAGGCTGGTCTCGAACTCATGGCCTCAAGCGATCCTCCCACCTTGGCCTCCAGAAGTGCTAGGATTACAGGTGTGAGGCACCATACCTGGCCAAAATATTATCTATAGCATAAATGTTAATAATGCCTTAGTCTTCCATCATATGGATATGCCATGAGCTATTCCCTTTATTTTTGGTTTTGTTCTTTCCATTCTTTCACTGTTATAAATAAAGCTCTGATAAATATCCTTGTACATGAGTATTCATATCCTCATTTCCTTAAATGGAAATGGATCCACCAGGAGTATACATGTTTTATAAGTTTTTGATACCTGCTGCCAAATTGCCCTCTAGAAGGGCTATACCAATTTATATTCTCAGGATAAATATATTGAATAGTATATGAGTACTGATTTCTCTTTAAGTTCACTGATTCTGGGTTTTATTTTTTAAAATCTTTGCTAATTTAGCAAGTAAAAAATTATACCTTAATGTGCATTGCCTTGATTAAACTTCATTGTTTGCCACTATAATTTTTTCTTTGTTGACATCTCTTGATGTTTTTTGTCCAGTTTTCTATTGGATATTTGACTTTTTCTGATTTGTAATGATAGATGAACCTTTTTTCTGTATATTACAAATATTTTCCCCTGTTTCTTTTAGTCTTTAATCCTGTTTATAGTGTTTTAGGACATACACTTTTCAATTTTAAAAACAATTTTAATTTTTTGGGTACATAGTAGGTGTATATATTATGGGGTGAGATGTTTTGACACAGGCATGCAATATGTGATCATCACATCATGGAAAATGGGGTACCCATCCCTTCAAGCATTTGTCCTTTGTGTTACAAACAATCCAATTATACTCTTTTAGTTGTTTTAAAATGTACAATTAAGTTATTATAGACTATAGTCACTGTGTTGTGCTGTCAAATACTAGGTCTTATTCATTCTTTCTGACTATTTTTTTTTATACCCATTAACCATCCCCACCTCCCCCTAATCCCCAAACCAACCCCACTACCCTTCCCAGCCTCTGGTAATCATTCTTCTACTCTCTATCTCCATGAGTGCAATTGTTTTGAGTTTTAAGTATCACAAATAAATGAGAACATGCAATGTTTGTCTTTCTGTACCTGGCTTATTTCACTTAACGTAATGATCTCCAGTTCCATCCATGTTGTTACTAATGACAGGATGTTGTTCTTTTTTATGGCTGAATAGTACCCCATTGTATTTAAGTATCACATTTTCTTTACTCATTCATCTGTTGACAGACACTTAGGTTGCTTCCAAATTTTGGCTGTTGTGAACAATGCTGCAACAAACATCGGAGTGCAAAAGTCTCTTCGATATACTGATTTCCTTTCATTTAGGTTATACCCAGCAGCATCATTGCTGAATCATATGGTAGCTCAATTTTTAGTTTTTTGAGGAACTTCCTAACTGTTCTCTATAATGGTTGTACTAACTTACATTCCCACCAACGTGTTTGAGGGTTCCCTTTTCTCCGTATCCTCCCAGCATTTATTATTGCCTGTCTTTTGTATAAAAGCCATTTTAACTGGGATGAGATAATATCTCATTGTAGGTTTTTTTTACTGCTCCTTGTGGACCAGAGCGGTAGCCTTAATCTCAGCACTTTGGGAGGCCGAGGCGGGCAAATCACTGGAGGCCAGGAGTTCGAGACCAGCCTGGACAACATGGTGAAACCCCGTCTCTACTAAAAATAAAAAAATTAGCCCGGCATGATGGCATGCGCCTGTAATCCCAGCTACTCGGGAGGCTGAGGCAGGAGAATCACTTGAGCCCAGGAGGCAGAGGTTGCAGTGAGCCAAGATATCACCACTGCACTCCAGCCTGCGCCACAGAGCAAGACTCTGTCTCAAAAAAAAAAAAAAAAAAAAAGACCCAAGAGTCTGTTTTGCAAGTAAAACTCTCTGGTGTGGCAATCTGAAAGATATGATTTTTTTTTACCCCTTATTTAATAATAAAATAACAAGGGTTATATTTGCCTAGCAGACTATAAACATTTCCTTATTTCTTATAATTCTTTATAAACTGCCATAATGGGTATAGTTTATTATTTATTAATTCCCTGATTCTTGCATGTAGGCTTGCTAGGATAAATATTTTCAGATTTTGTGTATTGTGATAAAAATTATCTTTTCCTTTTTTGGAGCATTTTCCATTTCTCCATGAGCTCTTCACTTCCTCACTTAAGTAACTGAATAGGCATAAGCTTGGGACTATGGTTCCTTAAATATCATTTTAACCTTCCGGAGTCTTGACAGCAATTTTTTGAATAAAATTTTTCTTTAGTTAAGCTGACTCAGTGAGGTAAAAGTTAAATATTTCAGCTGTGCCGTAAGCTCACATAAAGCCCCTTGATAAGTGACAGCCTTGACTTTAACAGCTAATCCCTCCTCTGAGTGGTTAGTGGAGCCTGGCTCACCACTATCGTCTCATAAGGGCTTCAGCGCTCGTGTGCTCATATGAATGGTTACAGTTTATTGGTCCAGGTCACTTTCACTAATCCCCAGCTTCCTTTAGAGGATGTAAGACAGACACTGACCTAGCTTGTACAGCCTTCTGCATTCTTCATTGTATAAGCTGATCATGATACAATTATCTTTAGACATAAACATAGCAACTGTAATCATATTTTATCTCTATTCAGACTGGTTTTTAGTCAGTTACCTAGCTATATCTATCAATTACTGCTAGCAAATATTCTTAGGTTTACATAGCAACAAAAATTTTTTCTCATTAGCTTTAGTTTTAGTTATTCCACTGAAACATCCTCCTCTTGTCCTTTTCTCTGCAGCTAGATAATCACTTTTCCCCCCACCCCCGGGCTGCAGTTCTGTGGCTGTCTTCTCATTTTCTTTTCCCCCAATAAGGTCATCTCTGTCTTGTGAGCTCCAGGTCTTAGAGGCTGGGACAAATTCTGTCTTCCCTTCTTTCCCATGTAAACCCCTCAGCTTAGCTTCCTGCACTCTGTCCCACAAACTTTGATTCCTCCTTTCCCTGTCATTAGCAGCAGCATCGGTGGTCTCTTCCCTTTCAACTCCAGGTATCCAGCTTTTAGGTCTGATTTCTGGAACATATCCTCTTAAATTGTTAAGCACTTATGACTGAAATATTTGTGAATTGGGGGTCGATTTAACTTTTTTCTCAAGACAGGGTCTCACTATGTTGCCCAGGCTGGTCCTGAGCTTCTGGCCTCAAGTGATCCTCCCACCTCGTCCTCCCAAAGTGCTGGGATTATAGACATGAGCCACTGTGCCTGGCCCTGATTTAATTTTTTAATATAACAAGTTGCATATTCTCTAGTGTTTACACTCACATGCTTGAATTTACAATGCATCAGGCTCTTCTCAGCAGGAGCCTCATGGGTTTTAAACTAAACCTTCATGAGCCAGAGTAACCTGAGCATACTGAAAATCCAGAATCGGCCTCTAGCACCTAATAGTAATACTGTATTTTTATCAGTTCTAAAATGCATTTCCACGTCTAAAATTAGGATACATATTATAATCAGTAGTGGCCATAATTTATTTGGTAGCATCTTTTCTTTCTTAGAGGTAGATAAAATCATGGCATGTCTGAAAATGGATAGTGTCAGATTTGATAAGATACAGTAATGGGCCGGGCATGGTGGCTCATGCCTATAATCCCAGCACTTTGGGAGGCTGAAGCAGGAAGATCCCTTGAGCTCAGAAGTTTGAGATCAGCCTGGGCAGCATAGTGAGATCCTATCTCTACAAAAATCTTCTGAAAGTCAGCCAGGCATGGTGGTGGCATGCTCTTGTAGTGTTAGCTATGTAGGAGGCTGAGGTAGGAGTATCACATGAGCCCAGGAGTTCGAGGCTGCAATGAGCCATGATAGTGCTACTTCATTCCAGCCTGGGTGACAGAGTGAGACCCTGTCTCCAAAAGAAAGAAAGAAAGAAAACGAAGAAAAAAAAATACAGTAATGAGAACGGTAGCTAACATTTGTTGCGTATCTGCCACACACAAGAATTTTTCTATGTGCTTTATGTCTATTATCTCCTTTTATGTTTATACCATCCCTGAGGAGTAGGGATGTTCAGATGGAAAAAATCTAAGGCATAGAAGAATTCAGCTAGTAACTGATGGAGTTGAGGCTTGAACCCAAGCAACAAAATAGTTCCAGGGCTACGTTTTTAACCGTCCTTCCACTATGCTGTACTGCCTCTTCATAACTGTTTGGGTTTTTTCCCCTCTTTAAGGCATCGTTGGCTTCACAGTATGACTGATGATCCTCCAACAACAAAACCACTTACTGCTCGTAAATTCATTTGGACGAACCATAAATTCAACGTGACTGGCACCCCAGAACAATATGTACCTTATTCTACCACTAGAAAGAAGATTCAGGAGTGGATCCCACCTTCAACACCTTACAAGTAAAGACAATGAAGAACAGTTGAAACATGCAAAATATGGAGCTTTTCATGTAATTACTCTTTTACTGTTTACCATTCACTATAATTCACAATTAAAATTGTGTGACTAAACAATGTCTTTCGTGCCTTTTTGCCCTTCACTTTGTTGTTTTCCAACTGCAAAATAGATGCTTCCAAACATGGTGATTGAAGTAGACTTGTATTGGGGTAGCTGCCTGGTTTACAGTTCCCTTTTCTGGAAACAGCCTCTGTGGTCCTGTTTGTGCTTTGGGACCGTACCTTACTACCATAGCTCATTATATGGGAAGACCTAAGCCAAGCCAGATTTTCTCATGGGAATTTGGAACTTGAATGGAGAGACACGAAGGCTGAAAGTCATCAAAACTGGGTGGCTTTTATTGACGCTCTCTAAGGAGGTTATCAGAGATATCGTATTTCCTGAGTCTGGTTCTTTAATGGTTCATTTTAAACTGTAAACTATCCTAGACTCTATTCCAATATATTCTTAGTTCTTTAAGCTAACTAGGGTCACAGATTTTTTTTGTTGCTTACAAATAAAAAAGTCTTTAATATCCAGATTGGTACCAGAGGTAGGCAAAAGACCTTCAAGGAAATGATGCGGGATCTTTGGAACTGGTTGTTGTGTCTGGGTAGGGTGAAAGGCCCACATCTCTCTGCATTCCAGATGGAAAGCTCACAGCTCCAGTGATCAAGGAGCTTAGCAGGCTATTGCCTTTAGTCACCAGAATCCATGAGCCCCCTTAGGATAAGGCCCCTGGAGACTGGTTAGCAGCCACCATGGAACAATTTAATAGCAATGGAAAGAAATGCTAGGATTATGGAGTCAGGTGGTTGTTTCCAAGGGCATTGAATGACTTAAGAGAGAATAAACCTTGATTCTCAAATCTCAACTCAAGGCATCAAGTGTGTGAAAGGAAAATAAGTCTTGGGACCCCAAAATCACTAAGCCAAGGGAAAAGTCAAGCTGGAAACTATGTCAGGCAAACCTGACCCCCATTTTATCCCTAAATAAGATATTAATAGCTACAAAGATAAAAAGCTACATATCTCCTTCCTTGAAATTCCTTGTGGACAAAGGACAGACAGAACTCAAAGTCATCTCTGAGGCTCACTGGAGATAAATGCATACCGATTGCTTCCTCTGCCTTATTGTTTATTTAAAAATACGGATTCACTGAGCCGGACTAAAGTGTATTCAGTGGAAGGCTGCTCAAGAACTCAAAAGAATGCAACCTTTTGTCTCTTATCTACTTATGACCTGGAAGCCCCCATCTCAGGTTGTCCAGTCTTACCTGACGGAACCAGTGTACATGTTACACATACTGATTGGTGTCTCATGTCTCCCTAAAATGTCTAAAAGCAAGCTGTACCCTGACCACTTGGGCACATGTTGTCAGGACCTCCTGAGGCTGTGTCAGAGGCACAGCCTTAACCTCAGCAAAATAAACTTTCTGAATTGATTGAGACCTGTCTCAGATACCTTTCGGGTTATAAGTGAAACGCAGGGTAATTATATGAGTTAGCTTACCTCCTTGGTTTCCTATATGAAAATGAAGGGATAGAGTGGGACCCTGCCTATTGGTATAGGGACATCTAGAAGGAACTAGAACAATGGTCTTTGCCCTTGGCTGCATATTAGCTTTTTTATAATCTAGAAGCCAGGCAATCAGACCAGCATCTCTGAAGGCAGGTTCCAGGCATCAGTAATTTTTAAAACCTCTCCCTGCACCCACCTTGTGGTTCCATTTACAGCCAATGTTTTGAACAACTGTGCTAAAGAACCAACATGCAAAAACCAGTTATTTTGAAACTTCCTCATTCATAAGAAACTAGTCTACTACAGCCCTATGTCCTGAGTATCCCTTACTTAGCTGGATCAGGTTGAATTCAGTGCCTTCAAGAGACTATTCAGTGTGCTGTTTTGGCTTTTTGAGCCCTGGACTTTTGAGACAGCATATAACATACAGGTGTTTTGCACTTATTTATTTACCTGGTGACCTGAAAAGCTGGCAGAGCAAAAATAGTCCCTGTAGGTGGCCCAGTCTGCAGTCCAAGCAGCTCTGCTGCTCAGCCCTCTCAAAGTCTATCTGGCTGATTGGGAGACTTATTGAAGTCAGAGACAAATTTCTCCAGGAGAATCACAATGGAAGCCCACAGGACTTTGGAGCAAGGTCATACCCCCTTCTGGAAGATTACTATTCTCCTTTTGAGAAACGGTTCTAATTTGCTTCTGGGGATGTTGGAGGCTATGGGACACCAGGTGCTATTTAATCCATCTACTCATAAAGTTGACCATTTCCAGCAGCACTCCATCACCTAGCAGGTGGGACCAGACAGGCCATGAAGACACATTTCCTTTGAACAGATTTCTCCCGACCCTGTGCCTTTAACTACTCTATTCCCACACCTCGCCCCTACCAATCTGTCCCTTTACCCTTGTGGAGCATTATTATCCAGTTAACTGAAAATGAAAAAAACCAAACCTGGCTTACAGATACCATGAACAATAGGCACTATCAGCTAGAAATGTACTGTGTATATTTGGGGTGGTCTTGAAGGACAGTAGAGGGCAAATCTCAATTTGTAGGCAGAATTCCAAGCACTGTCTTTTATCATGTACTTTGACTTGAGAGAAACATGATCTGAGGTGAGGATCTGTAACCGTAACCAGTCACTGGCTAGATAGTCAGAGATGGAGAAAAGCAACATGGAAGATTAGTGTAAAAGTTTTGGGAGGAGCTTGGCAAATGAACCTTGAGGCTTGGAGCTGTAATCCAAAAAGATTTAGAACAAAGTAGCCAGATGATTACTGAGATCACCTTCTGGGAACAAATCTTTGTCTCAGTGCCTACTTCTTGAAGATCCCAACAGAAAACACATATCTAAGCCCAGTATCGTCAATGCGGCAAGTTCATTTCACGGGACTTCTTCCATATTGGAGGGAGAGATGATTTGTTTTTGTGGGAATAGGCACTTATTCTGAATTTGGGTCTGTTTTCCTTGCCTATCATGCCTTGGTCAACATCAGCATTCATGGGATTAGAATGCTTTCTACCTTGTCATATGTAGGACAGTGTCCGTGGTGGAGAAACTCACTTCACAGAAAAGAAAAGAGGCCTAGTGCAGTGGCTCACACCTGTAATCCCAGCAGTTTGGGGGGCCAAGGCAGGCGGATCACCTGAGGTCAGGAATTCGAGACCAGCCTGACCAATATGATGAAACCCCGCCTCTACTAAAAATAGAAAAATTAGTCAGGTGTGGTGGCATGCGCCTGTAATCCCAGCTACTTGGGAGGCTGAGACAGGAGAATCACTTGAATCCGGGAGGCGGAGGTTGCAGTGAGCCATTGTACTCCAGCCTGGGCAACAAGAGTGAAACTCCCGTCTCAAAAAAAAAAAGACAGTGGAACTGCCTGTGGGAGTCCCTGCTTGTGTTTATGATGTGCCTTACTGACCTACCTCTCAGATATCATCTCTCATTTCTCCCTGCATCACCCACTACAGGTCAGCCACACAAGCCTCTGTCTAATCTTCAAAGACTGGATTCATTCTCGTCTTAGGTCTTTGCACTTGCTCTTCCTTCTGCCTAGAATATTAACATCTTTGTGTTGCTCCTTTTTTTGGTATCATTCATATCTTACTTTACAAGTATCACCTCCTCAACAGAATGTTCTGTGTCCATCTAATCTAAAGTAGCTTCCTCAGGAACTTCCTATTATTGTTTATTTGTATGAATTTCCTTGTTTTATTTTATTCATAGTACTTATTGTTACTTTTTGGGAAAAGGCCTGAACAAAATTATTCCAGTAAAGAATCTGTGTATTGAGCATTTACTAAACAGCCACTGTCCACCTACAAAAGCACTCTACATGTAGACATAATGAAGCAAAACTGTATTGATTAGATTTAGGGCAGGGTGCAGTGGCTCACGCCTGTAATCCCAGCACTTTGGAAGGCTGAGGCAGGCAGATCATCTGAGGTCAGGCGTTTGAGACTAGCCTGGCCAACATGGCAAAAACCCGTCTCTACTAAAAATACAAAAATTAGCCATGCATGGCGGCACATGCCTGTAGTGCCAGCTACTCAGGAGGCTAAGGTAGGAGAATCGCCTGAATCTGGGAGGCAGAGGCTGCAGTGAGCTGAGATCACGCTGCCGCACTCTGGCCTGGGCCACAGAGAGACACTCTGTCTCAAAAAAAATAATAATAATTTTTGTTGGAGGTGAGATAGTGACTGAAATTAAACAGCGGCAGCCCAGAACAGTAAATTCTGAAGTTTCAGAAAGTAAGAATTCTTGTGGGAAATAACATCTAAACATGCAAATAGTTATACATAGGAAATTTCTAAAGTTTCATTAAGCAATTTTTACAGGAAAAAAAGAACACTAATTACCATGATGTCATGCTGTGTTTCCAAAAAATTGGTGATCATTTCAAGGGTTTGCAATCACTTGTGTGATCAGCTTGCAAAGACCTGTCGGTCTATATCCCCGCTTTCAAGTCATCCTTCTATGAATGGAGATGTCCTGTTCCTAACATTCTTCTCAAATACAAGTTAATTCATACACTG
Source organism: Homo sapiens (assembly GCF_000001405.40). Taxonomy (NCBI): domain Eukaryota; kingdom Metazoa; phylum Chordata; class Mammalia; order Primates; family Hominidae; genus Homo; species Homo sapiens. Next base: position 94,966,854 of record NC_000012.12, on the reverse strand, counting down.
GTGCCAAGTGCCCATAGTATGAAATGCACACATCATAAGAGCATAGTAATGGAGCCATATTTATCAGCTCTGGCTCCAGGAAGTTAATGTCTGTGTATATTTTTTGTTTTTTAGGCCGAGTCTCACTCTGTTGCCCAGGCCGGAGTGCAGTGGCGCAATCTCGGCTCACTGCAACCTCCATCTCCTGGGTTCAAGCGATTATCCTGCCTCAGCCTCCTGAGTTGCTGGGATTACAGATGCATGCCACCATGGCTGGCTAATTTTTGTATTTTTAGTAAAGACGGGGTTTCGCCATGTTGGCCGGGCTGGTCTCCAACTCCTGACCTCAAGAGATCACCCGCCTCAGCCTCTCAAAGTGCTGGGATTACAGGCGTAAGCCACCGTGCCTGGCCAGAAACGCTGTTTTCCAGGCTGATGTCTGCTGTCTGAGAACCTGGTTCTACATGTGCCTGAAGTACATTCACTTACACTCTTCAATGACATGAACCAGTAAATGAACCAGTAAATTTCCCCAACTATTTTCTTATAGCTTGACTTCAAATCTGTATTGACTTATGCTTCTTTCACTTGCAGCTGAATGTCCTCACTGATACAGCATCCTTATGGCTTTATTACTTCTCCTCTAGTAATAGAATTTGTTACTGCTGTGTACTATCTTCCTTTCTTTCTTCATTTTCCTTTCCTTTCCCTTTTCCCCTTTCCTTTCCTTTCTTTCTTTTTTTTCCCCCCTCCCCTTCCCTTCCCTCCCCTCCCCTCTCCTTTCCTTTCCTTTTTTTTTTTTTCTTTTTTTTCCCAGACACAGGTTCTTACTCTGTTGCCCGGGCTGGAGTGCAGTGGTGCAATCATGACTCTCTGCAGCCTCGACCTCCTGGGCTCAAGTAGTCCTCCCACCTCAGCCTCCCAGGTAGCTTGAACTATAGGCATACACCACCATGCCCAGCTAGTTTTTTAATTTTTTATAGAGACAAGGTCTTCCTATGTTGCCCAAGTTTGCTTGCTCCTCTCCTCTCCCCTCTCCTCCCCTCCCCTTCCCTTCCCTCTCTTTCTTTTTTTTTTGACAGAGTCTCACTCTGTTATCCAGGCTGGAGTGCAATGGCGTTATCCTGGCTCATTGCAACCTCTGCCTCCCGGGTTCAAGTGATTCTCCTGCCTCAGCCTCCTGAGTAGCTGGGATTACCAGTACCCGCCACCATGCCCTGCTAATTTTGTATTTTCAGTAGAAATGGGGTTTTTCCATGTTGGCCAGGTAGGTCTCGAACTCCTGACTTCAGGTGATCCACCTGCCTTGGCCTCCCAAAGTGCTAGGATTACAGGCGTGAGCCACCATGCCCAGCCAGCCACCTTTCTTACTAGATGTAGCCCTGATTATTAATCTTCTGATTCATAACTCTTGGCATATTATGAACCAGTAGTGTTTGCCAGGATTTATTACTATAAGCTAATAAATAGCTTTATTTAAAAACTTAAAGTTTGTGTTGAAATGGATACATGTATTCCATAAAACCTCTGCATGTACATTTGAGGATATATCCGGGCCTTTAAAATTTCTGTAAGTGATGGCTCTACCTGATTCCAGTTGCAGAGAAGTCAGATTTACAGATTTGCCTGCATGTAGCCTGGACTTGGAAGTTTGAGCCACAATAAAATTGCTAAAAAAAAAAAAATTGGCAGTCATTTTTATGTCACTAAATAAGGGTAAGCATCAGCCTCACAATTTTAGGTGATGTATGATACTCTTTTCAAAGTAATACAAAGGGGATGGAAAAATTACATGCAAGAAAACCTGGATCCTAATTTGAAATTTATTTGTTTATTTATGTATTTTTTTGAGACGGAGTCTTGCTCTGTCACCCAGGCTGGAGTGCAGTGGCGCGATCTCGGCTCACTGCAAGCTCCGCCTCCCAGGTTCAAGCCATTCTCCTGCCTCAGCCTCCCGAGTAGCTGGGACTACAGGCGCCCACCACCATGCCCGGCTAATTTTTTGTATTTTTAGTAGAGATGGGGTTTCACCGTGTTAGCCAGGATGGTCTCAATCTCCTGACCTCGTGATCCACCCGCCTCGGCCTCCCAAAGTGCTGGGATTACAGGCGTGAGCCACTGTGCCCAGCCCCTAATTTGAAAATTTAAATATTAACTTACATGAAAAACTATTTTCTCAGTTTTGAGAAATGAGAAATCACCCTCCCAAAGTGCAGGGATTACAGGCGCGAGTGCTCTCTCTTTGCAGGTAGGATTAATAAAATTGCAATGTTAAGAATTTCATCTAAGGCAACACAAATCACTAGAACCATTAATTCCAACTTGAGCTAAGTGAAAAAATAAAAAAATTACTCATGGAAGAAGTAGTCAGCCATATAAAAAGGTTGTTGCATTTAGAGGCAGCTTGCCCTACAGGCTGACCTGAATTTCTCAGTTTGAGAATTGCGATAGCCATTAATATTTGTCACACAGCTGTGCTTGTCCCAGCTCCCTTACGGTCTCCACACACCCAGCCCCCACAACCCTAAATTAAAACCCTTAACTAATTTTCCACTGGTGAAAAACTAAGATTTCACTCTCACATTTTCTCTTGTGGTCACTTAAAGCAAAGTTTCTCCCCTACGTTTGACGGAGGAATGGCTGCCTTGCCCTCATTTCTTGTTTGTCTGTATTTGCTCGTTGAGTTTGATGTTGAGATTTCTTTTAGGATCCTAGAATTGGCACTTATCTCATCGTACACACCGCAAGTGTGTCTACTCTATTTTTGGAGTACATTTAAAAATCTAATAAGTTAACTTGTTTGTCCAACTGTATGGCACATTTATATAATTTATGATTCAATAATTATTTTCAATGAGATTGGGCATGTTTAGGGTGGTGTGGTTGTGGACTGAATAATTATTTTGGAACACTCAGTTGTTAGAGTTCTATCTGATTAACAAACATCCTGAACAGATGCGTTCTTCTCTCCAGCACCGTTGAGTCAGGGAAGCAGTATGACAGATTGGAAAGAGATCCGGCTCTAGAGTTGGACTGACCTAGGACCATCCCAGAGCTTAGTCACGTAGCGTTGGGCAACTGTCACCTCCTAAGAGGAAATCAGTTTCCTCATCTGTAACACGGGGATGATTAAATCTTCCTTAGACTTGTTAGGTAAAGCATCTGACATATGGTAAACATTAGTATTATTATCATCATATCTTAACGATCTTGGTGGAATCATAAGCAAAGATCCAAAATTTTAACAATTTTATTTATTTATTTTTCTGAGATGGGGTCTCACTCTGTCACCCTGGCTGGAGTCCAGTGGTATGATCTCGGCTCACTGCAACCTCCGCTTCCCTGGCTTAAGTGATCCTTCCACCTCAGCCTTCTGAGTAGCTGGGACCACAGGCATGCGCCACCACGCCTGGCTAATTTTTGTATTTTTAGTAGAGATGGGATTTCACTATCTTGCCCAGGCTGATCTTGAACTCCTAAGCTCAAGCAATCTGCCTGCCTCGGCCTCCCAAAGTGCTGGGATTACAGGCGTGAGCCACCGCACCCAGTCTTAACAACAATATTAAATAATGATAATTTAGTTTACTGATTTACAGTTCCTGAAAGCATGATTAATTTTTGGCCTTTTATTAGTTAATATAGATCACTATACAAGAATGACTTAGAGACTTTTTAAAAGTTATTTTATGTAATATTCCTTTGAGTTTTACTAGAAACTCAATTTTAAATTATTTACTTAAAACACTTAATGGTTATATTTGAAGACAAAATTAGATATATAGCTATAATATTAGCTTTTATCTTTATAGTGCCCTTCTTTTATTTACAGGAAAATGAAATTTGGTATTTTCAGAGATGTACAGCTGACGTTCCACCTCCTATGATAGATAATTACAAATGATTTAGAAAGATCAAATCCACAGTACATTCCAGACAGCCCTGGATTCTGTAATGTTTTACCTTTGCCAAGACAACTTAGACAAGCTAATGATAGTGGCAGGTTATAAAATTCACTCTTATCACAGATTCAATAAATGTGCCGGGCATTTGGTATTTGTCTGCTCAGCATCAGTTTCTTCCCTTTTGAAAACAGCATCCGCCTTCTTTGGAAAACTTCTCCTTCCCATTCTAGCCCTGCTAACTACAGCACACTGCCTCCTGCCTTCTGACACCATCCTCCTGGCCCTAATAAGTGGCCCTGGAATAAGACATATGTGCGGTCCACACCAAGCTAATCAAATTATTCCCTAGGCTGGCTGGCTTGCTTTTTTTCTCTCTTTCTCTGTCTCTCTTTCTTTTCTTTTTTTTTTTTTTTTTTTATTTGACGGAGTCTCCCTCTGTCACCCAGGCTGAAGTGCGGTGGCGCAATCTCAGCTCACTGCAACCTCCGCCTCCCGGATTCAAGTGATTCTCCTGTCTCAGCCTCCCAAGTAGCTGGGATTACAGACGTGTGCCACCACACCCAGCTAATTTTTGTATTTTTAGTAAAGATGGAGTTTCACCATGTTGCCCAGGCTGGTTTCACCAGCCTTTAGTAGAGATGGGGTTTCATCGTGTTGCCCAGACTGGTCTTGAACTCCTGACCTCAGGTGATCCGCCCGCCTCAACCTCCCCAAGTGCTGAGATGACAGGTGTGAGCCACCATGCCCAGCCTCCCTAGGAAGGAGAGAGAGAGAGAGACTTCCTTTGATTCTATGACTTACTCTGTCCCCTTGAATTTGCTTAATTCCAGCTGAATTTCTCTCATTGGCAGCAAAAACAACCCTGACTAATGCAGTAGGGTATTAGTATTCTTCAGTTGGTTCTTGGCTAAAAATCAATGCTTTCTAAGTTTATGAGATGGGTAATGGATGAGAGTCATTTCCATTCTTGTGAGATATGATTATTAATGTCTTATTTAATACCATGTGGCTTTATTGAGGTAAATGTCATTCATAATTAGATTAAAGGGATTTATTTGACAACCTTCTATGACCTTTGGTTATCTACAAATTAAGTGGTTTTCTCTGGCTAAGGCCATTGCTCCAAAGCTGGGCTTTGATTGAACATTTTGATTTGGGGTCATTTTTATGAGGCTTCCTACAACCCCTTTGCTCTTGCCTCATCTTTACAGCATCCTAACAGCAAGATTAGCTTACAATGGCCAGTTTGGGCCTGACAGTCAGTACCTAGGTCATGTGACTTCTCACCATGTTTCAGTGGATATTTTGCTTCTTCTACTCATGGAACTTGTATCACTTGACATTGATTTCTTTTCAGCTGTTGCTAGGAAACACCATCAGCATCCATTCACCCTTTAGAATTACAGCCAACTCAAGCTCTTCCTGACTTCTCAGTATTGTACAAGCAGAGGCAGTGTCAGAAAATTCCCATCCAATTTTGCCAAGAGTCTCTAGAAGTGGTTGGGGACAGAAGGAGGGTAGGCATTAACTATACAAATCAAATGTCACTTGGGGTCTTCCTGCTCCTTAGATCTAGATAAAATTGACTCAGAAAGCCCCTCTCCCCTTCACAGTTGAAGAAAATCCAACAATCTATCCAAAGCTTCAGGGAGGGGTAGAGCTTATGTTCTTACAGATTAACTTTTGGCTCCTGATTCCCATTTCTTTTTTTTTTTTCTTTTTTTGAGACAGAGTCTCACTTTGTCCCCCAGGCTGGAGTGCAGTGGCGCGATCTTGATTCACTGCAATCTCTGCCTCCCATGTTCAAGCAATTCTCCTGCCTCAGCCTCCCGAGTAACTGGGATTATAGGCGCATGCCACCAGGCCCAGCTAATTTTTGTATGTTTAGTAGAGATGGGGGTTTCACCATATTGGCCAGGCTGGTCTCAAACTCCTGACCTCAAGTGATTTTGCTTTGTTGTTACAGTTTATAATGACCCAGGTAATCAAAGAGTGGAGATGGGGTCACTTAATCTTACACTTTTGGGGCTGTGTTCCAGGCTCTGTGCTGACAACTTTTTGTGTATTATCTCATTTAATTCTCAACAGCCAACCTGTGAGGGAGGTGCTGTTATTGTTCATTTTACAAATGAGCAAACAGAGGCATAGAAAGATAAATGGCTGTTCCCAGGGACATTTAGCTGGTTGATCTGGAATTGAAGCTCCAGTGCATTCTAGAAACTGCTAGAAAGAAACCCAAGCCATGTAATTCAGACATAGGGCTCTCATGAGCCACATGCAGCCCTGGACTGCCCACCTCTGGACTTCTTTCAGGTGGGAGAGAAAGAAGTCTCTCTCTTAAGCCATATTATTTCTCTGAAATAGAAGCAGCTGGGCCAGGCACAGTGGCTCATGCCTGTAATCCCAACACTTTGGGAGGCTAAGGTGGGCAGATAACTTGAGGTCAGGAGTTTGAGACCAGCCTGGCCAACATGGCGAAACCCCGTCTTTACTAAAAATTCAAAAATTAGCCGGGCATGGTGGTGAGCGCCTGTAGTCCCAGCTACTCAGGAGGCTGAGGCAGAAGAATTGCTTGAACCCTGGAGGCGGAGAATGCAGTGAGCAGAGATCGTGCCACTGCACTCCAGCCTGGGTAACAGAGCAAGACTCTGTCTAAAAAAAAAAAAAAAAAAAAAAAAAAAAGCAGCTGAATAGATTTTCTAATGGGTACAAATTTATATTGGGATTAAAAAATAGAATGAAGCCAGGTGCAGTGGTTCATGCCTGAAATTGCAGCACTTTGGGAGGCTGAGGCCGTGGATCACTTGAATTCAGGAGTTTGAGACCAGCCTGGCTAACATGGTGA